>NC_000010.11:25010000-25635000 GCF_000001405.40 Homo sapiens
CTGCTATAAAGATACCCAAAAATGTGAAAGCGACTTTGGAACTGGGTAACAGGCAGAGGTTGGAACAGTTTGGAGGGCTCAGAAGGGGACAGAAAGATGTGGGAAAGTTTGGAGCTTCCTAGAGACTTGTTGAATGGGTTTGACCAGAATGTTGATAGCAATAAAGACAATAAAGTCCAGGTTGAGGTGGTTTCAGACGGAGATGAGGAACTTGTTGAGAACTGGAATAAAGGTGACTCTTGCTATGTTTTAGCAAAGAGACTGGTGGCATTTTGCCCCTGCCCTAAAGATTTGTGGAACTTCGAATTTGAGAGAGATGATTCCGGGCATCTGATGGAAGAAATTTCTAAGCGGCAAAACATTCAAGAGGTGACTTGAGTAGTGTTAAAAGCATTCAGTTTTATGTATTCACAAAGATATGGTTTGGAATTGGAACTCATTTTTTTTATTATTATTATTATACTTTAAGTTTTAGGGTACATGTGCACAATGTGCAGGTTAGTTACATATGTATACATGTGCCATGCTGGTGTGCTGCACCCATTAACTCGTCATTTAGCATTAGGTATATCTCCTAATGCTATCCCTCCCCCCTACCCCCACCCCACAACAGTCCCCAGAGTGTGATGTTCCCCTTCCTGTGTCCATGTGTTCTCATTGTTCAATTCCCATCTATGAGTGAGAACATGCGGTGTTTGGTTTTTTGTCCTTGTGATAGTTTACTGAGAATGACGATTTCCAATTTCATCCATGTCCCTACAAAGGACATGAACTCATCATTTTTTATGGCTGCATAGTATTCCATGGTGTATATGTGCCACATTTTCTTAGTCCAGTCTATCATTGTTGGACATTTGGGTTGGTTCCAAGTCTTTGCTATTGTGAATAGTGCCACAATAAACATACGTGTGCATGTGTCTTTATAGCAGCATGATTTATGGTCCTTTGGGTATATACCCAGTAATGGGATGGCTGGGTCAAATGGTATTTCTAGTTCTAGATCCCTGAGGAATCGCCACACTGACTTCCACAATGGTTGAACTAGTTTACAGTCCCACCAACAGTGTAAAAGTGTTCCTATTTCTCCACATCCTCTCCAGCACCTGTTGTTTCCTGACTTTTTAATGATTGCCATTCTAACTGGTGTGAGATGGTATCTCACTGTGGTTTTGATTTGCATTTCTCTGATGGCCAGTGATGATGACCATTTTTTCATCTGTCTTTTGGCTGCATAAATGTCTTCTTTTGAGAAGTGTCTGTTCATGTCCTTTGCCCACTTTTTGATGGGGTTGTTTGTTTTTTTCTTGTACATTTGTTTGAGTTCATTGTAGATTCTGGATATTAGCCCTTTGTCAGATGAGTAGGTTGCAAAAATTTTCTCCCATTCTGTAGGTTGCCTATTCACTCTGATGGTAGTTTCTTTTGCTGTGCAGAAGCTCTAGTTTAATTAGATACAAACCTGAGAAAAACAAGCAATAGGGAAAGGATTCCCTATTTAATAAATGGTGCTGGGAAAACTGGCTAGCCATATGTAGAAAGCTGAAAGTGGAACCCTTCCTTACACCTTATACAAAAATTAATTCAAGATGGATTAAAGACTTAAACGTTAGACCTGCAACCATAAAGACCCTAGAAGAAAACCTAGGCATTACCATTCAGGATATAGGCATGGGCAAGGTTTTCATGTCTAAAACACCAAAAGCAATGGCAACAAAAGCCAAAATTGACAAATGGCAACTTATGTTTAAAAGGAAGCAGAGCATAAAAGTTCAGAAAATTTGCAGCCCGATGATGCAATAGAAAAGAAAAACCAATTTTCTGAGGAGAAATTCAAGCCAGCTGCAGAAATTTGCATAAGGAGAAGCCAAATGTTAATAGCCAAAACAATGGGGAAAATGTCTCCAGAGCCTGTCAGAGGTCTCCACAGCAGCCCCTCCCATCACAGGCCCAGAGACCTAGGAGAAAAAATGGTTTCATGGGCTGGGCCCAGGGCCTTGCTGCTTTGTGCAATCTTGGGACTTGGTGCCCTGAGTCACAGCCATGGCTAAAAGGGGACAACGTAGAGCTCAGGCCATTGCTTCAGAGGGTGCGAGCCCCAAGCCTTGGTGGCTTCCACATGGTGTTGGGACTACGGGTGCACAGAAGTCAAGAATTGAGGTTTGGGAACCTCCACCTAGATTTCAAAGGTTGTATCAAAATGTCTGGATGTCTAGGCAAAGATGTGCTTCGGGGCAGAGCCCTCATGGAGAACCTCTGCTAGGGCAGTGTGGAAGGGAAATATGGGGTGGGAGCCCCCCACACAGAATTCCCACTGGGGCACTGCCTAGTGGAGCTGTGAGAAGAGGGCCACTGTTCTCCAGACCTCAGAATGGTAAATCCACTGAGAGCATGCACCATGCACCCAGAAAAGCTGCAGACACTCAATGCCCACCCATGAAAGCAGCCGGAATGGGGGCTGTACTGTGCCAGGTCACAGGGACAGAGCTGCCCAAGACCATAGGATCCCACCTCTTGCATCAGCGTGACCTGGATGTGAGACATGGAGTCAAAGGAGATCATTTTGGAACTTTAAGGTTTAATGACTGCCCTATTAGAATCTGGACTTGCAAGGGGCCTATAGCCCCTTTGTTTTGGCCAATTTCTGCTATTTCGAATGGTTATATTTACCCAATGCCTGGACCCCCATTGTATCTGGGAAGTACCTAACTTGCTTTTGATTTTATATGCTTGTAGGCAGAAGGGACTTGCCTGGTCTCAAATGAGACTTTGAACTGTGGACTTCTGAGTTAATGCTGAAATGAGTTAAGACTTTGGGGGACTGTTGGGAAGGTATGATTGGTTTTGAAATGTGAGGACATGAGATCTGGGAGGGGCTGGGGTAGAATGATATGGTTTGGCTGCATCCCCACGCAAATCTCACATTAAATTGATGAGATCCCATAATTCCCATATGTCATGGGAGGGATCTGGTGATAGGTAATTGAATCATGGGAGTGGGTCTTTCCTGTGCTGCTCTCATGATAGTGAATAAGTCTCATGAGATCTGATGGTTTTATAAAGGGGAGTTCCCCTGCACACACTCTCTTTCCTGCCACCATGTAAGATGTGACTTTGCTCCGCCTTTGCCTTCTGCCATGATTGTAAGGCTTCCTCAGCCATGTGAAACTGTGAGTCAATTAAACTTCTTTTGAAATATAAATTACCCAGTCTCGAGTATGTCTTTATTAGCAGCGTGAGAACAGACTAATATACTATGTTCTATGATAGATAAGAGATATAAAAGACATATTTATTAAATTTGCAAATGACACAAAAAGAATGGTTAACAGAATGTATAAAAGATTCAAATGCAAAACTATCTCCATAGATTAATGAGTTGAGATAAAAAAGAATCAGCTACATAATTAGAGGATGGGAGAGACCAACCTTAGTCAAAATCCATACAGGGTATTTTAGTGTGAGCCAATAGTTGGACATGACTGTCAAAATGCTTATGGAAGCTTAGGCTGAATGGATGAAAATATTGTGCCAAGAATTATGGAAAGGAGATAATGGTTTCATGGACTGTTCAGACCATAACTGGAATATTGCTTTAAACAAAATGGAAAGAGGGGATGACTGGAGATATTCAATAACTGCAGACATCAATAAAGGGTGATAGGCCAGGCGTGGTGGCTCACGCCTATAATCATAGCACTTTGGGAGGCAGAGGTGGGTGGATTACTGGAGGTCAGGAGGTCAAGACCAGCCTGGCCACCATGGTGAAACCCCATCCCTACTAAAAATACAAAATTAGCCAGGCATGGTAGCAGGGACCTGTAATCCCAGCTACTCGGGAGGCTGAGGCAGGAGAATCGCTTGAACCCAGGAGGCAGAAGCTGCAGTGAGCCAAGATGGCGCCATTGCACTCCAGCCTGGGCAAAAAGAGTGAAACTCCGTCTTGAAAAAAAAGTAATTAAAAAAAAAAGGGTGACAGATTTGGTGAAAATCTTGGAAACCATCTTATGCATCATGAGTAACTCAAATTTTGAAAACTGAATCATGACTTCCCATTGACTCTGAGGCTTTCATAACTTAAGTCTCAGCCAATAGTTCAACTGCAGAAAAGTGCCTTTCATCCGATTTTGGTCACATACATTCATCTTCTAAGTTCTCATTTAGTATCTTCATCTCTCATTATGGTTTTCAATGATAAATTTTAGTGTTCATATTTCAGTTCCCCAAAAAGACGGTAAACTCTGAGGCGTGGGAGATCAAAAGCCAGGCAGTTGTCAGAATCTTGCCAGTGTAAATTGACTTTAACCTAACAGAAATGATTCTTTTGGCATCACATTTGGGTGCCTCTATTTCCTCTAATCATAAATCTTTCTTCTACTCATTTCTTCATAGTAAAACCAAGAAGTCTGTGCTATCACTCCAACAGCACCAAGAACAGATATACTAGTGCAATATTATACACATAATAGGGGCTCCATTAATGCTTGCCAAATGAATAAAGACTGTTCCTATAAATTTTTTTTGAAAAAAAAAATCGTCTAGATGCAGTAAAGCTTTTTAATTTGCCAAAGAACAGAATACCTACCTAATAAAATAACTCTCAAATTCAATATTCTATAGAAATACAATCTACCAATCTGTTATAGAGGAGTTTTATCTCATGTAATATGCAGGAATTTGAAACCAAAAGTTGGTGCAACAATAGAAAATTTGAAAATAAATTCTGCAACTGTGCCATAACTTACTTTACATTCCTCTTTCCAGTCTCTAGATGTTGATATGCTAATGGAGATGTAATACAGTTACTGCTCTAATTTAAACCAGATACTTAAAATTGAAGAAGCTGCCTACTTGTTGAAGCTATTACCCTAATACTAGTAAAAATAATTGACCATTAGATCTAAAAGGGGCCTTGGATATTATCTGGTACATTTATCTCACAGATCAGTAAACAAATGAAACTTTATTCTAAAGTTCACAAAGACAATTAATTGCTAGGCCCGATTTTTAGTCCAGTCCTTTTCAAATGTGGTTTTGACTTGCATACGGACAAGGATGATGGTAAAAGACAGGAAACATTTCAAGTCCTAGGAGAAATGAGATTTTCTCCACTACTTTCTTTGCTCCCCACAGATTTAAGTAAGTTCTAAGAAGTCCCTACAGATGGGAGTAACTGAAGTGCTTCCTTTGCACGTTTTTGAGATTTGGAGAATTTAAGAGGTTCTAAGACCTATGTAAAATTTCAACTCAATTACATATTTTTTGGTTCATTATCTATCCACCAATTCTTCCTTCCATTTAAACCATTAGATCTGAAAAAGTCCTTAGAAACTGCCTAATAGTGGTAGATATTTCGTTTCACTGATCAAAAACCTGAGGCTCAAAAGCAAATGTAAATTTATATTTCATAAAAATCTTGGGGGAAAAGTCCTATCCTATCCCATTAGAGAGGGAGTAGTGCAGTTAGAAATACAACACCGAACTCCTGAAACCAAACATCAAGTATCCTTAAACAAGATAATAGAATTGTGATTTTTTTCTTTTCAACATGAAACTTCATACTATGCTGTATATCACATATAATTAAATTACACAATAATCACATACCGTATTAATAAGAGGTTAAGTGTAATATAATAAAATGGTCATCTCACAGCGCCAGACTGCCCTCTCTGTAAAACTGTGAGATGCTGAATACCTAGATATTTCGACCTTTTCTCTAACAAGTTATCCTCCAAGGCTACTTCATCGAGGCAAAAATACATTTTATTTATTATTAAAAATTCCAGTATATGTATGCTTAATTAATACTGAGTATTCCCCATTCTTGTTTCAAGTGATAGTCTTTGCTTATCCACATACCTAGGAGGCTGGGGAGGCTCCTTCAAGTCACTGGGTATGAGGTTATAAATGCACTCAGAAGAGCACGTTGGATCCATGGCCACCAAATGACTCCTTAAAAGCTACTCTCCACAACTTTTTTCTCCCTGTCCCAGTATCTCCGTCCCTTTCTTCACTGCTTCCCCTTTCTTTCTTCTTCGCCTTCTGAAGGACCACAGGTTCTCTCCTTCACATCGTCCCCCTTTAACCCCCTCTTAGCAGTCCTCTCTCGGGAAGAAAACACCCTATTTCTCTCCGGATTGCTAAGCGTCGTTGACTGTGCGGTTGCCGTGGAAACCGTTACTAGGCAACGAGGAAGTGGCAGGCAGCACCGCAAACTAGGTCTCCCCTCTTCCCTCTTTCTGCAGCGCCTTCTGCTAGAGAAGCTCATTTGGAAGCCACTGTTTTTACGTGCCTTTGAAAGTTAACGGGGTGAAAATGATGTCCCCTTAAAAACTGTGCTCTTTTCTATTTCTGTGTATCTGGGGAAAAAAGAAAAATCCTAGTAGAGACGGCAAAGCGCAGCTGGTGCGCAGGCGTCACCCAATAAGGTTTTTGTGAGCAGGCCCCAATCGCGGTGTGGGCGGAGCGAGCGGCTGAGACCACGAGGACGCAAGGCCAGCGCCGCCAGGGAGACGAGGGAGGGGAGGAGCCTGAGGAGATCGGAGTGCTCGGATAGGCTACAGTGAGAAAGGAGAGTCACGTGCCCTGCGCGAGGCCGCTCGGGGAAGGGCGTGGAGCGGAGGCACGCTGGCCGCCGCAGGCACAGGCGCAGAGTCCACTGCGCGGGGGCGGGACCGGGGAGCTAGCTGCAGGTACGGTGCTCCGTCTCCTGTGGAGGCTTTAGCGGCTCGTGGACACTGCTCCCCCATTTCCTTTCATTTCCCCCGTCTTCTCAGTGAGATTTCCTTGGTGAGTTATTGGAGGAGAAAGGAAGGAAAACTAGAAGCCAGCCCGCTCCCATCGCATGCCTTTCCCCGTACCGTCCCTTCCCCTTTCCGCTACTCGCTGGTCATCTCAACTCTGCGCGCATTTTTCCTGCTGCTTCTGGTCGAGGCTCCTCGGAACGCCGCGCAGCCCTGCCCGCCACGTGTGTGAGTGCGCGCACGGGGCCCGCGGCCTCCTCCGCCTGCTGCGCTCGCCCTCCCGCCCCTGCTCCCGGGACCGCCCCTTGGGCGGTCCTCCGGGTCGGCTCTGCGCCTGCTCTTCCCCGGGTCGGGACTCTTCCTCTAGGTCGTTCTCCAGGAACCAGTGGACCTGCTCTTTGTAAATGAGCAGCCTAAACTAAGAGGAGAAGCCTTTTAAGTGGGCCTTTACGTTTTTGTCCAGTTTTTGGTGTCCCTTGTTGGAAAATTGTCTTCTGAGAAGCGGTTTTATTCCTTTTTGTTCCACCTGGTCACCCGTAAATCTATGCACATGGGCCTGCCGTAGGAAAGTCATTTAGACGCTTTTACCCGAGTGTTTAAAAGACATTTTGGTAATAGGATTTGGGGAGGAAGATGGATGCCTCTGAACCACCGGTACAGAGGCCACTCTGCCCGAAGGAAATAAAGCTTCCCGGAGAGGAGAGAAAACACACTTGAGTCTGGGTTTCTCACTGCCTGGTTGGCTGGCGGAGTGATTAAAACAACACAATGGCCTGGTGAACCTTTTAGTTCCTGTATAAAAAGGCTTTACTGAATGTGTAGGTCCTTACTTTGGGCTCTTACTGAATTTCACTACATAAGAATACGTTAAGTTTTTCTTTTTTTTTTTTTTGTATACAGTTGATTTTAATTTTTGTCCCAGACGCTTAGGGAAAATTCTCCAGATTTCTTCACATCAGATTGTCTTCCAAAACATTTTAGATAGATGGATCTGTAGATCTATATTTAGATCTAGATCCAAATCTATATCACTTTGCCCCTTTCTTTTCGCCCTTGAGTATTTTATGTTTGGGATTTCTGTTTAGCAAGTATAGAGAAAAAATTTGGCGGGAAACCTCCTGTATGTACGAAGATTCGAACCAAGGACTCATGGAATGATAACGCCATTAGCCAAGTGGATAGTCACTGGCTAAAGCTTATGAATTTTCTAATTAGAAGGAACACCTTGAGACTATTTGTGTTAATCAGTTCCTGAAATAGCAAGTAAGGGCAAAACATGATTTCTGCAGTTAGCACCAACTGGCCTTTGGTAGCCTTGATGTTCTGGGGTTACTGAAATAAAATAATTTCACTGATGTCTGTATATTTATTATGCTTTAAAAAATGCTAAACAATTTGTGCAAGACCTCACTGTGGTATAGTTAGTTTACAGCCATGAGCAGGTTGTTAAATCATTTGGAAAAAAACTTTTCTTTTTTCTTAGACATTTGATCTGCAATTCTCCTTGCCTTTTGAAAGTGTGTTTAAGCAAAATTATTTCTAGTTTTTATAATGCTCTTGAAATGACACTTCAAAAAAATGCCTGTGTCCACCGCATGTCCACAGGG
This sequence comes from Homo sapiens, assembly GCF_000001405.40. Classification (NCBI taxonomy): domain Eukaryota; kingdom Metazoa; phylum Chordata; class Mammalia; order Primates; family Hominidae; genus Homo; species Homo sapiens. Next base: position 25,018,351 of record NC_000010.11, read on the forward strand.
AATTAACTGGTATATACCTACAGGGATGAACAAACTGTCTATAAAGGGGTAGACAGTAAATATTTCAGGCCTTTTTAGGCCAAGTGGTTATGTTGCAACTACTCAGTTTTGCCATTGTAGCTCAAAAGCAGCCAAAGACGGTACTGAACAAATATGTGAGCACATGAATGACTGAAGTTGTGCTTCAAAGAAACTTGATTTATGAAAATGATGGTGGGCCAGATTTAGCCTGTGGATTGTAGTTTGCACAGATCCTAGATCCCCGTATATAATGGTATGCCTGTGATGTACATAAACAAATGAGAGTTGTTTTTTTTTTTTTTTTTTTTGCGAAGGATTATTTTAATCTATTTAAATGAATAAAATGGGTGTAGATGAGTATATAAGACAATTGGAAGGTAAATAAACCCTTTATAAAGACAGGTTCTTTATAATTCTCAAAGTTATAGAATTGTGGATACTAAAGTTTTCAATTAAATATTCGAGATCGTTAAGAATATGTCTAACAGCAGAAGTCTAACGGCAGAAAAAGCTTAGTCAGCTTTGATAGTAATATAAAGACTAAGTGATGAACTTGCAAAATTGTTTTAGTTGTGAGATCCTTGTGATTACAGAACTATACTGGATTGTGTGGTCCTTCCACCCTCACCTCTGTTTCATGGCAAGTGGGAGGCCCTCTGAATGAAAAGTTTGAGAGAATTTTTGGTCAGAAGTCAGAAGCAGTAGAGCTTAACCTCCTTTTGGCTAGTTTGTGTCCTGATACACAGTTAGTTCTCCATATCTGTGAATTTCCCATTCTCAGATTCAACTAATTACAGATTGAAAATATTTTAAAATTTTAGTTGGGCACAGTGGCTCATACCTGCAATCCAAGCACTTTTTGAAGGCCAAGGCAGGAAGACTGCTTGAGCCCAGGAGTTGGAGACCAGCCTGGGCAACATGGCGAAACCCCCTCTCTACTAAAAATACTAAAATTAGCTGGGTGTGGTGGTGCGTGCCTTTAGTCCCAGCTACTTGGGAGGCTGAGGTGGGAGGATTGCTTGAGCCTAGGAAGTCAAGGCTGTAGTGAGCCAAGATTGTGCCACTGCACTCCTGCCTGGGCAACAGAGTGGGAGCCTGTCTGAAAAACAAACAAAAACACGAAAATAATGGAACAGTAAAAATACCACAAACAAAAAAGCAAATTAGTACAACAGCTCTGTACCTAGCATTTGCATTGTATTATGTATTATAAGTTATTCAGAGATTAAGGTATACAGGAGGATGTGCACAGGTTATATGCAAATACTACACCATTTTATATAAAGGACTTGCACATCTGCAGATTTTTCTCACTCTAAAGTCAGTCCTATTAACTGCTAATTATCCAATATCCCTCTCAATGCTTAATCCAAATAATTGTTAAACACATGAAAGAGAAGAGTGTCAAGACCAAAAGCCTTGGAGTGCACTACCAGAAATTTCCCTCTATTCAACAGAACCATTTTTATGATCATTCAACAATATCCTCAAATCTTTTTTTTCCATTTCTCCGTGAATTAAAAAAATTTTAAATGAACCATGTGTAATGCTTTGGTGAAGTCCATATATATGCCTTCTATGTATATTCCCGAGTGGCCATTGCAGCAGACGTTCTCAAAAAAGAAATGAGGATGTCTTTTCCTCATTTGGTTGGTTAAAAAATGTTGAGCCCCTAAAATCAATTTGTGGTTAAATGTTACAAAATAAAATTTAGTATGTAGCTTAAAATAGAATATATCTTTATTGTTCTTTAGAAATAATATATATTATAGCACTTAACTGCCTTCTGCTAGTCTAAGGAACATGTTTGTGGGAAATAATATTGATACAGAATTTACAAATTGAACTGTCATAATTTTCTTTAAAATATATCTATATCTATATCTATATCTATATCTATATCTATATATATCTACCCCAAAGTCTTGAAAAAGGGAAGTGAAGTAAAATTTAAAAACAAGAGGGTAGAGGGGAACTAACATATAGGAAAAGTAAGATTGCAAAACATAAGGTGAAGGTAACATAATGTTTCCTTACAATCTACTTTTAATGAAGTTGATGTTAAGCATGGTAGCAAGCAATATAAAGCGGAAGAAAAGATGAAAGATTTACTGGGCCAGTATGGTGGTTCATGCCTCTAATCCCAGCACTTTGGGAGGCCAAAGTGGGAGGATTGCTTGAGTTCAGGAGTTCGAGATCAGTCTGGGCAACATGGTGAAACCCTGTCTCTAGAAAACCTACAAAAATTAGCTGGGTGTGGTGATGCACACCTGGTGGGAGGATCACCTGAGCCCAGGAGGTTGAGGCTGCAGTGAGCTGAGATCATGCCACTGCACTCCAGCCTGGGTGACAGTGGAAGACCCTTTCTCAAAAAAAAAAAAAAAATTACTGCTCATGAAAACCATCTACTCAGATTATATACAATTATTACTAATACAGGTATCAGAAAGTTATGTATTGCAAACTCAAAAAGAAGAAACTGTAATGTTACAAGCAAAAGCTTCCTGAATAGGAGGTTAATCAGACTGTTTTATGTAAGTGCCCTAAAAGCAGTTTGTGCTTTTAAAGTCCAGTACCAGAATATGGTTTAATAAAATAAATTGATGTTATGGTTCAAGTATATAATTCTTTCTGGTCCCTGGTTTACTTCAGGGAAAGGATTAGACTGTGCATGGCAAAACAGTTCTTGATTCGTGGGTGAACACCACGGTATTCTCTGAAGGTTTATAAACCAAACCATAAAAAAAATGCACCCTGCCTTGTACCTACATATTTGGGTTCAATTTATATATTCCTAGCCCACTGTCAGTGAGTGACAATGATTAATCTTACTGTAAATATTTTGTGCTAACCACTATGATATGTGCTTTGATTTTATTATAGACACTTATATAGCTAAGAGGTATCTTTTTGTGGCAAGAGTTTTATTTGGGCTTTTTATAGTGGATATTATTACATATGAATATATAGTGATTTTGATAGATAATATAGCCTAAAAAACAACTCAGACACTAATTTCATAGCTTTAGTCTGCTGACTTTTTCCCCTCTGATCATTATACAGCCAAATCATTAAAATTCCAGATATCCTTCTGAAAAGTTTTATATTTGTTATTATTTGGTTTTTTATTGCTTGATGGTAGAAATTCCTTCAGTACTGTTTAGTGAAATTCTTTTTATAATGAGACACACATGTTTAAAAACAGTATTTTAATCTTCTAATAACAGATTTGGGGAAACATATGAAAAGGGTCAATTTTTCTGTATTTTTAAAATTTCAGATGAGCTTTTCAAATAATAGACTAGTCTATGTGTAGAATTTTATGATACTCTATACAGTTATGATTAACTTAAATTTTTTTCCATTATAGACTCCACGTTTTGCAAAGATCGGTTTTGCCTCAGAGTCAACAAACTCTTCAGATTGGTTCCGGTGTGTCCTATGTTTACAAGTCAGTGGAAATTAAGCACAACACATATAAATTGAAAAGTCAAATAAGGAAATGAATTACCTCCCTTGACGGCTCTAATTTTACTTGTAAGTTAAATTCAGAGTTAGCTTAAAATCATTTAAATGTTTAATTACAGAACAGAGTTTAAGTAGCATAGAAAGTCAGTATTACATGATTAAAAGTTTTCAGAACATATTTTAACATATGATCTAGTATTTAATATGGTTTAGTTGCATATTGCTTCTACCAGAGAACACGTGATAAGCCCCACTATGTGTCTGTGACATTACTTCAGGCAATTTACATGAACATTGCACAGGTATTATACTGCATTTTACGTAACTAAAAACTTGACTTGTCTGGCATACATTTTTGTTTTAATGGTGAGTATATTTCCAAAGACAAGGACTTGGTCAATATGGGAAATTATAGAGCTTCTTTGGATGCCAGAATAATTGTTGTCTCTCATCATTGGAAACATTCCTGAGGTTCTTGGCTGTGGCCCTGGGGTCTGGAAATTGAGTTAAATCTCTCCACTGATGATTATAGGGTTAGAAACAAAAGTGATGGTTCTGTGCAGATAAGGTTATATGTAGCCTTTGACCTCATTGCTGATTATTAATTTTTCTTAACTATTTGTATAATATACCTTTCACCTTGGCTCTTTTTAAAGCCTTCAATATGAATAATATGTAACAATGATTCTTAATATGCGTGTAAAAGGCACATAAGAAAGAAAATGTCATACCTTTGTCCTGTAGTTTGGAAAACTAAGCATTTTATAAGCAAATATGTTCTTTTATTCTGGTTTCCTGTTATGACTTCTATAAGAAATTTATGAGTAATATAGTCTGTCACAATGTTCATATAACTGAAGAGAAATTAAATATAAAGAATATTGTTCAACTTTTGTGAATTGCAAGTAGATAGCACTCCAACTCCAAATCATCTTTATATGTGATATAAACTGATAAACCATGAAATAATTTTCATTAAAAGATCTCAATATGAAAAGAAATAGTAATTTGATTTAGTGTATATATACTTTTAAAAGCATCTACAATCTGGCACTTTGTGAATACAAGTTTCTGTTTTTTATAGTTACAAATTTTGTCAAAGTTTTGATTTTTCAGTGTCTTGAGATTTTAAAAGATATCATTAAAAGGATAATATGCAATATATAAGAATTTGGGTTGGAATACTTTTTTTAATTCCATAAGTTTGGAAGATTTTTAAACAGTTTATGTACCATGGGCATGGTTATATTCAGTCCTATTGGGATTTTAACAATCTACTGTAATTAGTAACCAAATTATCTTTTGTTGTTTTTTGTTTGTTTTGTGTTTTGAAAAGGGCTAAAGCCAATTTTTAGGTTGGCTTGGGCAGAAAAGTGAAAAGAGAATGCTCCACTTTAACCGATGTCATCATCTGAAAAAGATAACACAGAAATGTTTTTCTAGTATACATGTTAAAACGGATAAACATGCACAGCGATTTCTTTCAAGAACCTTTGCACTTGCGGAATTGAGGAAGTCATGGTATTCAACCCACTCTCTTGTTGGAGACAAAAATATTATCCTGATGGGACCTCCTGGTGCTGGGAAAACAACAGTAGGCAGAATAATAGGTCAGAAACTAGGTTGTTGTGTCATAGATGTGGATGATGATATCCTTGAAAAAACCTGGAATATGAGTGTGTCTGAAAAATTACAGGATGTTGGTAATGAGCAATTTTTAGAAGAGGAAGGAAAAGCTGTGTTAAACTTCTCTGCATCTGGAAGTGTGATTTCCCTTACTGGGTCCAATCCAATGCATGATGCTAGCATGTGGCATCTGAAGAAAAATGGAATAATTGTATACCTGGATGTACCTCTACTAGATCTAATTTGTCGTCTAAAATTAATGAAGACAGATAGGATTGTAGGTCAGAATTCTGGAACATCTATGAAAGACTTACTTAAATTTAGAAGACAGTATTATAAGAAGTGGTATGATGCTCGTGTTTTCTGTGAAAGTGGGGCTTCCCCAGAGGAGGTAGCTGACAAAGTGCTGAATGCAATTAAAAGATACCAAGATGTGGACTCGGAAACATTCATTTCAACAAGACACGTTTGGCCTGAAGACTGTGAACAGAAGGTTTCAGCAAAATTCTTTAGTGAAGCTGTAATTGAGGGGTTGGCTTCTGATGGTGGCCTCTTTGTTCCTGCAAAGGAGTTTCCAAAATTAAGCTGCGGGGAGTGGAAAAGCCTAGTAGGAGCAACCTACGTAGAAAGAGCACAGATACTGTTGGAAAGATGTATCCATCCTGCAGACATACCTGCTGCCAGGTTGGGAGAAATGATTGAAACTGCTTATGGGGAAAACTTTGCCTGCTCAAAAATTGCTCCTGTCAGGCACCTTTCAGGCAACCAGTTCATCCTGGAGTTGTTTCATGGACCAACAGGATCATTTAAAGATTTGTCTTTACAGCTTATGCCTCATATTTTTGCACACTGTATCCCACCAAGTTGCAATTATATGATACTTGTAGCTACTTCAGGAGACACAGGGAGTGCAGTCTTAAATGGTTTTAGTCGTCTAAATAAGAATGATAAGCAAAGGATAGCTGTGGTTGCATTTTTTCCTGAGAATGGAGTAAGTGATTTTCAAAAAGCACAAATAATTGGCAGTCAGAGAGAAAATGGATGGGCAGTGGGTGTTGAGTCAGATTTTGATTTTTGCCAGACAGCTATAAAAAGAATTTTTAATGATTCTGATTTTACTGGCTTTCTTACTGTGGAATATGGAACAATCTTAAGTTCGGCTAACTCCATAAACTGGGGCCGACTACTTCCGCAGGTAGTTTATCATGCTTCCGCATATCTTGATCTTGTTAGTCAAGGATTTATTTCTTTTGGAAGCCCAGTCGATGTCTGTATTCCCACAGGAAACTTTGGTAACATTTTAGCAGCAGTGTATGCCAAAATGATGGGAATCCCGATTCGAAAATTTATCTGTGCCTCTAATCAGAACCATGTTTTGACTGATTTTATAAAAACAGGACATTATGATCTAAGGGAAAGAAAACTAGCACAAACCTTTTCACCGTCAATAGATATTCTCAAATCTTCAAACCTAGAACGACATTTACACTTGATGGCTAATAAAGATGGACAGCTAATGACAGAATTATTTAATCGATTAGAAAGTCAGCATCATTTCCAGATAGAAAAGGCTCTAGTTGAGAAACTTCAGCAGGATTTTGTAGCTGACTGGTGCTCTGAGGGAGAGTGCCTAGCAGCTATTAACTCCACCTATAATACTTCAGGGTATATTTTGGATCCACACACTGCTGTTGCAAAAGTGGTTGCAGATAGGGTGCAAGACAAAACTTGCCCTGTGATTATCTCATCTACAGCCCATTACTCAAAGTTTGCACCTGCTATCATGCAGGCTTTAAAGATTAAAGAAATCAATGAGACTTCATCAAGTCAGCTCTATTTGCTGGGTTCATACAATGCATTACCTCCACTGCATGAGGCTTTATTAGAGAGAACAAAACAGCAAGAGAAGATGGAGTACCAGGTCTGTGCAGCTGATATGAATGTCTTGAAGAGTCATGTGGAACAACTTGTCCAAAATCAATTCATATGAAAGCTTTCAGAGTAAATTTTTTTTTCTAGCTATAAGCATGCAATAATAAATCTCAAACACTGATTTGGAGTACAGTAGCATTTTGTCTTTTATGTAAATATCTCTATATCTGTTTGGAATTTCAAAAGTCTGATCTCTAGGGCTGACATGAGAACTCCATGTCACCTCCTCAGATCTTTAATCTGGAAGTGACAAAAGGTAACACAGTGCACGGACCTTTGAGCTATCATACTTTTGCCTTCTGCTCATGAGGGGTGTATCAATTTCCACTCCCACACCCTCACTGTTATGTGGACCAAAATGTCTGGTATACTATTTGGCGATTAAAATATTTAAGCCCAGTTTTCAGGTACTACATCTGTAACTAGTGAATACTCTGTTGATTAGAAAGTTAATTTACCACTCAAAATGGCTAACTTGAATGGAGGAAGTAGTAAACTCTTCTATTAGGATTTGGGCCAGTGTTTTTTGTTTGTTTTTTGGTGCAGTTTCAGCTCACTGCAACCTCCGCCTCCCAGGTTCAAGTGATTCTCCTGCCTCAGCCTCCCAGGTAGCTGGGATTACAGGCATGCAACACCACACATGGCTAATTTTTTTATTTTTAATAGAGATGAGGTTTCGCCATGTTTTCCAGGCTGATCTTGAACCTCTGACCTCAGGTGATCCATCCACCTCGGCCTCCCAAAGTGCTAGGATTACAGGCGTGAGCCTCTGCACCTGGCTAGGGCCAGTGTTTTTAACCCTCCTCAAATTCCATTTTGGACTACAACTAATGTGTATCTCACACTGTCCAAATTAAAGATGTACTCTGTCCTTCACTCTCCTTTGGATGTGTACGGTTAGGGTGACGATGTTTGAAAATCAACACATAACTGAAATCCAGGATGAAACAGTAAGCAGAACTACTTAGAAGTGAATACAGAAATGATCTATTTCAAGAGGAAGGTTTTCCAAAATTAAGAGTACTTGAGTAGTCTCAATAGGAGTGTATTTGTAGACAGCAGTTTCCCTATATTATTTGGAGTCAATTCTTACGTAATTTGTTGTTTATTTCTTCAGTGAACATTGTCTTTTTCTGGCAGCTGAAACTGCACACAACTGATACACATATTTAATTTGTATTCCTTTGTAGTAATACATTTTAACCATGATTTATGTTTGTGAATTTACTGGATGTTTTCTTTCTGAATTAAAGATTGTCAAGACCAATTAGTGTAATGGACTACTGTCAACCACAAGATGGCATTCCTAACATAATTTGTCTTTGATAACATTCAGTTTCATTTTCTGGGAGAACAACCTCCATAAAGAAATATATTGAAAGTTGTAATGAAAACATTTTAATAGTTTAATAAGCAAGAGAAATTTGTTTTAATTTTTTTAAAATTAAACCAATTATATATTAACACCAGATCTCTGGCTTAGCTTCTAAAAAGGAGGTTCTAAAACCAAAAATTGAAAATCAGGAGCAGTTATAGGAAAAAAATGGAAGATTCAAAGTTACGTTTGTTCATGTATGTCTTTATTATTTTATCATTTACTTTTAAGGATATTTCAGTAGATGATATATTTAGAAACTGCCTCTAAATATTCACTATACATAAGAATGCATTATTTTGCTTGGCATGGTGGCTCACACCTGTAATCCCAGCACTTTGGGAGGCTGAGGCAGGCGGATCACCTGAAGTCAGGAGTTCGAGACCAGCCTGACCAACATGGAGAAACCCTGTCTCTACTAAAAATGCAAAAAAATAGCCGGGCGTGGTGGCAGGCACCTGTAGTCCCAGCTAGTCGGGAGGCTGAGGCAGGAGAATGGCATGAACCCGGGAGGCGGAGTTTGCAGTGAGCCGAAATCGCGCCACTGCCACTCCAGCCTGGGTGACAGAGCAAGACTCCCGTCTCAAAAAAAAAAAAAAAAAAAAAAAAAAAAAACTAGCCAGGCATGGTGGCGCATGCCTGTAGTCCCAGCTACTTGGGAGGCTGAGGCTGGAGAATCACTTGAACCTGGGAGATGCAGGTTGCGGTTGAGCAGAGATTGCGCCGTTGCACTCCAGCCTGGGCAACAAGAGCAAAACTCCGTCTCCAAAAAAAAAAAAAAAGCATTATTTTTCTGAAAGTGAGAGGAACAGTGTTTTAAAAGACATGATTTCTGGCTGGGCGCAGTGGCTCATGCCTGTAATCCCAGCACTTTGGGAGGCCGAGGAGGGTGGATCACCTGAGGCCAGGAGTTCAAGATCAGCCTGGTGAAACCCCATCTCTACAAAAAATACAAAAAATTAGCTGGATATGGTGGTGCACACCTGTAGTCCCAGCTACCCATGAGGCAGAGGTTGCAGTGAGCTGAGATCACACCATGCACTCCAGCCTAGGGAACAGAGCAAGACTCTGTCTCAAAAAAATAAATAAAAATAAAAAAGACATGATTTCTGCCTTCAAGAACTGTAGTTAACGAGACAACGCAAAAATTCAGTCGTACAAGCAAAAGAGTTATTGCAAGATGGTGTGTCAATAAGTGAAAAATGAGTGATAACAGCTAAGTAGCTAAAGTGCTGTAAGATTTAAGAGGAAAGGATTACTATGGGATAGTCAGAAAAGGTCTCACAAAGGACATAGAATCTAAGATGAATCTTGAAGGATGGGAAGATTTTCTAGGTGAAAAGGAAGGGGGAAAACATTCTAGCAGAGGCAGGAGAAACAGGGAAGATGAAATGCCCAAGGGTTCATGTGTATTTATTTGTGGACAGCACATTTTCTTACTGGCCAAAATAGTTATTTCATGTCTTCACTTTTTCTCAAAACCAACTCTGGCCCTTCACTCTCAGCTAATAACTTTGCTTCATTCTAGAGGAACAAGTGACCATACATAACACACCTCAGGCTTCCCATCATCAAGTGTATATGTTTGCTGCATCCATTTCTGTCCCTTTCCCCGCCCCTTTGATTGAATTGGGTGGCATTCCTTCTCTTTTTAAAGGCCAGTCTCTTTAGATGTGCCTTGGATCCTATTCCCTTCAACCTACTTAAATGGTGTGTGTCATCAGGTACCTTCCTCTTGTTTCTTCAACTTCTCCCCTTCTGTGTAACCTTTCTTCTTATGGTATTTAGAGTCTTTCTGTACTTTAGCATAAGAACAAAATCTCTGTGAACATCCACCTTTTTCCCATCTGTGCTTCTTTATTCTCCAATCAAGATAAAGCTCTTCACAGAGTTATCTACATACATGGTCTCCACTTTCCTGCCTGTCTTTTTCTCCAGAGTGTAAAATATATGTACAGTTTAAGGATAAGCATTAAATACCTAAGTATTCACCACCTCACCCAATGGAACACAACTCACCTTTGGTTCTTCTTTGATTGATTAGATTCGCTTTCTTCCTCCAGCTGTAACTACATCATACATTTTCTGTTATTCATTCCCTTTCTCATAGTTCTGCATTGTTTAGTTCTGACTCTTTGAATTTTATATAAATGGAGTCATACTTTATGTGTTATCCCATGACCTATTTCTTTTGCTCAGAGACTTCCAAATTCATCCATTCAGATGAATGAAGCCACAATTCATTGAATTGTATTACTAAATAGTATTCTATTGTATGAACACCACCATCCACTTACCCACTACTGGACATTTGTCTAATTTTTATCTCTTCTTGTATCCAATAGATATACTGTTTTTTAAAATTTATGTTGAAGGTTAGTGACTGTAAACTTCTTAACATTTGTGACTCTTCTTAATAGCATGTAAAACCATTTTTTATGTCAACATTAAAAATCTATGAGTTTATGAAATGAAAATTGATTAATTTTCAGGCTATGGTTATAATTTCTAGCTTTCACTGAAATTAATTTAAATAGCCTAAATGTAGGGAATTTGTAAGATATTTGAGAAAAATGAGATTTTTAAGTTACATATTTATGGAAATTATAAAATGTTTTCATCAAAATAGAGTTTAGAAGACAATAAATTGTTTTGTATGAAGTTTTAGTTAGATTTTAATAGCAATTCACTTTCAAAAATAATCATGGATGGCAAATATTGTTTCAATCCATTAAATCGTTTATAAACCTTTTGTAATTCAGACTACGTAATGTTAGTTAAAAAAAAAATCATGAAGTAACTGTTTTCAAATCCATGGAAACATAATACTGTTTTTGTCCCTATCCAGGAAAATGAATACAATCTACGTATGAAAAAGTAGTTTGTGTAGGCCTCATCTGTGCACTCCAGCCACTCAAATCTTCAACTTTTTATCATTTTGAAACTTTTGCTTTCAAAACAAACAGTCTCCTTCAAAAACAAATATGCTTTTCTGACTCAAAAAAGCCAAGCCAAGAAAGTTGCCAATGTCATGGAAAAGGGACATGTCAAGTGCAAGCAACTAAATCACCATAACTGATATCTGGCAATACTTTGATCAGCTGGCAATATTTTGATCATAGTCCTACATCAGAAGTTGGGATTGCCTTGTAGAAGGATGCTGTAGTCACATTAGCTGCTTTTCTTTTTAAAATCAGAACTCTTTGTTTCTTAGATCTGAGTTAGGGTTCTCATTTAATTGGTACTAACAACTGTTCATTAGGTAATCCAACGATTTTATCTTTTTCTTGAAGATTTCCCCTCTTGAGTGCCTTTCCTGTTTTAAGGCAGGCTGGTTGATTTATAGGGAGACTACCCTATAGGGTCTCTCTAGTCACCTTTCCTTTCTATTCACATTGTCCTTCCATCTTTCTCCTGAGTGGATCCAGTTTCTTCCTTTTACTTCGTTTATTCCATAATTTTGATAGAACTCACTCTCCAGTAGCTTCCTCTGATAATGTTGTGATTTTAGCGTGTGCTTTTAATTATTTGAGAAATTGCTTGTCTAACAATGTCTTTATTCCATTGCAGACTAGATTAATATTTTGCTGTGTATAGACTAGATTAATATTTTGCTGTATATAGAATCCTAGGTTGGAAGTAATTTTTTTCCTCAGAAATTTGAAGGTATTGCTCCACCACCAACTTCTAGGTTCTCTTATTGTTTTTGATAAGTATAATGTTATTCTGATTCTTGATTTTTAAAATGTAATCTGTTTTTTTCCTTTCCTGTAGAAGCTTTTAGGATCTTCTCTTTATGGTCAGGGTTCTAAAATTTCATGGCAGTATTTATTGGTACAAGTCTTTGTGCTTGTTTGTTTTGCTGCTGGAGCACTTTGATGGGCTTTCTCAATATGGAAATTTATGTCCTTCAGTTCTGATAATTATGATAAAACTTATTTTTGAATTTCTTTTTCCTATCTTATATTGTCTGTTCTTTCTTTCTCAAACTCCTATTTTAGGGATTTTGGACACCTTAAAGTGATCTTGTGTGGTGTGGAAGATTGATTCTAAAGATAGTGCTTGGCCAGGTGAGGTGACTCATGCCTGTAATCCCAGCATTTTTGAGGTGGAGGCAGGTGGATCACCTGAGGTCAGGAGATTGAGACCAGTCTGACCAACATGGTGAAACCCCGTCTCTACTAATAATACAAAAATTAGCTGGGCATGTTGGTGGGCACCTGTAATCCCAGCTACTCAGGAGGCTGAGGCAAGAGAATTGCTTGAATCCGGGAGGCAGAGATTGCAGTAGCCAAGATCACACCATTGCACTCCAGCCTGAGTGATAGAGTGAGACTCCGTCTCAAAAGTAAAAAATAATAAATAATTAAAGACAATGCTCAGTGATACCTCCCAAACCTTATGTGCATGCTATTCCTCACATCAACAAATGAAATCCATGTTCCCTTTCCTTGAATCTGGGCTGATCTTGTGACTTGCTTTAATCAATAGAAAGTGGCAGAAGGTATATGGGATTTCAAGACCAGGCCATAAGGGTGCTAGACACTTCTACTTCCTACATTTTTTTTATGTAAAGATACTTGGCGCGGATTACCTCATAATGAAAGGTCATGTGGAAAGAGGCCTTAGAGGGTGAAAGGACATCTTGGAATATTGAGCCCTGGCCAAGTTACCAGGTGAGTGTAGCAAAAGAGCAGAAGACATGCTAAACTGAACCCAGTCAACCCACAGAACATTGAGAAATAATAAATTGTTTTAATTCACTAAGTTTTGGGGTAGTTTGTTATAAAATATTAAATAACTGAAACACCCTCTAATTCTCTAGAATTTTTCTTTCCCATGTCCCATTTCTTTTTCTTTCTTTGAATTCATCCATTTATCCTTTCTGGGAGGGATTCCACTTTCTGGGTTTATTTCTCCTTGTTAACTTTTCTGTTATAGGTTACCATTGTCACGTTTTTAGTTCTTTTTTTTTTTCTTTTAAATTTTTAAATTGCTTTCTGTTCTTGTTTCATGGATACAAAAGTCTTTTTTTTTTTTTTTAAACTCTTTAAGGAATTTTTAAAGCCTTTTTCTTTTCCTGTAGAGATGGGATTTTGCTATGTTGCCTAGACTGGGCTTGAGCTCATGGCCTCAAGTGATCCTCCCACCTCAGCCTCCCAAAGTATTGGGATTAAAGGCTTAAGCCACTGTGGCCAGCTAAGGAATTTAATTATAGTTAGAAAATTCATTTGAAATTTGTTTCTGTTTCTTCTGAAGTCCACTTTTTGTTTGCTTGTTTTGGTCTCTGTCTTTCCTATTGAGACATTCCTCAAGTGTTTAGTGATCTTCCTCTCTTATTCCCATTTAATTTTCAAGTAGCAAGAAATTGATTGGAAACCATATCCTGGATGGGCCTTATCAATTGCTGGACTTCACTGTATGATTATGAAACTGGGCTATTTCAGTGGGTACCGTCAATTCTATCTGTAGGACTTTTCTTTTAGCCTCTTTAGGCTTCCTGGAAAGAAATCCTCCAGGGAATTAGAATCAGAGTAAAGAAGGGGGGGGGGCTATGATCGTTACCATTCAACATGTAGATTTTTCAGTATGGAACCTCTCACTGTTTTGTGGTGTTGGCATGTACTATTTCTGCTCTCACCTATGCCTAATATCCCAGAATTTGAAGTCTCTCCGTAGAATAAGCGCTTAATCCTAATCAGCAGTCACCCTGCTACATGGGGTGGGGAACAGTTTCCAAGGCTGTAACTGCTTTTTATACAGATTTTCGATGAATTCTCTTGTTCTTAGTTCTATACTCCTTTCCCCCAAACCCACCTCCTGGTTCAGAAGTAAATGTTATCTCTAATTCTTGAACTATTTTAGGGTCTTGACGTCCTAATCAGCCAAATTTTGAAGTTTTCATGCCAGAGACATAGATCTCAACTTTCCCTAGTCTATTAAAGTAGTAATTTATGTGTTTTCTGGCCTCCAAACTGCTACTGCTGGTCTCTTCCCCTGCTGTATTTGTCAGCTTATGACTTTCCTTTTTCATGGATTTACTGCCATTTTAGTGGTGCCAAAACAGCAATCCAGTGGTGTGACCTGGGAATCGTTTCTGGTGCTAGCCTCTAAAGTCGATCCCTGGCTTTCCTGGAGAATATTTTGTCCATTTATTATCTCTTAATAAATTTATTTTATGCTTAAACTTGTTGAGAGTTACTTTTATTATTTGCAATTAACAATCCTGATTAATATATTACTAAATGATGATTACAGGTAAAAGTAGTGATACTGACGTCAACTACTATAGAGTAGGTAAATATTTCTAAGTTGGTTCATTAAACTTAAATAGTTTTAGCAAAAACAAACAAAAATCTTTGTTCAGCAGGGCACAGTGGCTCATGCTTGTAATCCCAGCACTTTGGGAGGAGAGCTTGAGGCCAAGAGTTCAAGACCAGCCTGGTTAACATAGGGAGACCTCTCTACAAAAATTTAAAATATTAGCAAGGCATGGTGGTGCATGTCAGTAGTCCCAGCTATTTGTGAGGCTGAGGCAGGAATATTGCTTGGGCTCAGGAATTTGAGGTTGCCGTGAGCTATGATTGTGCCACAGGTCTCCAGTCTGGGTGACAGAGGAAGACCTCGTCAAAAAAAAAAAAAAAAAAAAAAAAAAATCTGTGGTCCAATACTTATAGTAAATGTGCCTTCCATATTTCCTTTTTATAGATTTATAATGCATATTAGCCAATTAATCCTACATTAGGGAAACTCATTTCAACTTTGCGTAACCCTTTCTTCCCAAACTTCTTTATCAAGGAAAGGAAAACTTGTAAATATTTTGCAGGAAACAGTTCAAAAATATTGGAATAGGTGAATATAAGCTGGAGAATTTAGAGCAGTTTAATGGGTCCTAAAATAGTGCTTCTAAACCATGTATGTTTGGTTTTTGAAAAATCAAGAAAAAACAGTGAAAGTGCAACATAAAATTTGTAGAGATGCAGCCATAGTGGAATTTAGAAATGTATGGCCTGAACTGTGTTTAGTATGTATGTATGTATGTGTGTGTGTGTGTCTATCTATCTATCTATCTATCTATCTATCTATCTATCTATCAATCATCTATTGTCTGTCTGTCTCTATCTGGATGTGGACGTACATCTATCTCTCTCTCTATATATATGTATTAAAATAAATGAGCAAGTGTTCAGTTAAAGAAACTAAAAAGAGAACTAGTAAACCCAAATACAGATTTAGGAAAAAAGGAAAATACCAACAAACATTCATGACTAAAGTACATTTCTACATCAGTCACAACCATAGGTTAACTATGAATGTGAAAATTATGCAAAAAAAAATGAAAGCATTCTGTGAAATCAAAAATTTACAGTAAAACGTATTATTTATTTTTATTTGTAATTTTGTGTTACAGATTGTTTATATCAGTAAAATTTATAATAAACTTATATGTACACATACAAACTTTTTCAGAGAGCCACTTCCTACCACTGCACTATGTGGCAAACACATGGTATTACCTTTCTAAAATCTGAAAATATTTGAATTCCACAACCCAATTACCCTATGGGTTTTAGAAAAGCAATTGTGAACCTATTCATTTTAGCATAACATAGTTTTCTAGTCTAACAAAAAAGATGTGAAAAAAATAGTATTTCTACTGGGTTGAGTGGCCTAATCTGAATGATTCCGTTTCCCAATTTGACAAAATTTAAGATTATCTATATTTGTTTTAAATGTTATAAAGCTCAAGTAGCAGAAGTTTTCAGGAAATAATTTTACTTGCCCTCGATATTACCTTTTTTCTGGAACCATCTTTCCAATTTGCTTGAGATTTTAAACGTAATTGGTTGACATTATAGTTAAACAACTGCCAAGTCAACATGGGTCATTACCAGAAAATAACACCATTTCTTGTAAATTCCACATATGTGTAGGATTCTTCTCTATTAAAGTAATGTAATGTAATCCTAACAGATCATTACAGCTTATTTTTTCACAGTATTCTGTATATTTTCCAGAAAAAGAGTCATCAGTTCAAGAGATACCCCCTTTTCCCTTAAATGCTGTTGCCTACTATGAAGAAACACAGAACATCTTTCTCTTGAGAAAAGTTGAGTATAACAATATTTTACTGGCATCAGAAAGAAGAAAAATATTAGTTTAAATCAGGTCAAGAGCATAAAATTTATTTGGCTGGCCAAAAGCAGTACCAAGATAAAATTTTATTTTAGGGAGAAAACAATCAAAGCTAAAATATCCTTTGAAATATAAAGGTCATTCTTGTCAAAGAAAAAAAATATAGGAGCTTTATAACTTTGAAAACGGTTACACATATATTATTGGATTTTATTTTCCCAAGACCTCAGAAAGGTGACAGTGCCAAGTGAATGGTCTAGAAGTAACTTTTTGTCCATGAACTCAGTTGGTCAAACTTAAGACCTCCTCACCTGCTAATCATGCTTGTAAGAGAATAATGCACAAGATAAGATGTAAGTTTATCAAGCGGGCACAGTGGCTCATGCCTGTAATTCCAGTACGTGGGGAGACTGAGGCGAGTGGATCACCTGAGGTCAGGAGTTCAAGACCAGCATGGCCAACATGGAAAAACCCTGTCTCTACTAAAACTACAAAAATTAGCTGGGCGTGGTGGTGCACACCTGTAGTCCCAGCTACTTGGGAGGCTGAGGCAGGAGAATCGCTTGAATCCAGGAGGTGGAGGTTGCAGTGAGCTGAGATTGCACCATTGCACTCCAGCCTGGGCAACAAGAGCTAAACTCTGTCTCAAGGAAAAAAAAAAAAAGTGTAAATTTATTGATTTATAATGGTTGCTCTATTTTTCCAGTGACCAGAGATTTGGTCTTCTCCCTCCAGTATTCTTCATTTTTTCTATGATGGTATTTAGGAAATGGAATGAACAGTCAGTAATTTATCTGATGAATACAAAGATAAACCAAAAAGATAAAAATAATTTTAAGGGACATTTCACTCACAATGATTGGTATCTGCCTCACAATAAAGAATGCCTCTTTAATGAACAGAATATTCTTATCTGTTTGACTCAAGGTCATTCTTCTCTGGACAGCGTTGAACATACACTGCTAAATCTTGATCTTTGGGCGTCAGTTCACTGCACTTAAAGATCACACACTTTGGGTGAACAAGTTTCTTTTTCATATTTGTTACAAAACAAAAAAGTTATAGCCTTGGTCGTTATGAAGCTTATGGAGACCTTAGATAAGTAATTCAACTTATTAGAATATTGTGTGATAAATACTATAATCAGGACCAGACAGAAACATAGCATGGCCTGAGAAAGCTAATTAGGTATTTGGTTTCTGATATGGTTTGGCTGTGTCCCCACCCAAATCTCATCTTGAATTTTAGCTCACATAGTTCCCACATGTTGTAGGAGGGACCTGGTGGGAGATAATTGAATCATGGGGGTGCTTTTCTGCATACTGTTCTCATGGTAGTAATAAGTCTCACGAGATCTGATGGTTTTATAAGGGGAAACCCATTTTGCTTGGTCCTCATTCTCTCATCTGCTGTCATGTAAGACATGCCTTTCACCTTCTGCCAGAATTATGAGGCTTCCCAAGCCACGTGGAACTGTGAGTCCATTAAACCTCATTTTCTTTAAAAATTACCCGATCTTGGGTATGTCTTTATCAGCAGCGTGAAAATGGACTAATACAGTTCCCTTTCAAACAGATGTTTTTAAAGTATTTGTTCCACTTTTCTTTGGGGAAAGATCACAGTTTTGCACAGACTACTGCACCACAAGCACGGTGCAGTGAAGGATGAGGAAGGATGTCTGCTAGCAGAGTATTGTTCTAAGCAGCTCAGCTCTGACTTCAAGCTTGCACACCTAACTAGCAGAACAAAAACAGAAACTAACCAAACTTACCCTCTTTGAAAGGTATTTTAAAAGTGATTTATTACTATTCAAGCATATTCCTGGGTCATTTTAGCCTTCTCATTCCTAGAAGCTTGTCACAGTAATCTCCCTACCACATAGAGTATTGATCTGCAACATTCCTAATGACGTTTACATTTTCTTGAGGATTGGAGCCCTGGACAATTGCCTGCTGGTCCTTTCCTAATCCCCTTCAGGCTATGATGGTGTTTTACACCTGAGGCTATGGGAGGGGAGCCAAGAAAAGAAACATCAAAATCACACTGTGAGATTAAAGAAGGCAGGCATTCTGAGGAAACAATCCCGTGCAAGCCAAAATTTAAAGCCAAGTGACAGTTACACCGGCAAATTGGTGGCTGGAGGAGAGAGCATGGCATGGGGCATGTGCTGTTCACTTTGCCTGGAACAAAGAGTGCCTGTATGGAGTTGTGAAGATGAAGCTAGAAAATCAAGCAGGATCCATGAGTGTACACTTTTCTGAAAGCTATGAGGTGTCACTGAAGGATTTTAAGTAGAATGCCATAATCCTCTTTATTTTAGAAAGATCATTTTTGCAACTTAGTAGTGATGGAGAAATTAAGACTCATGGGCCTGAGACCAATTAGGAGGACATAGCACGGACTTAAGAGGTGGAACCAGAAAGCAGTTGGCAGGTTCAAGAAATATTTAAAAAGTAGCTTTATAGGATTTGGTGACAAATTAGATGAGAAAGGCATGCAGAGAAATTCTGGCTTGGAAAATGAAGAACAGAGTAGGGAGAAGATATTGACTGTTCTGCATGTCTAGCTCATCAAACATTTAATTTTCACTTTTATTTCCCATTGCATCTTAAAATAAATGATTTCCAAACCCTCTTCCAGGAAGAGAAAGTAAAATGACTCAATTACTAATGAAAGCATCTGGAAATTTGGAGAACTTTTACCTCCAAACATGAATTTCTATTTCTGCCCCTAACTAACTTCTAAAGCTGTTTTGCTCTTCTTTCCTTTTGTCTTTCCTTATCATTTCCTTAAAATGACCTCCTAGATGACCTCCTAGATCCTGCTTGTTTACTTTAAACATTTTCAAGTTGGAATTCAGGATTGACTTCACTTCATTGTTCCCTGAGCAGCTGCCATCCCTGTTCATTTCAGCTTTAGCATTTATATGCCGTTTATGACTCCTCTCTGGTTAACTTGCTAAGATCCTGAATTTCTTTCTCATCGTTATCATTTTCACAATTTAATCATAAATTTCTTTAAAAGGGTAAATTCTCAGTTAATTGACTTCTTGTTATGCTTCATTCTGATAACTAGCAGTAAAATAGATCCCACAATAAACCACTGAATTTTAAGCTTATTGGGCAGCCTTAATGGAACATTTTAATTTGCAGTCACTTTCTAAATTACATACTATAATACGATACTTCCAGTTCTCTCTAGGTACCATTTTTCTTCAATATCTATTCTCAATTGTCTTGTGAATTGTTTTGTTTATTATAGGATAGGGTATCATAGGAAATGATGGTTTCCTTTTAAAAGGAACTGTTGTTTGACTCTTTTGGTAATCAAGAAAAGTGACCAAAGTCTGATAACTGTCTGAAAGATTTCCGTGAAATTTACACTTTAAGTAGACATGGAACTGTGTTATGTCCTCACTTTCCTACCTGTGTTACAGGGCTGAGTGTGCCTGTCTGTCGTATCTCCACTTATGATAATACATGAACTAAGCATTAGACATTTGTTTTACTTTTAGGAGGCATAGGCTTACAATTTAACTTCATTATAGTGACAGCAAGCATCCTTCTTGTCTATACAGACATCTGTTTATAACTCTATAAAATTGATATATGCCCTTTATGAGGATCTAATAAAATAACGTGTGTAAGGAGGGTTTTAAAGGATACATCATATTATTCTTATGAGTGCTGTTGCTATTACTGTCAAATTTGGAGAGAACTCATCTTAGGAAATCTGTTATCTCTTTAATAATGGCAGCTTCCTTTTCTGGCAATGATTTTAATGTAACCAGGAAGAATCCCTACAACCCTGTTTTAGGTTGATGTCTGAAATGAACGCTGGTTATCAGCACCTGAACCGAATGGGAGAATATGATTTTAAATGCATACTATGTTTTTAAATGAATGGTAAAAGGTATCTGTTTCTCATAATGTTAACTATGTGAAATGACCTGAAGTTGCTTATTTAGGACTTGGAATGAGAAAGATTCAATAGTTGTCAAAGGTTGTGTGAGTTATTTAAATAAAAATGTGTACAGTGAGAATTACTGAGATCACCTTGATAATTTGTTGTATGGTAGATGTCTCTATATTGAACTCAAAATTTTTACTGCCATGAATTATTAGAGTCATTTTAGCAGAACATTGTTTTAAATTATTTGCCCTGTTACTGTGGATTTTCAAATATACCTTTGTAAAATGAATTTAAGTCTACATTACAATTTTAAGTGTCAGAATGACAAAGCTTTAAACATTTTTTTTCTTATAATAGGATCTTGGTGACTGATATCCACTTGGAAATCAAATTCATTAAGCTTTATTTGAATACCTCAATTCAGTCTTTTCAGTAGGGACAGTTTTGCTGTTGTACTGTCATTCAAAATGATTGCTGGGCCAGGCACAGTGGCTCACACCTGTAATCACAGCAGCTTGGGAGACTGAGGCAGGAGGATCGCTTGAGCCCAGGAGTTTGAGAGCAGCCTGGGCAACATGGCAGTACCCCATCTCTACAAAAAATACAAAAATTAGCAGGGTGTGGTGGTGCATGCCTGTACTCCTAGCTACTCTGGAGACTGAGCAGAGAGAATCACTTGAGCCCGAGAGGTGGAGGTTGCAGTGAGCAGAGATTGTGCCACTGCATTCCAACCTGGGGGACAGAGTGAGACCCTTGTTTCAAAAAAAGCAAAGGTCACTAAGTGGTCATTGCTTATTCTGACATTGCTTATTATCTAGCTATGTGCAGTGCATACCTTGTTAAGATTTTCAACTGAAAGTATTATTTCAGTCATCTACTGCTGCATGACTATCACAAAACAGTGGCTTAAAGCAACCACCATTTGTTGATGACCCTGTGGATCAGGAATCTATGCAGAACTCAGTGTAGAAGGCTTATCTTTTTGTTCCACATGGTTTCAGCCAGGAAAGCTCAACTGGAGCTGGAGGATCCAAAATAGCATGGGTGCAGCACACCAACATGGCACATGTATACATATGTAACAAACCTGCACATGTACCCTAGAACTTAAAGTATTAAAAAAAAAAAAAAAAAAGTAGCTTCACTCTGGAGTCTGGGCCTTGGTGCTGGCTGCTGGCCGTGGTACGTACTCTGTTCTTCTCTGTGTGTCTGTCCTCTCTCTTTTATGGTCTCCCATCCTCAGGGGCCTCTCTCCTCACTTGGCTTCTCTTTCCAGTAGAGTAGCTTTTACATAATTGCTGGGTCCCAAAAGCAGAAGCAGAAGCTACAAGGCTGCTTAAGGTATAGGCTCAAAAATCCCAGAACATCATTTCTGCTGCATTCTAGCGGTCAAAGCAAGCTGCAAGGCCAGCTAGATTCAAGGTGTGGGGAAACAGATTTCACTCCTTGATAGAAGGAGTGGTGAAGTCACATGACAAAGGTGTGTGGACTAGGGAGGTATGATTCATTGATGCCACTTTAAACACTCTACCACAGGTATATTAAATGGGATTTTTTTTTTTTTTTTTTGAGACCGAGTCTCGCTCTCTCCCAGGCTGGAGTGCCAGTGGCGTGATCTTGGCTTACTGCAAGCTCCGCCTCCCAGGTTCACGCCATTCTCCTGCCTCAGCCTCCCTAGTAGCTGGGACTACAGGCGCCTGCCACCACGCCCGGCTAACTTTTTTTGTATTATCAGTAGAAACGGTTTCACCGTGTTAGCCAGGATGGTCTCGATCTCCTGACCGCGTGATCCACCCACCTCGGCCTCCCAAAGTGCTGGGATTACAGGCGTGAGCCACAGCGCCTGGCCCTAAATGGGCTTTTCAAGAGGAACTCACTTCAATCAAGAAGACATGGCTTTTTGGTCACGATTTGAGAATTTTAACACTAAGATGAAATAATGTTGAAAAGAATACTAATTTCTGAACCTAAAAGTAGTTTGACCATTTGGTTTTCCTACTTAGACCAAGTTGGTTTATTGTCTTTCTTACCTTAATGAGAACTTGCTGTGTAAATTCAGAAACATACATAAGTGCATCCTTTTAATAGTCTGCTGTTAACACTTAACAAGATTGTGGACATCTTTATATGTCAATAAATATATGAGTAAGATGTGTAATGGCTGCCTAGTATTTATATAGGTACACAATAATATATTGAACCCTTCCTCCAAAAAATGTTTATTATTTACAGTTTTTGCTGTTTTAGACAACACTGTAAATAGCATCCTATGTGTACATTTTAGTCACTTTTTTTTCATTTATTCACGACCAATTCCTAGCAGTGGAATTCTAAGATAAAGGGCGTGAATGTTTAAAATTTTTCATGCTGCCCTTCTGAAAGTAATTTCTTCCACTGTCTTCTGGTTTCTATGATTTGGATGAGAAACTGCAGTGATTCAGATCATTGTTTCCTTGTATGTCCTGTGTCTTTTTTTCCTAGCTGTTTTCAAGGGCTGTTTTCTGTGCCTTCTTTTCAGCAGTTAAATTTTCATATGTCTAGCCATGCCCTTCTTTGAATTTATCCTGTTTGGAGTTTGCTAAGCTTCTTGAATCTACACATTTATGTCTTTCACCAAATATTGGAAAGCTTTTGGCCAATATGTCTTCAAATATTTTTTGTGTCTCAATCTCTTTCTCTTATCTTTCTAGAATTCTAGTTACATATATACTAGATGTTTTCATGTTGTCAAACAGGTCCTGAGGCTTTGTTAATTTTTTCTCTGTTATTTTGTTTTACAGTCTTTTTCTCTGTGTTCTTCACATTAGATAATTTTGATGGATCTATTGTCAAGTTTACTGACTTATTCCTCTGTCATCCCCATTCTTATGAGCTCACCCAGTGATTTTCTTATGTCAGTTATTACCTTTTTCAGTTCTAAATCTCCCATTTGGTTCTTTTCATTGTTTTTATTTGTCTGCTGAGATTTTCCATTTTTTGAGAGACAGTCTATAAGATAACTGGCTTGTATTATTAAAAAATGCCAGGGTCATGAAAGACACAAAAGACTATGGAACTATTTCAGATTAAAGGAAACAAAAAATGCATGACAAACTAAATGAAACTTGTGATCCCGAATTGAACCCTGGACCAGACATTAGTTTTCTTTTGATAAAAAGAAAATTAGTAAGTTGATTGACAAAATTGAATGTCTGTAGTTTAGATAGGAGTATTATATCAAGGTTAATTTTTCTAAGTTTGATAACTGTGATACAGTTATGTAAGAGAAAGCCCTGGTTATTAGGAAACTCACACTGAAATTTTTGAAAGTAAAGAGGCATTGTATCTGCAACTTACTCTGAAATGTTTCTGAAAAAAATTATTTTATGTACATTTATAGGGAGAAAGAGAGAAAGATTAAAGCTAGATGAACAGCATATAGAAATTTTCTGTACTATCTTTGGAAAGATTTTTTTTTTTTGAGTCAGAGTCTCAAAAAAAAAAAAATCTTTTGAAAGATAGTATGTCACCCAGGCTGGAGTACAATGGCATGATCTCAGCATCAGCTCACTGCAACCTCCGCCTCCCGGGTTCAAGCAATTCTCCTGCCTCAGCCTCCCGAGTAGCTGGGATTACAGGCACCCACCACCACACCCGGCTAAATTTTGTATTTTTAGGAGAGACGGGGTTTCACCATGTCGGCTAGGCTGGTCTCAAACTTCTGACCTCAGGTGATCCACCCGCCTTGGCCTCCCAAATTGCTGAGATTACAGATGTGAGCCACCATGCCTGGCCCTGAAAAAATTTTTAAGTCAGAAATTAGTTCAAAATATAAAGTTAAAAAAATCCTCAAGATCATGAAAATTAAGAAATGACCTGAAAACTATACAAAATGGAAGAGCACCTGGGCCAGGTGTGGTGGCTTATGCCCATAATCCCAGCGTTTTGGGAAGTTGGGGGTGGGAGGATTGCTTAAGCCCAGGAGTTCAAGGCTGCAGTGACTTATGAGCACACTACTCTAGTGTGGGTGACAGAGTGAGACTGTCTCAAAAAAAAAAAATTAAAAATTAAAAGGTGGAAGAAATGTAAATGCAGTGCATGATCTGAACTTAATCCTAAACCTATTTGGGACAATATTAGGACAATCAGCAAAATTTGAGAGAAATATTTGGATTAGGTGGTAATAATAGATCACTGTTAATTTACTGATTTTAAAGATTATGTTACTGTTATATGTGAGAGCGGCATTATGTTTCAGAAATAAACATTGAAGTATTAAGGGAGAACAAGGCACCAAAATTAGGTTTGAAAATTTGAGATGAAATATGGAGAAAAGGAATATAATTCCACCACATTAATGTAATTGCCATTACCATCTTTTCTCCCCTTTCTACACAGAATAAAAGGAAGTGCTTTTAGTTTTAGTTAACAATAAAACCACTCTGAAAGTTTTCTACTCTGGGATTTCTCAAAGCCACTGAAATAAAATTATAAGAAGATGTAATGGAATAAATTTAAAATATTGTTAGTTATGCATGTTTTTATATCAATAGAATTGTGTGAAAGCTTTTTATGTTCTAATTATAATTAATTTTTAATTGTTGAATCTCTAATTAAAAATTAGTCATCATTTATACCTTTTCCCATCCTTGTTCCTGTGTATATAACATCTTTCCCCCAGTATATAATATCTTTTTATATTGGCTACTTTCAAGAGTCTCTCTTTGTCTTTACTTTTTAGAAGTGTGGCCATAATATGCCTATGAATTTTTTTTTAAAGTGTATCCTGATTTGGGTTAGCTGAGCTTCCTGGATCTACAGGCTAATGTTTTGGATCAAATTTGGAGGTTTTTCAGACACTATTTTTTCAAATAATTTTTCTTTTCGATTCTCTTCTGTTCTACTGGGACTTCAGTTACATGTGCATCAGACCATTTGGCATTGTTCTAAGGTTCTCAAGGCTCTGTTCTTTTTCTCCAGTCTTTTTCCTTTGAGCTCCAATTTAGATTACTTTCTTTGACTAGTCTTTAGTTAACTGATTCTTTCTTCTGTTGTTATTAATCACATCTGACGAAATTTTAATTTCAGATATTCTTTTTTTTTTTTTTAGTTCTAGGATTTCTGTTTGATTCTTTTTTATACTTCCCACATTCCTTGAATATCCATACCCATTGCAGTCCCATTTCCCTATAGATTTAAAAACATATTTATTAGAGTTATTTTAAAGTCTTGGTCTACTATTCAATGTCTGGATCATCTGTAAGACTGTTTCTATTGATTGATTATTCTCTTAACTGTGGGTCACATTCTTCTGTTTCTTTTCAGACCTACTAAGTTTTTATTGTATAGCTCACATCATGGCTAAATCATTGTAAAGGTTCTGAATTCTATTATCTTCTCTAAAAGAATGTTAAGTTCCATTCTAGCAGGCTGTTAAATTTCTTGCATATAACTTTGAATTTGTGAATGTTTGGTTTTAGGCTTTATTAGGGTAGGTATATTTCAGTTTTTCTCTGAGTTCTAAGGCAAATACTTTAGAACTGGGATGTAGATTTTAGTCCTAAAGCATGACCCTTCTTAGGGTAGGTGTTTGTTTGTTTGTTTGTTTTTTCTTAGAGATAGCGTTTCACTCGGTCACCCAGGCTGGAGTGCAATGGCACAGTCTCAGCTCACTGCAACCTCAACCTCCTGAGTTCAAGTGATCCTCCTGCCTCAGCCTCCCAAGCAGCTGGTACTACAGGCACGTGTCACCATGCCTGGCTAATTTTTTCATATTTTGTAGAGACATAGTCTCGCTATGTTGCCCAGGCTGGTCTTGAATTCCTGGCCTCAAGCAATCCTTCTGCCTTGGCCTCCCAAAGTGCTGGGATTACAGGCATGAGCCACCATGCTCTGTTGGGTCAGGTCTTAAACTCCCTTTGTCTTTCCTGCAATATGCAGATGCTAAAAGCTCTGCTCAGTTCGTTCTTTCCAGTTTCTAGTTATTGTTTTCCCTTGAGTATCCTTGGAGTCTTGCCTTGTACATGCTCCATTCAAGAATCAGCCAAGTATTTAAAGGTAATTTATGCCCAGACTTTTGGGGCTTATCCCTACTGTGGATTTCTCCCTTTATGGAATTTCTCTCCTCAATTTCTGACCACTTTGGCAGCTCCTGACTCCCTCTCTGATGCCTCAGCTCAGCAAAGTAGCTGCTTTTCACTTACACTTTATCCATTTATGCCTTACCATCTGAGGAATGCTCTCAGGGAAAAGATGAATACATATGGACCTCATGCAATGTAGTTGCCCTATTTCAAGGGTTGAAATCCTTTTCATTTTTGCCGACTTTTATTCATGGTCCATTACCTTTAAGAGGCTGTTTGATTTATTTTTATTTTGTCTAGAGTTCATAATTTATATTTTTAAGTGGGTTAGTCTGATAAAAGTTGCTTTACCTTATCTGAAGCTGGTAGAATGGGCAAGATGAGACCAGAACCAGTTAATTTCTTCCAGTGTATTCTTATTATATGACCCATACTGCCCTATGCTTTTCTTTTGAGGGTCAGATTTCTATTCCTTGCCAAGTTATGAAAAAGTAAGAGGATAATATGATATTAACAAATGATTTTAAAAATACAAGCTGTAGTAGTGAGAAAAATAATGAGTTTCTTTCTATAAAAAAAGAGGAATTCTCCAAGAAATGAAACAGCTCCAAATATACATGAAATATATTAGCATAAAAATATAAACATCTAAGTTTTAGTCACATAAGATCTGCAGGCTAACCATCCCTTGAAAAGTAGTTCTCTGTATTTCAGAAGCTATTTTCTGACTTTTAAATTTGAAACTGAGACATTGTTGACTAATAAATAAGAGACAAAAGAATCCCACTTCTCTTCTGCTTATAATAAGGCAATACAAAAAAAGTTAAAAGCCATGAAAAGTTATAGTGAGATTTTAATATTTTATGAAACAAGATTATAAACTTGTTTATAAAACAAAAAACTGTTCAAGCATCCTGAAATGCAAGCTTATGGTGACACTTAAGGGCAGAACCAGTTGTCCTATCAAGTTGAAGTAACTGTATGCAGCAATTCTACCAAAGGTGTCTTCAGAGCAAAAATAAAAGGATATATAGAGAGATATAAATACAGACATAAATATGACTGATAGAATTCTGATCAATGAACCTGATTTCATAGTTCAAATATAATTTCCAGAAATTATTTAAGTCATTCTTTGGTTTAACATTGATTAAAATCAAAATGTTCTCATTATCCTTTTTGTCAATGGTAACAGGATTGAAAGAAAAACCAAACTGCAAGAGGATATATAGAGCAAAGCTTAGCAAATGCTATGAGAGGTTTATTAATTATTATAACTCAATCTGGCTGTTTTCTTCACTGAGGAGATGGAATATCTCCTGGTGGAACAATCAGAATGATACTAGAAATTCTGTCTTTGCAAGGCCAAAATGAGCTATTAAATGCTACGTTCTATCAAGTTCAGAATTAATCTCATGGATTAAAAAAAGTTCACAACCAGTAGTACCTTCAGCCTTTTGATGAACGCATTATGTCAATCATCAGAACTATTGCCTTCATTTTCTCCTGGGGGTAGTAAGCCCTAATTCCATAGTTTAATTTTTTTCTTGCATCTGATAATCTCTACAATACCCTAGAGATGAAAAACTTTCCATACGCTTTAAAGAAGCAGCTCTACAGCCAGATCACCTGTGTGCATCTGCGTCCTGGCTTTATCACCAGCGTCAAGACCATGGGCAAGTGATTTAATCTCTCTGTGCCTTTGTTTCTTCATCTAGAACATAAGGATAAAAATACCTGCTTTGCTGGTTTGTGAGGATGACAGGAGATAGTGCATATAAAGCTCTATAATTTTTCACTTTCTACAAAATCATGGCCCTTTCATAGAATGAGCCTAAAATAATCTTGTTTCATAAAATATTAAAATCTCACTATAACTTTTCATGAACAGATTGACTTTTTTTCACCAACCTCTGCTGTTGTATCCCAGCCAAAGAGTTTATTTACTAAAGCACCACAAGGGCTTTGTTGAATGGTGGCTGTACTTGAAAGTAAGCCCTCTGTGTTAATTTCCATCCTCTAGAAATTCAGGATGTTTCAGTAGAAGCTATTTTATTTTATTTAGGTGGAAAAAGTGAGAATTTGTCATTTGCAAGCTAATTTGTGGTCTGGGCCAAACCTGTGGACTCTTACTTTGCTTTTCACCGAATAAAATTAGTGTTTGGCAACAAACTTCAGAGTAATTGACTCTGAGGCTGCTGGCCATTTGGGCATTGTCTATCCAAATTCTTATAGTCCAGAGAACAGAAAAACCCAATTTTTCCTCTCATAAATGTAATTCAAACTCTCAAGGTTTGTTCAGGGATGCTAATTACTCCCTTCAATTTTTCCATGATGAGGCTATTACTGAATGTCAGCAAGCAGGATTCAACATCAGGAGCGTGTGAGGCCACTGGAAAATGTTCCACTGTCTCTCTTTCTTTCTAGGTCACTCAGTATTTGATTATCCAGACTAATTGTGGGCAGGGAAAGCATGAATAATTGAATTGTACAGACAAGCTCTTGTACCTTATTTTGGCTGAAGACTTCCTTCACCGTGCTTCTCAAACTTTTTCTTTTTTTCAGAAGAGCTAACAAGTAAAGTGGAATAGTGTTTCCTGGCTTTGCTCAATTTCCTCTGTCCTTTCAGAAAAGTATTGACAAATACATCTCCCTCCCAAGTGCCCCATTTCTTCTGCCTTAACAAAGCAGTATCAACAATTAGAAACAAAGCACAAGTCTAGGTAATAGTTTTATGAATAAGGTAGACTTGCCTGTTCTAGAACATTCTGGTTATAAAAAGCAAGCCAGATCTTGAGCTTGAGTTTGGCTTTTCCTTTTGTTGATCACTTTCCAACAATTTTAAAGGCGACTTTTCCCCTTTCTTCTCATTATAGGCTTTTTATAGTCTTTTTTAGCACCTCAGAAGTAACAAAGGAAATAAACATTTAACAGATGGTCTTGGCAGTTTTCCTAAAATACATACATAGCATAAAAAGAAAGCATAAATGGAGTTGGTTAGATCTATTTTAATTTGTCTTCTTTCCCACAGAATGGTCACTTGGTCACAATTTTTTTATTGTCATTGTTTCTGCCTTTTATCTTTGTGGTTCCTCGTTCCTCACATACAGTTTCTGAAGCATTCTTCAAGGTCAAGTCCTGTTCCTTCCTTACCCTAATCTCTACACCACAGAGAAAAGTGGATCATACTGTTATCAAAAAGGGCTTCACCAGGCTCCTCTGGAGAGTGTCTGTGGGAAAAATTTGGAAAATCCCAAGTCTGCATGTGGTTCTCTCACAAAACCGCAGGTCATGGGGTGGAAGTAAGCCAAGGAGTATTAGTAAGAAGTGGAAGCAAGGGAGGAGCCGAGAGAATACACTGAGGACTTCTAATTGATAAGTGGGAAAACAAGAAAACCTAGGGTAAAAATGTTAGCCTTGGGTTATAGGGGCAGCCAAAAGAGGAATGATAGATGATCAGAACTAGGGGTCTATATCCGTGAAGCGTGGAGGCGATATATGGGTTCAAGTCCAAGATGTTCACAAACATAAAAGGGGCAGGTAAGTCTCATTAGGTGTAGAAAGCAAAGCCAAGTTCTGAATCTGAGCATTCTGAGTTATAAAGGGACGGGTAATGGGTTAGCGCATCAAGGTCTCCATGGGGAAGCACAGTCCAGCAGAAAGAAAACCAAGCCCCAGTCGTGGAGTTCACACCAAGCAGAAGCTGCTGATGAGAAACAAAGTCCCACACAGGCAATGGCCCAAATCAACAGCCAAAGCAAATGAGATGCAGTCCATGAGCCAAGGTCTCAGATAGCTGTTCTCAGCCCTGCTTTTATGACTTTGCAAAGGGTGTGCTCAGGCTGGGGTTTCAGGGCGTGCTGGGAGTCCAGAGAGGCAAGGGATTCTTCCAAAGTCATTCTCAGATGTTGGAATCTCTTGCAGTTGAGGTCTTTTTATATCTTTACCCCAGCGATTTGGGGTAAGAATAAAACTTCATTTTTTTTTTCTTGAAGATAGATACAGATCAACTTGGAAATGTCCAATGTTATGGGGAAAAGGGAGGAAATGGACATGGAAATCAGAAAGAAAGAGGAAGGAGAAGGCATTCAGTGCCTTCTAGGAGGCTGTATATAAAGAATAGCGATTAAGAAGGCTGGCTTTGAAGTCGTGATGCCTTTATTTTAACCACATCACTACTATTTGCTAGCTGAGTGACCAGGGCAGCATGTTATTGAACCTCTTCACTTTTCATCTGTAAACTGAAGATGATAACATATCCTTCCTTCTAAAGTTGTTGGGAGGGTTAACTGTAAATTACTTAGAGTACTTTGCACAAAGTAGGTGCTCAATATATTTTAGGTGCTACTTCGTTCTCTAGGGGTACATTCTCTCAGATAAGTATTGCTCTCCTACAACGTGCTAGGCACTTTGCTAGGTACTGGGGAAACTGTGATAAACAAAATGGCCAATTTCAGGAGGTAATAAGTGAACAGAATTTGGAAATCTCAATAAGGGTATGTAAATAAAAACTTATGGAAGGTAAAAAAAAGTCAACTTGAGTTACAGATGTCAGGAGATCATCATTCTACTAGTTAAGTTGGGGAAATAGAAAAAGTAATGTTTGTATCAAAACAAGACTTTGGCCAGGCATGGTGGCTCATGCCTATAATCCCAGCACTTTGGGAGGCTGAAGCAGGCAGATCACCTGAGGTCAGGGGTTCGAGACCAGCCTGGCCAACATGGTGAACCCTCATCTCTACTAAAAATACAAAAATTAGCCAGATGTGGTGGCACATGCCTGTAATCTCAGCTACTTGGGAGGCCAAGGCAGGAGAATCACTTGAACCTGGGAAGCGGATGTTGCAGTGAGTCGAGATCATGCCACTGCACTCCAGCCTGACAGAGTGAGACTCCGTCTCAAAAAAAAAAAAAAAAAAGACTTCAAGAATTAAAATTTAAAAAAAAAAAGAGTTAAGAGTTTCTGGGAGACAGTAGTGTATTAGACCATTTTTGCATTGTTATATAGGAATACCTGAGGCTGGGTAATTTATAAGGAAAAGAGGTTTAATTGGCTCATGGTTCTGCAGGCTGTACAAGCAGCATGGTGTCAGCATCTGCATGGGGTGAGGGCCTCAGGAAGCTTCCAATCAAGGTGGAAGGTGAAGGGGGAGGAGGCATGTCACATGATGAGAGCAGGAGCAAGAGGGCAGGGGGATGTCCCAGGCTTTTAGACAACCAGATCTGGTGTGAACTAACTGAGCAAGAACTCACTCATCACCAAGGGGATGGTGCCAAACCACTCAGAAGGGATCTGCCCTTATGATCCAGTCACCTCCCACCACTGGGGATCATATTTCAAATTTCAACATGAAATTTGGAGGGGACAAGCATCCAAACCATATCAAGTAGTAAGAGAAACCATTTTGTATTAGTCTGTTCTCACGCTGCTAATAAAGACATACGTAAGACTGGGTAATTTGTAAAGGAAAGAAATTTAATTGACTCACAGTTCCACATGGCTAGGGAGGCCTCACAATCGTGCAGAAGCCAAAGGAGGAGCAAAGTCACGTCTTGCATGGTGGCAGGCAAGAGAGCATGTGCAGGGGAACTGCCCTTTATAAAACCGTTAGATTTCGTGAGACGTATTCACTACCACGAGAACAGCATGAGAAAGACCTGGCTCCATGATTCAATTACCTCCCACTGGTCCCTTCTACGACTCGTGGGAACTATGGGAGCTACCATTTGAGATTTGGGTGGGGATTCAGGCAAACCATATCATGTTTCATCCTGAGAAACATGTTATTGTAATGACAAGGAGCTGGGGTGATAAGAATGTGCAGAGGAGACAGTGAAACCCAGGATTAGATGCTGCGGTTTGTGGAGAATTTCTTAAAAGGAGGTAATGCTGTCAAAAAGAACAAGGGAATGTCTATGAGACCTACTAATAAGTGGAGTTAAGTCAGATTATCAAACAATATATATGTACCCTACTTAAGTTTCAAAAAAGGTGAAGGGCATTTTATGGTAAAGGAGGACTGTCTTATTAAAATTAACATGGGTCACCTTTGTGCTGATGAAATGTGGTATAAAAAATTTGTTTCTAATTCATTCCAAACTTCATACTTACTTTTTACTGATGATTTATTTTCCCGTGCATGCCTTATAGGTACAGACTTTGAAAATTATGTATTTTATGTATCCTTGGAACTTACAAGTTTCTGCACTTAAAACAGTACACAAAAGCTACATAAACGACCGTATAAAACTGAATGCAGTTGCAAGTCTTGTCCAAAGGATGAATGATTTAAGGGTTTTATAGTTCTTCCCACTCCTGAAATATAGCTCCTCTTCTTGCTTCCAGTTTATTAATAGAGAATAAGCATTTCTACAGTTTGAGATAACATTTGAAATGCAAACCCTCCTTGGAGAAGCAGTACATATGTTCCTATTCCTGCAAAGCTGTGTTGGGTCCCTATTAGGCTGTTCTTGCATTGTTATAAAGAAATACCTGAGACTGGGTAATTTATAAGAAGAGAGGTTTAATTGGCTCATGGTTCTGCAGGCTGTACAGGAAGCATGATGCTGGCATCTGCTCAGCTTGTGGGAAGGCCTCTGGAAGCTTATAATCATAGCAGAGGGTGAAGGCGGAGCAGGCATGTCACTGTGAAGGCAGGAGCAAGGGACAGGAGAGGTGCCACGCACTTTTAAACTACCAGATCTTACAAGACCTCCCTATCACAAGGACAGCACCAAGCAGATGGTGCTAAACCATTTATGAGCAATCCACCCCCATGACCCAATTACCTCTCACAAGGCTCCGCCTCCGGTACTGGGGATTACAATTCAAGAGGAGATTTGGGCAGGGACAAATATCCAAACTATATCAGGTCCTTTCTCTGAAGGTTCGAGAGAGAAGTCACCAAGCCATGGAAGCAATCAAGGCAGAACGAGGAGTACAGAGGCTAATGACCACAAATCCATTGTCCCTACTAGGTCGTCATTCTGCTTAGAGCCTGTCCCCTGTTCCTCTGAAATGATTCTGCAATTCACAGCTAGGATACCTAGTGGCTTGTAGCCATATCTGCATCAGCAACATATACATTTATAAAATAATGTTATTTTCAATTGTTTTAATAGAAAAAAATTCACATTAGGCAGCAAAAATAACAATTTAAGCACCAAAGAATAGAGCAGAAAGTCCATTGTCATTTATCATTAACTAGAAAGTTATGTTCCTTAGAATTCTTGGGTAGAATGTACCAACAGGAGGGACAGGCTGGGTCTCTCACTGTATAATATCTGTGGGAGAGTCTAATAAGTGAGAAATGATTACCTTAGTTGAGCAATTTGATAAGACAAAGCAAACAAAAATAAACCTAAATCTAGCCCTGGCTGTCTGGCAAGTAAAGAGGTCAGTATGCTAAAGGCTGCATTTTATGGATCATGATAAGAGGTGGCCTTATTCGGGCCTTTCAAATTTTTCCTTCATTAACATATTCTTGTTTAAGTATTAAATATTATTATATATTATGGTAAGATATATAATGTTGACTGACATTTCTAAATCCTCAGGAATAGTCACCTAGTAAGTACATTTACACTAATCATGGATTTAAGAAAGTACTAGAGGCGGGGCTCAGTGGCTCATGCCTGTAATCGCAGGCCAAGGTGGGAGAATCGCTTGAAGCCAGCAGTTTGAGACCAGCCTGGGAAACACAGTGAGACATCATCTCTACAGATTTTTTTAAAAAAAATTTAGCTGGGTGTGGTTCTGAGAACCTGTAGTCTCAGCTACTCAGGAGGCTGAGGCAGGAGGATTGCTTTGAGCTCAGGAGTTCGAGGCTGCAGTGAGCTATGATCACACCACTGCACTCCAGCCTGAGTTACAGAGTGAGACTCTCTCTTTTTTTTCTTTTTTCTTTTTTTTGAGACGGAATTTCATTCTTGTTACCCAAGCTGGAATGCAATCTCAGTTCACTGCAAGCTCCGCCTCCTGGGTTCAACTGATTTTCCTGCCTCAGCCTCCCGAGTAGCTAGGATTACAGGCATGCGCCACCATGCCTGGCTAATTTTGTATTTTTACTAGAGACAGGGTTTCACCATGTTGGTTGGGCTGGTCTTGAACTCCTGACCTCAGGTGATCCATCCACCTCGGCCTCCCAAAGTGCTGGGATTACAGGCATGAGCCACCACACCCATCTTGTCTCTTTAAAAAAAAAAAAAAAAGGACTGGAGGAAATAAAATGGGAGGAAACTAATTTTCAGTTAGGCACCTTTTTTCATTTTTTAAATTTTATTGTAAACCGACATTATAATTGTATATATTTATGCAGCACAAAGTGACATTACAATATGTGTATACAAGGTGGAATGGTAAAATCAAGCGAATTAACATATCCATCACTCCAAATACTTATCCCTTTTTGTGGTGAGAACATTTGAAATTTACTCTCTTAGCAAATGAAGTATATAATACATTGTTATTAACTATAGTCTCCAAGCTATGCAATCGATCTCAAAAAACGTATTCCTCCTGTCTAACTGAAACTGCACCCTTTGACTAATATCTCCCCATTTCCCCCACTTCCCAGCCTCCGGTAATCATTATTCTACTCTGCTCCTAGGAGTTCACTGTTTTAGATTCTGCATATAAGTCAGGCCCTGCCCTATTTGTCTTTCTGTGGGCACTAATTTTCTATTATAAATAGTTAGATGCAGCAGCTAGCTCAATGAAAGTAGGTGACTTCAGGTTCATAGGACAATAATAGTAATATTAACAATATTACCTTCGGGTTTTTTACTGCACCATAATTTATTCAATTAATTTTCTGTTCTTGGTCACTCAGGTAGTTTGAAATATTTCGAATGCTGTAAATAACCCTGCAATGAGCATTCTTATACATACATCTTTTTACCCAGCACTGATTTTTTTTAAATTTATGATAAAATATTTAAGACACATGAAAAGGCATAAAAATATTTTTTAAAAAATACTCATGCACCTACCACCCAGCTTAAGAAAGTAAACTTCACTAATATGGTTGGAGCCCCCAAGCATCCTTCTCAATCTCAGCCGCTTTCTTACACCAGTGGTCATCTCCTGACATCGGTGTTTATCATTCTGCATTCCTTTATATTGTCACTACTGGTTGGGTAACTCCAAGCCACACATATATTAATTTCTGAATATAACTTTTCCTGACTGCAAACGTAATGCATGCTCATTGTAGAAAGGTTGGGGA
Organism: Homo sapiens; assembly: GCF_000001405.40. Lineage (NCBI taxonomy): Eukaryota > Metazoa > Chordata > Mammalia > Primates > Hominidae > Homo > Homo sapiens. Next base: position 25,054,110 of record NC_000010.11, read on the forward strand.
TAAAAACTTGCTTTAAATTGAATGGTGCTGGCCGGGCATGGTGGCGCACGCCTATAATCCCAACACTTTGGGAGGCTGAGGTGGGCGGATCACTTGAGGTCAGGAGTTTGAGACCAGCCTGGCCAACATGGTAAAACCCCATCTCTACTAAAAATACAAAAAATTAGCTGGGCGTGGTGGTGGATGCCTGTAATCTCAGCTATTTAGGAGGCTGAGGCAGGAGAATCACTTGAACCCATGAGGCGGAGGTTGCAGTGAGCGGAGATCACGCCATTGCATTACAGCTTGGGCAACAAGAGTGAAACTCCGTCTCAAATAAACAAATAAATAGAATGGTGTTTTTTCTCTTTTCTTTCTTTCTTTCTTTCTTTCTTTCTTTCTTTCTTTCTTTCTTTCTTTCTTTCCTTTCTTTCTTTCTTTCCTTTCTTTCTTTCTTTCCTTTCTTTCTTTCTTTCTTCCTTCTTTCTTTTCTTTCTTCCTTTCTTTCTTCTTTTTGTGCTTTTTCATACAGAAGGTGCTCTCTTATTTCTCACCTCATTTAATTCCATAGCATTTCTATGATGTGGGCGATTAATTTTTTTTTTTTTTTCTGAGACAGGGTCTCACTCTGTCACCCAGGCTGGAGTGCAGTGGTGCAATCATGGCTCACTGCAGCCTCGACCTACTAGACTCAGGTCCCACCTCAGCCCCCCTCATAGCTGGGACCATAGGTGCATGCCACAAAGCCTGGCTAGTTTTTGTGTTTTTGTAGAGACAGGGTCTTGCCATATTGCCAAACAGATCTCGAACTCCTGAGCTCAAGAGATCTGCCTGCCTTGGTTTCCCCAAGTGTTGAGATTACAGGCGTGAGCCACTGCACCTGGCTGGGTTATTCTTTTTCTCCATTTTTGAGGTGAGGAAGAGAGGTTCTGATTGATAAGTAAATATCTCAAGATCCTTGGCTATTAAGTGAAGGAGCCAGAACTCACATCTAAATCTTTTAATTCCAACTTCTGTGGTCATTCTGTTAAAATATCCTACAATTATGCCACCATTTCCCCCCACTAAAATCACCAAGAATCAGGGATGGCCCTTCCTTCTCACTCCTCTCTCCTTGCCCTCTTGTGACTTCATTTCAATTTAAATGCGAAGTGTCAAGTTTATTTTACATTGATTTTGCTTGCATGCAAAAGTTGAGCAGGGAGAAGAAATAAGGGGTGATTTACCATACAGGCCACTTCTAAAAAAAAAAAAAGGTCCTAGTTTTCAGCCTTCACTGGTATTATGCACCTTCCCTCCTGGCTAAAGGCCTGCATTCTGGGCATAGGCATAGCCTTAACCCAATGCTCTGTGAAAGGCCTACACTTCCCAAACATGCCAAGTTGCTTCCCTGTAGTATAATCTCTCTCCACAGACATGAAATTCTCATACATCATTCAGGGATGAAACAAATTGGCAAAAAAAAAAAAAAAAAAAAAAGGGACTGCCCATCAGATGACTCTCTAAATTTGGTCTACGTTGGAATGATAACTTCAACAGTCAGAAGATTCTACAGAAATGGCAATGATCAAAAAATTATCTTCGATTTTTAAAATTTGGGATACCTTCTATTCCTTTATGAGTGATGGCTGAAGGACATGGTGAAGCTCCGTTGTGTATCTTTTCAGCTGCTCTTTACACTTTTACTGAAGACCCTCAAAACGGTATGATGCATCTGTTTATCCCTGCAGCATCAACCAAATATCTACTTTTCCATTAGAGGAATTCAAGCCAGCAACTGATGCAACTCCAGCCTGCCAGGTATGAAGAAGGCTATGAAATTCTTCTGCAGTCGTTGTTTTCTGCTGGCATGGGTTGCACTGTATTGCTTATAACTTAGAAGTTGGTAAGAATGTTGCACCATTATCATTGTCATGATCATCACCATCATTGTCATTATAAGGGCCATTTGGAGTATCTACTGTATTCCTGACTGTCTTTATCTCCTTCAAGATATTGTTATCTCCACTTTACAAATGAGAAAACTGAGGCTCAGGAAGGTTAATCAGCTAGCCTGAGTTCACCCTGTTAGTGATAGAGTCGGAATTTGAATCCAGGTCTGTTGGAAATCAAAGCCCATGCTCTGCAATGAGCAGTGCCTTTGTGAAGCACTTATGTCACTCATATGCCATGAACTATAGGCTGTATACAGAGATGACAATACCTGCCTCATACCCCAGAAGTTCTCAGCTCAATGGGAAGGTAACAGCACACGCAGAATCAATTCCAATGCAGGTCAGTCATGCAAATTTCTATAGAGGGACTAGGAACATCTCTTATGAGAATGGGGGAAGACGCATTCATATTTTGGGAAAATTAGGGATTTGAGAAGGCTTTAAAAAGGTAGAACTTCATCAGGTATCACTATGGAATCATTTGGTAAAGAGAACATACAGTTGTTAAGTCTCGAGTTGGGAGAACGTACTTAGCGTTTAGAAATTGTAAGTAGGTATGAAGATAAGGTGATTGATGGGTGTTATTTCAAGGGAAATATACCTGGAAAGCCAGCAGTCAATTTTTGGAAGGGCTAGACTTCTAATAAAAACAAGAGTAAAAGACTGCAAGACATACTGAAACGTTAGTGCCTAATGTACTTTTAGGAAGTAACTGGCATCACCAGAGACTAGTGGCCTGTGTCATATCATTGGGGTGTCAATATAGAGAGGCTATTTGTTCTGTTTATTAATGGCAAAGTGCTGAAAACTCAAAACTTAACACTAGGACCTGGTCTAAATGAGACAGGCACCTGCAGCTAGGACGTTGCCAAGAGTGGCCATTATGGAAGTGATCCAGGTAGGTTCTGGAATCAATACCTACTGAGCACATGTCTGCAGACAGATGTCATAGCTAGAGCAGGACTGGTCTCATCGCTCTCCAGATCAAAGTCGCTGTCAAAGCATTCTTCTCCAAGATCAGAAAGACACATTTTACTTGGAAATAAATCCCTCCTCCTCTAAAGACTCAAGTAATAATAGTTGGTGAGAAAAAGTAAAAAGAAAATGAGCTATATAATACAAAATGTATGTACATTTAGAATCGATTTGTCCAAAGTAATACATATTTTTGCAAGATGGTATGCATCCACAAAGATACAAACTAAAGTCATCAGAATGGCTGCCTGGAAAGGGAAGGGGAATGGGAGTGAAGTAATGAGATAGAAGAAATAAAAAAACAGTGATGCCTTGTATAGTTTACAGCTAACACTCTGTGAGGGACTAAGATATGTAATCAGCTTAACCCTCTGCACTTTGGTACACACACACACACACACACACACACACACACACACACACACACACACAATGCCCTTAAATCGCTCTTCAGTTCTTGTCTATGAATGCTGGGAAGATTAAGGACACTAGTATTAGCTTGGTGACCCATTATTGAAAAGTGATAACATTTTATTCAATGAATTAATTGGCTCCATAATGTTTCCAGACTCCTAGGTTCTGGAAAAGTCAGTATCAGGCTGCTGCTGCTAAGTCTGCCATATCAAAATTATCACCCTTGTACCACTACCTCTGTGGGATAAGGAAATGGTCTTACTCAACAATCAAGCACATACAGAAAAGGGCATTGCCTCCCAATAGTGTTGGTAGCTGAATTTTAGTTTCCCCTTCCTCTTGCCCTTTTGACCAGCATTTTTTGTTTAAGAGGCAGCCTGCACCTGTGTTTGAGTGACCCTGCCCAGGGAATCTTGGAGAAAGGGCAGTTAGGTATTTATTTCAGGTCACTGGAAATCTCAGAATGCAAACTTTACCTAGTGTTTACATATATAAATATGTAGGCATGGTGGTGCAAAAGTAATTTTATATATATATAAAATAACATCATGATAAAACAGTGTCTTAGGTTACATCACAAAAGCCTCTCTTCTGTTAGCCTCAGTAATGCCAAACCCCAAGAGTGGACGGAGGTGAGTGAGGTTGATAGGAAGAAAGCCCCTGTCAGCTGAAACGCTTCGTGCCCAGAGTCCACGAGTAATCTGTTTCCTTCCTGGTTCAGGAAGGTCTTATGGCTATTGTCACCTTCCTCCCTCTACTTGTCCTCTATCACTCAATTTTTGGTGTTTTTGTTGTTGTTGTTTTGGCTTGGTTTGAGACAGAGTCTCACTCTGTCACCCATGCTGGAGTACAGTGGTATGATCACAGCTCACTGCAGCTTTGAACTCCTGGGTTCAAGTGATCCTCCTGCCTCAGCCACCCGAGTAGCTGGGACTACAGGCATGCACCACTATGCTCACTAAATTTTCAATTTTCTGTAGATATGGGGGTCTCACTATGATTTTCAAACTGGTGTCAAATTCCTGGCCTCAAGCGATCCTTCTGCCTTGGACTGTCAAAGCACTGGAATTACAGGCATGAGTCGTTGGGACCAGACTCATTCAATTTTAAATAGAGCAAAAATTGGTTCTCACCCTTGATCTATCCCATACTGATTAGAAATGAGAGCGCTTATTCATGACACAGAGATAGCCAACAAGAGAGAGACCTATAGCTGGCCAATTAGTAAGGAGGGGGAGGCCAGGTGCAGTGGCTCATGCCTGTAATCCCAGCACTTTGGGAGGCGTAGGCGAGCTGATCACCTGAGGTCAGGAGTTCGAGACCAGCCTGGCCAACATGGTGAAACCCTGTCTCTACTAACAATACAAAAATTAGCCAGGTGTAGTGGCTCATGCCTGTAGTCCCAGCTACTCGGGAGGCTGAGGCAGGAGAATCGCTTGAACACAGGAGGTAGAGGTTGCAGTGAGCTGAAATTGTGCCACTGCACTCCAACCTAGGTGACGGAGTGAGACTCCATCTTAAAAAAAAAAAAAAAGTAAGGAGGGGGAGACCCAGGGCCCACCTGAAACTCAGATACAAACCCATTCCTCCAAGAAGCAGGTGCTCACTTCCCTCCCCACCCACCCAACCTTCAGATTGTAGTTTTCCCCTTTGTAGTCTAATTTTCTATCTAAGAGGGCACTTCATTGATGTTTGTTTTGCCCTAATATTCTTTTTCTTTCTTTTTTTTTTTTTTTTTTGAGAAGGAGTCTCGCTTAGTCATCCAGGCTGGAGTGCAATGGCGCAATCTCTGGTCACTGCAACCTCTGCCTCCCAGGTTCAAGCGATTCTCTTGCCTCAGCCTCCAAGTAGCTGGGATTACAGGTGCCCGCCACCACACCCATCTAATTTTTGCATTTTTAGTAGAGACAGGGTTTCACCATATCTTCCATGCTAGTCTCCAACTCCTGACCTCAGGTGATCCACCCGCCTCAGCCTCCCAAAGTGCTGGGATTACAGGCGTGAGCCACTGCACCCAGCCTTGTCCTAATTTTCTTAGTATAGTATTATACTATGTATGGAGATCTGTATATAACATAAAAAAATTCATATGGTAAAGTAACAAACATCAAGGCAGCTTTCAACACCTCCATGAGGGAGCAGACCCACCCATCTATTTCATTCATTACCATAGCTCCAGCACACAGACCAGTGCCTGGTACCCCCACTGGGCACCCCCCAAAAAATGCTAACAAGCACTTGTTGCATGAAATTACATTTTAGGGCCAGGCATGGTGGCTCACGCCTGTAAGCCTGGAACTTTGGGAGGCCAAGGTGAGAAAATTGCTTGAACAACCCAGGAGTTTGAAACTGCAATGAGCTATGATAGTGCCACTGCATTCCAGCCTGGGTGACAGTGCAAGACCAGTCTCTTAACAAAAAAAAAAAGAAGGAAAGAAATTACATTTTAGTGGGGATGGAAGGAGGCTATGCCAGCTGGTATTGACATAAGGAGAGGCTAAAAAACCCTGGATGAATTGGAGTTGGTTCACCATTTTGCCTCGGGCAGCCTTGTGTGCGTTCTGTGGGGTTGGGAGTGATAATGAGTGATAATCCCTGTTCCTAATCCCTGGCTGTCCCAGGTGAGTGGTTGTCTAATATATGCAACCCTTTTATCTGCCTGGGCTTCTCTGCTTCCTGAAGGCGGGGTGCTTAGGAAGCCTGTGAAGCCGACCTGTCTGTACGTCTGTACAAGGAGAGGCCAAGGTAATAGGATGCTGTGGAGTCTAATTCAATGTGATAACAAGAAGAAAACCCGAGGGTGACTCAGACTCTAAAAATGTGTTGTGCAAGCAGACCGGGCGCCAGGCTCCTGGGTAATTTGGCTGGGCTGGAACAGGCTCCGGAGGAGGAATGCTGGTCTCCATTCTCATAACACACACTCCAACAGGGAGCCAAAGAATACCATGACCAGAAATTGGTCCACACTGCTCTAATTTCTCAAATAGATCCGCAGCAGAAAACACAGTTCTCATCCTCAACAGGTAAAGTCTATTGAAGAAAAATAATACTTGAAAGTCCCTTAGTTACAAATAAACTGAAGAAGTACATTATCCTCTCCCCACATACTCTCCACATAAGCATAAATACACCGAAAATACGATGCCGTTTTCCAAGAGGGAACTTTTCCAGTTTCTGTCATCTTCAATTATAAAGTTTGAATGGGGCTTGAACCTAAATTGAATGCTAGAGACTTCACTCTGTTGGCAGGGTAGACCCCACCCAAGCAGTGCTAGGGAAAGATGATGTAAAACCCACGTGTTTTTGTTTTTTTAGAGACAGGGTCTTACTCTGTTGCCCAGGCTTGACTGCAGTGGCACAATCATAGCTCACTGCAGCCTCAAACTCCTAGGCTCAAGTGATCCTCCTGCCTCAGCCTCCTGAGTAGCTAGGACTACAGGTGTGTGCCACTATGTTCAGCTAATTTAAAAAGTTTTTTTTTTTTTAGAGACAAGATCTCACCATGTTTCCCAGGCTGGTCTTGAACTTCTGATCTTAAGTGATCCTCCCACCTCAGCCTCCCAAAGTGTTGGGACTACAGGCAAGAGCCACTGGGCCTGGCCCTTATGTTTCTTTAGATGAGACAAGGATATCTCTAAGGCCCCCTATTAGGCTGGCTGCCCAGATGCAAAACCTGTGAACACAAGAATGTCAGTATTACCTGGGGAGCCACCTCCAGTCACCCGCTCTGTCTTCATGCTCCGTGGTGAACAATCTCCATAAGAAGTTCATAGGTGTTGGACACGTGTGGCCAGGCCCTGGGCTTTGAAATCGACCCTGGTTTGCAGCTATATGGTTGATGCTGCCAGACACATCCAGATATGGAAAATCAACTTTATCCCAGGCTTTCTTGTGCCGCTCCTCCAGCCGCCTGCTCTGTTGGGTGCAGCTCCTTCTGTTCCATTTTGCTTCATGGGCTCTGGAAGGAGGAGTAACAGTGCACAGATGGCAAGGTGGAACCTCCCAACACAAACTGAATCTCTTCCTCCTTCTGCTCCTCATTGCCTGAGCCTACTGTTCTCCCCCGCCACCACCATTTCTATTTTCAGGAAAAAAAGGAAAAAACTTTGGTGATCTACAAGCTTTGGGTGACTTTTCCTTTGAGCAGGATAACCAGAGCAGCTAGGTGATTTTCCAAATGCTGGCTATGGCTAAACCCAGTCTCAAACAAAATCGGAAAATCAACATGTTTCTCTTCAGATTTTCCAACAACCCCTTTCTTCATCTCTCTCCAACCTACAAGCTGCCCTTCTCCACCTGACATCCCAGTAGTGGGTGACTTCCAGCAGCTGGAGGCACTTCCCACCTTCCCCAGACCTAGGCCTGCACATTCTTCTCTCCCTTCATCTCTGTCTCTTCAGTCTGAGAAGTTAGTCTGAGGCGTGACTGCTGCATCATCAATGACTGCGTTAGAAACCCCAGCGATTCACTGCTATGTTCTTTATATGTAGGATAGTTACTGGCACATGGAAGGCACCCAATATGTATTTGCTGAGTCAGACTGCAAAAGTGTGCAACTGGCTGAGACTCTTGGGGGTATTTGCACAGAGAAATAACGTAACGATAACGACTACTAGCTAACTGCCATTTACTAGTCACTTTACACAGTCTAAAAGCAGGATCTCGACATTTCTAACAGCTTGATGACCTCATATTTAATGTGGTTTTGTACAGAAATTTCCCTGGAACCCCACACATGACATTGTTTGGAGCGACTCCTTCCTTGCTTACCTATAAGCCTAATCCTGCGTATTGAGTCATTCTCTTCTTGAGCAAGTAGGACTTGTTGCTCTCTTGTCACTTTTCCACCAGTGTTCCTCTCTTAAGGGAGAGAAAAAGTTAAACATGCCTGCTTTTCAGTGTCTATAGACGATTGTGGAATGTTTGAGGAAAACCTTGGACTTTTTCACAGCCACTCCCTGTCTGGGCAGCCTCGGGTCAGCCTCCTCCTGCAGTTTTTCTTTCTGTTTTTCCCCTCTGTGTGTCCCTCCTAAGAATGTGGTCCTATTTCCTGGAGCAGGAGCCTGTCTGCAGGCATGGCTGGGAAGGAAGCCCTGGCCATGAGCTGGGCTGATGGCACCTCTGGAGCTGGCTTTCCGGCAGCTGGTGACACAGCGGGTCTGGCCTCATTCATTACTAATTGTTGACGCTGTGTTCGGAGGAACGTGTTAGTAACAGCACGTACCTTGATCAGCCACACTCAGGCCTGGGTGGAGGAGATAGGTGGTGACTCACACAGTGGTGGAAGAGGGCCTGGTCACCTGGGCTGCCCGAAAATGACAGGAAAGGCAGGGCCAGGAAAGGAAATCCCCCTGCACATCACCTCCCTCCCCTTCCCACTGCATGCTCCACCCCTGCACCACAGGCACTTGCTTCTCACTCCTCTGTGTTTTTTTGTGGTTTTTTTTTTTGTTTTTTTTTTTTTTCAGATGGAGTCTTGCTCTGTTGCCCAGGCTGGAGTGCAGTGGCGCAATCTTGGCTCACTGCAACCTCCGCCTCCCGGGTTCAAGCTATTCTCCTGGCTCAGCCTCCCAAGGAGCTGGGACTACAGATGTGCGCCACCACACCTGGCTATTTTTTTTGTATTTTAGTAGAGATGGGTTTCACCACGTTGGCCAGAATGGTCTCGATCTCCTGACCTTGTGATCTTCCTGCCTCAGCCTCCCAAAGTGCTGGGATTACAGGCATGAGCCACTGTGTCTGGTCTTTTTTTTTTTTAAGAGTCTCACTCTGCTGCCCAGGCTGGAGTGTAGTGGCATCATCATAGCTCACTGCAGTCTCAAACTCCTGGACTCAAGAAATCCTCTTGCCTCAGCCTCCTGAATAGCTGGAACTACAGGTGTGTTCACCATGCCTGACTAAGTACTTAAAAAATTTTTTGTAGAGATGCGGTCTCACTATGTTGCCTAGGCTGGTCTCAAACTCCTGACTTCAAGCCATCCTCCCATCTCAGCCTCCCACAGCAATGGGATCACAGGTGTGAGCCAGCATGCCTGGCTCCTGTGTTTTTACTTGTCATTCCCTGTGCTTATAATGCTCCTCCCTCAAATCTGTATTGGTTTAGTCTTCCTTGTGCATCAAAGCCCCATTCAAATATTTTCTCCCCTTTGAGACTTTCTCCTGTTCCCCCTTGCAATTGAGAAGCCCTTTGTGCAAAACCACACTCTGTAGACAATTACTAAATTGAGTCATAGTTGCTCTGATGTGTCCCAGTTGCCAGCAGATTTGGACTACTTGAGGACCGGGGCTCTCCCGTGTCCATCTTTGTTCCCACTTTACCTAACCAGGAGCTGCCAATAACAGACACTCACTAAATGTTCATGGGCAGATTGTGGAATGAGGCAGGCACACTCTGCAAGGGACAAGTGACACCGGCTCAATAGGTCGGACGTGCGCAGATGGTTTGAGAGCAAAGTCTGTAACTCTGGAGTGTTTTCCATCTTCAAGCCCCCTCAAAATCTATTTGCTCTTCCCAGAAAGATTCTTGCCATATATTTGGTGGTTGGAGTGGTCTTGTCACCGGCCTTCAAGAACACTGATTATTGTTTGAAGGGTACACCGCCATTGAAAGAGTAGCTGATTTCCTCAGCCACCGTGCGTGTGTCAATAAGATTTTATAAAGTACCTGTCTCAGTGCTCAGCTTTATAAGAAATGAAGTGGAGGATTCAAAAGGGGTAGAAGACATAGACTCCACTCCTGTAGACCACAAAGCCTCGTCCAAAAGAGAACATGGCTGAAATGAGAACATGTGAATCACCAATGGTAGACCTGTGGTGGCAAGGGGAGAATCACTCAATGTTTTCAAATAAAGAAATTCCTGCTTGTCATTTCCCTGGCTCTTTCTATATGAACTTGTTCATGTTCGAAACAGCTTGACTGAAAATCAGTACTTGCAGTTAAGAACACTTTATTTTTAAGTTTTTTTGAACTTTATTTTTTATTTTTGTAGAGATAAGGGGTCTCCCTGTGTTGCTAGGCTGGTCTCGAACTCCTGGGCTCAAGAGATCCTCCCAGCACAGCCTCCCAAAGTGCTGGGATGACAGGTATGAGCCACTGCACCCATCATTGCTCTTAATTCAGATTGAGGTGTTGATTCACGGGGCAAGATGGAATGGCATGAAGGAAACTCAGTGGGAAGGATGAAACAGAGGCAGAGAATGGTTAAGAGATTCTTGTTGTAGTTCAGCCAGGAGGCTACAGGGACTAGACTAGGCTACAGGGACTAGACTAGGCTGTCATAGGGAGAGAAATAGAAGGAGTGGCCCAGATAACTGGTTGCAACCTCTCCTAACTCCCAAAGAAGGAGGGAAGGGTAAAATTTTGCCAGGATAAAGAGAGGATGACCAAAGAAACAGAGCTCCAAAGAAGGGACTTTTTTTTTTTTAAAAAATCACTGAAGGCTACCATTATATTTGATTTATTTTTATTTTATTTTACTTTTTGAGACAGTGTCTCACTCTGTCACCCAGGCTGGTGTGCAGTGGTGCAATCATGGCTCACTGCAACCTCTGCCTCCCGAGTTCAAGCAATTCTCATGACTCAGCCTCCCAAGTAGCTGGGATTACTGGCAGCTGTCACCACACCTGGCTAATTTTTGTATTTTTAGTAGAGATGGGGTTTTACCATTTGGCCTTGAACTCCTGACCTCAGGTGATCCATCCGCCTCGGCCTCCGAAAGTGCTGGGATTACAGCCATTAGCCACCGTGCCTGGCCCTTTCATTCTTCAAGTAAGAATCGTTTTACACTGACTTCCTCTCTGTCTGGGGCTGGGGATTTGTATAGGAGGCGGTGATGTGGTTTGCATCTGTGTCCCCACCCAAATCTCATGTTGAATTGTAATCCCCAGTGTTGAAGTTTGGGCCTGGTGGGAGGTGACTGGCTCATGGGGTGAATTTGTCATGAATGCTTTAGCACCATCCTCCTTGGTACTGTCCTTGCAACAGTGAGTGAGTTCTCGTGAGATTTGGTGATCTTAAAGTGTGTGGCCCCTCCCACCTCTCTCACTCCTGCTCCCTCCATGTAGGACACTTACTCCTCCTTTGCCTTCCACCATTATTGGAAGCTTCCTGAGGCCTTCCCAGAAGCAGAAGCTGTTATGCTTCCTGTGCAGCCTGCAGGACCGTGAGCCAATTAAACCTCTTTTCTTTATAAATTACCCCATCTCAGATATTTCTTCATAGTAACACAGAAACAGACTAATACAGGTAGTAAGGAGGAAACAAATTCCACAGGAAAACTGTACTTCTGCTTGAAATCTCAACTGCCCCTAGTTTTGCATCTGTGTCTTCTTAGTCCTGGAAGAAATTTGATCCCTAGGCCCTTGTTCTGCTCTCTGCCCTTGAGTTCCATCCACAAGTCCCTACTCTACTCTCCACAGGAAGAGGCTACTGAACTTGATGTTGGAATTGATCCTAATGTACAGACCTAACCCTCAGAGAAAGTTTGACCCACCCGTGGGGAGATGGAGTCATGACTCCAGAAGATTCTCCAGCACGCTCCTTCCCTGGGGTTGTAAGGGTGCCTGAAAGTGGAAGCTCATAGATTCTTAGAGTTGAAAGGCCCATGTGCAGGGCATCTTCTTCAGTCCCCACCCTGTATAGGAATCTCTTCCTTAACATCCTTGCCAGGCAGCAACAACCTCAGCCAAACATTACCAGGAACAAGGTTAGACAGAGCAGGGACCCCCCATAGGGGCCTGCCAGTCACCCCAACAATCTTCCCAAGCATGGAAAGAAAGAAAAATTTAGAGTTCATTCAAGGGAAGTTCCAGGAACCTAGCTAGCCTTGAGAAGTAGATGAGGAACTTTATAATCGAGAAGATTTGCTGAGTATGTAAACCTGAACATCCTGCACATGTACCTGGGAACTCAAAATTTTTAAAAAAAGATTATATCAACCCTCTGTCAGAAGACATCATGAAAAAAAATACAAAACATTTAAAAAGGTAATAGCTTAAAACAATCACCAAGGAAGTTAGAGTCACAAAATGTTTTGTGACTATAGAAACTATAGAAACTAAAGACGACATCTTAACATGCGTCCCTGAGCTGTTTTTCAGAAACCCAGACGCCACCGAATGGAAAATACCATCTGCTAGAATGTAGACCTCAGAGAAGGGGAAGCTGAGGACTGAACTCTGACCGCCATTCTTTATCTAAATTTCTTCCTGGGGTCCTGGAGGAGGTCACACCCACGAGCCAGAGCTAACATTCTTTTCTGCTGGCCCCAAATTTTTAGAGAAAGCTTCAGCTCCTTAACCAATCTCAAATCAGAAAATCTTCTAATCTGGCCGGGCGTGGTGGCTCATGCCTGTAATCCCAGCACTTTGGGAGACCGAGGTGGTGGATCACCTGAGGTCAGGAGTTCGAGACCAGCCTGGCCAACATGGTGAAACCCCGTTTCTACTAAAAATACAAAAGTGGCCAGGCATGGTGGTGTGCTTCTGTTATCCCAGCTACTTGGGAGGCTGAGGTAGGAGACTCACTTGAACCCAGGAGGCAGAGGTTGCAGTGAGCCAAGATCGCATCATTGTACTCCAGTCTGGGCAAAAAGAGTGAAACTCGTCTCAAAGTAAAATAAAATATCTTCTAATCTACCCCAGCATACCTGCTTTGAGATGTTCCCCCTTTTTAGGTCAAACCAATATGTCGCCTTCATGTATTGATTTATGGCTTTGCTTGTCACCTCTGGCTCCCCACCTTTGAAGTCCCTTACCTGTAAACTGTCAGGGAATTCACATCTTAACCACATGCTGTCAATTCTCCTTCCTGGGCATCCTGCAATAAATCTCCCACTTTCTCTTGCTGCAATCCTGATGTGAGTATTGGCTTTGCAGAGCCCAGTGCGTGGACCCAAGGTTGGTTCAGTAACAAAGGAAATCAGGACCATTTAGGCCACTGTTGGACATTCCCAAGACCAGAAAATTCTTTATTTTAAGCTAAAATCCAATTTGAAATGAATTGACATTATGAAAAATTTATTTATTTTATTGCAATATTTTGCCCTAAAAAAAAATAATTTTAGATTGCACTGAAAGGCACATAATATTTTAGAAAGCTCCAGGCATGGTGGCTCATGCCTGTAATCCCAGCACTTTGGGAGGCTGAAGCAAGCAGATCACTTGAGGTCGGGAGTTCAAGACCACCCTGGCCAACATGGTAAAACCCTGTCTCTACTAACAAAAATACAAAAATTAGCTGGGCATGGTGGCGAGCGCCTGTAGTTCCAGCTATTCTGGAGGTTAAGGCAGGAGAATCACTTGAACCCATAGGCGGAGGTTGCAGTGAGCCAAGATTGTGTCATTGCACTCCAGCCTGGACAAGAGAGCGAGACTCTATTTCCAAAAAAATATATTTTAGAAAGGGATGAGGGAGTTCATAATCCTCCTGAAATTATGTAATTATGTACAAAAGTATGTATATGCGTATGTGCTCTTCGTTTTTTCTTTTTTCTGCATATTGGGTCCAGAGCTTTCATGGGACACCTAAGGGTCCTCAGTGATTCTGTGCTATCCCAGAAGTGTGATGTTGAGTTGAAGGTGTCACACTTAAACAAAATACAGACAGGCCACATCTCACTCAGGGGGAGGCATCCTGGCTCCATCAGCTTGCCCAGGGTGGCAGGGTCTTCTCTTTAGCCCAGAATAAGTACCCTTTCCCAATCAGAGCCCAGTGAATGTGCCATCTGTCTCAAGCCCAGCCACATAAAATCATGATGCTACCCGGGGCCTTTGTTTCGGGTAGTGCTCTTATTTTTCAGGGTGGCAGCCTGTCTGCGCCTTGACTCCTCTACGTCAGCACTGCTCAGCTATGGAAAAGTCATGAGGGATAATGGTGGTGTTTGTAGAGCCAGCATGTGTCATGTGGGTTTTCAGACAAAGGGATACAGAGACTCATGCTTTACTAACTCATCATCTGCATACCCATTCGGGAAGAGGAAATGACTGGGGCCACATCACTCCAAGCTTGTCTCTACTTGTCCTTGTGACGAGTATCTCACGCACACAAAGGGACACTTTTTTCTCTTGTTTTCACTAGCAAGTCCTATGTAGGGATGACATCATCTCTGTGCTGATTTACTTTAAAATACTTTCGTGCAATCGACACCCTAGGAGGAGGGAGGAAGGAGGAGGTATTTGAAGTACCCTAATCAGACATCCACGTTCCAAGAGTTGTTAGTTAGCATTTGAAACATCCTAATTAGGGATCCACACTTAGGAGGGGGTTACTTAGCACTTCAAATATTGTTATTGAAATCTACCCCACAAACGGTGTGTTCATTAGCATAAGAGATGGTGGAAGTAAAAATTTCCCTGGTGGAATGGTAGCTTTCAAGGGATGATTTTGACTGGAAAGAGTGTGCTTCCCACCACCCCAGCTGGAACAAGGTTTAAGAATGCAGCAAGCCAAAGACAATACTCCCATAGACAAACTACAGGTACAGAGCCCCATGCTTCCTGAGGCCCCTACATCCCCCCTTTCATACTGTATGTAGGACTCTGTTGTCCTGTCTTTAAAATATGGTGGCATTCCATTGCAGTGTACATTTTTATGTGCATTTTCAGTGCAAGGTGCTTACCAGAGTGTCCAGGATCAGAGAGCAGGACTAGACATCAACAGGTGAATGAGAGTTTCTGTGCCTGCTCACTAAGTCTTGCTTTCACCAGCTAATAAATGCTGAAACCTAGTGAGTAGTGACTACCTGTCACTAACTGCTGTTTAGTCCCCTGTTCAATGGAATGGTTAAACTGGCAACACCAGGTCTCAAAGAAAATCAAAGATAAATAAACTAGAGCCTTAGCATATAAATATCCTCAAGTTTCTCCTGTACAATTTAAGATCTTTCAAGAAGGCCAGGCACAGTGGCCTGTAATCCCGGCACTTTGAGAGGCCGAGGCAGGAGGATTGCTTGAGCCCAGGAGTTTGAGACCAGCCTAGGCAACATAGGGAGATCCCGTCTTTACAAAAAAATGAAAAATTACCTGGCTGTGGTGGCACACACCTGTGGTCCCAGCTACCCAGGAGGCTGAGGTGGGAGGATCACTTGAGCCTGGGAGGTGGAGGCTGCGGTGAGATTATGTCTATAAGGAGCTCAGTGCCTGCACAGGAAAAATGTGATCATTTTTGCTTTTATTATTAATCACCTAGTTAACTTCCACTTGATCATTAAAATTCATCTCAAGTGTCTTCCTTTCTTAGAGGTTTCTCTAGTCACCTCCTTAAGTCCCTACTCTGTGTTGTCACAAAGCCTGACCAACCTCTATGGAAGCATGTACCATACTCTATGGCTAATTTCTTTTTATGTGTTAATCTCCACTGTTAGCTCCTTGAGGGCAGGAATTATGCCTTGTTTGTTTTATGTCCCCGGTACCTACTATATAATAGATATTCAAGAAATATTGAATGAATGAACAAATGCATAAATTAGATGGGGATATACAGCTTTATGCAGAGACCCCCTGGGAGGGGTCTTTGAGAGTTACCATCCTACCCAATGGTTGAATGGTAGTTGGGGGGAAGAGGAGAAAACTGAGTTCGATTTGGAAATTACAGATAGAATTTTGCTTAATATATAGAAGCACTTCTGTGATTATCAAAAAATGGAAAGGAATACTTCAGTGGTATTTCTCCAAAGTTATTTCAGCAGAGGTTAGTAGCGTGGTGAATTTTATTCACTCACTCCATAAGAGATTTGCCTAGGAGTTATTGTCTATCTCTAACATTGCGTGACAATTCCATACGAGAAATAAAGGGCTATGAAACAGTCTCCCATAAACATTTGGGCTTTATTGCATGTTGATTCTATGTCTTAATATCCTTATCTCTTCTCCTAAATGTGCTTTTTAGTTTTCAAATGATCTGTATCTCTTTTTGATCAGCTCCCTTACTTATATATGTACTTATAGGCAGTTTTTTTGATAAGATGACATAATCTGTGAGGCTTTTGCTTGGCTGTTGGGAAATGGAGATAATTGTAAATTATTCATATCAAATTGTTGGATTTTAGGTCTACTTGCTGAAAACACAGGGATGGCCAAGGAGGTCATTTTGGTTTTAAAACCAGAATGGCTTTAAACAAAAAATGGCTTTAAGACCAAAAGTCAGGTAAATCTTGTGCTGAACTAAACCTCTAACTTCACAGTGTTATTCATTGAATGCTAAAAAAATTTTATAAAGCCTCCAGAGAATAGTCAAACCCCCAATAAATCCAAGGCCCACACTACTTTTTCCAATTGCAGTAGCCAATTGATGATTGAATGGGAATATTTGCAAGCCATAACTGTCTTCAGACCATGTAACCAGGAAACTAACCATGTTATCTCTGGAACAAGCCTTTCCACTCAGTGCAGGACACAGAGGGGGCCTTTCCACTAAGCAGACAGACTTTTTATTTTGTGAGTAGGTAAAAAATAGATCTAATCTACTCATCTAGAATGATCTTGCCATTTTTATTATAAAAATCAGAGAATGGCAGCACTGTAATAAACATTTAGCAATATATATTTTTTTTCTGAGGCTTTTTTGGAAATACAGAGAGGCTTCTATTACCTTAGGAAATAACCAGGTAACTCCAAGTATTTATATCCTATACACACTTTTTCTTCATTCCTTTATGGATTTTTCTCTGTATCAGTTGAGTAAGGATCTGAGATAGAATGGAAGCTATGCTTTAAGAATATGGATGCCTCTTTTCAGCACCAGGTAGAACGAAGACCAAGATAGGCAGCTAAAATGTGATACTTCCAAGCAAGATAGATTTGAATTGATTTGATAATGATCTGATTTGCCTCTCTGTCTTGGACATAAGAACAGAACATTGGCTATATCTTGACTTCACTTGAGGCCATTTAGAGACAGGGTTTATTGACATTTAACCCTAAGAATTTTCCTTGGCTTTAACAAACTATAAGTATACTATTGTTCTTCATGATGAATGTGACAACTGGTCACATCTTGTGGATCACATTAAGGAGATTAAAATTCCTGGCAAAAGCCTATGTATAACTAAGTGGCTTCATGGCCCACTGACAAAAACAAGCCATTATGGGGTTTCTGCAGGTCTTTTATTATTTGAAAAATATGCACCGCATGGTGCTTAGGACAAGCTCACAATAAACTCCATTAGGTTCCTTAAAATATTTCATGTTGTATAGTGTTGATAAGGTAATAATATTCTCAAACTCATTACACTGAAATTCTATTTTTCTTTTCCTTTCTAATATGTGGTGTCAACAACAGAGTGAATAAAACGACATCAAGCATCTGAGCAGCTGGATACTGAAATTAATCTTATAAGGGTGCCTCACTCACAACTCTATGTCACTGTGATTTTTTAATGAAATAATTTTAAGAAATCCTAGGGGGATGTCAGGCTTACAATGTTTTTAACCAGAGAAACAGCATGTGCTTAAAAAAAAAAAACTGTATTGTATCAATTCTTGCCTTTTTGGCATTGGATAGACTTGTTTAAAAAATTCCTTATTTATAAAGAAGGAGGAGGTCGGGCGCAGTGGCTCACGTCGGTCATCCCAGCACTTTGGGAGGCCAAGGTGGGCAGATCACTTGAGGTTAGGAGTTTGAGGCCAGCCTGGCCAACCAACATGGTGAAACCTTGTCTCTACTAAAAATACAAAAATTAGCCGTGTGTGGTGGAGCACACCTGTAATCCCAGCTACTCGGGAGGCTAAGATAGAATTGCTTGAACCTGGGAGGCAGAGGCTGTAGTAGTGAGCTGAGACAGCACCCCTGCCCTCCAGCCTGGGTGACACAGCAAGACTCCGTCAAATAAAAAATAAAAATTAAAATTAAAAAAAAGGAGGAAGAAGAAGGAAAACCCTAATAGTCAAGGTCTGGCTGAAAATTTGCCTTAAGATCCTATAATTCTTTTTGAGGTTAGAGTTTTGAATTTATAACAACTTCCCTGGAGGTAATGCTCAAGAGTCTAGAATTTTCTTAAATTAAGCACACTTAGGAGAATAAAATAGCGGCAGCTATGAGAAAGTCAAATATGTGAATTACTTACCACTTATCCTAAACCCTGAAATCAAATTAGCCTTGAGCTTTAAGTAGGTATTCTACATGGTGCAACCTTTTAGGGGGAAATACATCAGTGTATCTTTACACTGATCCAAATGGATCAGTGTAAATATCCAAAACGAATTAGGTCTGTTTGGTCACCATTCTATTCTACAGGGTATGAATTACATGCTCTGCCCATTCAAGATACTAGGATAATGACCATACATGCCACCTAGTTCCTTCCAGTTAATTTATTCTTCCTTAAAGATATTTTAAGGTAAATGCTACATAAAAAACTCTGCACTGCAACTGAGAAACACTTCATTCTGTTGTTGCTGTCTGTGTCCTGTTACTAATGCCCACTATGGCTATAATAGATTCTTTTTTCTTTATTTTTTGCTAACGTATACTTATCTATATTAATGTGATATCCTAATATCTAAAGTAGATACGTTAGTCATTTCTTTCCATGGAATAATTTCCTCCCTGAAACCAGTAATATGTGTCAAGCTAAGGAAGGCACACAGCCAAATGTCTTCCTGTAATTGTAGAAAACCATACTAGCCTCCTAAATTACCTGTTTGATTATTTGCTTTAAACAGGGTTTGGGGGAGGGGGTTGGAGTGGGGAAGGTGAGATCTTTGACAATGGCATGGTGACTTCCATTGACCCTGGAAATTTTGGGCATATCCAAACAAGCTATTGTCCATGTGAGACACAACTCATGGGAAGTTACCTACAGAATGGCAATATTTGGTGCATTCTGTTATATTTCTCATCCTCAAATATCTGAGTTCTCTTTCAATAAGTAAATTTCTGGGTAAGAAAGCAAGAAAGCAAAAGGACTATGGAAGGAAACCACCATAGGCTCTTTGCTGCAAAATGGTAGTTGGGGTCAGGTCCAAAAGTGTGTGTGTGTAATCATGTGTGTGTGTGTAATTGTGTGTGTACATATATATGATCATGTATAAATAAGTATTTGTGTGTATTATGTATAGAGAATTAGATTTTTAATAACCCTTTTCTGCTGACAATGTACTCACAGCAATTACTTTAAGTGCAAGCGTTTTTTTTTTAATTTTAACACAAGAATTGGGGATATTTACTTTGAAAAAATGGTCACCTGGAGAGTGATGAGGAGGGTGTAGAATGGACCTGATGGATACTTTCAGTGTGAAAGATTTATCTCATAGCAGAGGGATTTAACCCTGAGAGATGATGTGAGGCAGATGTACGATGTTAAAGGCGGAGTGAGAACTGATGAGTAGAAGTCATGGTAAAGAATGCTTTTGCTCAAAATATGGAAGAACTTTCTAAATTCTACCTAAAATTGACTGAACTGAATGATCACTTTTCAAGGGCACTGTGAAGTCAATTTGTGCATTGGGTTGAAAGACGGACTCTAAGACTTCTTCTACCAGTAATGTTGGGGAACTCTATTATTCTAAATCGAAATAATACCTGCTCTGTGCTGAATTTCCCTCTGAACTCTTGATTTCTTTCAGAGCATGAGCCAGGGATCAATTATAAAGCTATTAGAAGAGTGGCTTCCTCAAAAGACTGACTTTGTCTCCTACCTGTCCTAAAGCCTCAGTGTGCTGCTCAGATGCGCCGGACTGGGTGTGATCTAGCCAGAAGGTTCTTTGAATGACTCAGGGGAGACAGAATATATTTTCAGCCCAAGAATGTCAATGACATTCATTACATTAACACATTCAAAAGGGAAAATCGAAAGATTAGGAAGGAATATATATGAACTCAAAATATTATAATATTTCATTCATCAATAGAAGTCAGGCAAACAGCAGATGACATCATAGCAATAGCAATAACTAACCTTTACTACTTTATCAGTAATATTAGTGTTTGAATGCCTTTTTTTTTTTTTTTTTTTTTGGAAACAGTCTCGCTCTTTCACCCAGGTTGGAGTGCAGTGGCACAATCTCGGTTCACTGCAACCTCTGTCTCCTGGGTTCAAGTGATTCTCCTGCCTCAGCCTCCTGAGTAACTGGGACTACGGGTGCCTGCCACCATGCCTGGTTAATTTTTGCATTTTTAGTAGAGATGGGATTTCACCATGTTGGCCAGGCTGGTCTCGATCTCCTGACCTCAGGTGATCTGCCTGCCTCGACATCCCTAAGTGCTGAGATTACAGACGTGAGCCACCGCACCCGGCCTTGAATGCCTATTATTTCACAGTTTTGTCCCATTCCACCTTCATAACAATTTTATAAAATAGACACAACTATTAGCCCAATTTCATGAGCATGGAGACGTTCCAAGTAGGAACAACTAGTAAATGGCAATGAGATTTAAACCCAGATCTGTTCCCCCACCTCACCACAATCTTAACCACTGTACTCAGAGGAGATTGGTGTCTCCCAAATATCTTGAATGGCCCTATCCAGGTGGCCTTGAATCCGGCTCTCTGTGGGGGATCTTTGACAAAGAACCTGGAAAGACCACACCAGTCCTGGAGCACACAATTTCAGAACTATATGGAACTTTGGAAGCAAAGGGAGGGTGACCTACATGTAATGTATAGGGAAGAGATGAGAAAGTTCAGAACTGGAGGTTATTTGAATGACATGGGAGAAGTTTGAGGAAGTAGACCAGCATGTTCCACACAGATGAAGGTATATTATTTTATTGTATCTAGTAATGTAGTGTTCTTTCTTTTATTAAGAACAAAATAAGAGAGTATTTTGAGAGAAACAGTCTAGGTCCAATATGAGGAACAAATTCCTGGAAGAGAAAACTGTAGAGCTTAGGAACACATTGCAAAGGAAAGTTGTGACTTGCAGAAAATTACCCACCTATGTGGACTAATGGGTGCTTTGACTACACAAATGATTATGTGACACTCACAAAACTTCAGTAGGGGAAAAAAGTTAGCTAAATTTGTTGTTTACTCTCACGTAGTCTTAGAAAGAAAAAAATTTTAAAAAAAACTTTTTTGCTTTTGAACTAGCCATACAAAGAGAAAATGAGGACCCATTTCACTTTTTCCAAATGGTTGTGCTGTGACTTCGATGGCACATTGCAAAGCAATGCGTGCTCACATTTTTAGGTTTTTTTTTTTTTTTTTTTTTGCACTTGTTGGCCAATTTCTGAGCTGAAAGAGTAGGCAGAGGTTATTTGGGTTGAATCTCCTCCTGCTTCTTGCTGCTTTTGGGTTCTGGTTTTCAGACTAACAGATACAATTCTCTCCAGTCCGTGTGCAAAGCTTACGTGAGTAAGGATGGGAGATGAGCTTGGGCTCCCTCGCTACACAGATAAATCAATATTTCAACCTCGGGGAAGCCATTCAATGTGTGATGATCACACATTGCCATTCCCTTGTGATTCAGTGATTCATTCATTTCAGGATGGATAAAATACCAAGTATGGGTAGTACTTTCCAACAAGAAATTTAGACGTCACTCAACCTTTTGGAAAAACTGGTAAATCTGTCACCTTGGAGTTGATGGAACTTTGTGAGCAGCAAGAAAGAGAGATCTTCAAGAGACTTCTACCACGTGGTTGTGGTGCCAGAGGCTTTTCCTGATGGGCTTTCTCAGTTGAGTCTTTGTTTTCTCAGCTGTAAAATGGGGACAATGGGACTATGCATGCGAAAACGCATGCTAATCTGAATCATACCAGAGATACCTATGGGAGGTATTGGTATCATTGTTAGAGTTCCTGTTGATGTGACATCACTTTTCAATTTGGATCAATTATCTTTTTTATTTATTTATTTTGAGACAGAGTCTCACTCTGTTGTCCAGGCTGGAGTGCAGTGGTGCCTCAAACCTCCGCTCACTGCAGCCTCCACCTCCCAGGTTCAAGCAATTCTCCTGCCTCAGCCTCCTGAGTAGCTGGGATTACAGGCGCATGCTACCACACCCGGCCTGGGTCAATTATCAATCAATAATTCCAATATTATTGGAAATGTTGCTTTCCAAATTAATAATAACTCCTAATTATAGAGCCTTTACTATGTGCTAGGTACTGGGCTAAGCTCGTTAACATATAAGGTCTTGCTTAATACTTACCACATACTAAGGTAGTGTTATTATCTCTACTAATACAGGTATTTATATTTATTAATTTATAAATGAGAAATCGAGGTTAAGAGAAAGTGAGTAACTTGTTTGATGTTACCAAGCTTGGAAGAGCCTAGCAAGCACCTCTCTACCGCTGTCTGACTCACGCTCCCTGAGAATCTTACTGTGGCTTTAACTTCATTTTCTAAACTGCCAGGACAGGAAGGACTTTCTGGTAAGATAGGAATGGGTTTTAGCGAATGTCTACAGTAGCTTCCTATCGTCTTCAGCCGCTGCTCTGCCAAGCTACTATCAGGGCACAGCCTTATAAAAGAAAAATAAAAACCCAGGACCCCAATTCATGCTCCCAAAAGAAAAAAAAGTAAGCTGAAAGCTGAATCATGCAAGAAGATACTTTCCCTTTTGTTCCTAAGTAGACAGCTACAGATAAAAGGTTAACTATCTCCACAGGGAGCAACTCTATGTTCATTTTATCTTGTGAGAAGTGCCGATTTACTGAGCTCAGGAGCATGTGTCACTGCCTCTTCCCCTACCTGCTCCTTTTCTCTTGCAACCTGTAGATTACCACGGCCTCCCGCTTTTCCTCTAGCCTGCTTTTCCCCTTTAAAACTAAAACCCTCAACATCATCTTTGGAGAAAGGGACAGACCTGTCTCCCCAGTGCATCCTTAACTTTGGCAAAATAAACTTGTAAACTGATTGAGACCTGTCTCAGACACTTTTTGGTTTACAGCCTGATGCTTTTGTAGTTATGGCTGCTTGATAGAGTAGAGGCCGTTGCTGCCCCAATTACATTCTCTCCACGTGCCAGCTCATCAGCCTGTATCTTCTAACAACTCACAGCTGCCTCCATTCTAAAGAATCCCCCATTCCCCCTGTCAGACCTAGGAGCCTTGCATAACCCACCCACCCACCCTAACAGGCCTTGGCGGACGTTGGACAAGCTCAAACCAGCCCCTTCACCTCAAGGTAGGATGCAGCTCTGGTGCAATGTACTCCAGGGTGTCCCCATGCGGTCTCCATCGGAGACTACATTCTCGCTTAGCTTCCCCAACCCCAAACCTCCCCTTTTCTCTTATTCTCCTTTCTTTCTTTCTTTTTTGAGATGTAGTCTTGCTCTGTCGCACAGACTGGAGTGCAGTGGTGCGATCTCGGTTCACTAAAACCTCTGCTTCCTGGGTTCAAGTGAATCTCCTACTTCAGCCTCACGAGTAGCTGGGATTACAGGCGTGTGCCAGCACGCCTGGCTAATTTTTGTATTTTTAGTAGAGATGGGGTCTCACCATGTTGGCCAGGCTGGTCTCAGGTCCTGATTTCAAGTGATCTGCCCACCTTGGCCTCCCAAACCATTGGGATTATAGGCGTGAGCCACTGTGCCCGGCCTTTTCTGAGGGTACAAGCCAATAAGTCACTGAATAAGATCCTCATTTTAGGATCTGCTTCTAGGAAATCTGAGCTAAGACAGTGGGCATGGTTGAAAGTTTTTCTATGCTCTAATACTTAATTCAAAGTACTTATAGTACTTAATTTTTTTGAATTAAGTATATTATAGTATAGTACTTAAGTAAAAAATTAAGTACTTACAGTACTTAATTCAAAGTACTTAATTAAGTACTTAATTTTAAAAAACCCAACATTTAAAGGCTTGGAATTCAAATAATTCCAAGTTATGGAAGGTGTAATATTCTAAACAGTGGCTTCAAAGAGGCTGTTTTGGCTAATCTAATTGAGACATAGTAAATGGCTTAACACAGGTTGAGAATCCCTTATTTGAAATGCTGAAGTGTTTCAGATTTTGGATTTTTTTAAATTTTGGAATAGGGTGGGACCCAAATCTAAACACAACATTTATTTATGTTTTATATTCACCTTATATCATAACCTGGAGGTAGTTTTATACAATATTTTAAACAATTTGTGCATGAAACAAAGTACTGACTGAGTTTTGACTAGAATTCATCACATGATGTCAGGTGCATAATTTTCCACTTGTAGAGTCACATTGGTGCTCAAAAAGTTTCAAATTTTAGAGCAGTTCAGATTTTGGACTTTCAGATTAGGGATGTTCAACATGTCCCTTCTATTTGGGCTGCTGCTTCTTGTCATACATTTACAAAAACATTGTGCTATCTCCTCGGAGAATCTGTCATACAGACAGTTCCCACTTGGTGCACTATGATTGTGATAGCTCCAGTTCTCCAGGGTTTCCAGGCATATGAAGGACAGTGTCTCTTTCCCTCTCATAATGTCTAAAATGTGTCCTTTTTTTCTTCCCCAAGGGGAAGCATCTTCTCATGGTTTTCTGTTTGCCTTGGCTCCCACGCTGGTTGCTAAATCAGGCTCCAAATAAGACTGTGGTAATTGCACTGAGGAACTGTGACTATGCCGTTCTGTGTTGCCCTGAAGCAATAACAACAATTCCTTGAGCTAAATAAATATATATACTTTTTCCAAAAGGACCAATTTTAGCAATTTGGAAGATAAGTTTCTCAAACAAACAAACAAACAAACAAACAAAAAAACCACACACAAAAACCCACTATTGGCTGTTAAGGGAAAGTATCTGTTTGGGGAAACCACCAAAAGGACTAGGAATTTCATTTCCACCAGTTAATCATTTACAATTTTTAAGTCTAGGCAGGCAAACAAGGTCCATGACAAAAAGATAAGAAAGTTGGAGAGCATCATAGGAACATTTACAAGTTCAAAGTCTAGCGATTAGTCTACGTGGCTGATGTGGTCAATTTCATGGTTTCCATTTCCCCCCACGGTGCACAGTGTGGGTTGTGTCTTCAGGGCAATGTGAGGATGACAGCGGGAATGGTTTCAGGATTTCTCCACGGCACTAAGCTCTTACTCAGCTGTGGGCCCTCCTGACATTTACTTAAGACAGAGCACTCTGTCTTCACCTCTACAACTTTCCCTATGTCCAAGTGGTTTTATGCCCATTTGTTGTAATCTTGATTTACTTAATTTCTTTACACACATCTGCCTATTGATGAATCCCATCTCCCTTCCCCAAATTTTTATAACCTTTCCTTTCTGATTCAACTTATTCCAGATCCTGGTAACCTGCAGTTTTTCCCTTTCTGTACAGCCTATCTCTAGGTGAGTTCCAGAATGACTGTTAACAATGCAGTTGGTATAATCCTGTAGCTCACTAGCAAAATTTATAGAGAACCAAAAAAAGTCTGTTGCCATTTTTTCAGGAGTATTGGTATATAAATCCAAAATTACTTCTTTCCAGTTATAAATTTTAAAAACATTTATTTTAATAGTGTTTTTAAATACAAAAACATTGGAGGCATGATGTAAATTCATCTGTAATCCTACCTTTCAGAGATATTTGTCTTAGACTTTTGGTACCTTTGCTTTAAAAAAATTACAATAATTGAGATCATTTTGTACATCAGTTCTTTAATATGCTATTTTTCACTTGACACTAATTTATAATTATTTCCCAAGTCACTGAAGTTATTATTGAAGCATGATTTTAAAGGATTCATCATATTGTATTATGTGGCTTCATCATAATTTACTCTACCATTCCTTTGATATAGACCTTTCCAATTTTGCTATTGTAAATAATACTATAACAAATACTTTCCCCCATATGTCTGGGGCATTTTATTTTATTTTATTGAGATAGAGTTTTGCTCTGTTGCCCAGGCTGGAGTACAGTGGTGTGATCTTAGCTCACTACAACCTCTACGTCCCAGGCTCATGCAGTCCTCCCACCTCAGCCTCCTGAGTAGCTGTGACTACAAGCACATGCCAACACACCCAGCTAATTTTTGTATTTTTTCTACAGATAGGGTTTTTTCATGTTGCTCAGGCTTGTCTTGAGCTCCTGGGCTCAAGTGATCCACCCACCTCGGGCTCACAAATTGCTGGAACTACAGGTGTAAGCCACCATGCTGGACCTCTAGGGCATTTTATCATAATAGGGGATTCTTGAAGACCACAAGAAATGTCTCTTTGTGGCTAGGTACAGTGGCTTGAGCCTATAGTCCCAGCTACTTGGGAATGAGATTAGGCCTCAAGGATTGTGTGAGTCCAGGAGCTCAAGTCCAGAGTCCAGTCTGGGCAACATAGTGAGATCCTTTTCTTCTTAAAGAAAAAGAGAAAAAAGAAGGGTCTCTTTGACACTGAACTGCAGGAATTGGCTACAGGCAGCAGTTATACTTTTGAAGAGATAAGGGGCTCTTGCTTTGCTTGCTTGTTGAAATGTTAGCTATTTTTGAGGATGTTTGAAGCCAGAGATATCAAGCAACTGCTGTTGACACCTGCTTAGGTTATCACTTAGGTAAGTCAGATGAAAGTTGACCAATTTTCAACTAGTAAACCGAGTTTGCAGGCTTCCTAGTTTCTATCTTCCATGCATTATTCCAGAATGAGAGTAAGGCTGGCCCTTCTGTGAGTGTTGATGTAGTGTTCCCTATTGTCTAATACACTGTATCTCCCCTCAGTGATGATCTGTCAAAGGAAGAAACACATCCATGAATAAAGTGCTCTCCAAAGTGAGATGTGTCCCAGGTAGAAGTGACACCCTTATCCCCTCCTTGCTCCCGTCATTGTATTTCAGATGGCTGCATTCGTTTGAAGTTCTTCCCTGTAGAGTTCCGTGGAAGGACCCTGACTCCCTCTAGTGGACAGCGCCACTAGGCAAACAATAATTCCGCCCGGCAAAGTCCAGAAGCCAGGAGTAAGTGTCCTTAAATGCCCTCTTGAAATAATGGAAGCTGTGTTTCTGAAGGAGACTCTTCCCAGTCCACAGAAGTTTTTGTCTTTAGCGGGCCATCTGTGTCGACTGCTGCCACAAGACATCAGGGGATTTTTTTTTTCCTTCAGGGCAGCAATTAATTCAATAATCTACAGAGTTGTGTTTCTTTTTCACTAGCGTTGGAGACTTGTTATGTCCAGATTTACTTTATGCCACAGGCAAGAGGCATTACTAATGTGAACAGAACCCAAAAGAAACAAGCTATGAATCTGAGAATGCTCATATAAAGGACTGGAAAAAAGTCATAAAATCATTCTTTTGCTTTAAAAAAAATTCATTAGGAATGTAGAGAAAAACAGAAGAGACTGTTACAAGCTGTCTTAATCTGTTTTGTGCTGCTATAATAGAGTACCATAGACTGGGTAATTTATAAAGAACAGAGGTTAACTTCTTACAGTTCTGGAGGCTGGGAAGTCCCCTATCAAGGTGACAGCACCTGGTGAGGGCCTTCTTGCTGTTCTTGCTCTGTCATCCCATGGTGGAAGAACAAAAGAGCACGAGAGAGAGAGAGACAGAGAAAAAGAGACAACTTGAAGACTTGAAGCCCGAAGTCCTTCTATAGTTGGCACCATGACCTAAATATCTCCTATTAGGGCCCACATCCCAACACTATTGCATTGGGGATTATGTTTCCAACACATGTTTTTTTGGGGGACACATTCAAGCCACAGCACAAGGATTACTGGAAAACCATATACTATGTCCGAAGGGTCTATAATATGTTTTTCTCACAGTTCATCCAATCACCTCAGATAACCATCCTGACATTTTAAGAAGGAATTCAGAAGCTTCTATGTATGAATTGTCTAAATCGTTTATTGGTCTCTACATGTGCTTATAACGAAGTCTTGGTAATCCAGATAATACAACCTGGTTCCTGGCAGTGGACCTATACCTCCTACGTATCTACCTACCTAGGGCAAACTGCTTGGAAACGCTGGGTCTAGATGTTCTTATTTGTAAAATTACAGGGTTGAATTAGATGAGATGTAAACAGCTCTTCTAGTTCTAAGTCCATATGAAAAATAACATGTAGTCTCTTCTTAGAGGACACCTAAGGGAAGATTTCTTTCCACTGTTGTCTGCCACCATCACTGTTTGCCTGTGATCTAAGGCAAGTTCCGTCAACAGAGCGGGAAACATTTCCTTTTTCTCATTCCTGGCTCAAGTGTCCTCTAAATGTGCCATTGCTGTTCTGACCAGGGCATTTGAGCATTTCAAATCTGTACTTGTTGAAGAACAGACAGCCTCTAGTACTTAACGTGCAGCTGCAATGGGTGAAGAAAAATGCCCCCATTTTATGGGAATCTCAAGAATGGGATGGCTGTATGTGAATCCTTTGTCTTTGATTTAAACTGAGACAACAGTGAACACTATAGCTCTGACCTGTGCAAATACAATAAGCACTTCAGCCCAGAAACAGTTTTACCTCTTGTATTAGGTTGGGCTTTCAGTATGTATTTGAAGAGGAGCTATTTATGGGCTTGCAAAGTGCTGGAGGAAAGGAATTTAAAGGACGTCCTTGAGCGAATTCAGGGGGTTTTATTTCAAAAGGCCAAACTGTGCATTAACCCTTCACTTCCTGGCACATACCACCTACACGCTGCTCTTCCAGAGGTCTGGGAGAAATGGGTGATTAGGTAGCGGGTGGGGAGGGCAGGATTCACTTGCATGGTCTTGAGAAAGTCACTTCCTCAGTGTGACGGCTCTTGCTCTGGCTGATGGGGACCTGTGGAATTGGGAAGAAAAAGCAGTTGAAGAAGAGGAAGTCTTTTTGAGTAGGGATGAGGGTGCATTGACACTGACTAGTTTATTTGCACATCATTCAAGACTTGGTATTTTTTTAAAATCTTGATATTTTCATTTAGTCATAGTGGAAGAATGCATGAATTTTTTTTGAAATAAAGTAGACTACTACTGCATTGGCATGCCCATTGTAAAATATAACTATAGTAGATTTTAAAATAAAAACAATTTGTTTGTTGGACAAAACTGCAATTAGTCCAGGCTCAGTTTATTGGAACGCCTGCAGAATCACCTTTCTGCCTGCTTAGGTGCAGACAATAAACACTGTGATGTAACCATGTCATTTTGGTTTTAGTCTGTTCTGTTTTCAGTGTACTTATTTAACATCTTTGAGCTTGAATTAGAGAAAGTAAGAAAATAAATCCTTTATTTGACCACTGGTTACCTTTTTAAAAATTTGATGAGGGAGGTGGCTGAACCCCCGTTAGAGTAGGGCAGTAATACGGTTCCCAAAATATTTGCATGTGATGCAAGTTAATAAACGACACCCCAGAAAAAAAGGTTCTGTGCTCTAATGAATTTAGTATTTCTCAAAGGGAACAAAGTAATCCCTGTTCTCTCTGGAACCTCAGCTGACCCTGCCGCTGTGTCATCCCATGCCTGGCGATAGAAGAAATGAGAGCATCCTTGTGCCCCCTGGCACTTGGACTTGGTCGGAGGAAATTTGCTGGTCTGTTGCTAGGGAGTATGTGTCTCCTGATCAAATGACTGGACTCCAGTGTTGAAGAATGGCTACACTGAAAGGCGCAGACACCTCACTGTACATCAGACCCTGCTGTCTCCCAGGCCACCTGGTATATATTCTGCCACGGCCAAGTCAGGCTGGACGTGAGAACCCTGCGCTGGGCCCCGTGTTTTAGAAGACGCTGCCCTGACTCTCCTTCAGCTGATCCCCTCCCCAGAGGGCAATGAAACTATGCCCACTCAGAGCCTGCAGCCCTTCTTTCTAGATCAGTAGTTCTCAGAATGTGGTCCTCCAAACAGTAGCATCACATCACCTAGGAATTTGCTAGAAATGCACATTCTTTTCTCCCAACTCAGAACTCCTGAATCAAAAATTCTGAAGGATGGCTCCTGTAGTCAGTTTTTTAACACCACTGTTGGTGATTTCGATGCTTGCTCAAGTTTCAGAACTGTTCTGAGCTAAACCACGCTCTGGGATGCCCGAGACCCAGGAATTCTCTATTCAAAGGGCTCTGCCCACCTTGAGGGCTGGCACCAGCCTCCTTCCTGGGTCTTGGAAGAGATGTGCTTCCAGTGGCCAAAAGCAGCTCTCCCAGGAAAGTTGAGAGCTAGACAGTGCTTGAACTGGTAGGTAGGTTGTTCACAATTATACCTTCTATATCTAAGTCATTATTAAAGTACATTTTTAAAGTATGAGGACAGAACATGATTTATTTAAGTTTGTTCGCTTGATTTCACATCTGTTTAGACATATGGAATACAGGCCTCCATTTTTACTCTTGTCCTGGCCTTTGCAAATATTAGAGATGAGCATGCTGCTAAAAGTCTATATTCATTCATTCATTCACCCACTCATTCATTTATTCATTTATTTGATGTCTATCTCTTCATTGATAGTGTCTATTTAAGGTGACATCATCATCACACCTTTCTTTACTTCTTTAATCTTGGCTTCCTTTAGTTCTCTGAATAGATTTATAATGGCCTTTTTGAAGCCATTTTCTGTTAATCCCATAATCGATTTGTTCTCTCAGGCAGTTTGTATCACCGGTCTGGTGTATGGGTCATACTTATCTGTTTCTTTGCATGTCTTGTAATATTTTTGTTAGAAACTGGACGTATTGTAGTAAACTCTGAGTACTGATTCTCCTCTGCCCTGCCCCAGAACTTGTTATTGTTCTTTGCTTGTTTATTTGTTTAGTGACTGCCTATATTAGTTAAGTGTTCCCCTGTCCCCAGCCCACTGGTATCATCTGCCTCACTGAGCTAGGAAGGGGCAGAAAGAGAATAGTCTTGGCTCAAATACCATACTCTTCTTTTTCTTACTGAATTTTCATAGATTTTCTTGAATAGGTGTATCTTCTTTTGCTGTATGTCTTTAGGCTTTATGTGGTTGTTTTAAAAATAATTTTCACCAATTTCACTGGGAAGCAGGCCTGCAGAGCTCCCCATATTGTGCTGCCAGACGTTGATCTTTGTATTAATTTATTATATTTAAACATTCTGGCTGGGCACGGTGGCTCATGTCTGTAATCTCAGCATTTTGGGAAGCTGAGGCGGGTGGATCACCTGAGGTTAGGAGTTCAAGACCAGCCTGGCCAACATGGTGAAACCTCGTCTCTACTAAAAATACAAAAATCAGCTGGGCATGGTGGTGGACACCTGTACTCCCAGCTACTTGGGAGACTGAGGCAGGAGATTTGTTTGAACCCGGGAAGCAGAGGTTGCAGTGAGCCAAGATTGCACCACTGTGCTCCAGTCTGGGCGACAGAGCTAGACTGTCTCAAAGCAAACAAACCAACTAACAAACAAACAAACATTATATTGAGCATCTACTATATATCAGGTGCTATACTAAGTGTTGGGAGTACAGTGGTGAACAAAAGGAACACAGTCTTTTAGTTTGTGACCTAGCCATGTGTTTGGCATATGTGGGGAACTCAATAAATATCAAATAAATAAATGACTAATAAATAAGTGTTTACATTTTGTTTCACAAGAGGTCTGAGAAATTCCTAGAATATCTTGATAGCTGAGTTTCCAGATATCTAGAGGCACTAGGAGTGCTATGAGGACAATATCTTCTTACAATAATCTTGTTCTATCACGATATTTGCACAATCTTCTTCTAATCCCAACTGTTTCAAAAGAGTACAGGTGGCAGTTACTATCATTATTTCCTATTAATTTTTTCTTTCTGCCTTTGGGGACCTTCATTAAGGGTTAAAAGTGTGCTCTTATCACAAGGCTGCAGGTTTGGTGACTGCTAGAACACACTCTTGGCGTGGTCTTGGCCAGAAAAACCTTATTTTGGGTTGTGCAATTTCAGAAGATCTGTTTGTACTCATCTCCCTGGAGTTCTCTAATTTACATTTTCATCTAGAATCTGATATGTCCTTTCCAATGACCTAGAATGTGATTTCTTCCTGATTCTTATTGTTCTTTTAGGAAGGCACTACAGAAATGCTGGAGCTGAACTCTGATAAGAGGAAAAATGAGGTATCTAGTCCCAGAAAAACCTTGCTGCTCTTGCTCTGACCCTAGCACTTCATTGGTGAAGGAAAAGTTGGAACAGTTGTGCAGGTGGGTTGTATTTGGCCAGATGGGTCTGAGGACATATTAGAGTAACTGGAAAGGTTTATCAGAATAGATATATTCTGGCTGGGTATGGTGGCTGATGCCTGTAATCCCAGCACTTTGGGAGGCCAAGGTGGGTGAATCACATGAGGCCAGGAGTTCGAGACCAGCCCAGCCAATATGGCGAAACTGGGTCTCTAATAAAAATACAAAAATTAGCCTGGCATGTCATGCACATCTGTAATCCCAGCTACTCGGGAGGCTGAGGCAGGAGGATCACGAGCTTCGCTTGAACCCGGGAGGTGGAGGTTGCAACGAGCCGAGATCATGCCACTGCACTCCAGCCTGGGTGACAGAGCGAGACTCTCAACAATAACAATAACAACAAAAAGAAGAGATATGTTCCTACCCATAAAAGCTTGTCAGAGTCTGAAGTGAGTGTAGCAGTGGGGTTGGGTACTTAAGGGATTCAAGGAGTAAACAAGATGGATGTAGGTTGAAAAATCTCTCCCCCAAAATACAGATTTAATTTTGGATAACTAATTGGGTACCCCCGGAAGCTTGCAGATCAAGACTATAGTTTCAGTAAATCTCCAAATAAACATGTCCTGCCTCCAGCTCATTATGTCTGTTTGTGCCCTGAACTAAGGTACATCTAGACCCAGTGATAAACATGTTATTTTAATAGCCAGGAGAAGTGCTAAATTAGCAACCCTGGAGAATAGCACCCTCCATGCACAAAATGAAGCAACAGTCCTCTTCCTGGAACTTAAGAAAGCCAGGCAAGAAGGAATTGGACTGGCTGGTTGGTAAACTTCTCTGGATTGCAAGGTGGGGATTTTTTTTTTTTTTTTTTTACATAAAAGCAGTTCTTCAAATATATAATTAAATGTATTTTACTTTTAGGATTTCCTAAGAATTTTCATATGCTTAAGATAAACCCTTATCATTCATATGTTCATTCATTTACTTCATCCATACAGCCAGCACTTATGTGCTAATTATATGCCAGACACTGTTCCAGGCACTAAGATAAAGATGTAAGATACAGCTGGGTGTGGTGGCTCACGCCTGTCATCCAGGCACTTTGGGAGGCCGAGGCAGGTGGATCTCTTGAGGTGAAGAGTTCAAGACAAGCTTGGCCAACATGGTGAAACCCCATCTCTACTAAAAATACAAAAATTAGCCGAGTGTGGTGGCATGTGCCTGTGGTCCCAGCTACTTGGGAGGCTGAGGCAGGAGAATCGCTTGAACTTGGTGGGGGCGGAACTTGCAGTGAGCCAAGATTGCACCACTGCACTCCAGCCTGGGCGACAGAGAGAGACTCCATCTAAAAAAAAAAAAAAGATGTAAATGTAGATATAAGATACAGTCATTGACCTCAGGAAGTCCACAGTCCAATAGGGTTAATGGATCTGTAGGCACATAATTATAATTTGGCAACATTCACAGAGTGATAGAGGGCTCTTTGGGAATATAAAAGAGAAGAACCTAATTCTGATTGGGTGGACGGGTGTTTCAGAGGAGGCTTCTGGGAGGAAAGGACACTTACACTGAGTCTTCAAAGATGAGTAGGAATCAGCCAGAGCCTAGAGGGATGGCCATAAGAATCTGGGCATAACATGAGCCTATACACAGACACCGAGGTGAGAAACTGAGAAACCTCATGGGCATGTTTGGAAGAGTGCAAGAGCTTCGTTCGGTAAATCATTCACTGGAAGGTGAGGAGTGAGAAATGGTGGTACTCTTCTAGAGAGTCTTTTGTGGCTCATTAAGGAGCTTGGACTTTCCTTTCTAGGCAAAGAGCAGTTATTAAAATGTGTTATACAGTGAGGAGGCATGGTTAGGCTGTTGGAATTGGGTAAAGTGGATTGGGGATAATACTGGAGGCAGGGAAACCAGAAGGCTGTTGATTGATACATGGAAAGGGAGGGTTAGATTTGAGAAATAGTTGAGAGTTATTATCTGGAACGACTGGAGGTTGATTGAATGTAGGGATAACGCAGAGGGAGTACTGGATGATTGTCAAACCCCGCATACCACAGCCAACCTCACCTTAAGAACAAACCGGCTGGTTGTGGTGGTGCACACCTGTAATCCCAGCTACTCAGAAAGCTGAGGCGGGAGCATTGCTAGAGCCCGGGAGTTCCAGGCTGCAGTGAGCTATGATTGTGCCACTGCACTCCAGCCTGGGCAACAGAACAAAACCCCATTTCACCCCAAGTACTTTGGATTGCAAATCACATGCTCAGAATTCTTTTTTTTTCATTTTTAATTTTTGTGGTTACATAGTAGATGTATATATATACATCTACTATGTATATATATACATCTATGGAGTTCATGAGGTGTTTTGATATAGGCATGCAATGAGTAATAATCACATAATGTAAAATGTGATATCCATCCCTTCAAGCATTTATCCTTTGTGTTATAAACAATCCAATTATACTCTTTTTGTTATTTTAAAATGTACAAATAAATTATTATTGACTTAAGTCATCTTGTTGTACTATCAAATACTAGGACTTATTCATTCTTTCTAACAGTTTTTTTGTACCCATTAACCATCTCCATCTCCCGCTGCCCCACTACCCTTTCCAGCCTCCAGTAACCATTCTTCAACTCTTTATCCGCATTTCAATTGTTTTGATTTTTAGATCCCACAAATAAGTGAGAACATGCAATGTTTGTCTTTCTGTGCCTGGCTTGTTTCACTTAGCATAATGACCTCCAGTTTCATCCATGTTGTTGTGAGTGACATGATCTCATTCTTTTTTTATGGCTGAATAGTACCTCATTGTGTATAAGTGCCACATTTTCTTTTCTTTTCTTTTTTTTTTTTGAGACAGGGTCTTGCTCTGTCGCCCAGGCTGGAGGGCAGTGGCGTGATCTCAGCTCACTGCAACCTCCACCTCCCGGCTTCAAGCAGTTCTCTGCCTCAGCCTCCCGAGCAGCTGGGATTACAGGCACCCACGACCATGCCCAGCTAATTTTTGTATTTTTAGTACAGATGGGGTTTCACCGTGTTGGCCAGGCTGGTCTCGAACCCCTTGACCTCGTGATCCGTCCACCTCGGCCTCCCAAAGTGCAGGGATTACAGGCGTGAGCCACCGCGCCCAGCCAAGTACCACATTTTCTTTATCCATTCATCTATTAATGGACACTTAGGTTGTTTCGAAATTTTGGCTATTGTGAACAGTGCTGCAATAAACATGGGAGTGCATATATCTTCTCGATATACTGATTTACTTTCTTTTGGGTATATACCAGCAGGGGAATTGCTGGATCATATAGTAGCTCTATTTTTAGCTTATTGAGGAACCTCCAACTGTTCTCCATGGTGGTTGTACTAATTTACATTCCCACCAACAGTGTATGAGAATTTCCTTTGCTTCACATTCTTGCTAGCATTTGTTATTGCCTGTCTTTGGATATAAGCCATTTTGATTGAAGTGAGAGGATATTTCATTGTAGTTTTGATTTGCATTTCTCTGATGATCAATGATGTTGAACATCTTTTCAAATGCCTGTTTGTCATTTGTATGTCTTCTTTTGAGAAAAGAGTGTTCAAATATTTTGCCCATTTTTAATCAGGTTATTAAATTTTTTCCTGTAGAGTTGTTTGAGCTATTTATGTATTCTGGTTACTAACCCCTTGATGGATGAGTAGTTTGAAAATATTTTCTCCCATTCTGTGGGTTGTGTCTTAATTTTGTTGATTGTTTCCTTTGCAGTGCAGAAGCATTTTAGCTTGATGTGATCTCATTTATCCATTTTTGCTTTGGTTTCCTGTGCTTGTGGGGTATTACTGAAAAAATTTTTGCCTAGACCAATGTTCTGGAGAGTTTCTTTGATGCTTTCTTATAGTAGATATATAGATTGAGGTCATAGATTTCACTCTTTGATCCATTTTAGTTTGATTTTGGTATATGGTGGGGGAGAGGGGTCTAGTTTCATTTTTTTTGCATATAGATATTCAGTTTTTCCAGCATCATTTATTGAAGAAACTATCTGTTCCTCAATGTATCTTCTTGGCACCTTTATTGAAAATGAGTTCACTGTAGGTGTGTGGATTGTTTCTGGGTTCCCTATAGAGTTCCATTGGTCTATGTGTCTGTTTTTATGCAAGTACCATGCTGTTTTAGGTACTATAGCTCTGCAGTATAATTGTAAGTAAGGTAATGTGATTCCTCCAGTTTTGTTCTATTTGTATTTTGTGGTTCCAAATACATTTTAGAATTGTTTTTTGTATTTCTGTGAAGAATGTCATTGGCATTTTGATGCAATTGCATTGAATCTGTAGTAGTATGGACATCTTAACAACATTGATTTTTCCAATCCATGAAGATGGACTATTTTTCCATTTTGGGGGATCTTATTCCATTTCCTTCATCGGTGTTTTATAGTTTTCATTACAGAGATCTTTCACTTCTTTGTTTAATTCCTAGGTATTTTATTTGTAGCTATTGTAGATGGGATTTTGTATCCTGAAACTTTACTGAATTTGTTTATCAGTTCTCATAGTTTTATTGTGGAGCCTTTAGGTTTTATCAAATATAAGATCATGTCATCTACAAATAAGGATAATTTGAATTCTTCCTTTCCAATTTGGATGCCCTTTCTTTCTTTATCTTGTTTGATTGTTCTAACTAGGACTTCCAGTACTATGGTGAATAACAGTGGTGAAAGTGAACATCCTTGTTGTGTTCCAAATCATACTGTGTTTCCCCATTCAGTATGATATGAGCTGTGGGTCTGCCATATGTGGCTTTTTTATGTTGAAGTATGTTCCTTCTAACCCAGTGTTTTGAAGGTTTTTGTTGTGAAGGGATGTTAAATTTTATCAAATAATTTTTCAGCACCAATTAAAATGATCATATGTTTTTTGTCCTTCATTTTATTGATATGATGTATCACGTTGATTGATTTGCATATGTTGAACCATCCTTGCATCCCTAATCCCTGGGATAAATCCCACTTGATCATGATGAAATATATATATATATATTATGATTATATTATACAATATATAATAAATACTTAAATATATAATATTTATATACATATATGTATTTATATGGAGAGAGAGACACAAGGTCTTGCTCTGTCACCCAGGCTGGAGTGCAGTGGTGTGATCACAGCTCACTGCAGCCTCAACCTCCCGGGCTCAAGCGACCCTGCCACCTCAGTCTCCTGAGTAGCTGGGACTACAGGAGCGGGCCACTGTGCCCAGCTAATTTTTGTATTTTTTGTAGAGATGGGATTTCCTCATATTGCCCAGGCTGGTCTCAAACTCTTAAGCTCAAGTGATCCTCCCACATGAACCTTCCAAAGTGCTGGGATTACAAGTGTGAACTACTGCACCCAGCTGATGGTCTTTTTAATATACTGTTGGATTTGGCTTACTATAATGGTATTTTTTGAGGATTTTTGCATTAATATTTATCAGAGATATTGGTCTGTAGTTTTCTTTTTTCAATGTGTCTTTTTTTCTGGTTTTGATATCAGGGTAATACTGGCCTCATAGAATGAGCTGGAGGTATTCCCTCCTCCTCTATTTTTTGGAATAGTTTGAAGAGGATTGGTATGAGTTCTTTAAATGTAGGATTCAGCAGTGAAACTGTAGGGCCCCAGGTGTTCTTTCCTGGGAGACTTTTTATTACAGCTTTGCTCTCATTATTTGTTATTGGTCTGTACAGATTTTGGATTTCTTCATGGTTCAATCTTGGTAGGTTGTGTCTATGGATTTTTCCATTTCTTCTAGATTTTCCAGTTTATTGACATATAGTTGCTCATAGTAGCCACTAATGGTACTTTGAATTTCTGTAGTATCAGATATGTCTCCATTTTCATCTCTGATTTTATTTATTTGGATATTTTCTCTTTTTTCTTAGTCTGTCTAATGTTTTATCAATTTTGTTTAACTTTTCATAAAACCAGCTTTTTGTTCCATTGATCCTTTGTATTGTTTATTTCAATTTCATTTATCTCTGCTCTGATCTTTATTATTTATTTTCTTCTATTAATTTTAGTTTTGCTTTGCTCTTGCTTTTTTAGTTCTTTAAGATGTATCATCAGGTTGTTTATTTGAAGTTTTTCTACTTTTTTGATGTAGGCGTTTATAGCTATAAAATTCCCTCTTAGTAGTGCATTTGCTGTATCCCATAGGTTTTATTATGTTGTGTTTCTATTACCATTTGTTTCAAGAAATTTTTCAATTTTCTTCTTGATTTTTTTGTTAACCCACTGGTCATTCAGGAACATATTGTTTAATTTCCATGTATTTGTATAGTTTCCAAATTTCTTTTTTATTGATTTCTAGTTTTATTCCATTATGATCAGAGAAGATGCTTGATATTATTTTAACTTTTCTGAATATTTTGAGACTTGTTTTGTGACCTAACATATGGTCTATCTTTGGAAATGGTCCATGTACTGAGGAAAGGAATGTGTATTCTGCAGCCATTGGATGAAATGTTCTGTAAATATCTATTAAGTCCATTTGGCCTATAATATAAATGAAGTTTGATGTTTCTTTGTTGACTTTCTGTCTGGAAAATATGTCCAATGCTGAAAATGGGGTGTTGAAGTCTCCAGGTGTTATTGTATTGGGGCCTATTTCTCTATTTACCTCTAATAATATTTGCTTTATATGTTGGGGTGCTACGGTGTTGGGTGCATATATATTTAGAATTGTTATATCCTCTTGCTGAATTGACCCCTTTATCATTATATAGTGACCTTCTTTGTCTCTCTTTTTTTTTTTTTTTTCAAGCCAGGATCTTTCTCTGTCACCCAGGCTGGAGGGCAGTGACATGATCTCGGCTCACTGCAACATCAACCTCCTGGGCTCAAGGTATCCTTCCTCCTCAGCCTCCTGAGTAGCTGGAACTACAGACATGCACCACTGTGCTTGGCTAATGTTTGTATTTTGTGTAGAAATGAGGTTTTACCGTGTTGCTTAGGCTAGTCTCAAACCCCTGGGCTCAAGAAATCCACCTGTCTCAGCCTCCTAAAGTGCTGAGATTACATGCATAAGCTACTGCACCCAGCCCATTGTCTCTTCTTATAGCTATTCATGCTCTTTTTTTTGGCTTCATTTGGCATGGAATATCTTTTTCTATCCATTTATTTTCAATCTATATGTGTCCTCATAGGTGAAGTGTGTTTCTTGTAGGCAATAGATCAACGGCTCTTGTTTTATCCAGTTGGCCACTCTATGTCTTTTGATTGGAAAGTTTAGTCCATTTATATTGAGTGTTATTATTGATAAGTAAGAACTTACTCCTGCCATTTTGTTATTTGTTTTTTGGTTATTTTGTGATCTTCTCTTATTTCTTTCTTTTCTTCCTGTTTTCCTTTTAGTGAAGGTGATTTTCTCTGGTGATATGATTTAGTTTCTTGCTTTTGATTTTCTGTGTGTCCATTGTATCCATGAGGCTTGCAAATACTATCTTATAGCCCATTATTTTAAGCTGATAACAAGTTAACACTATTTGCATAAACAAACAAACAAGCAAAAAAAGAAAACTAATAAAGATTTTCTGACTTAACTTTGTTCCCTGCTTTTAAACTTTTTGTTGTTTCTATTGATATCTTATTGTACTGCTGTCTTAAAAAGTTTTAGTTATTATTTTTTATTGCTTTATTGTTTAGTCTTTCTACCTAAGATAAGAGTAGTTTACACACCACAATTACAGTGTTATAATATCCTGTGGTTTTCTGTGTACTTACTATTACTAGTGAGTTTTGTATCTTCAGGTAATTTCTTATTGCTCATTAGCATCCTTGTCTTCTTTCAGATTGAATAACTTAACTCCCTTTAGCATTTCTTGCAGGACAGATCTGGTGTTGATGAAATCCCTCAGCTTTTGTTTGTCTGGAAAGTCTTTATTTCTCCTTCATGTTTAAAGGATATTTTTTCTAGATATGCTATTCTAGGGTAAATTTTTTTTTCTCCAGCACTCTAAATATGTCATGCTACTCTCTTGACCTGTAAGGTTTCCACTGAAAGGTCTGCTGTCAGATGTATTGAAGCTCCATTGCATGTTATTTGTTTTTTGTCTCTTGCTGCTTTTAGAATCCTTTCTTTATCCTTGACATTTGGAAGTTTAATTATTGAATGCCTTGAGGTAGTCTTCTTTGGATTAAATCTGCTTGGTGTTCTATAACCTTCTTGTACTCAAATATTGATACCTTTCTCTAGGTTGGGGCTGTTCATTGTTATTATCTCTGTGAATAAATTTTCTACTCCTATCTCTTTCTATACATTCTCTTTAAGGTCAATAACTTTTAGATTTTCCCTTTTGAGACTATTTTCTAGATCCCATAGGTGTGCTTTGTCATTTTTTATTCTTTTTCTTTTGTCTCCTCTGACTGTGTATTCTCAAATGGTCTGTAATCAAGCTCCCTAATTCTTCTGCTTGATCATTTCTGCTGTTAAAAGTCTCTGATGCATTTTTCAGTATGCCAATTGCATTTTTCAACTCCAGAATTTCTGCTTGACTCTTTTTTACTATTTTAATCTCTTTGTTAAGTTTATCTGATAGAATTCTGAATTCCTTCTCTGTGTTATCTTGAATTTCTTTGGGTTTCCTTAAAGCAACTATTTTGAATTCTCTCTCTGAAAGGTCACATATCTCAGTTTCTCCAACATTGGTCCCTGGCACCTTATTTAGGTCATGTTTTCCTGGATCATCTTGATACTTGTAGATGCTCATCTGTATCTGAGCATTAAAGAGTCAGCTATTTATCATAGTATTTGAAGCCTGGACTTGTTTCTAGCCATTCTTCTTGGGAAGACTTTCCATATATTTGAAAGGACTAGGGTGTTGTGATCTAAGCTGTGTCTGCTTTAGGGGGCACCCCAAGCCCAGTAATGCTGTGGTTCTTGCAGACTCATAGAGGTATCACCTTGATGGTCTTGGACAAGATCCAGGAGAATTCTCTGAATGACTAGGCAGAGACTCTTGCCTCTTCCCTTACTTTATCCCTGAAATTTGGAGTCTCTTTCTCTGTTCTGAGCCTCCTGGAACTTGGGGTGGAGTGACACAAGCACCTCTGTGGCCACCACCACTAGGACTGTGCTGGGTCAGACCTG
Organism: Homo sapiens; assembly: GCF_000001405.40. Classification (NCBI taxonomy): domain Eukaryota; kingdom Metazoa; phylum Chordata; class Mammalia; order Primates; family Hominidae; genus Homo; species Homo sapiens. The sequence continues at coordinate 25,095,468 of NC_000010.11, forward strand.
AAGCTAGCACAGCATTGGATTTCACTCCAGGCATGCTGTAACTACTCCCTGGCTATGGCTTGTGTTTGCTCAAGGCCCTGGGGCTCTACAATCAACAGATGGAAAAGCCAGCTAGGCCTGTGTTCCCCAGGACACAGGTGATGCATTCCCCCAGGCCCCCAGTGATTCCAGAGGTGCCGTCGAGGAGCCAGGGACTAGAGTCAAAAACCTTAGAAATCCACCTGGTGTTCTATCATACCGTGGCTAGGCTGGTGCTCAAACCACAAGATGCAGTCCATTCCACTCTTCCCTCCCCTTTCCAAAGGAAGAAGAGCCTCACCTGATGGCCACCACCACCACAGGCCCATGGGTGTGCTGCCAGACTACCACTGATGTTCTCTTAAAACCCAAGGTCTCTTCAGTCAAATTGTGGTGAATGCTCCCTGGCCTGGGACTCACCCTTTGGGGCAGTGGGTTCCCCTCTGGCCCAGGGCAGGTACAGGAATGCCATCTAGGAGCCAAGTCTTGGAACTAGGGACTCCAAGTGCCTGCTTGGTGCTCTACCCCTCTGTGGCCAAGCTGGTACCTAAAGTGCCAGGAAAAGTAAAGACTTTACCCTCTGCTTTTCTCAAGTTGAAAGAGTCTCACCCTATAGCCACCATAGCTGGGAATGTGCTAGTGTCACCTAAAGCCAGCAAGTCTCAGAGGCTCATCCAAGGCCTTTGATGTAGTATCTGAGTATTGCTACTGGTTATTCAGGGCCCAAGAGTGGGTCTTCAGTTAGCAAGTAATAAATCCTGCCAGGACCAGGTCTTCCCTTCAAGGCAGCAGGATCTCTTTTGGCTCAGGGTGTGTCTAGAAATGTCCTTCAGGAGCTGGGGTCTAGAAAGGGGGCCTCATGCCTTTAACCAGTGCCTTATCCTACCAATTGGTATTCAGGGTACAAGACAAAGTCCTTCCCACTCTTCCCTGTCCTCTCTTCAAGTGGAAGGAAAGGGTCTTTTTTGGAGTCACAAGTTGTGCAGTCTGGGTTTAGGGGAGGGGTGATACCACCACTCCCAAAGCCATGCCAGCTGATGTCCCAGTTAGTCATTTGCCTGCCACCCCACTAACTCACCGCCAGCCCCAGTCTACTGTATTTGGGCCTAGTTCAGCACTAGGACTAGCCTAGGAGTTGTAGTCCTTGTAGCCTAGACTGTCTTTCAAGTGTATTTATGGCCCCAGAGCACTTTAGCCTATGGTGGCGAGGATTGTGGGAACTCAAGTTTTGATCACAAGGCTCCGCAACTCCCCTCTGGCCAGGGCTGATTTAAATGCTCCCTCCGTGCACTGGTGTCAGCTGAGTTTGGTCCTGTTTTGTTCTCTGTTATAATAGGGCAACACAGAGTTCAGTGCCTCACAATTGCTGTGCTCTCCCTCTCCCCAGTGCACAGAAAGATTCTCTGTACCATTCTGCCCCTGCCAGGAGTTAGGGGAGGGGTGATGTCAGCAATTCAAGACTGTTTTTCCTACCACTTCAGTTCCTCTTTAGGTTATATGAAGTTAAAACCAGGTACTGTGAGTGCTTACCTGATTTTGGGTTCTTTCTGTGTGTGGATAGCTGTTATATCGATGTCCTTGCCAGGGGAACAGTTCAGTGGAGCCTTCTATTCTGCCATCTTGCTCTGCCTCCTTCTCCACATCCTTGGAATTCTGTCTTTTTAATTTCTTCATGTCCTGAAGATTCTTCCTCTTTTTTCCCCCCAAACACTATCATAAAATGTAAAAGTTACTAAGAAGCAAATACCTTTAAAATCTGTGAAGGTGTTAGCTGAAAGAATTGTTTAAACTGTTGAGCTAAGATGTTCATGGTTATGACTGGATTATGTAAGTGTATAGTTTGGGGGCATTTTTCTTCCTCTGGAGACTTTTCTCACCTGAGCCTTTAAAAAATCTTTTTGTACTTTTTTTCTGAAGGGAGTGGAACAAATGGAAAAAGCAAAGGTATGTTGCCCTTAGCAACTTGACTTGAGCTATCAGAGCACCACTAAGCAAAAATAGCAACTTAATTAAAGGATATGGCTCTGTGGAACTTTGCCAGCCTACAGGGGAAAGTCAACCCACCCTGGCTCCAAGTACCATACAGGGGGCCAACATCTCCAGATTGGAATCAAAATTTGTTTTCGGTATGGGTGGTTTAATTTATTCAATGAATGTTCTTTAAGCACCTTCTGTGGACAGTACAAAGACAAACACACTGTCTTCTGGAGAAGAGAGAGAGAGAGAAGGAGGAAAAGGAGGAGCGGGAGGAGAGAGAATTTCAGACAGTTAAGATATGCTATGTAGAAAGTAAAACAGAGTAAAGAAGTAGACAGCGACCAATAGGGGCAGCGGTGGCCTGGAGTAGGGGCATAGGTCATACAGTAAGATATGAGTGCCCCAGATCTTCCATTGTCATTACTGCCATATTTGACACCTGAAGTGAATGAATCATAGTTTAACAACCACCTCTTGTACACAGCAAAGTATTTTCAATAAGAATTATAATAGTAAAAGAAGAATGACCAGGAAACGGCTGGGCGTGGTGGCTCATTCCTGTAATCCCAGCACTTTGGGAGGCTGAGGCAGGAGGATAGCTTGAGCCCAGAAGTTTGCGACCAGTCTGGGCAATATAGGGAGATTCTGCTTCTACAAAAATATGTTTAAAAAATTAGCTGGGCATGGTAGTGCATGCCTGTAGTCCCAGCTACTTGGGAGGCCAAGGCAGGAGGATCAATGAAACCCAGGAGGTTGAGGCTGTAGTGAGTCATGATTGTGCCACTGCACTCCAGCCTGCGCAATAGAGTGAGACCTTGTCAAAAAAAAAAAAAAAAAGAGAAAGAAAGACCAGAAAAGAAGCAGTAAGATTTTTCTTTTCTTGAACTTTGTTTACACATTTAGGCCAATAAAAATTGTTTTTAAAAATAAAGCCTAAGATAAACATTACAACACATAAAAGAGAAACTGTACAGCACTTCAACAGATCTTATATCTACACAGCAATTTGAACTAATATATAATTAGTCTGATATAATATCTCATGAATAATTTTTAGTAATTATTAGATAAATATTAATAAAGTAGAAAGATCTACAAAAATTATAATTTAGGTAACTATGAAATCATACCACAAATATTTTTTTCTCAACTCATTCTCTACTTTTAAAACAATTATCTGTAGTGCCAGCTACTCGGGAGGCTGAGGCAGGAGAATCGCTTGAACCTGGGAGGTGGAGGTTGCAGTGAGCCGAGATCACACCACTTCACTCCAGCCTGGTGACAGAGACTCCCTCTCGAAAAAAATAAATAAATAAAATAAAATAAAATAAATACATTTCAAGTTAAAGATATTATGAAAATTCCGTAAAATAATATATGAAATAAAGTTTGTACCTAACCCCCCCAAAAAATAAATAAACTACAACTCACCTCACAGTTCTCAGTACTTCACTGTTTTAAAATTTATTTTCATTTTATTTTTAAAAATTTATTTCAATAGCTTTAGGGATACAAATGGTTTCTGTTTACATAGATGAACTATATAGTGGTGAAGTCAGGGCTTTTAGTGTATCCCTCACCTGAGCAGTGTATGTTGTACCCAATAGGTACTTTTTCATCCCTCCCTCACCCCCCTCCTTTTCTCCCCTCTTCTGAGTCTCCAATGTCCATTACACTGCTCTGTATGCCCCTGCATACTCATAGCTTAGCTCTCTCATAAGTGAGAACATGTGGTATTTGGGTTTCCATTCCTGAGTTATTTCACATTGGATAATGGCCTCCTGTCCAGTTGCTGCAAAAGATGTGATTTTATTCTTTTTTATGGCTGAGTAGTATTTCATGGTATATATAATACCACATTCTCTTTATTCGCTCATTGGCTGATGGGCAAGTAGGTCGATTCCATAGCTTTGCAATTGTGAATTGTGCTGTGATACACACACACATGCAGCTGTCTTTTTTGTATGATGACTTCTTTTCCTTTGGGTAGATACCCAGTGGTGGGATTGCTGGATCAAAGGGTAGATCTACTTTTAGTTCTCTGAGAAATCTCATACCGTTCCCCATAAAAGTTGCACTAATTTACATTCCTAGCAACAGCGTATAAGTGTTCCCTTTTCACTGCACTGGCACCAGCATCTGTTGTTTTTTGACTTTTTAGTAATGGCCGTTCCGGCTGGGGTAAGGCGGTATCTCATGGTGGTTTTAATATGCATTTCCCTGATGATTAGTGATGAGGAGCATGTTTTTTGGCCATTTGTTTATCTTCTTTTGAGAAATACCTTTTCATGTCATTTGCCCACTTTTTAATGGGATTATTTGTTTGTTTGCTTTATCTTGCTGATTTATTTGAGTTCCTTGTAGATTCTGGATATTAGTCCTTTGTGTTTTAACATTTAAATATTAAATAACAAAAAATTGGTAGTCATGCCCATAATCTCAGCACTTTTGGGAGGCTGAGGTGGGAGGATCACTTGAAGCAAGGAGTCTGAGACCAGCCTGGGCACCAAAGCAAGATCCCCGTCTCCATAGAAAATTTAAAAAATTACCCAGGTGTGGTGGCACACCCCTGTAGTCCCAGCTACCCAGGAGGCCGAGGCAGAAGAATTGCTTGAGCCCCAGAATCGGAAGCTGCAGTGAGCTATTATGGCTCGACTTTACTCTAGCCAGGGAGACAGAGCGAGACCCTGTCCCTAAAAACAAACAAACAAACAAAAAAAAAACACAAAAAAACACTATTAGTGGTCACACTGAACGCCAAAATTGAGACTCAAATCCATCTTTATAATCATTGAGCTATTGTTGTTTATTTAGAATCTGCTGTTTAAATGCAAGGACATATGGTACCATAGGGATTGCAGACATGAACTTCATCCAAAACAAGCTCGAAAGATTCTGAATGGGGAAAAACTTACTCTTCAAAGGAACATGTATAGCTGTGTCTGTGTTGGAGGCCAACTGTGTAACTGGGATTTCTCCAAATTAAATTCCATATAGAATACAATGTGTATTCAAGAATAAGTTATTAACATGAGGTCATTTGACATTTGCATATATTATTAATATTGAACAATAAAGCGCAGCAATTGCTCAGAATTTAAACCAGCTAAAGATTTTTTTAGTGGGGAGGGATACTTTATCATTGACATTGTTTAAAATTACTTACAAAGATGATAATAAAATGCAAACTGGTTTTGGTCAGATGTTATTGCTTTGAAATTCTCTGCAGACAATGTTCCCTTTTATCATCTGGGTCTGAGGGCTTCAGTTGCTCTTCTGCCCTTGAGAGGCTACTGGATTTCCCCTAAACTCTCCTTCCCAACTACCTGGTGCCTAAAATTCTCCTGTTTTCACCATTTAGGTGAAAGGCTTTTAGAATGCACATACCCTGGAGTCATATCGCTTGGCCCTAGTGATAATTTTCACTTTAATCTGAAAGAGTTCATAATAGTTTATCTTGAGAGTTTAGCCATTCGTTCTTCCATTGATTTATCAAACATGTTTAACAATCCCATAATATAGGCCAATGAATGTGGCAGGGTTGTGTCCTAAGGGAATGTATACTCTTGTGGGAGAAACAGGCACATGGAGCAGCAATTGACAGCAATTGACCTCTGGCATGGTAAGGACGGGTGCCTGGTTGGATGTCCAGAGACCCCACTGCTCTGTACGAGCCTGGGGGAGGGGAGCTAATGGGGAGAAACACCCAGGGGGAAGCCGAGGCCACTGATTACCATCTTAGAGCCTGCATGTTTCCAGCCAAAGGCACCTGCATCTGTTGGCTGTGCACCACTGCAGAGGTAGGTTCTGCTGGTGCCAAATACTCTGCAAAGACTAATTTCTGCTGCTGTTGGAGACAAGAAAGAGGAAAGTGGCTCACCAGTGGGGACAGGAGGAATGGGAAGATTGAGTGATTCCCTAGAGGAAAGGCAGGACCGCTTCTTCCTTAACAAACACCCCAACCTGCCTGATGCAGTGACTCCCTTTAGAGTTCCACTTCCTGAGAGGGGCTTTGATATGAAATGCAGCATGAACCTCCTTTGCATGAATTTCCTATTAATTAATACACTGCTTCCTCTCTGCCTAGACATTGGTAAGAGTTTCCATGATACGAGGTAACTGAACTCCTGCCAAACTGTCTATCTTGTGCCTGCTTTGCATAACACAGCTTGTCTGAGGTTGGACTTGGAGTAGAGCAACTGGTTCTGGGACACCCTCCCCACAGGAGCTGAGTTTGTAAGCTGTGGTAGGTGAGTGGTTGCTATCAGGGAGCCAGAATGAACTCCAATAGGGGAAGCCTGGAAGCTGGATACAGCCAACTTGCCTTGTTTTATGCATCCTGGAACTGTTTTCTTTAGGGGTAGGAGAGGAAGGGAGATGCAGAGGAAAAGGGCTTAAATGAGAAAAGTCTTGGGAAGCCCTGTGTCCAGTCATTTCAGGTCAGGGCTGAACTGGACTCTGCCCAGGAGCATGGCTAATTAGCATCTGTAGGCAGGAACAGGAGATGGAGCTGAAGGCAGGCTCCCTGTAGCCCCAGGAGTTGCAAAAGTAGAGGGAGGGTAAAGAGCAGGCTTTGCTTCCACCTCCACCTCCTCCTCCTCTTTATAAAGCCCAGGGAACCATCTATTTGATAAATGCAGTAGAACTGGATAATGCCACTCACTAGCTATATGATGTAGAGAAAGTTAACTTTTATGGGCCTTGGTTTTCTCTTCTGAAATATAGATTGGTCTTTTTGTTCTGTAAGGTCTCTCTCCCTGTGCTGAGAATCTGGCCTTGAAGTTCAGTCCTGCCCTGGGGTAGAGGTTAGGAGGGGCTCATGGGCAAAAGAACGGCCCAGCTGATGTGTGGAGATCCCTTTCATCGCTGGGGTGGCGTGCTGATGAGGTGATGAGCCCAGAGGGCACTCAGATGTCATTGCTAATGAAGGGTGTATTCTCATATTCTTGCATTAAAGTGATCACATATTAAGTGTTTAAAAAGAACACTTTCATGGCCCTTGTTCTTAAGGAGTTTCTGTAAAAACAAGACATAGACAAACAGGCAATAAATGAAAAACAACTCAAGATGAAAAAGCTGCTTTAGAGGCCTCCCCTGAAAGCATCATGGGAAGGGGTGTCAGCTGAGTGTTGGAAAGAACAGGTTCTTAGAATTCGCAGAGGGACTGATTATAGCCTGCTGATTCATGGCTCGGGAAGCATCTGCCCGGTAACGTTTGCAGAGTTCTTTTGGGGAAAATAGAAGTGGCAGTCATTTGAAAGCTGGAACGAATGAGGCCAAGGTCACAGGGGCTACGTCTTATACTAAGGGTTAAAAAAATTGTTCTGGGTGGGGTGGGGGAAGGGAGAGCATTAGGAAACATAGCTAATGTATGTTAGGCTTAATACATAGGTGAGTGGTTGATAGGTGCAGCAAACCACCATGCCACACGTTTACCTATGTAACAAACCTGCACATCCTGCACACGTACCCCAGAACTTCAAAAATAAAAATAAATGTTCCTTAGCCATACATTGTGCCTTCTCTGCCAGGCAGCAAAGGGGACCTCAGTGCCCAAGGTGGGGAATTCCCGCAGGTTCATGTAGCAGCCCCTCCAGGACTGTCTCAGTGAAGGGAATTAAACTGCAGGGGTTGTCAGATCAGCGCTCCCCAACCCCTGTTCCTGCAAATCCACTGGCAGGATCAGCCCTGCCAGCCCTCTTCTCTCCCAACCCCCCCAGCATTGTTGGCATTGGCTTAGTAAGGGGACTCAGGTCAACAGGAGGTATAGCTGGGTCCCACTGGGGCTGAACAGGTGCCAGCCAGTCAGAGCCTGAAGTTGCTCCCCCATCCTTGCAGGGACACTGAGGTAATCTCATACCTCTGGGTAGCTGCTTCCTTCTGCCCTGTCTCCACAGCCAGCCTTTCTCTGCCTGCCTGTCAAGATCCATTAGCTGCTGCAGCCCTGGCTGTTTTGGATCTCTCAGCTCCAGTGTAACCCAAAGACAATCTTCTTTGGGTTACAATTCTACTTCTCAAGACAAAGAATCTCTTAGCCCATCTTGAGTCAGGTATTGTCATGCTGGATGCCTATTGACTTCAATAGGGATGGCACCATGGTCAAGAGGCTGAAGAAAAGACCCAAAGCCAGCCAACAAGACCTAGGGTTTATTCAGGGGACTTACATACAGGGATGGTCCACTGGCAATGAGCTGGATGGGAAGACTGCTGCTATTTGTGAAAAGCATGCAGTTTGTATAGCATTTTCACTTAGCGCCCTCCACCTAGCAACCTCCATTTAACCTAAAACAAAGGGCCTCAGTTCCCTGTACAGCCTGTATTCAAGGGATAGGCCAGCCTTTTCTCCAAGAAGTCTCTATGCATTCCTACTGCCATCAGAGCGTGTCTCATTTCCTTAATTACCCACATGCAGAGTAGTCCTCCTCCTGCTAAACTGCAATGGATGGTGAATTTCTGAGATAAGAACTGGGTTTTGGCTGGGCCCAGTGACTCACTCCTATAATCCCAGCACTTTGGGAGGCCACGGGAGCGGCAGATCACCTGAGGTCAGGAGTTCAAGACCAGCCTGGGCAATGCAGTGAAACCCTGTCTCTACAAAAAATACAAAAATTAGCCGGGCATGATGGCGGGTGCCTGTAATCCCAGCTACTCAGGAGGTTGAGGCGGGAGAATTGCTTGAACCTGGGAGGTGGAGGTTGCAGTGAGCCAAGATTGTACCATTGTACTCCAGCCTGGGTGACAGAGCGAGACTCAGTCTCAAAAATAAACAAATAAATAAAAATAAAAGAACCGGGTTCTAGAGTCATTTCCACATCCCCAGAGCCTAGGACCAGGCCTGAAACATGAACCATGAAAGATTCTAGATACTCAATAAACTCTGTAGACAGAGGCAGTGAGTGAATGGGTCACTTCAGGGTCAACTGGCCAATGAAAGAATGGCAGAGGGCAAGGAAGTTGGCATTGAGAGGAATGCACAGGATAAGGACTTCATTCAAGATGCTCTGTGTCTGCAGCCCAACAGAAGACCCAAATCTCCTGGTATGGGAGCAGAGTGTTGCAATTGCCGTGTGATATTCGTTTTCTTCACACTCATTTTCTATTAATTAACACAATTTTTCCTTAGCAGATGAATTGGCTGGGACCTGCAGAATCGGAGCCAGTGGGATATCTGCCAGCCTGTCCATCTTGTGCCTGCTTTGCATAATGCTCTGTGTGTGAGTGCTGGCTAGATCTGGCCTTGCCACCTGAGAAATGACACTGGGCTTCTGCATTAACAGGAAGATCTCCACTTTTGCTTTTCTTTCCACATCATGGATTTTACTTTCTTGACCCTTCCCAAATTTCAGTTTCAGGACCAGTTTGCGCTCACGAATCAGCTTGTCATATCTGGGAGGAGTTATCTTTTCGAAGGAAGGTCCTGTCACATTCAGAGGTGTTAAGCATTAACCATTCAACACCCATCTCTGCAAGTTTATTGGAGCCTCCATTTACAGAAAGCTGTCTTGTCCTCATAATGAAACAGACATTCACGCTTGGCAACAGGCTAAGGTTGAGCACCTTGATTCCTGTCTCCCATCCTTTCTGGGCTTTGTTCTCCCCAGTTTCACAGAGTTCTTTCTGCTGTAAGTGAAAACTCATTTCTGTTCCCTGAAAACTACTTTTTAGCTCATTGCCTGAAGCGTAATGCTATGGTTCACGTTACTGAGGTTTGGATAACATCTTTGCATCTTTTTTTTTTTTTACAAAACATTATTTTAAAGGAGGGGAGTGACTGGGTAGTTTACAATCCCCAAATTATTATTCTTTTAAAAACCCAATAAATCAAAATTTATAGACATCGTTCTCATTGCCAGTCATTTAAAAATGAAGCAAAGTGTTTATATGGGACAATATCTATTTATCCTCCTGAAGAATGTCCTGGTTTGGGCACTTAAGGAAGATGAGGTCATTGTCAGGTGCTGAAATTCACACTGGGTAACTTAGGGACTCATCCTGTGACTCTTTATTTGGCTCTGATTGCAAATGCATTTTAAAAGTCTCCTTAAAGAAAAACAAAGCTTTTCATGTTTACAATGAGTCTCTGGAAATTATGAAACACAATAGTCTTCTTCTGGATGTGTTGTGAGTGTCTTAAAATTGTCAAAGTTTTCCTAATTGTTGGTTATAAAAATCTGCATGGACATGCGGGTTTTTTATTAAGACATAACCTCACACATCATCCATTCATAACACATTACTGACTCTACTCCCTCTATTAGCAGCTGGAAGGAGAAATGGAAAGTTGAATTGAAAAAATGAATTTATATATTCATTTAGCTTGGTTAATTAGCTGCTGAAATAATGTCCCCATTTTTTAATGGGTGCTCCACTCGATGGATAAGGCAGATGCCCACGAAGAGGTGACAGCTCAAAAAGGCACCTGGTTTATGATAATGTTTGTCAAATACATGACAGGAAAAAGCAGGTTGAGATGTTCTATCTGCCAACAAACTAGATGCTGGCAAGCCTGGAGGCAGTTGACTGACAGCTCGTTTAAACTGAGGCTGCTTACATAATAATAGTACCATTTTGTATTCTTGATAATGCTAATGTATGCACATTCATGGATAATACATTCCATTAGACTACTGTGGACACTAGCTGTGATGCTGACCATCTGAATACAAGGAACCCCGGGATGCAATCTGATGTTTGTTTGTACATGATGCTTACCCATGATTTGTTTTTTTTTTAAAGAGGGGTAAATGATTCACGTTGTGCTTTCACTTCTATTAATTGGCATCACCACTATCAACCTTCTGAGGCCACCTCTAGATTGCAATGGTGATTTTTTTGAAAACTGAAGATCTCATTGAAAGGGGAGATAACCTTTCTGGTCTTCAAAAGCCTGACTGGAGTTGACTTAGAGCATCTCTATTTTTCTTTTCTGTGGATATTCTGAAGTTCCCAAAGTTCATTTTATTAGGTCGAAATCATTTACCTTCCCTACATCGCTGAAAATATGTTGAAGGTAGATATTGTCATTTTTATTTTGTAGAGGGGAAATTGAGATGCAGAGAAGTTGTGGCCTCCACTCAGTTGGTATTGGAGTAACAGGTAGAATCTGCTCCTCTGATTTCTAGTTAATGTATTTTTTATATCCTCCTAACTAGGTCACTAGTGAGGGGTGCCTGATAATTGGACCAGAAAAATGCTAGGTGTACAGATCTACTGGAGCTGGAAGAGAGATGTGCACTTCTATTTCAGATGTGGTCAGGAGAGGGCTGAGTGCAGCTTATGAACCAAGCCTCCCAGAGCTGACTCCTACTCTGTCTCCTCAGTTCTTCCTGTCAGTCACAGACAACAGTATTCACTATGTACCTCCTAAGACTTATTTTCAGCCTGTTGCTACTTTTTAAATACAACAGGATGTTAAAGATAAAAGTTACTGCAGAGAACATCTATCTCAAACCTTTCTTTCTTTCTTTCTTTCTTTTTTCTTTCTTTCCTTTTTTTTTTTTTTTTTTTTCCTGAGACAGAGTCTTTCTTTTTTGCCCAGACTGGAGTGCAGTGGCGCGATCTTGGCTCACTGCAGCCTCTGCTTCCTGGGTTCAAGCTATTCTCATGCTTCAGCGTCTCGAGTAGCTGGGATTATAGGTGTGCACCACCACACCCGGCTAATTTTTGTATTTTTAGTAGAGAAGTAGTTTCACCAAATTGGCCAGGCTGGTCTCGAACTCCTGACCTCAGGTGGTCCACCCGCCTTAGCCTCCAAAAGTGTTAGGATTGCAGGCACGAGCCACCACACCTGGCCTATCTCAAGCTTTTCAATTTGTGGACATTTTATGAGGGAATAGACCCAGAGTGTTTAAACAGTTTCCCTGGTGAAGTTGCAACTTTCATCTCTAGTTAGTAGCGGTGCCTGGTTCACTATACATGCCTTGACTTTTCATTATTCTTTATTTTTTAGTGATGGTTACTATTACAGCTAGTTTTAGTTAAGCTTCTACTGAGTCAAGCACTACATCTTCCAAATGGGTTACCTTATCCTCGTTTTGCAAATGGAGAAGCCGGAAGTCTATACAGTTGAGTAATTTGTCCACACAACTGCTAAGTGAAAGACAAGTGGCTCGAGTTTAAAGAGCTGGCTTAAAAGCCACAGCCTTCCTGCTTGTTCTTCCCATTTCACCGCTTTTCTGAAGGGAATGATACTGTTGCTTATGATCAGGATGGCCCAGAAATGGTATCACATATTTGCCATTAATTTATAAAGGAATATTTTGTAATAATGATTTTTTATAAAAATACTGCAGCCCAGGCCTCTCCTGCAGACATTCTGGGTTGGCACCCAGGGAAAGTTTTTAAAGCTCGCCAGGTAATTCTAACCTTCAACTAGGATTTAGAGGTATCGTAGGATGTCAGAGACAGGAGAAATCTCATTACCAATGACTATCCTAGAATCCCAGATGAACTTGGATTCCCAGAATGTGTTTTCATCATTACTATAATCACCATTGCTGTCAATCATGCTCATACAATGCATTAGAATCAGGTCAAGGAAAGGGTTAGCCCTATTCTGGTACTTCACACTGTAGCCATGATTTAGTTCCTATTTATACTTACCTTGCTATGGATGTTCACTTTGTGGAGAAATGCAATGATGCCTGTACCTGTTAACCTCCCTGGCTAGTCATAAAGCCTTGCCATTTGATGTGGTGTGCAGGGTTCAGTCTGGATATCGTAAGTGTCCTCTGCTGTTTGTACCTCTATTATTTTGCTGGTGACCAGTGGGCTCAGTTGAGGAAAGTCTAACTGGTGCTCGGGTCTCTTTTGAAGGTTGTGTAAAACAAAAATAAACTCCTAAGCCCCCCAACCAACGGAACAGACACCCCCTTGGCTAAGGGGATCACAGAGAAATCTGAAAGCTGAATTCCTGGCCATAACAGGAAGGGAAGTTGAACACACCTCATTATACCCTTAGGAGTTTAGGCACAGCTGACAAGCTTTAACATTAAAATAGAGATCGTAAGGCTGACCAGACAGACTCTTTGTGGCAATAACATACCAAATTCCAACCTGACTTCGGTATGGCATCACATGAAAGATAGCAGACCCGGAAGGAAATCAAATATAGTTTTTATCTGACCCAAAATATATTTCTTTGATGTATTTTGGAATAACCCTGCAATGCTGTCTTTTGTGGGAGAAATTTGCATCTGCAGAGAATCTCCATTAATGCAGCCAGGCCGTTCCAAGATCTAAAAGAGAGCAACTAAGAGTCTGACACCTTTTTAAGGTCCCAAAAAAGATATTTACCATCTATTCTCTGGAGGCTTCATCTACATAACAAGAACCTTGGTTTCCATAACCCACCTCATATTAATTCAAGCATTTCTTTTCACTGGCTTCAAGTCTTTAGATACAATGTAACTCTTTCAACTAATTGCCAGTTAGAAAACCTTTGACTCCATTTATGACCCACTTTGAGAAGTCCTACCTTTTTAGGCTGAACCAATGTATATCTTACATGTATTGAGTTATGTCTTTGTAATTTCTGTCTCCCTAAAATATATAAAACCAAACCATAACTCAACCACCTTGGGCACGCTTTCTCATGACCTGCTGTGACTGTTCCCTGGGCCATGGGTACTCTTGTTGGCTCAGGATAAAACTCTGAATACTTTACAGAGTTTGATTTTTCCATTAACAATTTCTAGGGGAAGTGCTCTTCCTTAGGATGATAGCATGCTGAGTTTCAGTGGAGCGATAGATAGCTCAGTCTCTTCTATTCCCAATTATGACTTTGACTGTTTAGCATCTAAACTCCTTAAGGACAGATTCCTTGACCCTAGATCTCTAATTGTAGCAATGAGTGGGTTAGGTTGCAATAGTGTTAAGCAGAAAACATAAGAGGCCACAGCCTGGCGAGGTGGCTCACAGCTGCAATCCCAGTATTTTGGGAGGCCGAGGTGGGAAGACGGCTTGAGCCCTGGAGTTCAAAACCAGCCTGGGCAACATGGTGATGTTACTGGGAAAAAGTCCCAATCCAGACCCCAAAAGAAGGTTCTTGGATCTCATGCATGAAAGAATTTGGGGTGAGTCCATAGAGTAAAGTGAAAGCAAGTTTATTAGGAAAGTAAAGGAAGAAAAGAATGGCTACTCCATAGGCAGAGCAGCGGCTTGAGCTGTTGGCCTAAAGATACTTATTGTTACTTCCTGATTACATGCTAAACAAGGGGTGGGTTATTCATGAGTTTTCCAGGGAAGGGGTGGGCAATTGCTGGAACTGAGGGTTCCTCCCCTTTTTCTGGTAACTTCCTGACATTGCCATGCCATCTGTAAACTGTCTTGGCGCTGGTGGGAGTGTCTTGTGGCATGCTAATATATTAAAATTAGCATATAATGTGCCGTGAGGATGACCAGAGGTCACGCTCATCGCCATCTTGATTTTGGTGGATTTTGGCTGGCTTCTTTCCTGCAAACTGTTTTATCATCAAGGTCTTTATGACCTGTATCTTGTGCTGACCTCCTATCTCATCCTGTGACTTAGAATGCCTAACCTCTTGGGAATGCAGCCCAGCAGGTCTCAGCCTTATTTTCCCCAGCCCCTATTCAAGATGGAGTTGCTCTCGTTCAAATGTCTGACAGTGAGACCCTGTCCTTACCAAAAATTTAAAAAATTAGCCATCCATGGGCTGAGCATGGTGGCTTATGCCTGTAATCCCAGCATTTTGGGATGCCGAGGTGGGTGAATCACGAGGTCAGGAGATCGAGACCAGCCTGGCCAACGTGGTGATACACCGTCTCTACTAAAAGATACAAAAAATTAGCCAGGCATGGTGGTGGGCGCCTGTAATCCCAGCTACTTGGGAGGCTGAGGCAGGAGAATCGCTTGAATCTGGGAGGCAGAGGTTGAAGTGAGCCAAGATCGCGCCATTGCACTCCAGCCTGGAGACAGAGAGATACTCTGTCTCAAAAAAATAAATAAATAAAATAAAATTATCCATCTATGGTGGCATGCACCTGTAGTGCCAGCTACAGGAAGCTGGGGGGCTGAGGTGGGAGGATTGCTTGAGCCCAAGAGGTCAAGGCTGCAGTGAGCTGAGATTGTGCCACTGCACTCCAGCCTGGGTGACAGAGCAAGAGCCTGTCTCAAAAAAAAAAAAAAAAAAAAAGAAAAAAAAGAAAAGAAATGCCAGAAGCCATTATTAGTTTGGAACCATTAGTAACTTTAATGGGACATTTGCATTATGCAGCTGTCATTCAGGCTGACAGGAGAAGGTGTAGAGAGGAGGCAATAATTTGGTGGGTTTTTTTCTGTTTTTGTTTTTGTTTTTTTAAGCAGAGTCCCACTCTGTAGCCCAGGCTGGAGTGCAGTGATGTGATCTCAGCTCATTGCAACCTCTGCCTCCTGGGGGTCTAGCGATGCTCCTTCCTCAGCCTCCCACACAGCTGGGACTATAGGCGTGTGCCACCACACCTGGCTAATTTTCATATTTTTAGTAGAGATGGGTTTTTGCCATGTTGGCCAGGCTGTTCTCAAACTCCTGACCTCAAGTGACCCTCCTGCTTTGGCCTCTCGAAGTCCTGGGATTACTGGTGTGAGCCACTGCGCCCAGCCTGGTTGTTCTTTTTTAATTTTGTTTCCATTTTCATCTACAGTCAGGTTAGAATTGGTAAGAACCAACTAGAAAAATGGCCAGTGGAGGAGAGATGCTGACCACCAATACTTCTAAATCTAAGGGCCAGTGTGTTCTAAAAAAATTCAGGCTGGGTGTGGTGGCTCACACCTCTAATCCCAGCACTTTCGGAGGCCAAGGTATTTGGATCATTTCAGGTCAGGAGTTGAAGACTAGCCTGACCAACATGGTGAAACCCTGTCTCTACTAAAATACAAATATTAGCCAGGTGTGGTGGTGGGCACCTGTAATCCTGGCTACTCGGGAGGCAGAGGCAAGAGAATGGCTTGAACCCAGGAGGCAGAGGTTGCAGTGAGCCCAGATTGCCCCACTGCTCTTCAGCCTAGGTGATAGAGCGAGACTCCGTCTCAATAAAATTAAAATAAAATTCAAAACTATTACTCCACATCAGGAATTTTATCAGTTATTGTAAAAGAGGGCAGACGAGTGGATTTTCTGGCTCTCTCATGTCACTTCCCTATTTGAGAGCCTTTGCTCATGGGCTTCTAGTCCAACAGTGCAGCCCAGCCTGAAAGGGCTGATCTGACTCCTCCTCTCCTCTCAATCCCATCTCATCCTGCTTCTCTCTCTCTTTCTCTCTTTTTTCTTTTTTTTTTTTTTTTTGAAACAAGGACTTTCTCTGTCCCTCAGGCTGGAGTACAGTGGCACAATCATAGCTTACTGTAGCCTCGAACTCCCAGCCTCAAGCAATCCTCCCACCTCACCCTCCAAGCAGCTGGGACTACAAATGTGAGCCAACATGACCAGCTAATTAAAAAAAAATATTTTGGAGACGGGGATCTCGCTACATTGGCCAGGTTAGTCTTGAACTCCTGGGCTTCAGCGATCCTCCTGCCTTAGCCTCCCAAAGTGCTGGGATTCTAGGCGTGAGTCACTGTACACAGCTCATCCTGTTTCTCACTGCAACCAACACTCACCGTGCTTGCAGAGCATCCCTTGCTGCCTCCCACATCTTTGCCTTTGTTCACAATATTTCTTCTGTTCACCCTTCTCTTCCCCTTTCTATCCATGGATTTCCTGACTCTTCCTTCCCCTCTTGGCCTCCCTATTTTATCCACCACACAATACCCTCTTCAGATTTCTGTCTGAGGACTGATAACACTTCCTCACAGATATTTGTTTAGATCATGAGCTTACCCTGTGACTCTCTGAACTCCTATGATGGATTGCGTGAACTCCTCAGTGCTGGGCCCGTTTGACACAGTCTTTTG
The DNA here is from genome assembly GCF_000001405.40 of Homo sapiens. Lineage (NCBI taxonomy): Eukaryota > Metazoa > Chordata > Mammalia > Primates > Hominidae > Homo > Homo sapiens. Next base: position 25,112,353 of record NC_000010.11, read on the forward strand.
GAAAGACACTTAACAACTTCCTGCCTTAGTTTCTTCATCTGTGAAATGGGGATAACAAAAGGATTGTGGAGGAGATAAAGGAAGTGATATGTCTAATAATGCATAATAATAATAAACATAATAATTACTGATATCCATGACATATAACAACAACTTTCCTAATAACTAACACAACATTCACAATGTATCAGGTTCTACTCCAGGGGTTTTACAAATTTAACTCATTTAGTCCTCTGGGTAAGCCTATCAGGTAATTTCTCTTATTACCCCTGTTTACAGATTAGAAACCTGAGGCACAGAGAAGTTAAGGAGTTTTCCCAAGGTCACACAGCTTGTAAGTGATAAAGATGAGGGTTGATTCTGAGTAGTCTGGGCGCCAGAGCCTATGCTCTTAGTCACCAAGCAACACTCCTTCAAATGATCGGTGTTTGTTAATTACCATTAAGTATAAATTGTCTAAAATCTACGATCAAGCTAAGCCTGGAAATTAAAGACCAATGAGCCAATCCACATGGAATACCACTCAGGGGCTGCCTTAAAGATATGAGCCAGCCCTGAGGGTTTCCCTCCTGTCCCCTTACTGACAGGTGGACCAAAAGAAAGGGAAAGAAAACCACATTCCATCTTCACAGAGGTTCCAGTTAGTTCCTAGGCAAACAAGAAATCAAAAGCATCCACAGATGTTGTGTCTACCACCCTGATGCAGAAAGAGCTTAAGGAGAAGCTCTGACAAGGGATAGACAGTTTACTTATGGAAACAAGCAGAAAATTAAATCTGGTCTCTGCCCAGCAAGCATCTCACCTCCCACCATAGCGTCTGGCAGAGAAGTGAGCCAAGGTGGCCCCTGGCGCAGCAAATGTTTGGCACATCCATTTGCACAGGAGGGGGAAGAAGGCGCATTCTCAAACACCCTTCCCATCACCTTTCAGGATCTTAGGTGCCTTCTCTACAGCCATGGCACAAACCTTTACCACTAGGGGGCGGCTAGACATTTCGATTGGCTACCAGGCAAGCGGCCAGCTCAGGACAGGAGCAGTGCTCTGTGAAAGAATGGATTCCTGGTTTGTTCTAAGTACAAACAAGGGGGAAATGCTTCTGCAGGGTTAAATGAGGTTGACACGCTCCCCGCGGCTGACCAGACAGTCCCTCCTAACTCTTACCCACCCTGGGCAGCTCTCTCAGCGCGGTGTGGGGCGGGAGTGGGAGCTGATGGGGGGTGCTCTCTATTCAGACTCTACTTGTTCTAGACTGAGTCACTGGTGGGGGCAGCGGTGTTTGAAAGTGGGCATCACTCTTGGGCTCCCACATTGACTGTAGTTTTACGGAATGTTTGGTGAGTAACTAGTTTTCTAACTTTTCTTTATTTCTCTCATATATTTGTCCATGTTCTTTCCTATGTCATCAAAGAGGATGCCAGGAAAACCCAAAGAAAGGCCCTAGGAGGAAACCAGTATGAGTGCCAAGATGAGCCAGAACCAGGGTGGGGCTGAGAGGCGCCCAGGCAGCTGCTTTCATTGTGCACCTTCCCCTAGTCCCAGCCCCAAATCACCATGGTGACAGATACCCAGCAGCATTGAGAAACAGAGAGCTTTTTGTTTTCTGCCATGCTTTTAACTCCTCACTCCACTTGTCTCCACCTCCACCCTCTTCAGCCTATACAACTTCTTGCTCATTCCTGTGAAGGTATTGGCTGATAAGAAACAATAAGGACTTCCTAAATAGAGGACTTTGGTATAAAAGTAGCTAACATTTATTAAGCGCTTACTATGTGTCAGACACTCTCCTCAATGCTTTGCAGTATTGGCTCACTTAATTCTCTCAACAATGTGGCAAAGAAGGTATTTATTTTACAGATAAGGTAACTGAGGCACAGAGAGGTTATGTAACTTGCCCAAGGTCACACAGTAGATGGGGGAGTCACAATTTGAATCTAGGGAGTTCTTACTCTTAGGCTCACACGTTGCTTGAGATACCAGAGAACATTCAGACATGTGAAACACTGGACTGTGGGCTACCAGGGGGCAGAAAGGGATTGTGATTTGGTGTTCTTAGTTGGCAACCCCCACAATCACAAACGATGTCTATGTGGCAGGCTGGCTGGGGCTGAGAGCTACTGCCTTTGGGTTACATTTGAGCAGATTGCTGTTCTTCTCCTGAATACCTGGTTTGGCATCCTTAGGGTTGGTTTATTATGACCCTAAAGACTGGATTTACTTTGTTTTCTTTTTGTTTTTTTTGAGGTGGAGTCTCACTTTGTCACCCAGGCTGGAGTGCAGCAGCACAATCTTGGCTCACTGCAACCTCCGCCTCCTGGGTTCCAGTGATTCTGCTGCCTCAGCCTCCCAAGTAGCTGGGATGACAGGCGCCCGGCACCACACCCAGCTAATTTTTGTATTTTTAGTAGAGATGAGGTTTTGCCATGTTGGCCAGCTGGTCTCAAACTCCTGACCTCAGGTGATCTGCCTACCTCAGCCTCCCAAAGTGCTGAGAATACAGGCGTGAGCCACGGTGCCCAGCCTGGATTTCCTTCTTATTCTTAATCTGATCTGGCTCCCTCCAGATGATCGTGAGCCCGGGATCAAGAAGCCATACCCTATCCATCTTTGTATTTCCCACAGCTTCCACATCTTGGGCTTAGTAGGTGCTCACAGCACGTTGGCTTATTTAGTCTGTATCAGCCACTTTGAATTATGGGCCATGGCAAAGCTGCCCTTCTGGGACAGGCAAGTGTCATGTCCTGTGGCCGTTGATCCTTCCCTCCCTCCCTTCCTTCCTCCCTTCCTCCCTCCCTCCCTCTCTCCCTCCATCCCTCCCTCCCTTCTCTACCTCCCTCCTTCCCTTCCACCCTCCCTCCCTCCTTCCCTCCCTCCCTCCCTCTCTCCCTCCATCCCTCCCTCCCTTCTCTACCTCCCTCCTTCCCTTCCACCCTCCCTCCCTCCTTCCCTCCCTCCCTCCCTCTCTCCCTCCATCCCTCCCTCCCTTCTCTACCTCCCTCCTTCCCTTCCACCCTCCCTCCCTCCTTCCCTTCCACCCTCCCTCCCTCCTTCCCTTCCTTCCTCCCTCCCCCCTTCCCTTCCTCCCTCCCTCCTTCCTTCCCTCCATCCTTCCCTCCCTCTCTGCCTCCCTCCCTGTTCCTCATCTCTGCAAAGGGGCAGCATTTTTTTTTTCTCGATTCAGATTTAACATGAGGGGGGCGGTTCTCTCTGTAACTATGAGAAAGAAACTGTCCTGTGTTTCTGACTGCTCAACATGTTTTTTTTTTTAGTTGTATATGAGTAGAAAGGGCTAGAAAAATCTACCTGTTGTTTCTAATTACTTACCTTCAGTATAAAGAGTAAACTAAGCTCTATTATCTTATCTCAACCTGTCTTGTATCTACTATTTCCTGTGCTTTTCTCTGCCACATGCTTCCTTTCCCCCTGTGTGTTTTATGAGCATTGCAAATTATTTTGTTCTTCATCCTCTTTTTTTTTTTAGAAACAGGTCTCTCGTTCTGTTGCCCAGGCTGTATTGTAGTGGCATGACTGTAGTTCACTGCAGCCTCGAACTCCTGGGCTTCAACTTCTGATCCCCAGCTTTTTGACTAACTGAACTCATCAAAATATGAATTTAGAGACTGAAGCCCGTTGACCAAAGGCTTGAATCCCAGGAATCCCCAGGATGCAAGTATCTTTCCTGAGTAACAGGATCTCTGGGAGACCCTAGATTCCTAGAGTAGGGCAGACTTTGCTTTAGAAAGAAAATTTGGGAGTATGCAGAACATTCTGGAACCCTTAATCTGACCCAGAAGAAACAAGGGTATAAAGACCAAGACTGACTGTAAGCCAGAATTGCTCCTTTCGAGGTGTGAGGGTGAAGCAGCCTCACTTGGCATGTGTGGTTATTCCAGTCCACGCCTTGCTGTAGACATTCCTGAGATCTTTCATCTTCCCCTGCCATTATGTTCCCAACACATTGGAAATAAAATTCCCCAAATCGCTTCCTCCATATGGCCACGCCTGATCAACCCTAAAGATCTCTGAGTCTTTCTTTATTCTACATCCTGTCATCATCTAAATTCCAAAATTTAATTATGGATTTTTTTCCAGACTTCTTCTATAGACCTGGAATATTTTTAGCATCTTTTCTGCAATAAATGAATTGGTGAGGATCTTGAGGTTATATGGAAGGTTTCCTACAGTTGTGTGTTTTAAATGAAATTTGGCTTTTATATTATTTTGGTAACCTGTGAATCTTTTGCTTAATAAAAATCCTCCAGGCTCTCTGCGTGATGTTTTTACTTACCAAAGACACAGACCTGGGCTTCCTGGGGTCCCCCTTCTGCAGCTGTGATAATCAGCAGTCTTCCCAGGGTGAGAGTCTGCTTAAAAGGGCCCCTGGGAATTTATCTACATCTTAAAAAGTTCCATCAGCATCCAGAAACAATATACCCTACCACGTAAGGTATGAGTTCTGCTACTCAGCAAAGGCACATTTTCCAGGCCTGGGTTTGGGGGTGTGGGTCCTGAAATTCTCTCTGTGCCATACTTATGTAACCTTTCTTGTTGTGCACCTGCACCACAGCCCAGCAACCTCCCTTCCCCTGTTCTGGGATTTCAGGATCTAGGAATATTCCATTAAGTCCTGCCTTTTCATGAGCAGACCTGGGCCTGCCTGGCATACAAGTCTACCTTCTTCAGCCCCTTCCCTCTCTGTATCTCACAGGCTTTGCTTGTGGTTTTCCACACATGCTTCACCAAGCTAAATTGAATCTGGCCAACGGGAATACTGGAGGGATGATTACCTGCATAGAAGCATTTAATAAACACTACATTTGAAGCTGATAGATTGCTGATCTTCTCATGGCAATAATGAACCTCCTTGGCTATTTCTTTATGCCTATAAAGATATTATCCAAATGAATTAAGCATATTTTAATTAATATTTTGGTTTTTTTAGACAGAGTCAGGTTCTGTTGCCCAGGCTGGAGTGCTGTGGCATGATCTCGGCTCACTGCAACCTCCGCCTCCCGGGTTCAAGCGATTCTCCTGCCTCAGCCTCCTGAGTAGCTGGGAGTACAGGTATGCACCACCATGCTCGGCTAATTGTTGTATTTTGCGTAGAGACAGGGTTTCACCATGTTGGCCGGGCTGGCCTCGAACTCCTGACCTAAAGTGATCTGCTTGCCTTGGCATCCCAAAGTGCTGGGATAAGAGGCGTGAGCCACTGTGCCAAGCCAGCTTTTTTAAAAAGGTAAACAAACAAACAAACCAAAAACAACAACAAAAAACCCAGAACCACTAATCAAAACAAAATCAATTGGAAAAGAATTTGAATAAATTTTCTTATTTTTCTCCTGAGAGACATAGAGAGTAACAGGAAAGGGGAAATGTGGAGGGCCGCTCATTAAAACATGTTTTAAGAAATTTGCTGTCTATTTCAGGAAGGTTTACATTGAGCCTTGTAACTTAGACAAATGAAAGAAACGAAAAGGCGGCTCATTAGTTGATATTTTTCTGGAAGGCTGATTGATAATGTTTTCATGTATTTGAGATAACCAAGTACAGAAAGCAAAGTCATGGGATATGAGTAACGTCCCATGACCGTAGGGACCGCTGTTGATATATGGATGTCTATTTTCTGTCTGTTGGGCAGTGTGTCTGCGATGTCCCTCCCACACACTTGCCTTGCTTTTTTCTTCCCCTGACCCTTTCACATGACTGACTCCCTCTTGGTAGTGACTTTTCCTAAGATTCTTTTGTTGTAATCTAGTCATGCTGTCCTTATACAAAGGAAAGTGCTAGAAATAGGTACTCAAAGGATGACACAGCTTTCCTTCTCCTCTGAAAGGGCCATGACCTTATTCAACACAGCTTCTACTAGGTATTTTTAAAAATTATTATATATATATATATACATTTAATTGATATATGAGTTGTACATATTTGGGGAGTACCTGTGCTAGTTTGATATCTGTATACAATATTACTACGTCTTAATGTTTCTATGCAAGTTACCAATGGTCTTCCTTTTACAGATGCTAAAGGCAAAAATCTATGTCACCAAGCCCAGGTAGAAAATTCATCGCATTTCACAGGATTAATGGTGGCAATCCCAGTTTGGGTTGTTCTTCCATGCCTTGGTTAGCCCCTTTTATGGGAATGAGGAGAGGCAGGAAATGCTGACAATAAATGGTTGTAGCCAGACTCATTTACTATTTTGCTTTTTTGTTATTGTTGTTGTTAAAATGGAGTCCCTACTATCAAACTGGTCTTTAAGAAGAAAAAAAAAAAACGTCTTGCTCTGACATCCAGGCTAGAGTGGAGTGGTGTGATCATAGCTCACTGTAGTCTCAAACTGCTGGGTTTAAGGGATTCTCCTGCTTCAGCCTCTTGAGTAGCTGGGACTACAGGCATGTACCGCTCTGCCTGGCTTGTTTTTTTAAAAAGTGGCATCATTATTTTTTTCTGGCTATAGAAGTAGTTCTTCTGACCATTTAAAAAGTACAGAAAAATATGAAGAATATAATTAATAGCCCACAAAATACTAGTGCTATTAAATTTTAGTGTCCTTTCCATCCATATTTTCTAAAAAGAAAAATAGAAGTATTTGATAAAGTTTCAGTATAATGACATATATATGTATATATATACACACACACACACACATATATATATATACAATTTCTATTACAAGATTGGAATCATATTCTACATAAGTTTTCTATCCTGTTTGCACTTAGCCGTATCAGGTGGCCATTTCCTGAGGTCTTTAAATACTTCTCAAAAACCTAATTTTAATAGCTTCACAACTGTCCACCTGATATGACTGTACCAGGATTTATTTAACTGGTCTCCCACTTGCCAACATCTCAGTTGTTTTTATAGTTTTGACTATTCTAAAGCAATGATAAATAGCCTTTAGGTAAATCTTGTATTCTCAGTTTCATTCCTTAGGGTAGATATCTAGAAGGTGAATCACTGGGCCAAGTGGTAGAAGCACTTCTGGAGCACGTATATGTGTGTGTGTGTGTGTGTGTGCGCGCATATGTGTGTGTGCGTGTGTGTGTGTGTGTTTGTGTGTGTCTTGCCCAGTGGTCTTTGAGAAAGACAGATGCAAACTAAAATCCTATCAGCAATGGATGAGAGGCCCAATCCCACTGCAATTTTATTAGCACTGTTTGTGTGTGCGTGTGTGTTTGCACGCATTTAAACCCGCCTCTGCAAATAGATCAAATGGGATAGATAAGAAGAGATGGTGTCGGATTTTAGCTTGCATATTTTACAATTAGTGAGATTGAGTAATTTTACATAGATACTTGGATAGATAACGTGCTGATCAGCTATTGACTTGAAATATATTCATTTTTCCAGTGGATTTGTAAGGTTGTTACGAGATTTGTATGTTTCTTTTTCTTTTTTTTTTATTCATGTTCCTTCTTATTATAGCATCTGAAATAAAACTAGCTCTGCACATTTAGGAGTTGGGACTCTGTATGTATTGAAATGAAATATAAATCATAGAATTATTGTGGCATTTGAGAGCTAATCAGATCACACAAGCAAAGCACATAGCGGCGGAAGGGAAGGCATAGGAGAGACAGCCTGAAGTTGGTAGAGCAAACAGTGGTATTGTTGAAGGATTTGAGTTTAAATGAAAACTGTGAGGAGGAAATTATTAATCATTCCCTTGATTTTATTTTTATTGTCCTATTCCAATGAATCCAGATGCCACTGGTGAGGTAGGCGGCTTCTATGTACAGAACCACCCAGAAAGCTTAGGATATAGGAGTCAAGGGCACCTGCTTTGTACCAGAGCTGTGTTTGGGCATTGCCTGGGCATTTTATATTTACTTTTCAACTACCCTTAGGCAAAAATTGCTTAACCTCTCTTAGCCTCAGTTCCATCAACTGTGATATGGGAATAATAATACCTCCTCCCCTGTGTTGTTGTGAGGATGAAAAGAAAGAATTTATGTAAGCCTGGAGCACAGTGTGTGACACAGAATAGGAACCTGATATATGGTCACTGTCATTGTGATCGCATAGCAGTATGACATGTCACCTGCAGCCAGCATCTTGTGCCGAGGTCACTGTGCAATGCCTCTGTGTAGTTCTTGGACGGTAAAATGATGGTAAAATCAATTCAATTCATTCTTCTTACTAATGCAAGTTTAGCCATGTGGCCTGTTAGCTGGTTTAATTTACTACCCACCCCCATCATGTTTCAAGGGATGTTGATTTTCTGAACCCAAATGGAAGTGCAAATGACCCAACTAGAGGAAATGCAATAAAAAGACCAATCAAATATATATCAGTGTGTTTTATTTATCCTCCACTCCTGTTAGTCTCTGGATTTGACAAGTAGAATATGGTGGTGGACAGGAATGCAGACCCTGAGGTCTCTGTGCTTTAATCGAGTAACATGCTTCTTGATATCAACAGTCTTAGGACTATTGAAGTCATGCCTTTTGGCTCCTTGAATGGCTCTGTTTCTATTTATTTTCCATTTCTTTTAAATTTTAATCACATTAATCATATACACATAAATAATTTGGATATTAAAATTTGAACCTCATACAAGCAGCCAATATACATATAAAAGTGCTCAACATCACTAACCATCAGTGAAATGCAGAGTAAAGCCTCAGTGAGATATCACCTTGTACGAGTCAGAATAGCTATTACTAAGCAGTCAAAAAAACAACAGATGTGGAGAAAAGGAAGTGCTTATACACTGTTGGTGGGAATGTAAATTAGTACAATTTCTATGGAAAACAGCATGGAGGTTCCTCAAAGAACTAAAAATGGAACTATCATTTGGCCTAGCACTCCCATTACTGGGTATCTACCTTCCCAGAAAAGAAATCATTGCATAAAAAAGGCACCTGCACTCATGTTTATCACAGCATTGTTCATAATAGCAAAGTCATAAAATCAACCTAAATGTCCTTCAATGGATGATTGGATGAAGAAAATGATGATTTTCTCTCTCAGCCGTAAAAAAGAATGCAATCATGTCTTTTGCAGCAACGTGGGTGGAGCTGGAGGCCATTATCTTAGGTGAAATAACTCAGAAACAGAAAATCAAATACTGTGTGTTTTCACTTATAAGTAGGAGTTAAACAATGGCCACACATGGACATAGAGATGGAAACAGTAGGCACTGGGGATTCCAAAAGGGGGAAAGGAAGTGTCAGAGGCATATAATAAATGCACAACAAGTTTTTCTTCAAGCAAAAACCTGCTTATGATCTGCTCTTTAACAAAAATTGTAAAAGGTTATAAAAGGTTTATGAGACTCTTACCTTATGGTCAAATTGATTAAGATTAAATACACTTGTCTATATGGTCTTATTAAGAATTTGGTTTGACATCAATAATGCACTAATGCAACAGTAACATTTGGCCTATTTGGTATAAAAGTCATACAGGAAGCATTATCAAATGTGAAATAGTGTTTTTTTTTGGGGGGCTGTATTTGTATAAATGTGTTATTGGTACATGATCCAAAATTGTGGGAAACTCCTATAAATCTGGTATGACTTAGTGTATGTTATTAGTAATTATTATGTTAAAATCATTCTATGCCACAGAGGTAACCAAATTTCTTTGTCAATCAAGTTTTTGACTGTAGCTGTCCTAAGATGTTTTGTCATCCACAGATAATTATTGTCTTGTTTTAATCCTCTTTAGAAGATGGTTTATAATCAGCTATAGGACTTTTTTTCTTTTTTTTGAGATGGAGTCTTACTCTGTCGCCCAGGCTGAAGTGCAGTGGTGTGATCTCGGCTCACTGCAACCTCTGCCTCCTAGGTTCAAGTGATTCTCCTGCCTCATCCTTCTAGTAGCTGGGATTACAAGCATGTGCCACCATGCCTGGCTTATTTTTGTATTTTTAGTGAAGATAAGGTTTCACCGTGTTGGCCAGGCTGGTCTCAAACTCCTGGCCTCAGGTGGTCCACCTGCCTAGGCCTCCCAAACTGCCGGGATTATAGGCATAAGCCACCATGCCTGGCCAGGACTTTGACAGATGTTCTTAAATGCAAGTTTCTGATAACTTTGGAGATTGTGACGTTAGAATAGAGGAAAAAAGTTTCAGGACACACGGAGAACTGGAATGTTCATACATATCAAGCAGAACAGGAGTTAAATGAATTGACTGAACTAACAGCAGTCTAAAATGATCTTTTTCACTTTTTGCTTAAAACATTGCTGATCCTTTGTTTTCCAGAGTCCAGAAAACTTTTCTTTTTAGTTATTTACAGCTTTTAACAATTGAGCAAAGTGTACTCCTGTGAACAAAATCTGGAGCATATTTGTTTCTCTCTACCTGATTTCTCTAGAATTTGGAAACTATTTGTAAGATCTTAATTTATGGCAATATAATTATTTTCATAAGTGCAATAAGAACCTGTTTTCTTTTGCCACAGAACAAAATTGGAGAAATTGGTTATTTTACCAAGGCTTTGACTGGAATGGATGCTTTCCTTTAAGCAATCAAACTTGACTTGTAAAGCCAATGAAAGCCGCTTGGGGAACTGGCCTATACTTTGCCTACAGAGTCCCTATGCAGGGTTTCTGACCTGTGGTAAGTAAAGAATGTCACTTTCTAACAGGTCCAGGAACCCCAAGTTATCTTCGTACCCCAAGAAAAGAAGAATTTACTCAACTCATAGGTATTTGAGAGTACAAACCCATGGCAGGGTTGGGCTCTAAAAAAGTGTTATCTAAGATTCCTTCTATGCAACCGAGTTCCATCAAAGCCAATTTAAAAAGAGCTTATGTGAAAAACAATTATTCTTGCTACAGTTTATACAAATAATCAGGCCAAGTATAATAAAGCAAATCAGTCTTACCATGATTTGTCTTTAATAAAAATGGGAAACTGGAGAGAGAAGTTATGTTTCAGAAATTATGGTACACTTGTATTAAATTTTAGTCTCATCAGTTGTTTTTAAGTTTGTTTCTGCAATTTAGGCTAACCCTGCTTATTCCTGTGAACCAACCAGTGATCTCTGACTGCTGCTCAGAAAAAACAAGAGGGATAGGTAATATAACAATCTAAATCAATATTCTAATTCTGGGCACATTGCAATCAACTAGCAACCCCATATCAGCTTGGTTCCAACAGTTGCCCAGTTCATGGAAAGCCTTCTAATTTAGTTTACTTGGAATAATTTTACGTATTTTGCTTTACTGTTGTGGAATATATTGCTATTGTACTCTTTGTATAGGAATGCAGGATAAGCTTACTCAACATTGTCTTAAACTGAACTCTTATTATTTTTTCAGATAGCACCTTTTGTCAGAACTTAAGAGTTATGAATGGCCCTTACCATACTGATGCTTTCTGACTGAGCTCCTCTCTACCCCTAACACAAGAGACTCTAATAGTCAGCCAGGAATAGATCATCACCCCTATTCAGCCTGAAGAAGTTACAGAAGATGAATCTTTGTCCCTCTGCAACCCTTAGGATTAAGGGTTCTTTTATAAAAGGGAGGGGGGAAATGTAAGAGGTGTGTGAACCAGTGCAACTCCATCTTGAATGGGAGCTGGGTAAAATGAGGCTGAGACCTACTGGGCTGCATTCCCAGATGGAAGGCATTCTAAGTCACAGGATGAGATAGGAAGTTGGCACAAAATATAGGACACAAAGACCTTGCTAATAAAACAGTTTGCAGTAAAGAAGCTGGCCAAGACCCACCAAAACCAAGATGGTGACAAGAGTGACCTCTGGTCGTCCTCACTGCTATATGCCATAACAGTTTATGAACGTTATGGCAATGTCAGGAAGTTACCCTATATGGTCTAAAAAGGGGAGGCACGAATAATCTGCCCTTTATTTAGCACATCATTAAGAAATAACCATAAAAATGGGCAACCAGCAACCCTTGGGGCTGCTCTGTCTATGGAGTAGCCATTCTTTTATTTCTCTACTTTCTTAATAAACTTGCTTTCACTTTAGTGACTCGCCCTGAATTCTTTCTTGTGTGAGATCTAAGAACCCTCTCCCGGTGTCTGGATCAGGACCACTTTTCTGTAACAGTAGGAAAAGGGTAAGTGTTGAAAAGTGACCTACTGGGTACAATGTTTACTATTTGGGTGATGGGTACACTAGAAGCCCCAACTTCACCATTATGCAATATATCCATATAACAAACTTGCACCTGTACCTCCTGAATGTAATTTTTTTTTAAATTAACTTACTAGAAGTTTTCTCCCACAGAGACTCCCACCTCCCCTTTCTATTTCTTTTGCCCTCAAGAGACAAAACCCACCTATTTGAATATTAGATACATTAGTATTAGTTAAAGGATTTACCCAAGAGAACCCAAGAACAGAGACAGGGCCTGCTTGGTGGCTCATGCCTGTAATCCCAGCACTTTGGGAGGCCAAGGCGGGAGGATGGCTTGAACCCAGGAGTTTGAGATCAGCCTTGGCAACATAGCAAAACCTCATCTGTATAAATAAATAAATAAATAAATAAACAAACAAATAATTAGCTAGGCTTTGTGGTGCGTGCCTGTAGTCCCAGCTACTTGGGAGGCTGAGGCAGGAGGATTGCTTGAGGCCAGGAGTTCAACGCTGCAGTGATCTATGATCGCAGCACTGCACTCTAACCTGGGTGCCAGAGTGAGACCCTGTCTCAAAAAGACAAACAAAACAAACAAAAAACAGAGACAAAAATAAAGCTCAGGATGACACATACAATTCAAAGGCTTCCCAATGACAAAACCACTGTTGAGATTGACAGCAACCATCCATGCATCTTCCTTAGGCGTGTCTTTTGTTCTCCTGGACGGCCTTGGCATGTCCTTTCACGGAAGGATCTAAGAGTCAGTCCCTCCAGGCACCACAGGAAACAGCTGCACTCCCAGGGATGCCTCTCACCTAAGGTGCACCCTTGCTAGAACTTGCCAGATTGGGGGCCCCCGGGAGCTGTGCCGGCAGAGGCGGGCTCCTGCAGCTGAAGCTGATCTCCCTCCTTCATGGTTTGGTGGGCAAGGAATCCGGTTGCCATGGCAACTCCAGCAGCCATTCAGGCTGGAGGGAACATTCCCTAAGGCTCCTCTCCATCTGTGTGTCCTTGGCGATTTCCCTGCCCTGGTGAAGGAGGTGGGGATCCACTTCCTCCAGGGATCTCCCCCAGCTCACCGATGGTATAAATGGGCAGGGGAACTGCGTTGTCATGGCAGCAACTCCTCTAGCTCTTCCATTCAGAGAAAGTCTGGCTCAGGGAATCTGCCTGGTGTTCCCAATGGCAAAGCTGGCAAGGAACTGCATTATCATAATGATTTCCACACTGTCTTTCCAAGAGAGGGTTGGCTTTGTTGGGTTCCTGCTGGAGGCTGGGCCCTTGTTCCCACTGCCATGGTAACATCCCCAGTGGCACGGACCAGGCAGGTTTCTCACCAGCCAAGCCCCAATGCCGCCTTTCAAGTCTGTTCTTGTTTCCCTAGACCCCTTTTCTTCTTTTTCCCAAACCCCAGACGTTCTGCTGGTGTCACCTCTCTTAATCCTTGAGATCACTGTGATCAAGTCTTTCTTCCTGCCCAAGACTAGTTTTAGGGTAAGATGCTGTCTTTGACTGTGTTCACCTTCCCTTCCGTCCATCAAAGTTCCCCCCAACCAAAAAAAAAAAAAATCCATTTTGGAAAAAGGAGGGTTTTGTATGCAAGATAATGGGATACAAGGAAATCAAAAGAGTAATCATCACGGGAATGTCCAACAATCCTGTAAGTCATACTGTGTTCATCCATGTGAGGGTGTCTTTTCCCTTCAACCCTCACAGTGTCTTCCTATTCCTGGACTTGGAGCCTTTGGTGGAAACAGGGGGCTTTGGTGTTGGAACATCTGGGTTTGAATCTTGTTTCAGTCATTTATTTTCTTTTATCATTTTTTTTTTATTTCTTAGAGAGGAAGCCCTGCTATATCACTTGGGCTGGTGCAACTCACCGCAGGCTCACTGCATCCTCAAACTCCTGGGCTCAAACGGTCCTCTCACCTCAGCCTCCTGTGTAGCTAGGACTATTCCCTGCCAGTGTGCCCAGCCTCAATCTGCTTTTACAAACTGAAAGATCATGGGAGAGTCACATCTTTCTGGGAAGGAGAATTAGAAGGAGGAAGTAAATGTCTTCCTTGCCAAATTGTGGTAAGAGAGAGGTAATGTATATGAAAGTTCTTTGTCAATACTCTAGGCACTTAACAGACCTTGATAATTTTGGTAATTTTTATTCCTATGGGACATTTGTAATTGATGTATTCATTGAGGTAGTCCTTCAGTGGATGAATTATGCGGCTCATTCAGATACTTCCCTAAGGCAGGCTCTATAACCTTCCAGGAGCATCACTTTTCTCATCTGTACAATGGGACAGTACCAGTCTCAGTGGAGGATTTTGAAGATTAAATGAGGTACTGAACAGAAATGCATACAGCAGGCCCAGGCAGACAGTTCCTGCCCAATTAATGGTTATTATTATTATCGATTGCCTACTATGTGCTCTTAACAGGATTCCCCTCTGAATTCTTCAGTGAGTTTGCTGCTGCTGTGGCTCAGGCCTTTCCCACGTGTACTCTAGTGCTTTATTTATTTATTTAGAGATGGAGTCTCCCTCTGTTGCCCAGGCTGGAGTGCAGTGGCACAATCTCAGCTTACCGTAACCTCCACCTCCCAGGTTCAAGCAATTCTCCTGCCTCAGCCTCCCGAATAGCTGGGATTACAGGTATGCACCACCACACCTGGCTAGTTTTTGTATTTTTAGTAGAGATGAGGTTTCATCATGTTGTCCAGGCTCGTCTTCAATTCCTGACCTCAAATGATTTGCCTGCCTTGGCCTCCCAAAGTGCTGGGATTACAGGAGTAAGCCACCATGCCTGGTCCTATTTTTCAATTGACAAATAATAATTGTACATATTCATGGGGTACATAGTGTTGTTTCAATTATAGAGAATGTACAGTGATCAGGATAATTAACATATCCATCATCGGAAACATTTATTGTTTCTTTGTATTGCGAACATTGTGTATACTCTTTTTAGCTATTTGAAACTATGTTATATATAATAATAATAATTATTATTATTATTGTGATTTTTTGAGATGGAGTCTCCCTCTGTCACCCAGGCTGGAGTGCAGTGGTGCAATCTCAGCTCACTGCAACCTCTGTCTCCTGGGTTCAACAATTCTCCTGCCTCAGCCTCGCAAGTAGCTGGGATTACAGGCATGTGCTACCACACCCAGCTAATTTTTGTATTTTTAGTAGAGATAGGCTTTCACCATGTTGGCCAGGCCAGTCTCAAACTCCTGACCTCAGGTGATCTGCCTGCCTCGGTCTCCCGAAGTGCTGGAATGACAGGCGTGAACCACTGTGCCTGGCCAGAAACTAAGTAATATATTATTGTTAACTGTAGTCATCCTGCAGTGCTATAAAGTACTAGCATTTATTCCTTCTATCTAGCGATAATTTGGTATCCTTTAAATCTCTCCCTACCCCTCCCTTTAAAGGCTGAGAATAAGCAAAAAGGGATGGGAACATAAAAGAACCCCTGCAGATAGTAACTGTGCCCCAGGACAAGGGGTTATTTGAAATGACCAGAGGGGCCAAAATACTTCCCCCTCTTTTAATTCTCAATGGTCGGTGCAATGGTTTCAATGTTTGTCTCCTGCACACCTCATCTTGAAATTCAGTCCCCAAGGTTGGAGGTGGAACCTGGTGGGAGGTGTTTGGATGATGGAGCTGGTCACGGATAGGTTAATGCCTTTCCTGTGGGGGTGAGTGAGTTCTCACTCTATTACTTCTTGCCGGAGCTGATTGTTTAAAAGAGCCTGGAACCTTCCCCCTTGCTATCTGATCTCTGTACCACTTTGCAGCTCCCCTCCACCTTCTACCATGAGTGGAAGCAGCCTAAGGCCCACCCTCACTAGATGCAGATGCCCAATCTTGAACTTTCCAACCGTCAGAACCATGAGCCACATAAACCTTTTTTTCTTTATAAATTGCCCAGCTTCAGGTATTACTTTAGCAACACAAAACAGACTAACGCAGTGGGTCAGCAAGCGTGGCCCTGAAATTTAGAGCAGGGACAAATTGTTTTGGGGAAACTTCCTCTCCTGGTTGCCTCTTTTCTTCCTTATGTCTCTTTATCCACCTTGACTGTCAATACCCTCTTGCAGACACTGGGACTCTTACCCAGGCCTACCCTCCCGCAAGTGGTGCCACCAGCTCTCAGACCTTCCCCGAGTCCTCCTTCTTCGAACTCACCTGACTATTGCTTTCAAGTACAGCTCAGTGTTCAGCAGTCTAATCAATAATTTATAGATAAGACATTAAAAAGTAATGAGCACATAAAACACTGCCCCTCCCAGAAAATATTTCTGCAGTTCAACTGGGACTTTCAAAGGCTTTGCTCCTAACCCCTTGTGAAAGCTTTCATATCTACATCAGCCTGCAGTGGTGGAGCCCTCCCCTCCCTGAACTACCACTAAACTTCCAGGACTTCAGATTTAATTGTGCTTTAATTATTTCATGTGCTAGTCTGTTCTCCCCAGTGAGACTGTAAATTTCAGAAAATATTTTTATGCCAGCATTATTGGGCATAAAATGAACTTTCAGTAAAATTTTTACAATTGATTAGTAAGAGTGAGCATTTTTTCAACCAGGAAAATGTCTTCTATCATGGAGTTATATTTGGAAAGTTGGATTCTCCTAAACCCCTGATGGATTCTAGCCACAATTATTTTTGAGGCTCTGTCTCTATTTGCTTCTTCCTGAATAACCACGATAGGATGATTCTATTTCAGTGAGGATGTCATCTCAGGTGGGCTAGCTTTAACAGAGTTCCTAGGATGGCTGTGTATAAATTTGCATCCAAAGAGGCAGCTGTGGACCTGTAAATATACTTTATTCGAAATGTCTGATTGTTTCTGATAAGCCATTGGATATCTTAGTTCCAGGAAGTCCAAGTTTAAAATAGATTCTATTAAAGGTAGTGAAGCGTAATGGGGTTGCATCTTCCTTATTGATTAGATATTTTTAAGATGTACCTTTTGCTCAAAACCAAAGGACAGGAATACAAGAAAAGCATACTCTAAGATAATTAATTAAGTCAGAGGAAAACGGTAGGTAAAAGAAAATAAATGTCTAAGCCAGCCAGGTTATTTCCATTTGTAAAGACTGTTTCTTTCTCACTAGAGTTTTTCAAACATAGGACCCCATCAGAAAAAGGTTGCTGGTCTCTAGCTCCCATGGGTATAAATTAAGGAAATGCTAATAATATCTCACTAGGTGTTATTAACTGTTATGAAGATATTTCAGGATAGAGCTGTTCATAAAGATAACATTCAATGCATCAAATTCCTTTTTCTGGCAGATAAATTAAAATGCCCTTTAAAAGGGAGTGCATTAGCTCACCGGGGTCAAAGTAACATCCTCTGCAACGCCAAGGAGCCTGGCTTTCCTCTGAGGACTGTTTGCAGAATTGACTTACGCTCACTCACACCATCAGAGGAAAGCTAAGTGAGGAGGACTCCAGGGATAGTTTTTCCTTCAGTAAGTCCCCAGAGGAAAAAATGGATACCTTGTGTCATGATATGGGGACAGAAACTGGGAAGGGAAGAGACATGGCTCTGGTTGCCTCGGTCCCCCTACCCAGAGGATTTAGGGGTAGAACATGCAGTGGGTGCTGTGGTCCAACACCCAGATCCCAAAATCCCCCCTCAGGATGGAGACATTCAAATGCCCTGATTTATGGGGGTGTTGGCTATTGAAAGTTCACCACTGAGTCCTTCCGGAGCAATTGTCAATAGTTGAAGAAAACCTCTTCACCCAGGGTCAGGTCTCTGCCACTGGAGGAAGCTGTAACTGGGGACTTGATGATGGGGGATGGGAATAAAACACAGGCTCCTTGCCTCAAGTGGGACTCTGAACGGCCATCCCAGCTCTCCTGCCCTCTGTGTGATGATGACTGAGGCCTTCATTAAGATTGCACTGCAATTTAACTCCTCCCTTTCCCAATCCTGTTTCTTTCCCTTCTGCATGAGTGTTGATTCTAAGAGCACTTCCCACAAACTTCCTCATACAAATCTTCATCTCAGGGTCTGTTTCCTGGAGGGCACTCAACTAAGACAGAATGTCTTTTAAATTTTGAACTAAGATTGAGACTTTTCTACTGGGGAAGTTTCTCTTGGCTCATAGAAACCTAAAACCTTAAGACATGACAGGGCAACATTAACCAATTTTGCAGAGAAGGAACTGACACTCAGAAAGATGAGGACTAAGGTCACACAGTAGACACTGCAGAATGGCCCCATGTAGAACTCAGTTGGGTTGACATCCAAACCAGTGGTCTGATCCATATCAAGTGTCCTCCCTGACATCTCCATGATAAGAAGCAGGCAGCTGATAGGCAGGTAGGTATGAACTTGCTCCCTTCCGAGAAAGGAGTGATGAGAGATACTGAACCAATGGAAGGGGGTCTACCCCATTCCTGCAAAGGTGTTTAGATTTGTGCTAAGACGGGGCCGCAAGGAGGTGGCCAGATTCCATGACTGCTCAGCTTCCTCCCATTTCCTTTCTTTTGATGTTGAGGGGGCTATGAAATAGGTAATAAGTGTCGTAGAGAAGAATGAGGAGCTGAAGAACCCTCTAGGCTCAGCTGGTCCCATCATAACAAATCTTGGCGAGGAGGACGGCTGCCAGAGTAACAGTAGCAGAGTCATCCTGAGCTCAGGCAGGCTGCAGAGTTAGTGCGGGTATGAAGCATTCCAGTGATTACACTCTTACTGTTTAGTAGGTCATTCTTACAAAATGCTTTACAGGCACTGATTCATTTCCCCAGAAGTCTCTCACCACATTATTGCCTTACTTTAGTGAATGAGTCTGAAGCTTTCCAGTGTCAGAGGAAACTGAAAAGTCTGAAGAGAGGTCTATAAAATTGCCTATTTCACAGCCCCTTTCAGAGCTTTTCTGTGGTGTATGTTGTTACTTTCCTTTCTGGCAAAATCTTCCCCTTCCTGCTTCCTAACCCCAATATTTATGGGTAAGATTGACTCCTGACACCTCCACCCTCTGCCAAAAGTGGGGAGGGGTGGGTCCTCAATGTCTTAAACCAATCAGCAGAATCCCATCCATGTTTCCATGGTGACTGTCTTAGAGAATCCCTTCCTAGTTCTAAACCGATGAGAGTCAGCCCCTTACAGTGTCCTGGTCTCACCGGTTAGTTCCAAGAGGATATGAGAGCTAACTTTGGCCAATTAAAGTGTAAGAATTGATGGTGAGAGAAATAAGTTTCTTGTCCTCCTAAATGGAACCATGTGGAGTTTCTTGTCCTCCTAAATGGAACGAGGTGGAGATAGGAGGCCTGGGACTGATGCCTCCATGTATATCCGTCTTGTCTCAAAGATGTCTAGCTTGAGGATGAAGGTAACACACCCTTGAGGGTGACATAGGTAAGAAATGTCACAGAGGAATGGAGATAACTGCCAAGATTGTGCTGGAGTCCTGAGTCCTGATCAAATAGCATTTGATTTTTACTCTATCTCTGGATTTTTTAAATTATTGTTTTTCTTTTTAACAGCCTTTAGAAAGTATGGCATCTCTGGACTGTTTTTTTTCTTTTTTCTTTTTTTATTTTGAGACAGAGTCTCGCTCTGTCGCTCAGGCTGGAGTGCAGTGGAGCGATCTCTGCTCACTGCAAGCTCTGCCTCCCGGGTTCACGCCATTCTCCAGCCTCAGCCTCCCGAGTAGCTGGGACTACAGGCGCCTGCCACCATACCCAGCTAATTTTTTTGTATTTTTAGTAGAGACGGGATTTCACCGTGTTAGCCAGGATGGTCTCCATCTCCTGACCTCGTGATCCACCCACCTCAGCCTCCTGAAGTGTTGGGATTACAGGCGTGAGCCACCGCACCTGGCCATCTCTGGACTTTTTAATTGTGCCTGCAGTTTATGTTGAGTTTTCTATTTCTTACAACGTGCTTCCTATAGAGGCCATATCCTCTGCATGGGCTCCTCTCCTGTGCAGTCCTAATCAGAGCCTGGGGAAGGGCAATTTCAAATAGAAAATAAAACTCTTGCTAAAAGGAAGTCAAAAGACTAGTTCAATGAATATCCACAGATGGAGTTTACCCAATAGTCTTAGCTCAACTTACCCTGGTGTTCAAGGACTCAAGTTGGAGGTCATGCAGATTGGCTTATCTAGATATTGGGCTTCCCTAAGTAGTTTGCAGTATAATATCCATGAGGAAAGTGGCATGTATTATATGGTATAATTATATAATTCTGTAATCCTAGAGTCCTGAATACATGTTTTGCATCTTATAGGTAATTTGAAAATGAGAGTTGAACTCATGTAAACTCGACTCCTGTTGCTGCTGTTGGCATATTTTCTAGGTGTTGGGGAGAAAGGACACTCCCCATGACACGGTCAAGTTTGGTGATATAAAGTCAAATCCCTTGGGTAGACTTCTCTCTTGTTAAATCACCAGCAGAGCACAGGGTCTGACCCAGAGCAGGCACTCAAATATTTGTTGAATAAATTCGCTTTGAATTTGGAACCACAAAACTCAAGTGGTGACTTAATTTCACACAATTCTAGTTTTCCATTCTTCAAAATCCTTTTTTATACTTTCACTTTCCTCTCTCTTAATGTACCTCTCTTACAAACTAATTCTGTGCTGTAGAATGGTGATTTCGGAGGCTGTGGGGGGAGTGGGAAGGTGATGGGTACAAAATCTCAGCTAGACAGGAGGAATAAGGGTGTTTTCTGAGATCTATTGCACTGAGTGGTAAATATAGTTAACAATAGTGTATTGTACATTTCAAAATTGTTAAGACAGTAAATTTCAAATGTTCTCACCACAAAACGCGATAAGTATTTGAGGTGATAGAAATGTTAATTAGCTTGATTTAATTCTTCCGTATGGCATTCGTGAATCATAACATCATTTTGTTCTCCATAAATATGTACAGTTATAAATTGTTAATTTACAATTAGAAAAACCCCCAAACAAACAAATTCTCAGCCAATAACTTGGGGTGAAAAATGACCAAGGAAAGAGTGGGCCTCCTTTGTATTTCTACCAGCAAATTCTTAGACCTCCCTCCAACTGCACTCATTTATTCATTCAAGAAACAGATGTTTATTGCCCTGTGGGTGCATAGGTGAAGAAGACAAAGTCCCTTCCTTTGTATATTCTAGTGGGGAGAGTAAACACAAATAATCATGTAAAACAAACAACCATGGTATCCTTTTGATGATGTGCTATGGGGAGAATGTGTGGGGTTTGGGGACTAGAGAGGGATTGGGAGTATAGTGGGGAGTGATTAGGGTAGTCAAGGAAGGCTGTTTTGAAGCAGCAGTGTTTAAGCAAGGACTTAAATAATAGAGAGAAATACATATTAAGATTTGTGAGAAGGACCCGGCACCATGGCTCACACCTGTAATCCCAGCACTTTGGAAGGCCAAGGGGGGGTGGATCACTTGAGCCCAGGAGTTCAAGACCAGCCTGGCCAACATGGCGAAATTCCATCTCTACAAAAATACAAAAATTAGCTGGTTGTGGTGGCGTGTGCTTGTCGTCCCAGCTACTCGGGAGGCTGAAGCAGGAGAACTGCTGAAACAGAGAGACGGAGGTTGCAGTGAGCCGAGATCACGCCACTGCACTCCAGCCTTGGCGACAGAGCAAGACCCTATCTTAAAAAAAAGAGTCCAAGATTTGTGAGAAGAACATCCAGGCAGAAGGAATAGCAAACACCCCTGGCTGGAGTCTCCTGTCTTTTTATTTTTTCTTTCTTTTCTTTTTATTTTTTTTTGAGACAGAGTCTTGCTCTGTCACCCAGGCTGGAGTGCAGTGGTGTGATCTTGCCTCACTGCAACCTGTGCCTCCCAGATTCAAGTGATTCTCCTGCCTCAGCCTCCCGAGTAGCTGGGATTACAGGCACCCGCAACCATGCCTGGCTAATTTTTATATTTTTAGTAGAGACAGGGTTTCACTGTGTTAGTCAGGATGGTCTCGGTCTCCTGACCTCGTGATCCACCTGCCTGGCCTCCCAAAGTGCTGGGGTTACAGGTGTGAGCCACCACGCCCAGTCCTCTCCTGTCTTTTTAATGGTGCCACTCAATTGCTCCAGCAAAGAACCTGAGTGTCATTCTTGTTTCATTCTTTTACTTACACCCCACATCAGGTCCATCCTCTAGCTTTGTAGCTCTACATCCAAAATCTCAAATCTGGCCACTTGACTCCATATGCACTCTGCACTGTCACTAACCCTTTGTTTCTAACATGGAACAGCTTGTTCTTCTGTTTCTATCTTGTTTCCCCACCTGTGAAAAATATCTATTCTTCATAAAACAAATAAATGATCTTCATAAATGATCTTTAAAAAGGTAAGACAACTTATGAAAATTCCCTGCTTAAAACTTTTCAATACCTTCCAATAACTTTTTTATTGTACCAAAATATATATAAGATAACATTTACCATTTTTAATAACACATTTTTTTGAGACAGGGTCTTGCTATGTTGCCCAAGGCTGGATTTGAACTCATGCACTCAAGCAATCCTCCTACCTCAGCCTCCTAAATAGCTGGGACTACAGACTTGTGCCACCATGCCTTGCTTAAAATATCGAATTTTTAAGTGTGTAATTCAGTGGCATTAAGGACATTCACGTTTTTGTGCAACCATTAACACCATCCATCTCCAGAACTTTCTTGTCCTACCAAACTGAAACTCTATACCCAATAAACAACTTCTAATTTTCCCCTTTCCATAGCCCCTGGCAGCCACCATTCTACTTTCTGTCTCTATAAATTTGCCTATTCTAGGTAACTAAAATAAGTAGATATATACTGTTGTCCTTTTGTATTTGCTTTGTTACACTTAGCATAATGTTTCTAGGTTCATCCATGTGGTAGCATGTGTCAAAATTTCATTCTTTTTAAGGTTGAGTAATTTTCCATTGTACATGTATACCGCATTTTGTTTATCCATTTATCTGCTGATGGACATTTGGGTTGTTTCCACCCCTTGGCTCTGGTGAGTAACGCTGCTGGAACACTGGTGTACAAGTATCTGTTTGAGCCCTTGCTTTCAGTTCTTTTTGGTGCCTACCAGGAAGTGAAATGCTAGATCAAGCCCATGTTTAATTTTTTGAAGAACCACCATACATTTGTCCACAGTGGCCGTACCACTTTTTTATTCCTGCCCATCAATGGCACAAGGGCTCCGATTTCTCCACATCCTCACCAACACTTGTTATTTTCTGTTTGTTTTGAAATAGTAGCCATGCTAATGGATGAAGTGATATCTCATTGTGGTCTTCATTTGCATTTCCGTAGTGATTAGTGATGTTGAGGACCTTTTCTTGTGCTTATTGGCCATTTGTATGTCTTCTTTGGGGAAATATTTATTCAAGTCCTTTGCCTATTTACGAATTGGACTTTTTTTCTTGTTGAGTTTTAGGAGTTCTTTCCATATTGTGGATATAAGCTGCTTATCAGATATATGATTCACAAATATTTTCTCCTATTCTGTGGGTTGTGTTTTTACTCTGTTGATAGTGTATGGTTGATGCATAAAACCTTCAAATTTTGATGAAGTTCAATTTATCTACTTTTTCTTCTGGTGCCAGTGCTTTTGGTGTCATAGCCAAGAAACCACTGCCAAATCTAATGTCATGAAGCTTTACCCCATTGTTTTCTTCTAAGAGTTTTATAGTTTTGGTTGCTACATTTAGGTCTTTGACCCATTTTGAGATAACTTTTGTATGTGGTGTTTCAATAATTTTAAAAATAAAATCCAAACACAATCTAGCATATCTTACAACTTTATCTCAGTACTCCAACCTCCTCACACTACCGCATGACATTGTTAGAGTCCCCTTTCTGTATTATTAACACGTTAAGCTTTTGTCCGTATCTGAACTTCTGTATTTGTTCCCTCTGTGTAGGTCACTCTGCATGGTTCATGCTGAAACATCATGTTCTTACAGAGGCCTTAACTGGCTACTCTCTCTTTTCTAGCTTCCCCTTCTATTCCCCTTCCCTCCCTTTTCAGGTTATTCTTCTTATTCCATCCCACTTATTTCTTGATAACACTTAGAAAGTCTGCAAGTGCCATGTGTATTTGTTTGCTTGTTTCTGGTCCATCTCCCTTTCTATAAGTGAGGAAATGTGTCTGCCTGGATCTCTGCTGTATCCCCTGCCTCTAGACACTAACCAGCACAAGCAAGTCCTCAATACAATTTTGATAAATGAATGACTGCATACAAGAATGAGTTCATTTAATGCATGGAAGTTAGTTCATGAAAGGCCTTAGGCAAGAATTCTCAATTTTATTTTATTTGTTTAAATACATGCATTCTATTTAATCTCAGAACTGTAGAAAAGCATCCCAAGTCTTCCATTTAAGGTGGTTTAAGTCTATCAGCCAGGAAAGTTATGGATCGCAAAGACTGCTTATTTTCCTTTATGCTTGTTTGAGATACTGTGGATAAGTGTATTAAAGTCTAAATGGTGCTGTGTTTGGATTTGATCGACTTTCCTTTCTGTCCGCCATTTGACACATGCTGCTTTGTTGATCTACTCTGAGAACTGAAGTGTGGTAAACTTTTTGAAGGCCTGAATTAACAGGCCTTTCTACAATGGGGGAAGAAAGATGTTGGGGGGAGGTGGAGGTGAGGATGATGACGGTGATGGTGGATATTTCAGAGAAAGGCCTGATGGGGCTAATCTGTCTATAAACAATATTCTATGACAATGGCCTTTTGATGATTGTTGATAATTACTATACTGAAAGAGAAAATGTATACACAGACTCCTACTGGGGTGAAGGAAGTGATACTTCTCTAAGCGGTTCATAAAATTACTCAGTCATGATAAATGTTGCATTGGGAAAGATGTTTTATTAGGTAATAATCATGTTCTCTGGTGTGATCTTATTCTGGCAGATAATTGCTGCTCCCAAATGAGATAAAGAGTGGTCCTTCATTTCTATCAGGCTGAACAGCAGAATACTACGGGTATAGGGAATAGGATTGTCCAGAGTCTGATGTTTACGTTCCTTGGCCAGCTTTCAGGAGAACCTGCATAGAGATTGTCTCTACTTTGTGGGAATCCTTCCAAAATGCGCACAGAGCTGTGGCTTCCTCTTGCTGTGGCTACAGCACAAATGAGCTAGAGTGGTTAACCGGGTTGGTGGGGAATTTGTCTAATTTTTTTAAGAGCATCTGTTTGAGGTGATTGAAATGTAAACAAGATATATCTTGCTGTTTAAACCATACTGGAGTTATTTATTTATTTATTTAATGAGACAAAGTCTTACTCTGTTGCCCAGGCTAGAGTGCAGTGGCGTGATCATGGTTCACTGCAGCCTTGAGGGAGCTTGTCTTTGATCTGATGCCCACAGAAGATTCAACCTTGGATGGACTTTACTCCCTCCTCTGAATTCTCCTAGCACTCTTGTTTCATCTCTACTGTATATATATATATATATATATATATATATATATATATATATATATATATATTTAATCTGTGTGTGTATCTATCTATATATATATAGACACACACACATATATATTTCTTATGAGGAACTGGCTTATATAATTATGGAGGCCGAGAAGTCCCATGATCTACCATCCACAAGCTGTAGACCCAGGAAAGCCAATTGTGCAATCAGTTCAAGTCAAAAGGCCTGAGAACCAGGAGAACTGATGGTGGGTATTTCAGTCTAAGGGCAATAGAAGATGGGATGAAACATTTCAGCTCCAACAGTGAGACAGAAAAAAAAGCAGGGGAAAGGAGGCAAATTCCTCCTTCTTCCACTTTTTCTTCCATTCAAGCCCTCAAAGATTGGATAGTGCCCACCCATATTAGGGAGGGTGATGTACATTATTAAGCCCATGGATTTAAATGTTTTATTTTGCTTTTTTTAGACAAGGTCTTGCTCTATCGTCGAGGCTGCAGTGCAGTGACATGACCATGGCTCACTGCAACCTCAACCTCTCAGGCTCCGGTGATCCTCCCTCTTCAGCCTCCCAAGTAGCTGAGACTACAGTTGTGAGCCACCACATCCAGCTGATTTTTTTAAAATCATTTTTTGTTGAGATGGAGATCTTTATATATACATACATATATATATATATATATTTTTTTTTTTTTAATTATACTTTAAGTTCTAGGGTACATGTGCACAACGTGCAGGTTCGTTACATATGTATATATGTGCCATGTTGGTGTGCTGCACCCATTAACTCATCATTACATTAGGGATGGGATATCTCCTAATGCTATCCCTCCCCGCACCCCACAACAGGCCCCGGTGTGTGATGTTCCCCTTCCTGTGTCCACGTGTTCTCATTGTTCAATTCCCACCTATGAGTGAGAACATGCAGTGTTTAGCTTTTTGTCCTTGCGATAGTTTGCTGAGAATGATGGTTCCCAACTTCATCCATGTCCCTACAAAGGACATGAACTCATCCTTTTTTGTGGCTGCAGAGTATTCCATGGTGTATATGTGCCACATTTTCTTAATCCAGTCTATCATCATTGGACATTTGGGTTGGTTCCAAGTCTTTGCTGTTGTGAGTAGTGCCGCAATAAACATACGTGTGCATGTGTCTTTATAGCAGCATGATTTATAATCCTTTGGGTATATACCCAGTAATGGGATGACTGGGTCAAATGGTATTTCTAGTTCTAGGTCCCTGAGGAATCGCCACACTGTCTTCCACAATGGTTGAACTAGTTTACAGTCCCACCAGCAGTGTAAAAGTGTTCCTATTTCTGAGATGGAGATCTTAATATCTTGTCTAGGCTGGTCTTGAACTCTTGGGCTCAAGTTATCCTTTCACCTTGACCTCTCAAAGTGCTGGGATTAACGTGGATCTCATCTGGAAACACTTTCACAGACACATCCAGAAGGAATGTTTAATTTGTGGCCCAGTCAAGTTGATATATAAAATTAACCATCACACTTACGCATTCACCTACTTAACAAGCTCTTGAAGGGCAATATCTTGCCTGATTTATCATTGCATCCTACATATCCTACAGTACCAAGGATTCTATACACAAAAATTAATAGTAATAATAACAATAATTAACATTTATTGATCCCATACACTGTGGCCATGTGCCAAGCTTTGTGATTTATTTGTATTAACTTGATTCTCCCAACAACCTCTTGAGATATGTACTATTAAAAGTCCTATTATCTGATGGGGAAACAGAGCTGCTCATTAACTGGTCAATGGTCACACAGTAAATATTTGACCAGGCCACTGACTCTAGAA
The DNA here is from genome assembly GCF_000001405.40 of Homo sapiens. Classification (NCBI taxonomy): domain Eukaryota; kingdom Metazoa; phylum Chordata; class Mammalia; order Primates; family Hominidae; genus Homo; species Homo sapiens. Next base: position 25,139,633 of record NC_000010.11, read on the forward strand.
ACTGTGATCTTAACCTCTACACTATATTCACAGATGGTGGATAAATGTATGCAGCATGTTTGGTATCTATACTCTTGGGTGATGAAGGTTATTTGACTCCAAACCACAACAAGCCTGGAGGATTCATATTGGTTTCTACCAGTTTTAAGCACTATTTTATATGGAAAATTTCCAGATTATCAAATTAGGATGAACCTTGATGTTCATTCATTCATTCAAATATGAATATTCAAATATTAATGGATCCTTTCAACAAATATTTATTGAACAAAAAAATATGTGCCAGGCACTGGCTAGGCACGAGGATACAATAGTGAACAAAACAACTATGGTCTGGGCTCTGGTATAGTTTACTTTCAAGTGGGAATGACAGACATTGAAAAAATAATTATGCTAATGAACATGTGAATTACTGCAAACTGAGGGGTTCTGAAGAAACAGGAAGCTAGTCTGAGACAGCACATAGTGGAGGAATCAGGTCAGGGCCAGATATCAGGGAAGACTTCCATGAAGAAGGTATCCTTCAACTGTCTTCTGAAAAATGATTAGAGCTTTACCAGGTGATATGGTTTGGCTGTGTCCCCATTCAAATCTCATCTTGAATTGTAGCTCCCATAATCCCCATGTGTCATGGGAGGGACCCGGTGGGAGGTAATTGACTCATGGGTGCAGGTTTTCCTGTGCTGTTCTCATGATAGTGAATAAGTCTTAAAAAATTTGATGATTTTATAAAGGGGAGCTCTCCTGCACATGCTCTCTTGCCTGCCACCATGTAAGATGTGACTTTGCTCCTCTTTCACCTTTTGCCATGATTGTGAGGCCTCCCCAGCCATGTGGAACTGTGAGTCCATTAAACTTCTTTCCTTTATAAATTACCCAGTCTCAGGAATATCTTTATTAGCAGCAAGAGAACAGATGAATACACTAGGGGTGGAGGATGAGATGGGTGGGAGAGCAGTCTAGGTAGCTAGGCAGAGGAATAGCATGTGCCAAGTCCTGGACCAACAGGGACTTTGGCAAATCAAGATCTATATCAGAACCTTGGCCATAGTGGTGAGCTCAGTTTAAAGCAAAACAAAGATCATATATATATTATATATATATAATATATAATATATATAACATATATAATATATAATATATATAACATATATAATATATAGTATATAATATCTATAATACATATTGTATATAATATATATTATATATAGTATATAATATATATATTATATATAGTATATAATATATATATTATATATATAAAAGATATATATATAACATATATATCTTTTATATATATAGCTGTCTATGTACATATAGGTATGTGTAATTGCACATTGTGTATTTTATATACACACACACACACACACACACACTATATATAAAGCCATCTCACTGTTTGTTGTTGTTGTTGCTTGTTTGTTTGTTTTTGAGACAGGGTCTGGCTTTGTCACCCAGCCTGGAGTGTAGTGGTGTGATCATAGCTCACTGAAGCCTTGAAATCTTGGGCTCAAGCAATCCTGCCACCTCAGTCTCCCAAGTAGCCAGGACTACAGGCACATGCCACCATGGCTAATTTTTTATTTTATTTTATTTTCGTAGAGATGGAGGTCTTGCTTTGTTGCCCAGGCTGCTCTTGAGCTCCTGGCTTCAAGTGATCCTCCCATTTCAGCCTCCCAAAGTGCTGGGATTACAGGCATGAGCCACCTTGCCCAGACCTTTCTCACTTTTTATTATGCATGTGTAATATGACAAAAATTGAAATCTATGTGTAATACTGTTCTATAAATTTTTTTAGATTTAAATATAATATGAATATTCTTCATGCTTATATTTCTTATAATCTTTAATACCGTATTTTATTATATGCCTCATAATTTATTTAATAAATCCTTTAATATTGCATATTTATTTTTTTTCTAATTTTTTCACGATTATAAGTAACACCTCAATAAATATCTTTATATAAAACTATTTTGCATGTTTTTTTTTTGAGACAGAGTCTCATTCTGTTGCTCAGGCTGGAGTGCAGTGGTGCAATTTCGGCTCATTGCACCCTCTGCCTCCTGGGTTCAGCCTCCCAAGTAACTGGGACTCTTGCTTCAGCCTCCCGAGTAACTGGGACTACAGACATGCACAACTATGCCTGACTAATTTTTTTTTTTTTTTTTTGTATATTTAGTAGAGACAGGGTTACGCCATGTTGGACAGGCTGGTCTCAAACTCCTTACCTCAAGTGATATGCCTCGACCTCCCAAAGTGCTGAGATTATAGGCATGATCCACCACATCCTGCTGATTTTTGCATATTTTTGATTGCTTTCTTTATATAAACTTTTGTAAGCTTTTGATAGATATTGCCTAATCTTGTCCCTATTTGTAATCTTACATTTGTATATGATTACCTATTTTACTCCTTCCCCACAAACCTTGTATTTTTTCTTTATGATTTTAAGTCTTCACTAATACAAAACGCAAAAATGCTTTGTTTTGCTCTCTTAATGATACACGAGATTCTCCTGCCCCTTTGAAGGAAGTGATCCCATCCTTATGTAATTGTTTCCTGGATGTCGTTCCATTGCCCCCCTAAGGTTCTCCTGTTCAACCCAGACTCTGAAACATCTCTCGGTCCCGAGCAGAGATGGGGAGCGTGGGAGCCCCACACAGCCAGGCCCCTTGCTGTCCCATCCCATGCACCCTACACTGTGCCTGCCTGGCTTGGCTTGGCTGGAATACTGCTGGTTCTTTGTAGTAGCCTGCATATTCTCTACCTCTCTTGACAATTTTCTTCTCATGTTTACTTTCCAAATACATACCCAGAGAGTTCCTAGCTGCAATTTTTCTGAATCTTTCTTTTCTTTAATTTTCACATTGCTCGTAGTCTCCAGGGTCATCCATTAATTATGTGCTTCCCCTAGCGTCCCCCACCTCCATCTCTCTCTCTCCCTCATTCTGCTCCTGTCGGTCAGAGTGTGAGCAATGGCTCACGTCATCCCTGGTTCCTCACGCCATCCCTGGCCTCTGATGCATCACTTCAACGACTGCTGACACCTACACAGCTCTCCTAAAATCCCTCCATTAGTCATTCCTTTGGTCAGGGCTCTTAAGGTCCTTTTAAAATTCACGCATGCTCTGTGGGAAGTGGCATATCTAGCCAATTCTCAGCTATTATGTTTGTCTAATCAGCTAGGTTCAGTGAACAGGGCTGTGAAGCATTTTTTAATAAAGGAGTTGAGAAAATATGAGGCAATACCTTAAAAGATGTTTCAGCAAGGACTAAGCAGCCCTGAAGGGGTTCCAAAAGGAAGTAGGAGATGCTGACAGAAAAGGAGAGTGACTTCCAGAACCAACTGGGTGGGAAGAATAGGAACGCTCATTCTGGGACTGTCCTTCACGTCTTCAGATTGACTTATTTTGGCAAGGGGGAGTTCTAGGCAACTATGTAACATATTGCCCAAAGCAGAACACTTTTGAGAATGAAAAATGGGGTGTTCCATGAAAAGACCATATATACAAAGCAACTCCTAAATGCCAAAGGAGCTGAGAAACCAAAGAAGGAGGCACATCAGTCCAGTGTGTTCTTAAAGGTGTTTTATTGGGGAACTGACAGACACAAGTGTGGTCTTGGGTGACCACAGGACAGGTGGCCCTCTGCACTGTTATTCCCCAGATCCAGGGCTTATATCTCTAGGGAAAGGGTATCTGTGCTCCAGCAAGACAAGGCAAAGCAACTCTTCAGTACAGGCAAGAATGCTATACTGTGTGCCATAACTTATAATTTGTGTGATAACATTAAGGTAGATTTGTTCTTACAATAGGGATAGTAAATAAAGGATGAATCAGGAGGCGTTCATGCAGCCGGGAAATAATCAGAAGTCAACATGGGAGATTAGCCTCTAAGATGGAGTCAACGGCTGGGTGCGGTGGCTCATGCCTGTAATCCCAGCACTTTGGGAGGCCGAGGTGGGTGGATCACCTGAGGTTGGGAGTTTGAGACCAGCCTGACCAACATGGTGAAACCCTGTTTCTACTAAAAATACAAAAATTAGCTGGGCATGGTGGTGTGCACCTGTAATCCCAGCTACTTGGGAGGCTAAGGCAGGAGAATAGCTTGAAACCAGGAGGAGGAGGTTGCAATGAGCTGAGATAGTGCCACCGAACTCAACGTGGCAACAGAGTAAAACTCTGCCTCAAAAAAAAAAAAAAGATGGAATCACTTTTATCTCCACATGGAGGAACTCTTAAAAATTATACAGGATCAACAGGTGTAAATAAGGGATTTACACCTGTCTTGGGATCCCCCTACTTACAGGAAGTACTCATGAGGAATCTCTCTGAATTTTTTTTTTTTTGAGACAAAATCTTGTTTTGTCACCCAGGCTGGAGTGTAGTGGTGTGATCCTGGCTCACTGCAACCTCCGCCTCCTGGGTTAAAGAGATTCTCCTGCCTCAGCCTCCCGAGTAGCTGGGATTACAGGCATGTGCCACCATGCCCAGCTAATTTTTGTATTTTTAGTAGAGACGGGGTTTCACCATGTTGGCCAGGCTGGTCTCGAACTCCTGACCTTAGGTGATCCACCCTCCTTGCTCTCCCAACGTGCTGGGATTACAGGCGTGAGCCACTGCACCGGCCTCTCTCTGGAAGGTTTAATAAAGAATTGAGCATTTTCCCCTATAGAGGCAAATAGAAAGTCTGCTTCCATCTATCAGGTCCACATGCAGTCATAAGACAATTGTTCATATGAAATTTTTAAATGTCTTGATTCCTATTTAGGTATTATTGGTTCAAAGTAAAAGGTGAAATATAAAAACAGACTCCAAATGGAGAGATAGGTTAGGGCCAGGTTGTGAAGGGCTTTGAATGCCATATTGAGGGGTCTCCACTTAATCCTGTCTGTAAAAAGAAACTGCCAGAGGGGGATGGATGCAAAATGACCTGTGGCTTATGCATACCACCCTGGAGATGGTGTTGAGAATGGGTGAATGTAACAAACACATTGGTAGTGGTGACGCTTTTGGTGGAAAGTCCATCGTGACCGTGGTCCAGGTGACAGTGCTGGGAAGTTGAGTGAGAGCAGCAGCAGAGGTCACGGGGAGAAGTCACCGTATTTAAAACACAGTGTGGAGCTAGAATCAATAACACTCAGTGAATTACTGTATATGGAGAATGAAGAAGAAGAAGGAATCAAAGATGGACTCAGGGTTCTCAAAATATTGACTAGGTGAAGGGCAATGCTATTATTCCCGATCAGGGACACGGGTAGACGAATGAGATTAAGGACATGGTAACTTCTATGTTTTAAATAAAGTTTAAAGACTGTAGCTGGGTGTGGCGGCTCATGCCTGTAATCTCAGCACTTTGGGAGATTGAGACAGAAAGCTTGCTTGAATTCAGGAGTTCAAGACCAGCCTGGACAATATAGGGAGACCTCGTCTCTATTTTAACAATGACAGAAAACAAAAACAAAAACGAAAAGAAAGAAAGAAAGAAAAAGAAATGAAAAGAAAAAATAAAGAATGTATATGATACGCCAGGGTTTTGCTGGCATTTTATTTGTTACCTCAATCTTAACAGTTTTCTGAAGTAGGCCTTGTCATTACCTCCATTTAAAAAAAATCTTAAAACATTTTAAATTGACAAATAATAATTGTACATATTGATGGGGTACATAGTAATTCTTTGTGTTGGGAGCATTCAACAGCCTCCTTCTAGCTATTTGAAACTGCATAATATTTTACTGTTAACCATAGTCATCCTACAATGGAATAGAACACTAGAACTTATTCCTCCTTTCTAGTGGTAATCTTGTATCCTTTGATAAATCTCTCCCTATCCCTTTCTTTCCCCTACCCTTCCACGCCTCTGGTATTCTTTTCTTACTTCTATGAGATCAACTTTTTTTAGCTTCCACTATGAGTGAGTACATGCAGTATTTAACTTTCTGCTCCTGCCTTATTTCACTTAACATAATGTCCTCCAGTTTTATCCAAACTGTAGCAACTGACAGGACCTCATTCTTTTTTATGGCCGAGTAGTATTCCATTGTGTATACACCACATTTCCTTTATTGTATCATTTGTTGTTGGACACCTGAGTTGATTCTATATCTTGGCTGTTGTGACTACTACTGCAATAAACATGGGGGTGTAGATGTCTTGTTGACATAAGGAAAGCATAGAGAGGTTGTGTGCTTCACTCTGGCCACCCAGCTAATAGATGGTAAAGATGGAACATGAAGCCAGCAAGGGCTCCCACTTTTTATCATTGTGCCTTTCACTCAGAGATGAATTTTAAAAGTGTGAGGTGGCGGCAACTCTGGAGCTATCTGATTATTGGTATACATTTGACAGAGGCAAAGCTTGTTCCTTTTCTGATTTTTAAAAATAATTTTCTCTATTTTATTTATTTTATTCTTTTTTGTTTTTTGAGACGGAGTCTTGCTCTGTCACCCAGGCTGGAGTGCAGGCATGATCTCAGCTCCCTGCAACCTCTGCCTCCCAGGTTCAAGCAATTCTCCTGCCTCAGCTTCCCAGGTAGCTGGGATTACAGGCGCCCACCACGCCCAGCTAATTTTTGTATTTTTAGTAGAGACAGGGTTTCACCATGTTGGCCAGGCTGGTCTTGAACTCCTGACCTCAAGCAATCCACCCACCTTGGCCTCCCAAAGTGTTGGGATTACAGACGTGAGCCACCGCGCCTGGTCTGATTTGTTTTATTTTCCTTCTATGTAGGTGCGAGTATCTCTTAAGGCTTGATACAGAGCCCCACGCTCTTCTCTTCCTAGGTTGTATCTACATTCACGGCTGCAACCATCACTCCATCCACGGGATGACTCCAGAGCATTTATCTCTGTCCTTGACAATTTCTCTAAATGCGTGTGACACATCTTCAGCTGCCTGCGAAACAGTCCCGGTTGCAAGGCCACTGCCATTAAAATACTCAAGCCCTTATGAAGGATCTGTAGTAGCCAGCTGTGTTAATCTAGAAAAGACACCTCTTCAGAGCTTTGCTTTTCTATCTGTCAGAAAAGGTGGTTTAAAGTAGATCTACAGTCTAAGACTTTAGTCTCCAGTCTAAGGCCTGGAAGGACTAACTGTTGGCGGAACCTCCTTCCTTTGCCTAAAGTTCCTATAGCTGTAACTTGTGCTGCCCAATACAATTTAATTTAAATTTAATTAAAAGTATATATGATTAAAAATTCCCTCCCTCAGTCTCACTAGCCACTTTGAAATGCTCAATGGCCGCATGTGACCGGTGGCTACCACAACGGACAATGCTGATGGAGAACATATTCATTATTGCAGAATGTTTTATTGGATATTTTTGTAATTTAAGCAACTATCAGGTCTGTATTGGTCAGGGTTCTCTACAGTGACAGGACTAATAGGATAGTTGTATATATGAAGGGGAGTTTGTTAAGGAGAATTGACCCACATGATCACAAGGTGAAGTCCCACAATAGGCTGTCTGTAAGCTGAGAAGCAAGGAAACCAGTCCGAGTCCCAAAACCTCAAAAGTAGGGATGCCAACAGTGCAGCCTTCAGTCTGTGGCAGATGGCCTCAGAACCCCTGGCAAACCACTGGTATAAGTTCAAGAGTCCAAAAGCTGAAGAATTTGGAGTCCAATGTTTGAGGACAGGAAGCATCCAGCATGGGAGAAAGATAGAGGCCAGAAGACCCAGCAAGTCTCATCCTTCCAGGTTCCTCTGCCTGCTTTTCTCCTAGCCACGCTGGCAGCTGATTAGATGGTGCCCACCCAGATTGAGGGTGGGTCTGCCTCTCCCAGTCCATTGACTCAAATGTTAATCTCCTTTGGCAACATCCTCACAGACACACCCAGGAACATTACTTTGCATCCTTCAATCCAATCAAGTTGACACTCAATATTAACCATCAGAAGGTCTAAAGCCAAAATGTCTACAGCTATCGTATCCAAAGTCTCCCCATTCACCCAATTTTTTTTTTTTTTTTTTTTTGAGATGAAGTCTTGCTCTGCCACCCAGCCTGCAGTGAAGTGGTGCAATGTCTCGGCTCACTGATCTTCTTCCTCCCAGGTTCAAGCGATTCTCCTGCCTTAGCCTCCCGAGTAGGTGGGTTTATAGGCACCCACCACCACGCCTGGCTAATTTTCATATTTTTAGTAGAGATGGGGTTTCATCATGTTGGCCAGGCTGGTCTCGAACTCCTGACCTCCAGTGATCCGCCTGCCTCAGCCTCCCAAAGTGCTGGGATTACAGGCGTGAGCCACCGTGCCCGGTCCCCATTCACTCAAATTTTGTTCTCCCTGTATCTCACAGTAGCATGTAACATTATTGTTATGGACTGAAATGTGGCCCCTTCAAATTTGTATATGGAAGCCTTAAGTTCCAATGTAACTATATTTGAAGATAGGGCCTTTAAAGAACTTTTAACCTATAGAGTAAAAGAGAGTGGGCCCCTAATCCGACGGGTTGTTCCTCAGCAGGCTCCCGTGGCTGAGAATGTCCCTATGCAGAGAAATGCTGGAACCCATTAGGGCATACTGGAACTCTCTGTCGTGACCTCTGTCAGGACCAGGGCTTGTGGGAAACAAGTCACCCTAGGCACAATTTAAGGATTGTGGACTTGCTGAGCTGCACTTGCACAAATCTGAGAACAAGTTTTGACCTTGACGTCTGGGACAGGCCTTGGGGATAAGCTTGGGGCACCAACAGTGTTCCTCATTGTCCCATGGCCTTTTTAACACTTATTACAATATATTCTGCTTCATATTATAGTTATCTCTGTGCAGGCCTTTCCCCTTAATAAATCTTAAGTTTCTTGAGAGCAGAAACTTATTCTCTTTCTAATCTTTCCTCTCCAAGTGCTTAGTCACTCAAAAGAAATGGTTATGATGTTGAATTCCCTCTATCGTTGGCCTATCTCTGTAGTGGAAAGCTTCCAGTCCATTTCCCCATTCCGAGTTTCATCCTAAACCAGCAGAAATAATATCTCTAAAAGATTTGGAAGGACCAGATGTGGTGGCTCATGCCTGCACTCCCAGTGTTTTGGAAGCCAAGATGGGAGGATCACTTGAGGCCAGGAGTTTGAGACCAGCCTAGGCAACACAGAAGACCCTGCCCCTACGAAAAAATACAAAAATTAGCCAGGCGTGATGACCTGCTTCTGTAGTCCCAGCTACTTGGGAGGCTGAGGCAGGAAGATTGCTTGAGCCCCGGAGATGGAGGCTGCAGTGAGTTATGATCACACCACTGCCCTTCAGCCTGGGTAACAAAGTGAGGCCCTGTCTCTTAAAAAAATTATTTGAAGATGAAAGAGAGTCAATGCAGGAACAGGTGCAGGGATAGCAATTCAGAAATCAGAGCTAGAGCAGTGGTTCTCAAAGTGTGGCCCCTGGATCCACTGCATCATCTTCCTCTTGGAGGGCCTCCCAGGCCTCACCTGAGACCTACTGACTCAAATTCTGGGAGTGGGGCCCGCAATTTATGTTTGTACAAGCCCTTCGGGTAATTCTGAGCTAGAGAATGATAAGGTAGTGAATCAACCTTAGGGTTGGAAAGGATTTCTTGGAGTTAGCCAGAGGGAAGAAACTGTAACCTTAGGCTATCAGTCTTGTTCAGTAGCAGAGCTGAGCAAGACTGACCTTGGGGAATGTGGTTCTATTAAAAAAAAAATTGAAATTTGAAATGCTTTCACATTAAAGAGAAGGGTTTAGTTTGTGGAGATTTCAATCTGTTGAATAAAAATTAATAGAATTAAATAGATCCTGAAGGAACTGAAGCATGTCAGAGGACACTTGAGCTGGGGCAAGCCTGCCCAGAGGAGATCCAAATGTCAGAGCAGACACAAAAGCACAGCAAAGGACCAGAACTTGACACAGGTACCCATTTCTTGCAAAAAAAAAAATGTAGATTGTCTTCAGTTTATTCCCTGTAAACACACAGAAAAAATCGTGGTGTTTTAGAGACTGAGAGAGCGGTCATGTTTAAGATTATGAGCATCAGAGAGAATAGAGAAATTTGCATGGCAGTCTTCACGTAGAACTAGGAATACAATGAAGTCAGGAAAATTCATGCCAGGCTTATTCAGGTGGGGAAATTGACTTTTCCCAGGTAGTAAGCCTTGTATTAGCTAGAGTTTTCCAGAAAAACAGAATTAAGAGGATATGTGTAGATGTGTGTGTGTGTGTGTGTGTGTGTGTGTGTGTGTGTGAGAGAGAGAGAGAGAGAGAGAGAGAGAGAGATGACAGAGAGAGATTGAAATTTGTTTTAAGGAATTGGCTGATGCATTTGTGGAAGCTTAGTGAGTCCAAAATCTGCAGGTATGTTAGCAGGCTGGAGACTCAGGGAGTAGTTGCAGTTTGAGCTCCAGGGCAGTTGGAGAATTCCTTCTTGCTTGGGGAAAGTCAGTCTTTGTTCTATTCAGGCCGTCAACTGGTTGGATGTGGCCCACCCACATTTTGAAGAGCAATCTGCTTTACTCAAAGTCTACCAATTTTAATATTAGTCTCATCCAAAAAATCACCTCCTCAAGAATAATGCTTGACCAAATATCTGGGCACCATGGTCCAGCCAAGCTGACACATAAAATTAATCATCACAGGCTTGTACACAGGAAAGCTGCCTGCTACCAGGCTGGGGAAAGTGGTGCCAGTGAGGTGGTGTGCTGCTACTGCACTGAATAAGGGGAGTAGAGATCTGATGGGGAGCTGCTCCCTAAAGGATATACTACTTCATTCACTTTCAGCTTATTTTAACTCATAAACTAATATCCTTGTTAGAGGAAAGGGATGAATTATATGAATTTTGACTATAAACAAAGTAATAATTACTTATCTCTCTCTATCTCTCTCTCTCTCTTTTTTTTTTTTTTGTTGAGACAGGGTCTTGCTTTGTTTCCCAGGTGGGAGTGCAGTGGTGCCAACATGGCTTACTTCAGTCTTGACCTCCTGGGCTCAAGCAATCCTCCTGATTCATCCTCCTGGGTAGCTGGGACCACAGACATACATCGCCATGCCTGGCTAACTTTTTTTTTTTATTTTGTAGAGATGGGCTCTTGCCATGTTGCCCAGGCTGGTCTCAAACTCCTGGCCTCAAGCAATCCTCCTGCCTTGGCCTCCCAAAGCACTGGAATTACAAGCATGAGCTGCCATGCCTGGCCTAATTATTTCTTTTAAAATGCGTATTTATTATTTTTGTATTTCTAAAAGTCAATATTAGATCCTGAGGGAAAAGTATAAATATAAAAACAAAATACAACAAGAAAGATATATACTTGTACATATTTTTGGGCTACATGTAATATTTTCATACATGTATACAATGTGGAATGATCAAATCAGGGTAATTGGGATATCTATTATTTTAAACATTTATCTTTTCTTTGCAGTGGGAACATTACACTTCTAGCTATTTTGAAATATACAATAAATTATTGTTAACTATAATTTCCTTACTGTGCTATTGAATACTATAATTCATTCCTTTTATCTAATTATATTTTTGTACCCATTAACCAACTTCTTGTTTGAGACACCATAGCTACAATTTTAATTTAATTCCCACCACCATTCTGTCACTCAAGGCTGTTCCAATTTCTAGGCCCTCTGCTTCAGCATAATCTGATTGCTTCTCAGGTGTTTCTTCATTCCTCTTTATATATTTTGACTCTAATTTTTTTTTTTGAGACAGAGTCTCGCCCTGTCGCCCAGGCTGAAGTGCAGGGGCATGATCTTGGTTGGCTCACTGCAAACCCTGCCTCCCAGGTTCAGGCAATTCTCCTGCCTCAGCCTCCTGAGTAGCTGGAATTATAGGCACCTGCCAACACACCCAGCTAATTTTTGTATTTTTAGTAGAGATGGGGTTTTCCATGTTGGCCAGGCTGGTTTCGAACTCCTGACCTCAACTGATCCACTTGCCTCAGCCTCTCAAAGTGCTAAAATTACAGGCATGAGCCACTGTGCCTGGTCATCTATTTACTATAAAAAGTAACAGGAATTTAGACTATTCCATTTTTTGCTATTATGAATAATACTAGGACAACATTACAAAACTAGGACATTGACAATATTTTATATCTGGCTTTATGATACTTTGCTATCCCATCCTCATACCTTACCCCACCCAAGGAGCTCAGCCACCTCCCTGAATCCTGTGTTTATAATTTCCTTGCTTTTGTTTTTATAAGTGTGAGTATCCCACAGTTTATTTAACTGTTCTCCTGTTGATGAGTCTTAGGTTGTTTTCAGGTTTTTGCTATTTAAATAGTAATGTTATTAACATTCTTGTACATATCACAGGGTATACATGTGCAAGAGTTTCTTTCGAGGCTGAGGTGGGTGGATCACGAGGTCAAGAGATCGAGACCATCCTGGCTAACACGGTGAAACCCTGTCTCTACTAAAAATACAAAAAATTAGCTGGGCGCAGTGGCAGGTGCCTGTAGTCCCAGCTACTTGGGAGGCTGAGGCAGGAGAATGGCGTGAACCCAGGTGGCAGAACTTGCAGTGAGCCAAGATAGCACCACTGCACTCCAGCCTGGGTGACAGAGCAAGACTCCATCTCAAAAAAAAAAAAAAAAAAAAAGAGTTTCTTTCAGGTATATATCAAGAATGAAAGTACTCAGTCATAGAGCTCAGCTTTGCATGGGAGATGAACATTTTTATGCAAGTGTTTTGGTGTATGCATATACTCATTTCTGTTGAGAACATTCCTAAAACTGGCATACATGCATGCCTTAGTTCATTCAGGCTGCTACAACAGAATACCATAGATGAGGTGGTTTATCAACACAACAACAGAAATTTCTTTCTCACTGTTCTGAAGGCTGTGAAGTCCAAGTTCAAGGCATGAACAGATTTAGCGTCTACTGAGAGCCCACTTCTTTGTTCATAGACAGGGTCTTTTGACAGTAACTTCACTTGCTGGAAGGGGCAAGAGAACTCTCTGGGGTGTCTTTTATAAGGGCATTAATCCCATTCATGAGGGCTGTGCACTCATGACCAATCACCTCCCAAAGTCCTCATCTCCTAATACCATCATATTGGGGGTTAGGATTTCAACATAAGGATTTTATAGCAACACAAACATTCAATCTATAGCAATGCACACACTCAATTTTAATAGATTATGTCAAACAAGTCTCCACAAACTGTGTCAGAGCATTCCAGTTGCTCAACATTCTCATCAACACTTGGTACTGTCAGTCTTGTGATTCTGGTGGGTTTGAGTATTTTACTGTGGTTTTAATTTGCTTTTCTCTGAGTACTAATATGTTTAGATTCCCTTTCACATGGCCATTATGATATCCTTTTGGGAGAAATGCCTGTTCAAATCTCTTGCTGTTTTCTCTATTGGGTTGTCTACCTTTTTTTTTTTTTTGGTCTTTCTTTTTATATTTGGGATACAGGTCCTTTGTAGATTATAGATATTGCGCATATCTTCCCCTATTCCATGGCTAGTCTTTTTCACTCTTAGTGGTATCCTTTCATAAAATTTGTTAAGTTTTAATGTAGTTGCATTTATCAGTCTCTTCTTTCATGGTTAGTGCTTCTGTGTCCTGTTTAAGAACGTTTTATTTTCTACTCCAAAGTCATAAAGATTCTGCCATGTCAGAAGCTCTCTTAGAAACTTTATGGTTTTATCATTTACTTTTAGATAACCTCTGGACTAGAAGTGGTTGTATGTAAGGTATGAGCTGGGGTCAAGGCTAATCTTTTCTCTAAGTGTTTCAGGTCAAGATTCCCGGGAAACAGAATCTGGAACATTGAGATTTGTGTGCAGTTTTACTGGGGTAAAACTCTCAGGCAGAACCTAACAGGGAGTGAAGGAAACAGAATTGGCACTTACCCCAGAAGGATGGAGGGAGAAGTTAAGCTGTAGTGATACCATTGCAACAGTGACCTAAACTAGTCCCAAGGGGAGATCTTGAGCCAGAAGTGTCCTTCAGAGACCAATCTAGGCAAGAGGCCAGGACTTTGAACCTATGCATCAGACAGTTCTTGGATACGGGCTACCCTCAGGGAGAGAGTATCATGCTGGATGAAGCAGTTTTCTTCAGCTAAGAGAAGTTCCAGAAAGGGATGCAGCTCCAAGCCATCTGCAGCCCACTTTTCCAGCAACTGGGAAAATGAGTGCCTCACTGCTGAAGGTGGATCTATGTAATTCAGTGGACTAAGAATCACGTATTGAAAAGATTATCCTATTCCCACTGTTCTGCAGAGCCGCCTTTGTCGCAGATCAAGTGACCATATACCTGGGTCTGATTTTGAACTCTATTCTGTTTTCTTGGTTTCTTTGACAATCGTTGAGCCAATACCACATGTCTTAATTACTGCAGCTTTACCAAAGGTGTCAATATCTGGGAGTTTAAGGACATTTTTTTTTTTCCAGATTGTCTTGGCTATGTGAGGCTCTTTGCATTTCCATTTAAGTCCCAAAATCATCAGGCATAAAAACATCTGCTGGGTTTTTAGATGGGCTTACATTAAAAGTATAGATTCAATCAGAAGAAAGTAGACACTTTTGCAGTATTGAGTCTTGTATTTTATCAACATCATCTATTCTTCCCTTATTTGGTCTCTTTTAATTTCACTAAATAATATTTTATAGTTTTCTGTGCAGTCTTTGCAAATCTTTTTTGACACCGCTGTAAACTTTTTTTTCTTTTTCTTTCTTTTTTTTTTTTTTTTGAGATGGAGTCTTGCTGTATTCACCCAGGCTGGAGTATAGTGGTGCATTCTTTGCTCATTGCAACCTCTGCCTCCTGGGTCCAAGTGATGCTTCTGTCTCAGCCCCCCAAGTAGCTGGGACTACAGGCGTGCACCACCATGCCCAGCAATTTTTTTGTGTGTTTTTATAGAGATGGGGTCTCACCATATTGGCCAGGCTGGTCTTGAACTCCTGGCCTCAAGTGATCCGCCCTCTTCGGCCTCCCAAAGTGCTGGGATTACAGACGTGAGCCACTGCGCCCAGCCTAACTTTTTTAAACAAATATTTCAACTTTAAACTATATTGGTATAATATATATTGATATATATGATCTAATATGCATATTGATATAACTAATTTTTGTATATTGCACATGCATCTAGCAACCTTGTTAAACTCATTTATTAATTCAAATAATTAATATGTAGATTGTTTTGGATTTTATGCAAACACAGTTATGTTGCCATTGGATAAGTGCAATTTTATATCTTCTTTTCAACTCTTTCGATCTTTTAATTTCATTTTCTTACTTTAGAAACTCTGAAACAATGATGAATAAAATATCCAGCTTAATAGCTGTAGTAGGTAATTATAACAAAATTTATTTAGCCAATGTTAGGTTGAAGGACATTTAAATTGGTCCACACTTTTGTCATAAACAATGCTGTAGTGAGCATCCTTTTCACATATATCTTATGTAGTTGTGTCATTCATTCCTTAGAATGAATTCCTGGGTTTGTTGGAATAATCTAGTCAATTAAACACATGTAAAGTAAATAAAAGACATCTTAAAAACAAGCATATGTAGCTGTCAGACAACAACGTTATTTTCTTAGTACTTCTATTGTCAGTTATAATGGGATCACACTTGTATAGAAAGAAGTCTTCTATCTTGAAATATAAATCTAGAAAAAAAGATTTTGGGAGATGTGAGTATATTTGCCCCTTCATATTTCTGCTCTAAGGTACCCATTGCTTCCTGGGATTCTAACATCTTATTGTATTTTTTAAAACAATCTCTTTCATAATTTCAGAACTGCCTAATCTCTTGATTGGAAGAAAAATGCTTTTTTCCAACATTTTCTTTTGATATTGCAAAAAGAAAGCAGAAAGAAGTGGGAGGAGGGGGAGAGAGAGAGAGAGAGAGAGAGAGAGACAGACAGACAGAGAACTAAAGGGAAAGAATAAAGTATAGACAAATCTTTTGAGACTTTGAGACTTTAATTTCTCTACTCTTTCATTTCAAGTTTGTGGATGGTAATTCATTGTCTCAGGGCAGGCACGTGGCAGGTAGTAAGCAGAATCATCTGCAAGATGTTCCTGGCCTTGTTTCAAAAAGTCTAATCCTAATGAGAACAAATTCCCCAAGAAAGTTCCCCTGGTCTCATATTAGAAGTGGTTCACAATCAGTCAGGTGCAGTGGCTCACACCTATAATCCCAGCACTTTGAAAGACCCAGGTGGGAGGATCATTTGAGCTCAGGAGTTTAAGACCAGCCTGAGCAACACAGGGAGATCCTGTCTGCCAACATTTTTTTTAAAAATTAGCTAGGCATGGTGGTGTGTACCTGTGGTCCCAACTACTCGGGAGGTTGAGGTGGAAGGGTCCCTTGAGCCCAGGAGGTTGAGGCTGCAGTGAGCTATAATCATACCTTTGCATTCCAGCCTGAACAATAGAATGAGAACCTGTCTCAAAAAAAAAAGAGTTTTGTAATCTCAGAGCAACAGTGACCCAGGCCTTGTTTACTGACAGTGTCTCAGGGAGGCAGCAAGATCTAGAGAAGAATATTGGCAGGTGGGATCATAGTAGGGCTGTCAGATAAAGTGCAGGCTGTCTAGTTAAAATTAAGATTTATATAAATGCTGAATAATTTAATTTAATTTTTTTTGGCGGGGATGGAGTCTCTTTCTGTCACTAGGCTGGAGCACAGTGGCGAGATCTCGGCTCACATCCGTCTCCCTGGTTCAAGCAATTCTCCTGCCTCAGCCTCCCGAGTAGCTGGGATTATAGGCACGTGCCACTACGCCTAGCTAATTTTTGTATTTTTAGTGGAGACGGGGTTTCACCACGTTGGCCAGGATGATCTTGATCTCCTGACCTTGTGATCCACCCGCCTCAGCCTCCCAAAGTGCTGGGATTACAGGAGTGAGCCACCATGCCCGGCCATTTGTTTAATTTTTTAAATTCATGTATTTATTTTTAACTCTGTCAAGTTTCTGGAAAATACTTTATTTAAAAAGAATTTTTTCCAATTGTTAAAATTGTTTGTAGAGATGGTATCTCACTATGTTGTCGAGGCTAGTCTCAAACTCCTGGCCTCAAGTGATCCTCCTACCTCTCCAAAGTGCTGGGATTATAGGCATGAACCACCATACCTGGCCAATAATGAATAATTGTTTAGTATGTCCCAAATATTTCATGCAACATATTTATGCTAAAGTATTATTTATTTATCTGAAATCCAAATTTAACTGGACATCCTGGGTGTTTGTTTGTTTGGTTTTTGCTAAATCTGGCAATCCTAGGTTACAGGCACCTCAGAGTTCAGCTTTGCACGGGACAGAGATTCCTGTGGCCCATGAATGGCCTGGCATGCATCGAAGAACCACTGGGTCTCGGTCTATACAATCAAGGGCAGTTTATATCTTAGTGGTAAACAGCATGGCTAGATCCTGATGACTATGACCCCATGCCTTGCCACCATGTGAGGCCCAAGAACCCTAGTCCAGTCTGGTATAGGGCAGGCAGATCTTTCCAGAGTGGTTGAGGCTGAATTTCTGATTTGCTCATTCAGATGAAGTATTAAAGTAAAAATTTAGCTTCTAGAGTATTTAAAACCATACTCCATATATATCCGAGTTTGTTAACTGAGATTTTTGCTTACAATGATTCGAAAACAAAAAGCAAAAACAAAAACAAAAACAAATTTGGAGTTTCAAAATCTTGGTGACTGGCACTTGACTCTTGTTGTCCAGTGGTCAGACCTCAAGAAAAAGCACTGTTTGCATTGAACAGGAACAGAACGGGCACAGTGGCTCATGCCTGTAATCCCAGCACTTTGGGAAACTGAGATGGGTGGATCACCTGAGGTCAGGAGTTCAAGACCAGCTTGGCCAACATGATAAAACCCTATCTCTACTAAAAATACAAAAATTAGCTGAGCATAGTGGCAGGTGCCTGTAGTCCCAGCTACTTAGGAGGCTGAGGGAGGAGAATTGCTTGAACCCTTCCGGAAGTGGAGGTTGCGGTGAAGCGAGATTGCGCCACTGCACTCCAGCCTGGGCAACAGAGTGAGACTCCATCTCAAAAAAAAAAACAAAAAAACCATTCAGGATGGATGCATGGTCTTGGTCCCCTACTCCTGTGTTTGACTGTGTCCTCACATGGTTCCCCTGTGTTCCCTGTGGTCCTTCTGAGTTGCAGAGTACCTGGTATGAGAGATCTGCCCAGCCCAGGCTCAGAGGGCATGTGCCTAGCCTAACCTGCCCAGTAACAGGCAAGACTCCTGCATGCCACCTCACAGCCATCCAATGGCAGTGGGAGGTATGAATCAGTCTTGGTCATAAAGAATGTGGCCAGCCAGACTGAATGGGGTCCTCATTCAGCTTTGTGTGTAGGAGGTGAAAACCACCCCCAAGTCACACATATTGTTAATTGTTAGAATTTCGACTCCAACTTGGACATGGCCCCTCTGTCTAGTGCGTTCAGCTAGGAGCAGTAGCAACGAATTTTTTTTTCTTTTTTTTTTTTTTGCCCCTAAGACTTAGAAGCCTAGCCTGAAGGCAACCAAATAGTTTTCTTGGCAATTTTTCCCCCAGGCTCACACCCTAAACTTGGAATTTCATGCCTTATCACTTTTATGGCAAGAAAAAAAACACAAAAGCCAAACCAAACCAGGAAGAGATAATTTATGAATTAAAACTAAAGCTCTTAGAAGGAAGAGCTAGAATGACCAGGCTGAACTGCCCACTTAATGGTGCATTTTCCCTTAGCTCCCTCTGGTTTCCTTTGACCTTTGATTGGAGGCTGTTTTTATTGATTTGTTTTAGTGACGATGTTGTTGGGGTGAAGGTAGGAAGTGATTTTCTCACTAAGAAGAGGGTCCTGGCCCATATTTTTACTTCAGCTGCTCAAATGACAAGTTTAAATAAGGAAAAAGATTCCAAAAAAGGAATTCAGGTAGGTATACTATGCAGAGGTAAGATGTTTTATTGATTAAGATGGATTGATTTTTAAATTTTATCTTCCGCACTCTTAATGCCTAAAAGCCTACCCCTTAGTGCTATGGTCCAGTACTGTCCTGGTCCTTGTCCTATATCTGCCTTCTTCATAGAAGGGAGTATATGTGAGGGTGGGGAAACCTAGCTTCCTTCCTAGACATTGTAATACAATGCCAAAAAACTGGAGAGGAAAATAACTTTATTATAATTTTCAAAAGCTCTGTCCTGGCTTGTAGGAATTCACTAATTCACAAGTCATTCGGCTATGTTGACACCTATTCCTGGGCATTTTTTTGTCTGAGAACTACTCTTTTCCTCACCTTTGGGTCAATATTAGAGACAAACTTATTAGTGATCAAGGAATTACTGTATAAAATCTAGAATCATTTGCCTATATTTAAGAGACATTCTGTGATCTGGCCCTTCCGACTTCAATTCTTAATTTACTTGGAATGAGTAGTAAAAAGTATGAGTACTAAAAAGCAAAAGTCTTAGGCAAATACTTGGACTAAATTTTATTAATTACTGAAAGTACAGCTGTTTTTCTAGATTGCTTACATATCAAGCTGCCTTTCCTACCAGCTCCTACTGAAGGGCTGCTCAGTTTCACAGTTTCTTGATGTCTAAATAAATAAATAAATACAAAAACAAAACCCACAGTAATAATTTCTCTTGCTGCTAATCTATTATGAGACCAAGGTCTGACCTCATGCCTTTGACTTCTAAATGAACACCAAAATCAGACTCTCTAGGGTATCTAACTATTTCTTCTTCCAAAAGAACTTCAAGAAAGTACTGGGGGAAGTCATCCTTCCCTGAGCTCATACCTTTAATCCTTTATAGGGAATGACGACCGGAAGAGTGGCCTGTGACCTCCTTCTCTCAGAGGAGAAGCTCATTAACTTTATCTTTTCTCTTTACCATCATTGGTCTGAGGGAATCTCAGAAATAACTATTATTGCCAATGAATTGCAAATGAATGAGTATTTATATCTAGCTTTCAGGTGCCATAATTATCATAATGTATTATTAAATGTGCCAGATTAAATTTGGTAAATGATACATCTTCTCTAATTTCTGCATTACTGTTTATTTGTGTTTTAAAATCCAGGAACATTTCCTGTGGGACCAGGCTGTGCTGCCATTGATCACAACTGGCTTTCTGGAGAATTCTGCTGTGCTTCTGTGATCTCGTTGTGGGCCTCATGCTGGAAGCTCTGCTACTCTCCCAGTGGGGACTCCGCTTCTCATTTCCTGGGCCTTCTGTTCATGATTTATGGATGAGACAGAGGATGATGTTGGCTCCATCTGGAAAGTGGGTCAGCCAGTCTTTGAGGAGACACCTTGGAGGCCTAGGAATAGTGCTGTGGATACAGATGACATAAGTTTAGAGACAGATAGGAGAGTGAAGAAAGGACTTGACCCTCAGAAAGTGAAATTCAACTTCAGCCTGAAGTGGAACACTGCTCAAGATAAAGGCTCTGCAAAATGTACTGTAAATGATTCACAACCGTTAATGCAAAGATCCAGGTGAAGAAATATCCTGAAGAAAAACCCGTCCTGATCTCAAATGCTACCCCCAGAGGCCTGCCAGAGCACAGAACTTTCCACAGGCAAATTGCTGGACCACTGGCTAAGGACAGTAAGAAGGGCTGGCCATGTTATTCAGGAGGCAAAGTGTGTTGGCACCTATGGAGACGTTTGTACCATTGGCTTATCAGATGTGTCAGCCCAGTGACTTGCAAAGGGTGAGGGGTGGTCATGTAGCCCATGAGACTCATTCATTTGGGGTCAAGACCACAGAAGAAATGGTAATTGATAATGATTTATTTCCTTCCTTTCCCTTCCCTTTCTGTTCCTTTCTTTCATTTCTTTAATTGACCTCAGGACCTCTGATTAACCATAATCCTTGGTTCCATACACTTTCATCATTGGTCCATTTATGATCTCATTTATTTAATTATTTTAATTAGACAACCATGAGTCCACCACCTAGTACAAAAACTAGGACATCGACAATATTTTACATCTAACTCTATAGTCCTTCCCTTTCTCATCCTCATACCTCACTCCACCCAAGGAGCTCAGCCACCTCCCGGAATCCTGTATTCACAATTTCCTTGCTTTTGTTTTTAAAAGTGTGAGTATCCCACAGTTTATGTAACTGTTCTCCTGTTGATGAGCCCTTATGTTGTTTTTAGGTTTTTCATATTTAAATAGTGATGTAGCAATATTATTGTACATATCACAGGGTATACCTGTGTGAGAGTTTCTTTTGCGTATATATCGAGATGGAAATTGCTCATAGAGTAGGTGAATACTTGACATCACAAGATAATGCAAATTATCTTCCAAAACATACTAATTTTACATTTCTACCAGCAGAGTACAATTTGTAGATCCACATCCCCTCCATTTTTCTCCATGTCCAATGCCAGTAACTTGGCATTATTGGACTTTTAAATTTTTGTCAGGCATGTCAGTTTCACTTGTATCTCACTGTGTTTTGATTTGCATTTCCACACTTAGTAATATGGTTGAACATCCCTTTCATGTTTACTGGTCACATATGTTTCTTTTGTTTTGAAATTTCTGTTCATGTCTTCTGGTCATTTTTCAATTGGGATAAAAGTACTTTTATGCTGATATGCAGGAACAGTGATTTTTCTAAATAATAAAAATCTTTCAAAATTTAAATTTAGTATTCTACTCCCAGATGGATTTATAGAAATGATTTTCATATTATTATTATTTCTACACTAGGAAAATCCTATTTGCATCTAATATATAGGGAGTACTAATGGGAAACATTCATGATCTTCTGAAAATTGCAATCTTTTTAAACATTAATTAAAAAAATTTTAATTGTGAGTACAAAATGGTTGCTTATATTTATCAAAATATGATGTTTTGAAACAGACATACAATGTATAATGATCACATTAGGGTAATTGGAGTATCCATAATCAAAAGTATTTATCTTTTTTTTGTGTTAGGAACATTCCAATTCTACTCTTTCAGTTATTTAAAAATATATAATAAATTATTATTTACTGTAGTCATTCTATTGTGCTATCAAATGTTAAATCTTACTCATTCTATCTAATTGAGTTTTTGCAGCCATTAACCATCTCCACTTTATCCCCCACTCCCCGCTATCCTTCCCGGCCTCTGGTAACCATCATTCTACTCTATCTCTATGAGTTCAAATTTTAAATTTTAGCTCCCACATATGAGTGAGAACATGCAATATTTGTCTTTCTGTGCCTGGCTTATTTCACATAACATCATGACCTCCAGTTCTATCCATGTTGTTGCAAATGACAAGATTTCCTTCTTTTTTATGGCTGAATAATATTCCACTATGTATGTTTACCATGCTTTCTTTATCCATTGAAAATTACAATCTTAAATTCAACAATTTTCAACCACTATGACCATCCCCACTCATCTTTAGTGCAAACCACCATCACCTCTTTCTTTGGCTACTTCAACAGCTTCCTAACTGGTTCTTTTCTTCTCCTACCCTCCCTCTTAAGTCTGTATGGCAGCCCCTATGATTTTGTCACTCCTGGCAAAATCCCCCCATGACTTCCCATAAAGTCCTACATGATTTGATCCTTGCCTCCTCTTTCTATCCCTAATTCTCTGGCCTTCATCCATGCAGTTGTTGATGCTATTCCTGGGATAGACTGAGCTTGATCCTGTTGATAGACCGAGTTTGATCAGCGCCTTTATGATCGTTATTTTTTTGCCAGGAAATTTGTTCTCCTGGGTGTTCCTGTCCATCACTCTTCCACATCATTCACTTGTCTGCTCAGTGCTTCCTAATCAGAGGTGCCTTCCCTGACCACCAATCCCTATATATATTCTTATTTTACTGTATTTTTTTCAAAGCATTTATTATATCTTAAAATTATGTCATATTATTTTTTATTTGTTTATTGTTGCTCTCCTCTGTGGACTGCAAGCACCATGATGGCAGAAACGTGACTGTTCACTGCTATATCACTTTCATCTAGAACAATTAGGTATCTTTTGTCTAGAACATCAAAGATGTTATCTAGGCTAGGACTATGTCTGGCACATAGTTGATGCCCAGTAGATATTTATTTGCTAAATAAAATAAAATAATAGATTATATAGATGACGAGGCAACCAGAAGTTTCTTGTTTACATAAATGTTCACAGATAACATCAAATCAGGAAATATAAAACACATTATACAAAATGAGTTCATAAGAACTGAGATGATTCTAGAAAATCAAGTGAATTGTTGATTGAATTGTGAATTGTTGGGGGACTACTTAGAGTTGGTAGTTCTGATTTTAAAATAAAATTATGGGCCAGATGTGGTGGCTCATGCCTGTAATCCCAGCACTTTCGGAGGCTGAGGTGGGCATATCTCCTGAGGTCATGAGTTCAAGACCAGCCTGGCCAACATGGCAAAACCCTGTCTCTATTAAAAATACAAAATTAGCAGGGCGTGGTGGCGTGTGCCTGTAATTCCATCTACTCAGGAGGCTGAAGCAGGAGAATGACCTGAGCACAGAAGGTGGAGGTTGCAGTGAGACAAGATTATGCCACTGCACTCCAGCCTGGGCGACAGAGTGTGACTCTGCCTCAAAAAAAAAAAAAAAAAAAAAAAAAGTAAATAAAAGAAAATAAAATTATTGAGGTACATTTTACATATCACTACTTTCAAATGAAATGATTTTTAGTAATTTCACTGAGCTATTGCGTCCGGAATTTATTCCTTCCGGTGGGTTCTTGGTCTCGCTGATTTCAAGAATGAAGCCACAGACTGTGGCGGTGAGTGTTACAGTTCTCAAAGATGGTGTGTCAAGGAGTTCGTTCCTTCAGATGTTCAGATGTGTCCGGAGTTTCTTCCTTCAGGTGGGTTCGTGGTCTCGATGACTTCAGGAGTGAGGCTGCAGACCTTCACAGTGAGTGTTACAGCTCATAAAGGTAGTGTGGACCCAAAGAGTGAGCAGCAGAAAGATTTATTGTGAGGGGAGAAAGAACAAAGCTTCCACAGCATGGAAGGGGACCGGAGCAGGTTGCCGCTGCTGGCTGGGTGGCCAGGTTTTATTCCCTTATTTGGCCCCGACCACATCCTGCTGATTGGTCCATTTTACAGAGCGCTGATTGGTCCATTTTACAGAGTGCTAATTGGTCCGTTTTTACAGAGTGCTGATCGGTGCAATCTTTAGCTAGACACAGAGTGCTGATTGGTGTGTTTACAATCTTTTAGCTAGACAGAAAAGTTCTCCAAGTCCCCACCTGACCCAGAAGCTCAGCCGGCTTCACCTCTGTCACCATTAATTAGTATTAGAAAATCTTTTATCCCGTCAATAAGATCCTTTTTACAGTTGATTCTTGTCCTCATTTCTAGGCTGAGTTGTTACTAATCTACCTTCTGTCTCTACAAATTTGCTTGTTCTGGATTTTTTTTTTTTTTTTTTTTTTTTTTTTTGATATGGAGTTTCGCTCTGTCACCCAGGCTGCAGTGCAGTGGTATGATCTTGGCTCACTGCAACCTCCATCTGCTGGGTTCAAGTGATTCTTCTGCCTCAGCCTCCCGAGTAGCTGGGACTACAGGCGTGCACCACCTCGCCTGGCTAATTTTTGTATTTTTAGTAGAGACAGGGTTTCACCATATTGGCCAGGCTGGTCTCGAACTCCTGACCTCGTGATCTGCCTGCCTTGGCCTCCCAAAGTGCTGGAATTACAGGCATGAGCCACCATGCCAGGCCTGTTCTGGATATATATTTTTTTAATTTTATTTTTATTATTATTTTTTTGAGACAGAGTCTTGCTCTGTCACCCAGGCTGGAGTGCAGTGGCGTGATCTCGACTCATTGCAAGCTCCGCCTCCCGGGTTCAAGCCATTCTCCTGCCTCAGCCTCCTGAGTAGCTGGGACTACAGACACCCGCCACCATGTTCGTCTAATTTTTTTTTGTAGTTTTAGTAGAGACGGGGTTTCACGTGTTAGCCAGGATGGTCTCGATTTCCTGACCTCGTGATCCGCCCGCCTCGGCCTCCCAAAGTGCTGGGATTACAGGCGTGAGCCACTGCGCCCGGCCTGTTCTGGATATTTTTTATAGGTGCATGGTCTCTTGTGTCTAGCTTCTTTCACTTAGCATAATGTTTTTGAGCTGTGCCCATGATGCTGCATGGGTTAGTGGTTTGTTCATTTTTACTGCAGAATAGTATTTTGTTACATGGCTGCACCACATTTTCTTTATCCATTCACTGGTTGACGGACCTTTAGGCTGTTTCCAGTTTTTGGCTGTCATGAACAATGCTGCTGTGAACATTCACATCCACACCTTTGTGTGGACATATGTTTTCATTTCTCTCGGGTAAGTGCCTAAAAGTGGAATTGCTGGGTCATTTGTCAGTTTTTGTTTAACTTTTGAGAAACAGCTAAATTGTTTTCTAAAGTGGATATGCACTTTACATTCCCATCTGCTCCACGAAGTTTCCTGTTTCTCCACATCCCTACCAACATTTGTTATTGTTGATCTTATTTATTATAGTCCTTCTAGAAAATATGTAATGGTATCTCATTATTGTTTTGATTTTCTTTTTTGGTTGTTTTTTTCAAACAACAACTTGAACCCGATGTTTTGATTTTCACTTTTCTAATCACTAATGAGGCCGAATATCTTTTCATACACTTATTAACCATTTATATATTGTCTTTGGATATATGTCTATTCAGAGAGTTGGTAGTTGTTAAAGGTTTTAAGAAGAGGAAACATGTATTTGTGAAAGTTTTCTCAATAGAATTAGTTTCCACAAAGGCAAACATAGGACTGGAGTGTGCAAATAACTTATAATGGGAGAGTGTAAACAGGTTAACTTCATTGGAATGGAGAATCTCCAAAAGGTCGTGAAGAACTGGTGGGATAAGCAAAAAAAAAAAAAAAAAAAAAAAAAATCAGTAAACAGTCTTAAATGTCAGGTTGAAAATGTGGCATGAGAGAAGTGGTGGCAAAAATAGATTGGATTCTGATGCTTAAAACAAGTATTAGTATTACGGTTGAATATATATTTACTAGTTTTCCTGTTTGTGTAGACATAATAGGATGCATTCCTTAGTCTATCATAGAACAGCAGGAAAGGGATGGAGTCCCATGGTTATTTGGTTCACCTGTCAATCTAGTCAGAATTAAATACAGCTCATTTCTGATACATGGATATTGTTTTACTGGAGACCACAACTGATTCTTCAAGAAATGAGATTCTCTTCATTTCTTGGTTAATCCATTTCAATGAAAACAACCTTGATATTCAGAGAGCTTTCTTATCACTTTTTTTGTCTTCCTTAAATTTTATTTTATTTTTTAAGAAACAGAGTCTCACTATGTTGCATAGGCCAGCCTCAAACACTTGGGCTCAAGTGATCCTCCCGTCTCAGCCTCTTTAGTTGCTGGGAATACAGGAACATACCATTGTGCCTGGCAAGTTGTAATTCTTTACTTAAAAAAAATCTGATTTGGGATATAAAAACAACCAGTTGAAATGGTTACGTTTTAATCACATTTGGTACTCATGACACTGTGGATTCTTGAAAATTGTTTCTCTTTTTTGCCCTCTGTCCTCTAGCTTGTGTTTTTCGATGCAATATATAAGAACTTGTTATTTCTGTATAGTGCTCTAAAAGAACTCATGCCTCCCCAGATATTGTGATGAGTGATTGTCATGTATGCTTGAAGTCAGTCCTATTATTGAAGAACCTTCTTTGACACAGAGAACAAAGGGAGCTGAAAGCTTGTTATACCAAAACTCTAAAATTCTTGTGTGTCTGACTAGAGAGCTGTTGGTAAACAGCAGGCAAAATCTTGCCCGAAACTGTTCATTCCAAAGCGTACATCAAAGTGACAAGTAGAAATGATTTATATAGGCCACAGCAGTGAGGCTTCTGCATCAGACCTACTTTAATGATAGCACCCAAAGCAATCAAAACAAGCCACTTTTTAGTACATTTTAATAAGTACCTCACAGATATGGAAGTTCCCTCTCTTCCCTTCCCTTGGGGACAATTCACACTTACAGCTAATTTCTCATTGAGCACTTGATGCTTGTCAGAGAAAAAGGAAGAAAAAGAATAGAAGGAGAAGGAGGAGGAAAAGGAAGAGGAGAAGGAGGAGGAGGAGGAGAGGAAGGAGAAGGAGGAGAGACCAATTGACTAGAGGTTAGATTAAAAAAGCCTGAAAGTAAATTTGTCACCATTATTTTTTCTTTAGGGACAGCAGAGGTCTGGAGGAAACATTTTTAGGCATACATAATATTGCAGTTAAAATACAACTATAGATCTACAAAACAGTTTTCTGTTTTGACTCATACCTCGGTAATAGTCCATTTTCTTAGCCTGAAGATATTTCCATCAGGACATATGCAGTAATTTTCTCTTTTCACAATATTTTGTTAGAACATATTTCTGTGATATGTTTGTTTCTTTGTTTTGTTATTTCATACAATCCTAACTTTAAGATGATACCTGGGCTAGGGGCAGGGGCTCATGCCTGTAGCCACGGCACTTTGGGGGGCCGAAGTGGGAGATTTGCTTGAGGCCAGGAGTTCGAGATCAGTCTGGGCAACATAGTGAGATCTTGTCTCTATAAAAAAAAGTAATAAGATAAAATAAAATCAAGATAATATCTGAAATGTGAACAAAATCAACACTACTGGATTATTTTCCCTCAATTTTTAAAAATAGTAAACATTTTACAAGCAGCTTCCTATTATTTTAACCTGATCTTTGTAAGTTTGGATTTATAATTTCTGCTTTTTATTACTTTTTTAAATTGACAAAAATTGTATATATTTATGGTATGCCACATGATGTGTTGAGATATGTATACATTGTAGAATGGCTAAATTGAATTATTCAACTTTGTTTTTTTTTTGAGACGGAGTCTCTATCTGTTGCCCAGGCCGGAGTGCAGTGGTGTGATCCTGGCTCACTGTAACTTCTACCTCCCAGACTCAAGTGATTTTCTTGCCTCAGCCTCCTAAGCAGTCTGGGATTACAGGCACCCGTCACAATGCCTGGTTAATTTTTATAATTTTAGTAGAGACAGGATTTCGCCATGTTGGCCAGGATGGTCTCAAACTCCTGGAATAAAGTGATCTGCCCGCCTCAGCCTCCCAAAGTGCTAGGATTACAGGTGTGAGCCACCACCTTAATTATTCAGTATTTGCATTACCTTACATATTTAGTATTTATTTGTAGTAATAACACTTAAAATCTACTCTCTTGGCAATTTTGAAGTATACATTATTGTTAGCTATGGTCACCACGTTGTGTAATAGATCTCTTGACCTTATTCCTCCTGTCTAACTGACATTTTGTGTCTTTTCACTATCTCCCCAGTTCCCTGCCCCCACCCCAGGCCCTGGTAACAATCATTCTACTTTCTGCTTCTGTGAGACTTTTTTAGATTCCACATATAAGTGAGATCATGTGGTGTTTGTCTTTCTGTGCCTGGTGAATTTCACGTCAGCATAATGTTCTCCAGGTTTATCCATGTTGTCACACACGTTTCTGCTCTTTATCAATGAAGAATTGTCATTAATTAGTGTGTCCTGTGTGTGTGTGAGATGTGCACACATCATATAGGCGTGGTCCTGAGGCAGGAGAATAGGGTCTGGAGGCAGGGAACTTAAGGCAAGTTGGTGCTGACTTCCTAAAGCTGAACCAAGGGAAAACACCAAAGTCTGGGGCAAGGAATCTAAGGCCAATTCGTGATAATGTCCTAATGTTAACTCAAAGGGAAAACACCTGAATCTGCGGGCAGGGAACCTAAGAGCAATTAACACAAACTTCCTAAAGCTAAACCAAAAGGAAAAACCCCATCTCCCCACACCAGAGTAGCAAAGGATCAAAGGCTACCCTCCCAGCAATCCTCCCTAGTCCACCAGGCTCAGGTGGAAAGGAAAATGCCCAGGATTGGCGTGGGCCAAGTATGGACCATCCCGTCATCTGCATAGGGTGCCAATTCACCTCAGCCTTTAGCCACAGACCAAATCCACCATCCAGATAAGGGGGAGCCGATAGGGACCTCAAAAGGAGTACTTAAAACCCAGAAAACTTTGTAACTGGGCCCTTGAACCACTTGCTGGGGCCCATTCCCACCCTGTGGAGTGCTTCCTTGCTTTAATAAATCCCTCCTTTTGCTGTTTCATTCCTGTGGTTCATTCCTTTGTTATTAATACTTGTTTGCGTGTTTTGTTCAATTCTTTGTTCCAAAAACCAAGGACCTCATGGCCCATCCTTCCAGTAACAGTCCCAAATACTTGAAGTTCCCAACTTTCCTCATCTCCTGTGTTAAGACGGAAAGCCAAGTCCTACATTGATTATGAAATAAACACCCGTGACACCCAAGGTAACAAGGTAATGTGCTGATGGAAACGATGTTGTGGGCTCTGACAACATACATATACTTAAGGTGTGATGTGTTTCCCTCCAGTGAGGGAAGCAGGCAAAATTGAGCAAAAAAAAAGTAATCCATTTCTCATCTCTTCTTATCCACAAGATCAATCTTTTTCAGTAGATTTTGTTTCAAAGTTTTGGTTGCTTTTATTTCTTGATGGGAAAGGGAGGCAGTCTTTGGATTGAATGGAGTTGGGCTGTCCATAATTTGCTATAATTTTTAGTAAATGGTATATTGGCCCTTAACTGCACTGCATGTCAGGTCAATGACATGGAAAGTCATTTAGGTAAATGTTTTGCCTTAGCACATTCAGGATTTTCCTACATAAATACCATCTCCTAGTGTTTTCTTCCCTTGTGGTTGGAAAGTTCTTGAGATGTCTTTGGGTTTACCAATCAATTTTGTGTGATGGGGAGAAGATGGAGGAAACTAGCAATTTGGGTCAAAGCCCCAGTGACTATGGAGATGATACTGTTTTTAGTAGTACTTAAAAAAACAACAAAAACAAAACATTTCATTGAGAATTCAGGGACAGCCCAAGTCATGCCTTCATAGCGAAAAGCAGAGGAGATAACTGTAGAAAGAGTTGGAGTGTTGTTAGAAGTGATGCCGACAGGGAGTAAGAGTTTAAGGGTAAACTGGAGGCAGATGAGAATAAATTGCTAAGTGAAAAACATAAATATCTTGGGTAAGCTTTCTCAGTTGGAAATAGACAAACTAGAGACATTTTTTTTCTTAGCAGATTTTAGGCATCTTTTCATTCATTCATGTTGACTTTCTCCTTTTTCCATGTAAAATACGTGGAAACGTGTAAGCATATAGAGGCAACAGATTATAATGGTAAAAAGCATGGTACAGGGCAGTGGTTCTCAAAGTGTGATCCCTGGGCCAGCAGTATTAGCATCACTGGAAATGTGTTAAGAATGTGGATTCTCAGGCCCTATTCCAGACTACTGAATCAGCAATTTTGGGAGCAGGGGCACTAATCTGTGTGCTGACTAAACGTCTCCAGGTGAATCCAATATATAAACATTTGCGAGTCACTGGTCTAATTATTGTGAGCATGACATCTGGAGCCAGATGGGTGAATTAGGGCAATTTATTTTTTGGGCTGTTTGATTCCCATCTGTAAAGTGGAAACAGTACCAAACTTACAGTGTTATAATAAAGATTAAGTGAGCTAAAGTATGTAAAATCCTTAGCATAATGCCTGGCCACTATAAGTGCTATATAAATATAATATTAATAATACTTTTTACTGGTTTTATTTTTTCACAGGCTATGTTTCACAATTGCTAGTAAGCCTTTGTGTTTACCAAAACAAAACAAAACAAAAAACAAAAACGACGAAACGACTTTTCTCCTAATATCTTAGAGTTATTTTCCTTGGCTCAAGGCAGTATTTCTCAGCATGTGTTCCACGGATCATTTGTATCAGAATCACCTGAGAATGCAGATGCTAAAGTCTCACCCAGATCAAAAATTTGAATTCTTTGGCGATACTTCTGCATCCTGAAATTTCAAAACCATTACTCTTGGATAACAAAGACTATAATCTTCATTTTGCAAATGAGCACATGAGACACAGGGATAACATATACTTAGAGAAAGCCAGTCTCAGTCGACTCAGGAATAAGAACTGGATTTCTGATTTTGTGTTATATTAAAAAACTATATTGTCTGTAGTTTTATTTACATTATCAGAAATTTGACCAGAGTTGTGCTACTTTGTTTACTGAGATCCATTATTATTTAATCTAAAAATAACCTTTACCTTATAAATCTGGGAGGACAAGAACAATGAGTTCCTGGTAAATATGCATAGACTATGATTCACACTTAGCTGTAATTATTCCAGTTGTGGACTACGTATCTGAACAGAACTCCTATTTTCTAGATTTAGAGAAAGGGCTCAGGGAGGTTGAAAAAAATTGTCAAGAGTCACATGATTAGAAAATGGTAGAACCAGTTAGAGCTGAGTCTCTCAATGGCCAATCCAGTGCCCTTTCACCACATCCTGTAGTCTTAATCCTTGCTTATTTAAATGATTTAAAGCTGTATTTAAATATTTTTTAAAACTCAACCTATACTGCTCACATAAAATATGATTTCAGTAGTTTGTGACCTTTATTTTATTTAAAGATATGTTAATGTCACATCTTCCTCTTTATAATAGTGATAAATCAATCATATAAAGACAACTAATAACCCATATGCCCATTACATACTGCTTTTTCATCAGTGCAAATTTGGTTGTTCTAAAGCAATTAGATTGACTTTTCAGGCTGTGTTGAAAAACTCCTTGGGCTTTTCCACCCATGGTCATAGGTCATGTACCCATAGTTCTATTAAAATACAATAAAGCTCCTACACAGTATATATGTTCATTTAGACAACTTAGCTCTTAATTTTGAGGCATGCATAGGGATATTTATCTCTATCTACAAAGCATGCTTATATAATTGGGGGAGGGAGATAATCATCCCCGCCCCACTTCCTGTCTTATCTTATAAAATGATTTTCCTTTGTGTCGATTGTTTGTTCTATTCTTATTACATATGACCGTTAGCATATTGCATTTATTTTTTTCCACTTGCCTTTCCTGCTAAGGAGAGAATATTTGTATTCTTAGTGCTTCCATTCACTACTCCCTCTACTTAAGGTAAGTTTCTTCCCATCTTACACTTACCTGGTTCACTACTACTTACTACCTAGGCAGTTACTCCTCATTCTTGGGGTTTCAGCTCAATTGTCACCTCCTCATAGTCTTTCTTTCCTTTATCTCTTTATATATGTTCTCTGCTCCTGTACCTTGCACCCTTTATCACTTCACAGTGTTTATTTCTTCGTGGTACTTATCACAACATGCTATTGTCTTATTTATTTGTTTGCATTTTTATCTCTAGCTCTCTCTCTCTACCCACTTGGCTGTAAGAGCCACGTAGACAGAAGATGTGCCTATTTCGTCCCAGTACCAAGCACAATGCCTGATACATAGTAGAGGCTCAATGAACATTGGTTGAATGAATGAATATGTCTTATGCAAGATGGTGTAGAATTTTGTTGTCTGCTTTGAGGAGTGTGTGTGTGTCTGTGAGTGTGTGTGTCAAACCTTGATCCCTTAAAAGAATCTCTTTTGGATTATTCTCTTTACTGATAGACACTAACATAGACATAGGATTATCTACCTACTCAGTTACCTTGATTCCAGACCTATTAAATGGACCAGAACTCCTAGAGCATTTGGAACTTTGTGCCTTATCTTGCATGGACCTAGATTTCTTAGCACTCTGGACCGCAATGGACTGTCTTCTAGAGCTTGTACTCTAGGGTAGCCTCTGGCCACGGGTGGCTAGTCAGCACTTGAAATGTGGCTAGTGTGAAGTGCCTTGTGCTGTGAGTGTAAAATACAAATCAGATTTTGAAGACTTAGTGTAAAAAGTGTAAAATATATCATTAATACTTTTACATTGTTTACTTATTGAAATGATAAAAATTTGGATATATTGGGTTACATAAAATTTACTATTAAAATTAATTTCAGTCTTTTTCTTTTTACTATCTTAATATGCTATTTGAACATTTGAAATTATTTATAAGGATCCTACTTCTGGTTCACATTGTATTTCTATTGGGCAGTGCTGTTCTAGATCCAACTAGCTCATCCCAGCTGTTTGGCAATGTAGGTTGAAGGGGATCCATTGAAGGGAATACTATAATTGCAAGAGTCTCTCATATTCTGCATCTTTCTCATTAGATATGCACTTGGGAAAGGATTGGTGCCCTGGGAGACTAGCTCAGGTGCCTCCCCCGTACAACCTCAATGTGAAATCCCGAGGCCCACACACAGTTTGTGTCCCAAGACACAGAAATTTTAAATGTCTTGCCAGTGGTCATATATCTTCCTTTAAAATAAAGCTAGAACCAGAATCCAGGTCTTTTGATTGTGCTTAGTTCATTTGATTACTTACAGAAGGATCTACGAATACAATTATGTCTTCTTTTAAGTTAGATACTAGAGGATTTTAAAGAATTGTTAATAAGTTATATAGGTTTTCTAAAAGGATCAATGAATGAGGAAATTATACTTCGGACTTTAGATGGTTAAGTAAATGGAATACCATAGTTTATACTTTGATACATTAAATAAGCAGAAACTCTTTCTGTTATTATTGCCACCCATACTGTGGCAGAGCACTAAACCGGGATGACCTTTACTTAGCATAGGAGCATACATTGCAAAGAAAAATTTAAACAAAAAGTCGGAAATGAACATGAAATCTACTTGTAAGTAAATATAAATCTAATAACCACTCTTTGCATAACTATAAAAACTCATTTGGAGACCAACCACTGCGGTTTGAAAAACTGGTTGCTGTGTCTTCTTCCAAAAACCCTCATCACTGGTGTGTCAGGCAGACTTCTCTTCTTGGGTGAGGAGATTGATTTTTAAGTTAGCTTCATCATCATGATCTTCCCATTCATTCACTAATTTAGCAACTATTTAGCCAGAGCCTACTATGTGCCAGGTAGTGTTCTGGGTGCTCAAGGTACCTCAGTGACCAATGCAGACAAAGATTTTTGCTCTTTTGGAGCTTACATTCCAGTCCTTAAGTATTTTCTCAATAGGAAGGATGACATGAAATAGTACAGTGAATCTAAGCAGTGCCTGCTTAGAATGCCATGAGGGACATTTTTGTTAGTTGGGAATTAAAGTAAGTTGGATATTTTCTATTTGTGTCTTTCTTGGGGAATTTGAAAATAGAGGTGCATATGGAAAGTGGAGCTAGCTGTGCAAAACACTACTTTTCTGGTACCAGTCTACTTTTGGAGTGTCAGAAGACACTTAAATTCTCTAATAAGCGTCAAAACATCAATTAGATTGTGTTAAGAAATTTACCAATAATTTGGGGGACTTGGCATACTTGCTCAGTTCTTCTTTCTTCTGCTGGGATATCCCAACCTTTAGCTAAATAGAAGTCTTAGTTCTTATCTCTCAATTCCAGGAACTCCCAGTCAGGATGATTTCCCTTCTCACTCAACACAGGCTCCTTCTCATTCTCCCAGAGCTCATGAGTCCTCCCCCTTGCTCTCTCCCTTACACATCTTTACTTGCATACATTTTTACACGTTCCCCTCCATTCTGGCCCCCAAGCAGAGATTCCTTAAATATGACTTTTTTTTCTCTCCTTAAAGCACAGCTGGTAGATTTCTCCATTACTCCCTCAGCTAAGATGAGCCTAGACAAGTATGTTTTAATCATTTCTTTAACTGACAACAAGAAAGATGATTTGATAATTTGCCTAAAATGAGCAGATGCTCAGGAGGACACGTCTCCATCCTATGTCCCTTCTGTCTAATTTCACCTAGAAATGAAAACTACTCCCTTCTCCCTCTTTTCCAGGCAAAAGGCTGATTTAACTAAGCATGCAAGACGCCAACACCCTCCCCCTCAGTACGTCCAAGTTTCCTTCGCTCTGAGCCACCGAATCTCTGCTTCTCCCCCCTCTGCCGCCCACCCTACGCCACCCACGCAGGTTTCCGAGTCATCCGGAACGCGAGTGGGTGCGAGGACTCGGCAGGCTGCCTCCCGCGCCCCCGCCGCCCGCGGGCCGCCTCGGGTTCAGCACTGGACAGCTCCCTCCCCGGCCCCACAAATGGCAGTCGGCTGATTGACAGAGGAGCCGACCAAACAGGGAACAAGACGACTTGCAGCCGCCCTACAAGGGTTTGGTTGCGGCCAAGCTGCCTCTTTAAACTGGCTTTCCTCCCCCGAGGAGGGAGCAGGGAGAGAGGGTGGAGTGTGGTTTGCGGCCAAACCTAAAGGCTGCAATTAACCAGCCGCCCGGCCTTCGCTACTCCGGACAGACGAACGTCTTAAAGGACGTCTTCGCTCCTCGGGAGTCGCGGCTGCGCTCGCGGTGCGGGTCTGGGCGCGCGCCCCGCGCCTCCGGGCGAAGCGGTCGAGGAGGAGCCAGTGCCGGGAGGCGGGAACGACCTGCGGCGGGTGAGACTATGGAGCAGCGTCTTCGGCGGCCGCGGCGGCAGCAGCAGCAGCAGCTTCTGAACGCGCCTCAATGAGAGCGGCGGTGGCGGCAGCCGGGCCGAGAGACGGACTCGGGCTGACTCCAGCCGCTGGGAGCGCGAGGCCATGTAACCCGCTCGGCTCCAGGCTGCGAGGTGCGTAATCCCCAGCCGGCCCCTCGCGCAGCGGGCACGGCCAGCGCTGCCACAGGTGACTTGATTTCTGCGACGGTAGCTTAGCCACCCGGGGCCAATCTCGAAACATTCTTATTTTCAAGTCCTTTGGACTGGGTGCCATCTGGAGAAGGGGGAAGACTCCTCGAAAAAGTCTGACTGTTGAGAAACTGACGATCCAAATTTAAAAAGTGATTCCCCCCCCTCCCGTTCCCTCCTCTTCTCTCTGGGAGGCAGATGGGAGCCATGGCTTACCCCTTACTCCTCTGCCTCCTGCTTGCTCAGCTGGGATTGGGAGCTGTTGGCGCCAGCCGCGACCCCCAAGGACGGCCGGATTCCCCTCGAGAGAGGACCCCGAAGGGGAAGCCGCACGCCCAGCAGCCGGGTCGAGCCTCTGCCTCGGACTCCTCGGCTCCCTGGAGCCGCTCCACCGATGGCACCATCTTGGCGCAGAAACTCGCCGAGGAGGTGCCCATGGACGTGGCCTCTTACCTCTACACCGGGGACTCCCACCAGCTGAAGCGAGCCAACTGCTCCGGCCGCTACGAGTTGGCGGGCCTGCCGGGGAAGTGGCCAGCCCTGGCCAGCGCGCACCCCTCCTTGCACCGGGCGCTGGACACACTGACACACGCCACCAACTTCCTCAACGTGATGCTGCAGAGCAATAAGTCGCGGGAGCAGAACTTGCAGGACGACCTGGATTGGTACCAGGCGCTGGTGTGGAGCCTTCTGGAGGGCGAGCCCAGCATCTCCCGGGCGGCCATCACCTTCAGCACCGATTCGCTGTCCGCACCGGCCCCACAGGTCTTCCTCCAGGCCACGCGCGAGGAGAGCCGCATCCTGCTCCAAGACCTGTCCTCCTCCGCACCCCACCTGGCCAACGCCACTCTGGAGACCGAGTGGTTCCACGGCCTCCGGCGCAAGTGGAGGCCCCACTTACACCGCCGCGGCCCCAATCAGGGG
Organism: Homo sapiens; assembly: GCF_000001405.40. NCBI lineage: Eukaryota > Metazoa > Chordata > Mammalia > Primates > Hominidae > Homo > Homo sapiens. Next base: position 25,176,147 of record NC_000010.11, read on the forward strand.
CCCCGGGGCCTGGGCCACAGCTGGCGGCGCAAGGACGGGCTCGGCGGGGACAAGAGCCACTTCAAGTGGTCTCCGCCTTATCTGGAGTGCGAGAACGGGAGTTACAAGCCCGGGTGGCTGGTTACTCTTTCCTCTGCCATCTACGGGTTGCAGCCTAACCTGGTCCCGGAATTCAGGTAGGGAGGGCCGGGGGGCAGGGGGGAAGGCAAAAGCGAAGCTTTCCTTCCGGTCTTGTGGGTGGGTGCACGTGTGAGGAAGGAACCCTTGGCTGTGACGCGAACGCTTCTCACCCTCAGAGTAGAGACCCGGGCTGAGGGACACCCCACGCGGGCGCGGGTGCTTGGGGGCAAGAAGCGCCCCACGCCCGTCAGCTTCCGGCGCTCGGCGAAAGCCATTCATTCTCTCGGACCAGTTTCCCCGCACTGGGCGAGGGACAGGCAGCCCTTGGCAGGACGGAGACACCCCCGCTGCTCTGTGCTTCCCTCCAATTGTCCGGAGAGCAGGGAGGGGCGTTCCCCACCGGGGGGCGATGCGACAACTTGGCGAGCGCCGGGTGTGTCCGCGGAGTGGCAAGCCTCAGATGAGAGGCGAAAAGGGAGCAGGAGGAACAGAGAGTTCCTTGTTTCTGCCACTTTGGGGTAGCCTCTGCCTGCTTCCTACGTGTGCAGTTGGGGGCACCGGTCTGTTGTTAGTCAGAGCTTATAATTAAAACTGTGCCATCTCCTCGCAGTTCCGGCCCCTCAGCAGTGAGTCAGTCCCAGCAGCTAGCTGTCTCTGGGATCCAGACTTTGCAGCTTGGTCAGGGTGCTCCTTCTACCGGTCTCCCCTCTCCCCGCAATTGATCTTTCCTTCCTCGGTGGCCTTTTCCTCCTCTTCCCTGTCTTAGGCATACTTAAGGGTTCTCCAGCCCTTCACACACTCACATGATTTATAAAAGGACCTAGTTATATTCGGGAGGGAGGCATCAGTTGTGACTGAATTCACTCAAGGAGGCTGGAGGAAACTTAAGGGAGTCTGTACTTCCTGTCTCAAACTATAGCATTTGAGGGAAGCAGAGAATTTGCAAATTAACAGGTTTTAACTTCTGCCTGGGAAGTGCCTGACCTTTGAGGCGGGGAATTTCTAGAAGCAACCTTTAAGAGTAGATGTGAGGAAGGAACTGAAAGAGTAGTTACACCAAAGAGGGCTTAGGAGAGGGCCCAAGATGAACTGAGATCTTCCCTTAGTCCCATGAGGGAAGGCTCTGGAAAGAGGGTCTTGGGGGCTGAGGTTGCTTTTGTACTTTTTGGGAACCTGGGCAGGACTGAGAAACCTTTGTGTGTGGATTATTTATTATTTTTTAAATACCCTGTCACAGCAAGGTCAGGATGCTGACCTGCTGAAAGATGCCAGATCAAGTACTGGGTGGGCAAGTGGGAAAGGTCAGAAGGCTTGTTTGTCTTGGTACTGCCATTTACTGCTGAATGACCTCAACCAAGTTGCTTAACCTCTCTGGGCCTCAGCTACTTATCTGTCCAGTGAGGGAGTTGAACTAGACAGTCTCTAGGGAGCCATCCAGTTATCAAGTTTTGTAGCTTTTAATGTTGGCAACACTTGCAAAGGCATAAAGGATAATAAACCCCTTTGTCTGATTCTGTATGACCATATTAAGTGCATGTGTGTGTGTCTTTGCCTGTGTTTCTATCTCTTTTAAAGGTCTTGTCTTAAACCAGACTAACTCTTTTCTACTTTCAAGATAATCTCATTTCCTCCTAATTCCTGCAGGATCCTATTAGTAAGAGCTGAGCCCAGCTTTGAATCTTTGCCATACTGTTTGCTCAGAAGAGGAAAGACCAGCAGATGCTATTCACTGCCAGCAAACTGTAGCCTTTAAATGAGTCTTTTTAGGGAGCCCCAAGTCCCAGGATTTATCTGTCTTTTTCATCTAACATTCGCTTTATGTCAGGCTCTGTGCTAACTGCTTTGCATGCGTTGTCTTGATTAGCCCTTACAACAACCTTATGAGTTAGGTTTTATTATTTTCTCTATTTTACAGAAAAGGAATCTGAAGCCCAGAGGGGTTCAGCTTCTTGCCTAAGATTGCACAGCAGTAAAATAGCAGATCCAGGATTTAAGCCCACTTCATACTTCATATCATATGTACCACCATTCCAAACTCTGTTCTATGAAGGTGTCCTAGGGGTTGCTATAAACAATGTAGGTACTGTGTAAAATATATGTATTTTCAAGGGCCGCTGTGGAACTGAGGATGAAAACCATTCATTTTCAGAATTATCTCTCTTAATCATATGGATCAGAAAGCATAGGTTGCCTAAATGAACTCAGTGCCTTCTGGCAGCCAAGTTGAGAGGCTGAGGACACAAAGAGTCTCAGGTTGAGAGGGCTCAGACACTCCCTGTTTTTTCACTCTGTTTAGAAAATAGTTTGTTTCTTTAAGTGCCTTTATAGACAAAGATGGTATTCTTCAGCCAAGGCACACAGCCAGCCATTTAGTGTCTGGCTCTCTATAGAAGCTGGCTTGTCTCAGTAGAATCACAAGGTAAGTGCTCCCCTGTGAGTGCTTTGGCCCCATATCCTGTGCCCTTCAAATGCTGTATTGAGGGTCCACACAGTAGAAACCAGAAGAAAATCTTACAGGCATCAGATAGTTCCACTTGTTGTCTCATAGATGAAGAAACAGAACTATAAAGTGGCTTGTCCAAAAATCATGTATCAAGTTTGTAGCAACAACAGAAATGGGATCCAGGCCTTCTGCCTCTGGTTTATCCTATACTTGATAAATATATACCTAATGCAAGTGTCTGTGGCTCTCTGGACCTCTGTACACAACCTGTGTTAGGGACATACTTTATTCTCTATCATTACTTATGACAACCAAAAAAATTAGCCCATAGAAAACAGCTGTCACTTAAAAAAGAGATTACATTGTTAATTTCATATATTGAGATAATATTAAAATGGGCCCTTTCTGTATATCTTCATACTCATAAAGGAAAAGGTTTTTTGTTGATGATATTTTATCATCTAAGATATGCATTCTAAAATTCTACAATATAGGTGAATAGTATTTGACAGGTATGGTAACAAGGTAAACCTCAAATGAATTTTTGGTAAACCAGATTAGGAGCCCTGATCATGATTTGAAATAGTCTTTTAAACATGTGAAGTGTTATTTGCAAAAAGTTTTATGTATAACAGAAAATCCATTGATAATGGTTTACTTGTGAAGGAGAAAAGGAGAAAAAAACTTTTAGTTAAGATTAGTTAATATTTTCCCAGGTCTTACTTACAAGATTCAGACATTTAAATTAATGTAAATTAAATTACATTTCATTTTTAGATAATATAAATCGAAAGCATGAACTTTAAAAGTAATATGTAGAACTTCTTATAAGAAGTTCAACATAAAAATATCTTCTTATATTGCTGTTTATCACTGTAAAACAATCTCTCAGAATAAATTCTATTCCCTTATGTTTCAGAATGACACAAGTATCTTAAAATTTAAGACCCAGCATAATACACATATGGGAAGAGAAGTTTATTGCTCATTTTTTGTCTTTGAAAAAATGGCACTCATTTCTCTTAACTAAGAATTTCTTGAGTCTTTTGTTACATATCTATGGTATGAACACTTGGTTCTCATTTTTCATCCTAGCAAAAAAGAGAGAGTAATAATTTAAGATATACCCTGAAAATATTTTTACTTTTAACATTAGCTTTGTAATATCCTTGAAGCATTTTCCTTAAAACTAGGGTTCTTTTGTTTGCATAATGATTTTTCTTCGTGGGACTTAAAGTACTATGGAGTTGGATCCCATTCCGTTGAATGCATAGATAGCTCTCTGGTGGTGGTTGGAATTGTTCAGTGCCTAGGATGGTTAGCAGGTACTTAAGGGTTTGTTGAATTTAAAAGAAGGTGAGTTTCTTTAAAATTCCTTTAAAGAATTAATTCTCGATGAGCCTGAGAGGGAATTTGGAATTCCTTTGGTTTCTCCTCATTTTATAGTTGAGGAAGCTGAGACCCAAATAGCTAAAGGAATTTGCTAGAAGTGGAATAACTCTTTTGTGGTGGGTGGGAATTAAGGGAAACCAATACTTATTGAGCATCTATATGCATTAGATACTTTATATATTTCAGTACATTTAATTCTTAGAACTCTCAGGTAGCAACCAGTTCAGAAAAGTTGTGCAACTTGCCCAAGCTAATGTAGCTAGTAAATGAAGGAGCTAAAATAAAATTTAGATCTGTCCAGCTATGAAGCCTGTATAGTCTTTCCACCATCCTGTGCTGATTTCTATCTCTTGATTCCCCAATTTTGTCATTAAAAATGTATAAGATGATATTGGCTTGAATTAAGTAATATACTTTGCCCAAACCAGTGATATACACTTACTCTTTTTGGGCCAACAATGCAACCAAGTATGTTGTACAGTGAGAAGAGTATTCAATTTGAGGTGGAACTTTGCCTCAAGTCCCAGTTTTGTCTCTGACTGGCTGTAATACCTGTCTGGAAATCAGTTTCTGCATAATACAAATGTGGAAATAGACTTGATGATTTCCATATACTTCTTAATTGGCCTATCCACATGGTCAACAAATATGTTTTGGAAACAGGGTTGATATACATAAATCCAGTACCTTGTGGAAGTGATATGGGAGAGTCTCATGCAGAGGAAGAGGAAACCAAGTGAATGTTAGACCTGGTATTTGGTTAAGAAAAAAAAAAAAGAAAGAAAAATCAATAGGGAGATAAAGGAAAGATCACAATAGTATGGAAATCTCTTTTTAGAAACTAATGAACATTAGTGTCACTGATTCACTGACTGCCTGAGTGCTCACTTCACTTTCTCTCCCTCACACAAGACACCCACACACCTCCTTCAGTGATTCTATTACAGATTTCTGCTTTCAACAAAAGAGGGCAATTCACACAGTGTAAGAAAAATGACCGTCTTGCTCTAGGCCAAACATACCCTATGTCTTTCTTATAGGAGCTGAAAATGATGAGTAGGCTTACCTACAGGAATAGCCGAGAGGTGTTTGCCTGGGTTACAGATTAAAAGGTTTTCAGATGAACTTCTGCTGTGGAGGCTTTTAAGTCTCAGTTACATCATCTTTAAGCTATGAAGAGTAATGTGAATCTCCTTTGAAATTCTGTAAAAACTAAATGAAGAACTGTCATCACATAGGAAGTTTAGTAAATATTTTTGTATTGTAGCTTCTGTCTTCCCAAATACCATCCTCAGCTGGCCATAACTGTCTTCATTTACTAGTATTAAAGTCATTTGACTTATAGTAATTTGTAACTTATATAGAGGTTTAGTTTTGTTTCTAATCATTATGAAGGCTTGTGATGGCGATGGGTCATGGTAGAAATACTGGCCTTAGAGACAGAAGAAGTTGATACCAGCCTGGACTATATCTTTGACTTAGGGTGTTACCAGAGGCAGGAGTTGCCTCTTTAATTTTCAGTTTCTTCAACTGTAAATTGAGAAGGTTGGACAAGATGACTCCTTATAAACCTAAAGGTCCATGATTATGCACATCATTCAATATGTCACTTTATTTTATTTATTTCTTTTTTTGAGACAGGATCTCACTCTGTTGCCCAGGCTGGAGTGCAGTGGCACGATCTCAGGTCACTGCATCCTCAACCTCCCAGGCTCAAGTGATCCTCCCAGCTCAGCTTCTTGGGTAGCCAGGACTACAGGCCCGAGCCACCATGCTTGGCTCTTTTTTTCAGTTTTAGTAGAGATGGGGTTTTGCCATGTTGCCCAGGCTGGTCTTGAACTCCTGGGCTCAGGTGATCCACCTGCCTCAGCTTCCCAAAGTGTTGAGATTACAGGTGTGAGCCATCACACCTAGCCCAATGCGTTGCTTTAACTTGTAAAGTTTTATTTGATTCACTGCTGAAATCAGTTAATGAATGCTATATAAATGCAGAACATGTTCATATGTTCCATGTTTGACTTTATAATGATCATTTACTCACAGAATATTTACAGAAAGTCCTATCAATGTACAATGAGTTAAGTACATAAACTAATAATGGAAATGAGAACTCCATTTCAAAATAAGAATAAGCATAATCTGAGTTTACAGGACTTAAGACTTCCTGATTTACTTGGAGTCAACATGAAGTTTCGTCGTAGATTTCTAGACCAAGGGCCTCAGTATACCTCTATAATTTCTCTCGAGAGAATACATGTTTCGACATTTGGAAGCTCCCTACTTACTTTTTAAAAACAACCTGTTTTCAATTTGCCTCTGTAGTTGGCTTTAAAATTTCAAAAAAGGGTTACATGTTGTGGTGTAGCAATGGTACAGGATTATCCTCCCATTTTCTAGAATATGCATTTGGAAGTAGAAAGGGGATTTCCCAAACTGCAAAATAAATTACAAGAGTTATGCTTACTGTCTGGAGAGATAACTGAGGCTCTCACCAGACTGATTTTCCAGCCTCAACTTCTGGATAAGCCAAATGTTACTTTCAACTCCAGAAAGGCAGCAGTTTGTTGCACATGGTTCAGATTTTAAGGCTACCCTTTTTCAGTCTTAAGAGTGCTGTTGGATTCAACATACACTGCATTTTATGATTACATTGTAATATACTGTGATGCCAAGGCGTATGTTGTTGATGCTATTTTGCACTTGGTTGGTACAGAAGCATTAGGCCCTGGCTGTTTTCTCTGTTCAGTGCTGATTTGGTGTTCAAAGAGTTATTTATGCAGAATTACTAAGATAGCACATTTGGATTTTGATAACTTTGGCAGCTTCATGGCTGTTATGTGCAAATAGGCAGTTCACTAGTACTGGGGCTATGCTTGGGAGAGTCTGCAGCCAGCAGCGTTGTGAAGCTTTTCCCAGCACAGCAATGTCATACGCATCAGTGGGGCTTGTTTTGCTTGCTTTATCTGCTTTTCAGCTTTTGGTAATAAACTAAAATTTGTTTAGTAACAAACTAAAATTACACATAGCGTAATTTCCACTTTGGCTGTGCAATTACTCTCCTGAGTCTTTCTTCCTACAGGAAGAAAAACTTGACCTATACAAATATTTGGGTAGATGACTGTCCCATGAAATACTTCAGTTTAGGAGAGGATTAGTCCTCTTGGCTAAGTCTTTCACAGCTTTGCCCCTCCACACCCTCCTCTTTCCTACAGTGCCAAATCTAGTATAGAAACCATGAGTGAATTTCTTTTTTATACCCAAGGATATTATTGAGTGCCTCAAAGCAATCATAGGATAAATCTAGTTTTATTACTTTCATTATAGGTAGAGCTCAGAGGAAACACAAATTAGCTTAAATATAATCTGATCCCAAGGTAGTAAAGTTTATTTTTCCAAACAAAAATCCTGTTACCTATCTTTTTGTACAAGGTGGCAGCTTCTGTCTCTATTCTCTTCCCCCACACAAAGTTGCTAATACTTCTATTTAATTGAGATCCAATTAATTTTTATTCATTTTAATATCTGTTATAATCTTCCTCATTTAATAAATATGACTAAAACAAGACAATGTAGGATTTTTAAAAACCTGTCCGATTGGCAAAGTACCCACTGCACCTATAGCTTAAAAGGAATCTTAGAGTTATGTAAGGTTTTGGTTTATTTATTTAGCTTTCTCACCATTTATGTCTTTTGTCCAATGTGTATGCCTTGTTACATTATCAGAGAAGAATTTGACACATGGCTTTTATCTGAGAAAGAAGGAATGGTATGATAGTAAAGAATTATATTGTATCAATTCTAATATGCACCATTTTTACATTTGGATGTCTTTCAAATTGAGATGTGTCTTACAATTGAGGGCATGTCATATTCAGTCGGCATTTCTTTTCTTTCAGTGGTACACAATATAACAAGGCATCTTACAATTAATGCCATTTTATATTTGATGAAATGTGATATTAGGAAATGGGAAAATAAATTCCAGGGTCTCTTCAACGACAAAGTTCTATTATCATCTATAAATTACCAACTTGCAGCAAAATATTCATATATGGAAGCAAAATGTAAACCTTACTGCTGTATGTAAATTTTTTTATTTTTTATTTTCTTAAAAAGAGACAGGGTCCCACTCTGTTTCTCAGGCAGGAGTATAGTGTTGAGATTATAGTTCATGGCATTCCTAGGCTCAGGTGATCCTCCCACCTTAGCCTCCTAAGTAGCTGGGAGTACAGGCACATGCCACCATGCCTGGCTAATTTTTTAATTTTAATTTTTGTAGAGACACGGTCTTACCTTGGCTTCCCAAAGTGCTGGGATTACAGGCCTGAGCCAGCACACTCAGCTCCTGCTGTATATAAATTAGATTGTTATTTGTCTTCGTAATAGTTTTGTTTAAAATAGACAAGCTATACTAAAACATGTAACCACATTTTCTTTTTGATGTATGTGAAATACACAAAATATTGTGCTAGAAACTACAGCAACTTTTATTTTCCGAATAGGTAAAGTCAGAATTATCCTAATTTTTCTCACGTTATCTGGCAGTTTTTCTCTGATACTGTGGGAAAATGCCTAGGATAGTGAAAATAAAAGACCACTGAGGACTAATAATAGAAGGGAATAGATATGTCTCTCCTTTCTAAAGTGTGTAAAGGTTTCACAATGGAAGTTACTTCTTATGTAGCAATGTAACCAGTTTAGACCGATGAGATTTAAATGCAATTGTGAAGATAAGCATTTTTTCTTTTTTTCCCGTCAATTGCTTGGAATAAAATGAAGAGTATGATTTTCCTCTTATTTGATGCCTCAGACCGCTATGCTGAACAAGGTTTCTCAACCTTGGAACTACAGACATTTGGGACCAGATAGGCCTTTGCTGTGGGGGCTGTCTTATTCACTGTAAGATGTTCAGCAGCACCTCTGGCTTCTATCCATTAGATGCCAGTGGCAACACACCCTGCCAGTGTGAAAACCGAATGTGTCTGCAGACATTGCCAAATATCCCCTGTGGGGCAAAACTGCCTCTGGTTGAAAGCCACTGGTGTAGGGGAGCACATATGATACATAACGTATAAAATGCTACTCTGGGACTATCCCTATTTCAAGGGTTCTGTATGTATGTGTACACATATGTGTGTACATATATCTGTGTGTGCATATATTTATGCTCATATAGGCATTTGTCAGATTACATGTCTATTTATTTATTTAAAATATAAGATCATTGTATATATAGAACCTGACACAAGTGAGAACTGAAACATTTTGATAGATCAATGAAATATGAATTAATTTACATTGGTATGTCATCAGGGCTCAAAAAGAACATCTGACTAAATATGTAGAATCTGTTGCTAAGCATGGTTTTACTACCTACATGGTTAAATGTTTAATATTTAAGGTTTCCCATAAAAAGATGAATTTTGAAGGGAAAGCACTAGGCCGGATGTGGTGGCTCACGCCTGTAATCCCAGCACTTTGGGATGCCAAGGCAGATGGATCACGAGGTCAGGAGATCGAGACTATCCTGGCTAACAGGGTGAAACCCCGTCTGTACTAAAAATACAAAAAATTAGCCAGGCGTGGTGGCAGGCGCCTGTAGTCCCAGCTACTCGAGAGGCTGAGGCAGGAGAATGGCGTGAACCCGGGAGGCAGAGCTTGCAGTGAGCCGAGATGGCACCACTGCACTTCAGCCTGGGCGACAGAGAAAAAAAAAAAAATTCCTGGATATCCTTGTTAACTTTCTGTCTCGTCAGCTCTGCACCAAGCGGACTTAATAGACATCTACAGAACTCTCTACCCCAAAACAACAGAATATACATTCTTCTCAGCACATCACACTTATTCCAAAATTGACCACATAGTTGGAAGTAAAGCACTCCTCAGCAAATATAAAAGACCAGAAATTATAACAAAGTGTCTCTCAGACCACAGTGCAATCAAACTAGAACTCAGGATTAAGAAACTCACTCAAAACCACTCAACTACATGGAAACTGAACAACCTGCTCCTGAATGACTACTGGGTACATAACGAAATGAAGGCAGAAATAAAGATGTTCTTTGAAACAATTGAGAACAAAGACACAACATATCAGAATCTCTGGGACACATTTAAAGCGGTGTGTAGAGGGAAATTTATAGCACTAAATGCCCACAAGAGAAAGCAGGAAAGATCTAAAATTGACACCCTAACATCACAATTAAAAGAACTAGAGAAGCAAGAGCAAACACATTCAAAAGCTAGCTAAAGGCAAGAAATAACTAAGATCAGAGCAGAACTGAAGGAGATAGAGACACAAAAAACCCTTCAAAAAATCAGTGAATCCAGGAGCTGTTTTTTTGAAAAGATCAACAAAATTGATAGACCACTAGCAAGACTAATAAAGAAGAAAAGAGAGAAGAATCAAATAGACACAATAAAAAATGATAAAGGGGTTATCACCACCGACCTCACAGAAATACGAACTACCATCAGAGAATATTATAAACACCTCTACGCAAATAAACTAGAAAATCTAGAAGAAATGGATAAATTCCTGCACACATACACCCTCCCAAGATTAAACCAGGAAGAAGTTGAATCCCTGAATAGACCAATAACAGGCTCTGAAATTGAGGCAATAATTAATAGCCTATCAACCAAAAAAAGTCCAGGACCAGATGGATTCACAGCCGAATTCTACCAGAGGTACAAGGAGGAGCTGGCACCATTCCTTCTGAAACTATTCCAATCAGTAGAAAAAGAGGGAATCCTCCCTAACTCATTTGATGAGGCCAGTATCATCCTGATACCAAAGCCTGGCAGAGACACAACAAAAAAAAGAGAATTTTAGAAAGAGGGAATCCTCCCTAACTCATTTTTTTTTTTTTTTTTTTTTTGAGGTGGAGTCTCACTCTGTCGCCCAGGCTGGAGTGCAGTGGGGCGATCTCGGCTCACTGCAAACTCCACCTCCCGAGTTCATGCCATTTTCCTGCCTCAGCCTCCCGAGTATCTAGGACTACAGGCGCCCGCCATCACGCCCGGCTATTTTTTTTGTATTTTTAATAGAGACAGGGTTTCACTGTGTTAGCCAGGATGGTCTCAATCTCCTGACCTCGTGATCCGCCTGTCTTGGCCTCCCAAAGTGCTGGGATTACAGGCGTTAGCCACCGCGTCCGGCCCTCCCTAACTCATTTTATGAGGCCAGCATCATCCTGATACCAAAGCCTGGCAGAGACACAATAAAAAAAGAGAATTTTAGGCCAATATCCCTGATGAACATCGATGCAAAAATCCTCAATAAAATACTGGCAGACCAAATCCAGCAGCACATCAAAAAGCTTATCCACCATGATCAAGTGGGCTTCATCCCTGGGATGCAAGGCTAGTTCAACATACACAAATCAATAAACGTAATCCAGCATATAAACAGAACCAAAGACAAAAACCACATGATTATCTCAATAGATGCAGAAAAGGCCTTCGACAAAATTCAACAGCCCTTCATGCTAAAAACTCTCAATAAACTAGGTATTGATGGGATGTATCTCAAAATAATAAGAGCTATTTATGACAAACCCACAGCCAATATCATACTGAATGGGCAAAAACTGGAAGCATTCCCTTTGAAAACTGGCACAAGACAGGGATGCCCTCTCTCACCACTCCTATTCAACATACTGTTGGAAGTTCTGGCCAGGGCAATCAGGCAGGAGAAAGAAATAAAGGGTATTCAATTAGGAAAAGAGGAAGTCAAATTGTCCCTGTTTGCAGATGACATGATTGTATATCCAGAAAACCCCATCGTCTCAGCCCAAAATCTCCGTAAGCTGATAAGCAACTTCAGCAAAGTCTCAGGATACAAAATCAATGTGCAAAAATCACAAGCATTCCTATACACCAATAACAGACAAACAGAGAGCCAAATTATGAGTGAACTCCCATTCACAATTGCTTCAAAGAGAATAAAATACCTAGGAATCCAACTTACAAGGGATGTGAAGGACCTCTTCAAAGAGAACTACAAACCACTGCTCAATGAAATAACAGAGGACACAAACAAATGGAAGAACATTCCATGCTCATGGATAGGAAGAATCAATATCATGAAAATGGCCATACTGCCCCAGGTAAATTATAAATTCAGTGCCATCCCCATCAAGCTCCCAATGACTTTCTTCACAGAATTGGAAAACACTACTTTAAAGTTCATGTGGAGCCAAAAAAGAGCCCACATTGCCAAGACAATCCTAAGCCAAAATAGCAAAGCTGGAGGCATCATGCCAGCTGACTTCAAACTATACTACAAGGCTACAGTATCCAAAACAGCATGGTACTGGTATCAAACACAGATATAGACCAATGGAACAGAACAGAGCCCTCAGAAATAATACCACACATCTACAACCATCTGATCTTTGACAAACCTGACAAAAACAACAAATGGGTAAAGGATTCCCTATTTATTAAATGGTGCTGGGAAAACTGGCTAGCCATACATAGAAAGCTGAAACTGGATCCCTTCCTTACACCTTATACAAAAATTAATTCAAGATGGATTGAAGACTTAAACGTTAGACCTAAAACCATAAAAACCCTTGAAGAAAACCTAGGCAATACCATTCAGGACATAGGCATGGGCAAGGACTTCATGACTAAAACACCAAAAGCAATGGCAACAGAAGCCAAAATTGACAAATGGGATCTAATTAAACTAAAGAGCTTCTTCACAGCAAAAGAAACTACCATCAGAGTGAACAGGCAACCTACAGAATGGGAGAAAATTTTTACAATCTACCCATCTGACAAAGGGCTAATATCCAGAATCTACAAAGAACTCAAACAAATTTACAAGAAAAAAACAAACAACCCCACCAAAAAGTGGGCAAAGGACATGAATGGACCCTTCTCAAAAGAAGACATCTATGCAGCCAACAGACACATGAAAAAATGTTCATCATCACTGGCCACCAGAGAAATGCAAATCAAAACCACAGTGAGATACCATCTCACACCAGTTAGAATGGCGATCATTCAAAAGTCAGGAAATAACAGGTGCTGGAGAGGATGTGGAGAAATAGGAACACTTTTACACTGTTGGTGGGACAGTAAACTAGTTCAACCATTGTGGAAGATAGTGTGGCAATTCCTCAAGGATCTAGAACTAGAAATGCCATTTGACCCAGCCATCCCATTACTGGGTATACGCCCAAAGGATTATAAATCATGCTGCTATAAAGGCACATGCACACTTGTATTTATTGCAGCACTATTCACAATAGCAAAGACTTGGAACCAACCCAAAAATGTCCATCGATGATAGACTGGATTAAGAAAATGTGGCACATATACACCATGGAATACTATGCAGCCATAAAAAAGGATGAGTTCATGTCCTTTGTAGGGACATGGATAAAGCTGGAAACCGTCATTCTCAGCAAACTATCACAAGGATAGAAAACCAAACACCACACATTCTCACTCATAGGTGGGAGTTGAACAATGAGAACACTTGGACACAGGAAGGGGAACATCACACACAGGGGCCTGTCGTGGGGTTGGGGGAGGAGGGAGGGATAGCATTAGGAGATATACCTAATGTAAATGATGAGTTAATGGGTGCAGCACACCAACATGGCACATGTATACATATGTAGCAAACCTGCATGTTGTTCACATGTACCCTAGAACTTAAAGTATAATTTAAAAAAAAAACCTTTAAAAAAAAAAAAAGAGAAAAGAAAGGAAAGCATGTGTGTGTGTGTGTGTGTGTGTGTGTGTGTGTGTGTGTATGTGTATGTACCTGGAAGAACAGAAAGAGGGAAGGGGGGTACAGTTTGGTGTAGAGGAGTGGGGAAAGGGAACAAATGAAGATGAATGAACTGATGGAAAACAATTAGCAATCTGTCATCCTGCGGAATATTGCCTTATTTTTACATGAAGCTCCATTTACCATTGAGCAGTTTTATAGTTCTGATGAAACTGAACTATTTTTCCCTAGTAAGTAGTTGAGGAGTTAAGTTCTTGATGATTTAATCATTATAAAGATAAGTTGACTGTGCTTGCATTTCAGAACTTTATTTCAGCTTATCCCATTAAAGGAATATTAGTACCTTACAATGTATTTTTTAAATATTCCGTTTGCCATTTTAACTTATTGATTCAACTAGAAGTTGTTCAGAATTTGAACTTATCACAAATGAATTTCCTAGAAGAAATGATTGAAATGTTATATTACATAGACATTGTTATTATTATTATTATTATTGAGACAGGGTCTTACTTTGTCACCCAGGCTGGAGTGCAATGGCGTAAATACAACACACTGCAGCCTCAACCTCCCAGGTTCAAGTGATCCTCCCACCTCAGTCCCCCAAGTAGCTGAGACTACAGGTGTGCACCACCATGCCCGGCTAATTTTTCTATTTTTTGTAGAGATGGGATTTTATCATGTTCCCTAGGCTGGTTGAACTCCCGGGCTCAAGCAATCCACCCGCATCAGCCTCCCAAAGTGTTGGGATTACAGGCATGAGCCACCGCTGCTGGCCCTACATATACATTATTTAAAGCTTTAATAAGCATATGTTTAAAGATACAGTTTTAAATATTAAGAATGCTTAGAATTCTGTTAAGTCAGAAGAAAGCTTAAGAAAACAAAAACAAACAGTGACCACATGATAAAAAAGAATGTTTAAGCTTCATGGTGCAAATTACCTTAGCACAAACTGAAGAGTGACCAATTCTTTACTCCCTATCCATAAACATGAAACATACACAACCTACTGTGAGAAGGGAGGAGCTTGTTGTTGTACACTATGTTCATTATGGAGAAATAAGAGACAATGTTGTGAATATTAGAGATGAATCCAAGGCTTCTGAAAAGAAAGATGAAGACTATGATTTTTCTGGATAAGGTAAACTTTTAGGATGGTTGTTTTGGGTATTGACAATAATTAGTTCTTTGGAAAGCCTCTCACAATACAGTCCCCTGAAAGTTATTTAGCAATGTATCTGTCTTTCCATGTTTATGAAAAAGAGGCAAATAACAAATGATATTGAGGCATTCGTTAAAGAACCAATGTTTTTAGTAAACATCTTGTGAAAAGCTCCTTTCTGAATTAGAATTTTAGAAGTAAAGGGGATTTTAGAGATCACGTAATCCAATTTATTTTTATGGGTGAGGAAAATGAGACCAAGGGAGTTGGTGACCATCACTTGCATTAGCTATGGCTGCAGCGAACTTGCAGTTTAATAACAGACACGAAGAAAAAGATGCTGAGTCATCAAATAAAGGTTAATTTATGTTCATTATTCGCTGATCCCAAACCTGGCTGGGCATAAAGATCACCTGAAGAGCCTGATAATATGTTCCCAGGCCCTGCCTAGACCTTGTGAACAAGACAATCTGCAATAGGATCTGAAGTCTATATTAAACACAAAGTCTTTGTAATTCGGAAGTAGTTAGTCCTTAAACACAAACTTGAGAGAAGTAAACAGTATTTGATAAAATTGAAACACATATAAACATGTCATAGAAACAGCTTCATATAAACAGCTTCATATAAACAGCTGATATAAATAACTGCAGCTTTAGTCACTGAAAAAATTTGGTTACAGGCCATTCTGGGTACTTGAAACATTCCAGTATTGTGAAGGAGCCTATCAGTACTGCAAATTTAAAATGTCTGGAAGGTGCTTTATGAAGGCAGGGGGCTCACAGGTTCTGAGCCTTGGAATGAGAAATCACTTGGCTGTATACTCCTGTTTCTCCCTCACTTTTTTTGGGGTTTTTTGTTTTCTCAACTGTAACATAGGGGCTATCATAAGAGCAACCTGCCTCCTGTTATTATCTGTCTCTTTATGTAAACATCCTGTTTCCCAAAGAGTTCTACAGGTTTTTTAAGTACCAGGACCATATTTTGTGACTTCCTGTATTCAGTGCCTGATACGGTTTGGCTGTGTCTGCACCCAAAATCTCATCTTGAATTGTAATCTCCATAATTCCCACGTGTCAAGGGAGAGACCAGGTGGAGGTAATTGGATCGTGGGGGCAGCTTCCCCTGAGCTGTTCTCATGATAGTGAGGGAGATCTCACGAGATCTGATGGTTTTATAAGTGTGTAGTAGTCCCTCCTGGGTTCATTTTCCCCACTGCCACCTTATGAAGAAGGTGCCTTGCTTCTCCTTCACCTTCCGCCACGGTTTTAAGTTTCCTGAGGCCTCCCCAGCCAAATGGAACTGTGAGTCAATTAAATGTCTTTCCTTTATAAGTTACCCAGTCTCGGGCAGTTCTTTGTAGCAGTGTGAGAACGGACTAATACAGTGTCTCTTGAAAATACCTTGCCTATTTCAGAAAAACAGCATGGGAATAGTGTCTAGGAGGAGGGGTTTTGGGATCATAAACCTAGGTTTGAATCCAAGAATTTCCACTTTCACTTACTGTGTGACACTAGAAAGTTATGTAACTCTGTGGCTCAATTCCCTCATTGCAAAAGGTATAGAATGCCTCTTACTGTTGTAAAGAGTAAACAATCTTATATATGTAAAGAGGCTAACATAATTTCTGAAATGTACTAAACTTTTTTTAAAAGTTATAATGTATTGTCTCCGATTTATGATGGTTCTACCTACAATTATTCAAATTTTTGAGGGCGCACATGTACCCTAAAACTTGAAGTATAATAAAAAAAAGGTAGAAAAATGATAAAAAAAAATAAAAATCGAATTCATCAAAAAAAAAAGTGATACACATTCAGTAAAAACTATACTTTGGTACAGCATTCAATCAATCACATAAGATATTCAACACTTTAGTAAAAAATAGGCTTTATTTTAGATGATTTTGCCCAACTGTGGGCTAATGTAAGTGTTCTGAGCATGTTTATGGTAGGCTAGGTTAAAGCAATGATGTTTAGTAGGTTAGATGTATTAAATACATTTTCAATTTACGTATTTTCAACTTAAGATGGGTTTACTGGGATGGGTTTATCAGAACATAAGTTGAGGAGCACCTGTATATTACATGCACCTGGCTATGGCTACAGGTGCTAGGGATAGAATAGTGAAGACAACAGACAAAATCCCTGTCCTCATGGACTCTTGTGGGGATGGGGGAAATGCATAATAAACAGGCAAAATAAAAATAATAAGTAATTATTGATAGAACCAAGTGCTATAAGGAAAAAAATAGGGGAACGTGGCAGAGAATGGCTGAGGGGTAGGGTAGAATGCATTCAATAGGATGGTCAGGAAAGACCTATTTGAAGAGGTGACTCTGAGCTGAGGAAGGAAGGATGAGAAGATGTTCATGGAGCAAGCTGAGGTCATCACATTCCAGAGAGGAAGCCACAAGAACAAAGACCTCGAGATGGAATGAACTCTGTTCAAGTAATCTAAGAACAGAAAGAAAGCCAGTGTTGCTGGAATGTAGTGAGAGATGGGTAATGTGGTAGAAGATGAGAGGAAGGCGTGCAGAAGGTGCTCAATAAATGGTTAAAATGTTGTGGTAACATAGAAACATGTGAAGTGCTTTACAGATTTCCCCTCTAGGAATATGTACATTGTGAATGCATTTTCATCTTTTCCCCCTTTGGGTGTCTTTATTGTAGCGTTTTAGTTTTACTTTGTCTCTTTCTTTTTCCTCCTCCTTTCAGTCTTGGCCTTCCTGCCCACTGCCTCCTTAGCTCTGGAAGCTTGGGTTTTCCAGCTTCTCTGATGAGACTTCAGTCAAAGAATAAGCTATTCCTAATTGCTCCATTCTCAAGTTTAAATGAATAAACTGAAATATTTGAAAGGTAAAGGGGTAAAAAAAAAAAAAAAAAGAAAATTCAGAATTCCTTGCAAAAATCACTTTGGTGTTTTTCTTGCTCTTAGGCTTAAGCCTGTAAAATGAAATGTTTTCAAGACACACATAGCAGTAGCAGGATAAGGGAAGAGGCACATTGGGTCAATTCATGGCTCAACATTTCTTTTCCTCACGAGCCCACCTGAGATGACATCTGGCAGGTCCCTGACTTCTTTCAAGCTGGAGGCTGGCAAGTCTGGTTATCTGGCATTTCTTGACACACACGTTGCTGCTTTTTTATGGTGGGGTCTAAAATGTTGAGTGAGGTCAGGGCTGCTGAAAGAACTGCCAGTAAGAGACTCAAGGCACAGGAGTAAGATTGGAAGAGCCAGGCTGGGCCCAGTGGCTCATGCCTGTAATCACAGCACTTTGGGAGGCCGAGGCAGGTGGATAACCTGAGGTCAAGAGTTCAAGACCAGCCTGGCCAACATGGTGAAACCCCATCTCTACTAAAAATACAAAAATTAGCCAAGCGTGGTGGTGCATGCCTGTAGTCCTAGCTGCTCAGGAGGCTGAGGCTGGACGATTGCTTCAGCCCAGGAAGCGGAGGTTGCAGTGAGCCAAGATCGCACCACAGCACTCTAGCCTGGGTGACAGAGCAAGACTTCATCTCAAAAAATATATAAATAAATAAAGAATGGAAGAGCCAGAAGTGAGACGACTTGGAGGAGTTAGAGGAGGCCAATTCTGCATGACAGGAGAAGGAAGTATAGGCAGACTTATCCCTAGTGAAGAGTAGTCACAATCGAAAACTGGCAGTATGAGTTTTAGGAAATAAAATCATCATTAGCTTCTCCAATATGAAAAATGTGGAATTTGGTTTCGTTATATTCCTTTCTTTCTTTACCCTCTCCATTGTTTTATTATAGTTATAATTTTTCTGTTGGTTATTTTGATTTTTGCATCTATAAATTTTAGATACCTTTTATTCTTTTCTTCTTTTGCCCTCCTACCTCTGTTGACTATTCTAATATTTTTGGATAATTAAAGATAATAACATTTGTATTCTGTTACTAGAGTAAAAGAATTCTCTGCTTTGTCCATTAATTTCCTCTAAGAATTGACAGATAAATAATCGGATCCTGCCATTTTAAGAATCTTCCAAATTTCAAAGTCCAGATCTTTTTCTAGATCACTTGCTTAAAACCATGCTACGTTTTATTTGTGCATATCTCCATCAAGATTTTTCCCCACCCATTGGAGTTGCTAATTGCCTTTTTATTATGTTAAAAAAAAAAACCCAAGGAGTCATTTTATTTCTAAGATCAACTTTTTCTTTCTTTCTTTCTTTTTTTTTTGAGACGGAATCTCACTCTGTCACCCAGGCTGGAGTGCAGTGGCATGATCTTGGCTCACTGCAACCTCCTCCTCCTGGGTTCAAGCAAGTCTCATGCCTCAGCCTCCCAAGTAGATGGGACTACAGGCATGCACCACCACACTGGGCTAAATTTTTGTATTTTTGTAGAGTCGGGGTTTCATCATATTGGCCAGGCTGGCCTTGAACTCCTGACCTCAGGTGATCCACCCACCTTGGCTTCCCAAAGTGCTGGGATTACAGCCATAAGCCACCACACCCCGCCAGCCCAACTTCTTAAATCAAT
Source organism: Homo sapiens (assembly GCF_000001405.40). NCBI lineage: Eukaryota > Metazoa > Chordata > Mammalia > Primates > Hominidae > Homo > Homo sapiens. The sequence continues at coordinate 25,195,527 of NC_000010.11, forward strand.
CATTCCATTTGTTAAAGAAAATTCATATTTTTATTGAAGACATTCCTGGAGTCCTGTGATTTGTATAAGTCGCTTTAGGTCTTTTGCAGAACAACTATCATGGACATCTTTTCAAATTATTGACCTTTTGGATTAGTTCAACAACTGTGTGTTGGATGCAAGCCTTCTTATTTCTAAAATTCTTCCTCTTCTTTTTCTTTTTTTCACCCTATGGAACACTCAAACACATTTTTCAGACAGGATATGTAGAATTTATAATTTCTAAGTCTTCCCGTGCCAGAAAATGTCTTCTAACTGTTAGTCAGAATACAGAAGTATAGGTTCAAAGTCATTTTGCCCTCAGAATTTTAAACACATTGTTATATTGTTTTTAGCATTCATTGTTGCTTATGAAAACTTTGATGTAACCTGATTTATTATACCTTTGTAGGTAATATTTTCTCCTTATGGAAACTTTTAATATCTTTTCTTTTTCCTTGGGGTTCTGAATATTCATGATGATGTGCTTAGATGTGATTCATTTTATTGATTACACTTGCCATTTAGTGGGCCCTTTTAGACTTTTTCACTCAGAAACTTTCTTTTATGATTACATAAATTATTTTCTGCTATCCAGTTTCTCTTTCTGTAACTCCTACAGTTGAATATTTGACTTTCTGGATAGATTTCTATATTTCTTAACTTTTCTTTCATTTTCTCCTTTAAAAAAAAAACTTCTGAGAGATTTTATTCTTTTCTTTTTTTGTTATTTTGAAATAGTTTTCCTTTGGCAATTTCTCTTAATGTTCATGAACCCTTTTTTTGCTCTCGGATTATTTTTCATAGTTGTCTGTTCATTTTCTTAAATCTCTTTGAGGATCTTAATTTAAATATCTATAAAGTCTCTTTTGTTCCCTGAATTATTGTTGTTCCAACTTCAGTTGTTTTGCTTGTTTATGTCTGTTCTCCTTTATGCCACCAGTTCTGCTAAATATGATCCTTAGTTGGTCATTATTTTTATGATTGAAGGACTAGGTTAAATTGTAAAGTTAGGTGGGACGTATCTTGTGACACATGTGCAGGCCTTGTTCCTCAACAGATCTCTGCCTTGACTATTGGGCTTCTTTCCCCTTAGGAAGCTAGACAAAGAAGCTGGCAGTCTCTGCCCCACCCTGGACCTTTACTCTAGGAGAACTAATAACCATTCTAGAAACTTTCACTCTTCCCAGAAATGTCTTTCAATCTCTGCAGAAGAGTTCTTGATTTTTTGCTTGGGAAAAAATGCCATCACTGTGCTGTAGGGAGGGGATGTGGCAACTCATGTATCTGTTTAGAAGTAAGTCCTTCATTTAATCACCTTGATGCCTGCTTTAGTTTCCACTCACACTCCTGATGCCTGCCAACTATGGTCTTAACACAAGCTGTCCTGCATGAGCATTTTCGACCTGTGCTCCAGGCTTCTGCTAAGCATAGCCTTAGCTGCCACCCCTCCCTGGCTTATCATCACGATCCTGGAGAATTCTTTCAAATCTCTGGTCAGGTACTTCTCCTCACTGTACTTGCTCCCTCTTGTACGTACTTCCTGTCATTACAGTTGGATGTGGAGGGAGGAGGTAGAGAAACATATGATCTGTTCACTATTTTAAACAAGAACGTGAACCTAGGCCCTCTGACCAGTCTTCTTACCCTTATACTTAGGATATGAATATCACATTCGCCCTTTTACTTATTACCTGTGTCTTTAGGTAGAAGCCATCTCACCTCTTTGTGTCCCAAATTTCTTACTATTATTTAGGGAGAATAATACTGACCATATGTAGTTGTAATATAAATTGAGGAGAATAGTATCAGTCATATACAGTTTCAATGAGGATGTTTTAAGGGTGTCTAGCATAATGTCTATTAGGATCTAGAAAAAAATCTAAAATTTAAAAGTCTGTGTAAATTATCAGCTTTGTAATTTGACTTTAAGATCCGTATGAATAAGATCCAGCATAAAAAAGAGTATTTAAATTTAAGAAGTTATTAACAAAGAAGATATATCTTTGCTTGAAAATTAAAGTAAAATCTTAACACAATTGGCATGTTTAATTAAATCACTAGATCTCAAGGTATGAGACAGCCATTGTATATTTTAAGGCAGATTACAGTGTTCACATACATTTTCTTTCTCTGACAGAACATGCTTTGTTCTTATTTCTTCTTCCCTGGCAATGCAAAAAAATATAACTTTGGACATGTTATGAAACTTTAATGAATCTAATTTTCTTCATCTATAAAGTGAGAAAAGTGTTTCCTCCTCTCTCTCTCCTAGGACTCTTTGAATTAAACAAGTCAATAATAGAAGTGACCTCCTTGCACTGGGTTCCCTGACAAGAAATTGTCTCATCCTATTCAGAAATGGTCATATCCAAAGAGGTTCTTTAAAGAACCCTGTGGATGTGTTTGATAAAATTGCAGCTAAACATGATTATAGTGAAGGAAAACCACAAAAATGAGATGTTGGTCTGCTACCTTTGCAAAAAACAGCAGACTCAAGATATATTTTTCAGGGGAACAGTCACCTATTATCAGATTTTGAACCTTAGCAATTTTAAGAGATGTGCTGCATTTAACCTGCAGAAGCCCCAAAACACAAGAATTGTATTTGTGGGTAGAGGATAGATATTCCATGCTGATTGAGCTTACTTCATTATATATTTATTGACTTTATCAAACTTATATTTTGCAACATAAAACATACAGACCTTCCCAAGGAAGCCTTGACCTGATTGCCAGAAAGACTTCCAAGAACAAGAAGCCAGACAGATGGAAGACGTGAATACTATGTAAAGTTTTGGCAAGCTTCTCTGGACATGTCTGCTGCAAAGTGGTGTGGGGGAGGAGAACATTTCCTTGCTTTCAGACTTGCTGTAAAATTCTCTTATATGTTTTAGAGGGGATCAGGTCTTACAATTTACATTATCACAGGACTATCAGGTCATGATTGAAATTATGGATAGTTACATTCTTGGAAAATAGATTTAAATTGTTTTCTGGCAATATTTTGGGAAGATAACTATTATTAATGATGCTAGAGAAAAAAGACAGCTACAAATGCCTCTTAAATTTGGCCTTCTAAATAAGCAGAAAGCTATTTGATAATAGTATTCTTGTATAACTAATGCTAATTGTTTTGTAGAATTTAAGAGGCAAAAATAAATTTATTATCTTAAGGCTGCGCAATGGGTTACCATACAGCAATGAAGGAAAAATGCTGTGACGTTGCGTTCAGTCATCAATGGGCCAAGTATGTTTGGTTGTCGGATGGTCTATGATTAGTATTAATATAACTAACAACTTAGTGCTCTGGCTATAAGTGGGGTTTAGATAGGTTCTATTGAGGGTTTGGTTGAAGTCTGACATCATGATGACAAGGCAGCTTCTACTATTATGCAACTGACATTTTCATCCTTGTTATTTGCTATAAGAGAGCATGTTAAAATATTTCTAATCAGGTTGCCAATATTTAGAGAATTCGCTTTAAGTTTTAGAAATAATCATTTGCTTTCCTGCCCTGACTGTATCAAACATGCTTGGTTGAATAGATGGTAGAGATCCACTTTGGGCTCAAATAAAGTTTTTGTTTTTTTTTTGCTTTTATTATAGGTTCATGGTTACATGTACAGGTCTGTTATGTAAGTAAATTGCATGCCACAGGGGTTTGGTGTAAAGATTATTTTCTTACCCAAGTAATAAGCAGATTATTTTGTTACCCAAGTAATAAGCATAGTACCTGATAGGTAGTTTTTCATTCCTCTCCCTTCTACTCATCACTCTCAAGTAGCCCTGGTATCTGTTGTTCCCTTATTTGCATCCATGTGTTCTCAATGTTTAGTTCTACTTATAAGTGAGAATATGCATTATTTGGTCTTCTGTTCCTGCATTAGTTAATGGCCTCCAGCTCCATCCATGTTGCTGCAAAGAACATAGCCTCATTCTTTTTTATGGCTGCTGATATGGTTGGGCTCTGTTTTTGCACCCAAATCTCATCTTGAATTGTAATCTCCAGCGTCCAGGGAGGGACCTAGTGGGAGATGATTGGATCATGGGGGCAATTCCCCCATGCTGTTCTCATGATAGTGAGTAAGTTCTCATGAGATCTGATGGTTTAACAGTGTTTGGCAGTTTCTCCACTCTCTCTCTCTTGCCCCCATGGAAGACCTGCCTTGTTTCCCCTTCTGCATGGCCTTCTACCATGATTGTAAGTTTCCTGAGGCCGCCTCAGCCATGCAGAACAGTGAGTCAATTAAGCCTCTTAAAATTGCCCAGTCTTGGGTATTTCTTTATAACAGTGTGAAAACAGACTAATATAGCTGCACAGTATTCCATGGTGTATATGTATGACATTTTCTTTATCCAATCTACTGTTGATGGGCACTTAGGTTGATTCTATGTCTTTGCTATTGTGAATAGTGCTGCAGTGAACATATGTATGCATGTGTCTTTATGGTACAATGATTTACATTTCTTTAGGTATATTCCCAATAATGGGACTGCTTGGTCAAATGGCATTTTTGTTTTAAGTGTTTTGAGAAATCGCCATGCTGCTTTCCACAATGACTGGACTAATTTACATTCCCACCAATAGTGTATAAGTGTTCTTTTTTCTCAGCAATCTTGCCAGTATCTGTTGTATTTTGACTTTTTAATAACAGCCATTCTGACTGGTGTGAGATGGTATCATTGTGGTTTTGATTTGTATTTCTCTAATGATTAGCGATGTTGAGCATTTTTTTCATGTGCTCATTAGCCATGTATTTATCTTCTTTTGAAAAGTGTCTGTTCGTGTCCTTTGGCCACTTTTTAATAAGGTTGTCTGTTTTTTGCTTGTAAATGTGCTTAAGTTCCTTATAGATTCTGGATATTAGACCTTTGTCAGATACATAGTTTGCAAATATTTTCTCCCATTCTGTGGGGTGTCTGTTTGCTCTGTGGATAGTTTCTTTTGCTGTGCAGAAGCTCTTTAATTAGGTTCCATTTGTCAATTTTTGTTTTTGTTGCAATTACTCTTGTCTTCATCATGAAATCCTTGCCTATATCCAGAATGATATTTCCTGGGTCATCTTCCAGGGTTTTTATAGTCTTAGGTTTTACAAGTCTTTACTGATCTTGAATTGATTTTTGTATATGGTGTAAGAAAGGTGTCCAGTGTTAAAAATCTTCTGCATATTGCTAGCCAGTTATCTCAGCACCATTTATTAAATAGGAAGTCCTTTCCCCATTGCTTGCTTTTGTCAAAGATCAGATGGTTGTAGGTATGTGGCATTATTTCTGGACTCCCTATTCTGTTCCATAGATCTATGTATCTGTTTTTTGTTTTGTTTTTTTTTTTTTTTTTTTCAGTACCATGCTGTTTTGGTTACTGTAGCCAAGTATTGTTTGAAGTCAGGTAATGTGATACATCCAGCTTTGTTCTTTTTCTTAGGATTGCCTTGGATATTTGGGCTCTTTTGTGGTTCCATATGAATTTTAAAACCTTCTAATTCTATGAATAATGTCATTGGTAGTTTGATAGAACTAGCACTGAATCCGTAAATTGCTTTGGGAAGTATGACCATTTTAACAATATTGATTCTTCCTATCCATGAGCATGGAATATTTTTCCATTTTTTGTGTCATCTCTGATTTATTTGAGCCATGTTTTGTAATTCTCATTGTAGAGACCATTTACCTCCCTGGTTAGGTGTATTCCTAGGTATTTTATTCTTTTTGTGGGAATTGTGAATGGGATAGTGTTTCTGATTTGGGTCTTGACTTAGATGTTATTAGTGTATAGGAATATTAGGTTTTTGTGCATTGATTTTGTATCTTGAAACTTTGAAGTTGTTTCTCAGTTCTAGGAGCTTTTGGGCAGAGATTACAGAGTTTTCTGGGTATAATATCATACCATCTGTAAACAGAGATAGTTTCACTTCCTCTCTTCCTATTTGGATGTCTTTTATTTCTTTCTCTTGCCTGACTGCTCTGGCCAGCAATTCTAGTACTATGTTGAATAGCAGTGTTGTGAGTGGGCATCTTTGTCTTGTTCTCAAGGGGAATTCTGCCAGTTTTTGCCTATTCAGTATGTCGGCTGTGTCATACATGGCACTTATTTTGAGGTATGTTCCTTCAATGCCTAGTTTGTTGAGGGTTTTTAACAAAGGAATGTTGAATTTTACTGAAAGCTTTTTCTGCCTCTATTGAGATGATCCTGTTTTTTTTTAATTCTGTTTATATGGTGAATCACATTTATTAATTTGTGTATGCTGAACTAACCTTGCAACCCAGGGAGAAAGCCTCCTTGATCATGATAGATGAGCTTCTTGATATGCTGCTGGATTTGGTTTGCTAGTATTTTGTTGAGGATTGTTGCATATATGTTCATCAAATATACTGGCCTGAAGATTTTTTTGTGTGTGCCTCTGCCAGGTTTTGGAATCAGAATGATGCTGGCCTTATAGAATGACTTATGGAGGAGTCCTTCCCTCTCAATTTTCTGGAATAGTTTCAGTAGGAATGGTATTATATTAGCTCTTCATTTTATACATCTGATAGAATTTGGCTGTGAATTTTTCTGGTCCTGGGCTTTTTCTGTTTGGTAGGCTTTTTATACTTTTTACTTCTATACTTTTTATACTGATTTAATTTCAGAATTTGTTATTGGTCTGTTCAGGGATTCAGTTTCTTCCTGGTTAAATACTGGGAGGCTGTATGTCTCTAGGAATTTATCCATTTTTTTTTATACTTTAAGTTCTAGGGTACATGTGCACAACATGCAGGTTTGTTACACATATATATATATGTGCCATGTTGGTGTGCTACACCCATTAACTCGTCATTTACATTAGGTATTTCCCCTAATGCTATCTCTACCCACTCCCGCCACCCCACAACAGGCCCTGGTGTGTGATGTTCCCCTTCCTGTGTCCAAGTGTTCTCATTGTTCAATTCCCACCTATGAGTGAGAACATGCAGTGTTTGGTTTTTCTGTCCTTGTGACAGTTTGCTCAGAACGATGGTTTCCAGCTTCATCCATGTCCCTACAAAGGACATGAATTCATCCTTTTTTATGGCTGCATAGTATTTCCTGGTGTATATGTGCCACGTATTCTTAATCCAGTCTATCATTGTTGGACATTTGGATTGGTTCCAAGTCTTTGCTATTGTGAATAGTGCTGCAATAAACATACGTGTGCATGTGCCTTTATAGCAGCATGATGTATAATCCTTTGGGCATATACCCAGTAATGGGATTGCTGGGTCAAATGGTATTTCTAGTTCTAGATCCTTGAGGAATCACCACACTGTCTTCCACAATGGTTGAACTAATTTACACTCCCACCAACAGTGTAAAAGTGTCCCTATTTCTCCGTGTCCTCTCCAGCACCTGTTGTTTCCTGACTTTTTAATGATTGCCATTCTAACTGGTGTGAGATGGTATCTCATTGTGGTTTTGATCTGCATTTCTCTGATGGCCAGTGATGGTGAGCATTTTTTCATGTGTCTGTTGACTGCATAAATGTCTTCTTTTGAGAAGTGTCTGTTCATATCCTTTGCCCACTTTTTGATGGGGTTTGATTTTTTTCTTGCAAATTTGTTTAGGTTCTTTGTAGATTCTGGATATTAGCCCTTTGTCAGATGGGTAGATTGCAAACATTTACTCCCATTCTGTAGGTTGCCTGTTCACTCTGATGGTAGTTTCTTTTGCTGTGCAGAAGCTCTTTAGTTTAATTAGATCCCATTTGTCAATTCTGGCTTTTGTTGCTATTGCTTTTGGTGTTTTAGTCGTGAAGTCCTTGCCCATGCCTATTTCCTGAATGGCATTGCCTAGGTTTTCTTCAAGGGTTTTTATGGTTTTAGGTCTAACATTTAAGTCTTTAATCCATCTCGAATTAATTTTTGTATAAGGTGTAAGGAAGGGATCCAGTTTCAGCTTTCTACATATGGCTAGCCAGTTTTCCCAGCACCATTTATTAAATAGGGACTCCTTTCCCCATTGCTTGTTTTTGTCAGGTTTGTCAAAGATCAGATGGTTGTAGATGTGTGGTATTATTTCTGAGGGCTCTGTTCTGTTCCATTGGTGTATATCTGTGTTTTGGTACCAGTACCATGCTGTTTTTGGTTACTGTAGCCTTGTAGTATAGTTTGAAGTCAGGTAGTGTGATGCCTCCAGCTTTGTTCTTTTGGCTTAGGATTGTCTTGGTAATGCAGGCTCTTTTTTTTGGTTCCATATGAACTTTAAAGTAGTTTTTTTTCAAATTCTGTGAAGAAAGTCATTGGTAGCTTGATGGGGATGGCACTGAATCTATAAATTACCTTGGGCAGTTTGGCCATTTTCACAATATTGATTCTTCCTATCCATGAGCATGGAATGTTCTTCCATTTGTTTGTATCCTCTTTTATTTCATTGAGCAGTGGTTTGTACTTCTCCTTGAAGAGGGCCTTCACGTCCCTTGTAAGTGGGATTCCTAGGTATTTTATTCTTTTTAGCAATTGTGAATGGGAGTTCACTCATGATTTGGCTGTTTGTCTCTTATTGGTATATAGGAATGCTTGTGATTTTTGCACATTGATTTTGTATCCTGAGACTTTGCTGAAGTTGCTTATCAGTTTAAGGAGATTTTGGGCTGAGACAATGGGGTTTTCTAAATATACAATCATGTCATCTGCAAACAAAGACAATTTGACTTCTGCTTTTCCTAATTGAATACCCTTTATTTCTTTCTCCTGCCTGATTGCCCTGGCCAGAACTTCTAACACTACGTTGAATAGGAGTGTTGAGAGAAAGCATCCCTGTCTTGTGCCAGTTTTCAAAGGGAAAGCTTCCAGTTTTTGCCCATTCAGTATGATATTGGCTGTGGGTTTGTCATAAATAGCTCTTATTATTTTGAGAGATGTTCTATCAATACCTAGTTTATTGAGAGTTTTTAGCATGAAGAGCTGTTGAATTTTGTCAAAGGCCTTTTCTGCATCTATTGAGATAATTATGTGGTTTCTGTTTTGGTTCTGTTTATATGCTGGATTGCATTTATTGATTTGTGTATGTTGAGCCAGGCTTGCATCCCAGGGTTGAAGCCCACTTGATCATGGTGGATAAGCTTTTTGATGTCCTGTTGGATTCGGTTTGCCAGTATTTTATTGAGGATTTTTGCATCGATGTTCTTCAGGGATATTGGTCTAAAATTCTCTTTTTTTGTTGTGTCTCTGTCAGGCTTTGGTATCAGAATCCATTTTTTAAAAAATAAGTTTCCTAGTTTGTGTGCACAGAGGTGTTCAAAGTAGTCTCTGAGGGTTTTTTTTTTTTTTTTTTGTCATTTCGGTGGGGTCGGTGGTAATGTCCCTGATATGGTTTGGCTGTGTCCCCAACCAAATCTCATCTTGAATTGTAGCTCCCATAATTCCCACATGTTGTGGGAGGGACCCAGTGGGAGATAATTGAATCATGGGGGTGGCTTCCCCCATACTGTTCTTATGCTAGTGAATAAGTCTCATGAGACCTGATGATTTTATAAGGGGAAACCCCTTTCACTTAGTTCTCATTCTCTCTCTTGCCTGCCACCAATATAAAACTTGCATTTCATCTTCCACTATGATTGTGAGGCCTCCCCAGCCATGTGGAACTGTGAGTCTATTAAACCTCTTTTTCTTTATAAATTACCAAGTTTCAGGTATGTCTTTATCAGCAGCATGAAAATGGACTAATACAGTCCCCTTTGTCATTTCTAATTGTGTTTATTTGGATCTTCTCTTTTTTTTTTTTTTATTAGTCTAAATAGTGTTCTATTTTTTTTTTTTTCCCAAAAAACCTACTCCTGGATTCATTGATCTTTTGAATAGTTTTTCATGTCTTAATTTCCTTCAGTTCAGTTCTGATTTTGGTTATTCCTTGTCTTTTAACTTTGGGGTTTGTTTGCTCTTGTTTCTGTAGTCCCTTTTTATTTTTCTTTTTTCTTTTTATGCAATCTCTAGTTCCTTTATGTGTGATGTTCGGCTGTTAATTTGAGATCCTTCTTTTTTGGTGTGGGCAGTTAGCACTATAAAGGTTCCTCTTAACACTGCTTTAGCTGTATCCCAGAGATCCTGTTATGTTGCATCTTTGTTTTCATTAATTTTAAAGAATTTCTTGATGTCTGCCCTAATGTCATTGTTTTACCAAAAGCTATTCAGAAGTTCAGAAGCAGGTTGTTTGCTTTCCATGTAATTGTGTAGGCTTGAGCAATTTTCTTGGTATTAATTTCTCTTTTTCTATTGCACTGTGGTCTGAGAGTGTGTTTGGTATCATTTTAGTTTTTTTTTTAATTTGCTGAGGGTTGTTTTATGGCTGATTCTTTAGATGATTTTAGATTATGTGCCTTGTGCATATGAGAAGAATATATATTCTGTTTTTAGGTGGAGAGTTCTATAGATATTTGTTCAGTCCATTTGGTCAAGTGTTGAGTTCACATCCAAATGTGGGTCCCTCTTTTTTTTTTTTTTTTGAGATGGAGTCTCACTCTGTCACCCAGGCTGGAGTGCAGTGGCACATCTCGGCTCACTGCAAACTCTGCCTCCCAGGTTCATGCCATTCTCCTGCCTCAGCCTCCCGAGTAGCTGGGACTACAGGCGCCCACCACCACACCTGGCTAATTTTTTGTATTTTTTTAGTAGAAACGGGGTTTCACCGTGTTAGCCAGGATGGTCTCGATCTCCTGACCTCGTGATCCGCCTGTCTCGGCCTCCCAAAGTGCTGGGATTACAGGCGTGAGCCACCGCGCCCGGCCCAGATATGGGTTCTTAAATATCCAGAGTTTTAAGAAATAGTTGATTAAATATAAGAACAACCCATTTAATTGGTAGAAGAGAAAAAGTCTGGAAGACTATGAAATCTGTTACTCTAAAGGACTTTCAAGCAGTGAAATAATTATTTTTCTAGTTTTAAAGTTTAACTTTTTTCTATTATAAAAATATTTATTCACTTGGAAATTATAAAAAATAATGATCAACCAAAAGAAAAACAATTCTAATCACCCACAATCTTAATGCTCAGAGTTAATAATTGATAACATTTTGATATATATCTTTGTTGTAAAACATATATGTTAAATATTTTTCCTGTTTTCTAATAAATGTACACCAAATATCTTACACTGTGTTTTGACTTATATTTCACAATTCTTTAAATATACTTCTGTAGCACTATTCTTACTGGCTGCCTATTATGTACATGTATTCAAGGTTTACTAGACATGCAGCTTTGATTTCTGATGGTTAAATAATTTACTTGCCAGAAGGTAGGGTGATTGACAGGTGATTTTTAAAGGTGCTGTGTAGATCCTACCTAGATTTTACTTGTGAGCTAACAAGCTTATTCTTGACTATTTTATGGATGCTGCCAGAAGACGTAAGGCTCCTAGATCAGAGAGAAAGGACTTAATTATTCCAGAGTTTCAAGTCTGTCTGTGTCAGTTCCCACTTTTGCCCAAGTCCCACGGGGGAAATGCAAAGAGCCCATAATGGATACTTGCACATGAATGGGTTGCATTATAGGAGGAGAATTATGAACTCAGAGATTCACTGCCTTTACATTAAGCAGAAGGAAATCTGCTCTTTGTCTGGGGGGAGACATTACCTCATCCCTTGAGGCTGATCGCTGCAAAACACAACCCTAGAAATGGTCCAAGTGGCTAAATCAGGACTTGACATTCTTGGCATATCCAGCAAGACCATGATGGGAAGCTCAGGGCCCATGGCAGATTGCTTCTCCCAACAGGTGCCTTTGCTATGACTCATTCATTGGTGCTTCTGGACAGATTTCTTCTCTTGCTGTGACTCTATTAATCTGTTTCCCCCCTTTTTAAACTGAATCATAAGATAGAATAGTGGTCCCCAACGTTTTTGGCACAAGGGACTAGTTTTTGAGGAAGACAATTTTTCCATCGATGGTGGGGAAGGGGGATGGTTTCAGGATGAAACTGTTCCACTTCAGATCATCAGGAATTAGGGTCTCATAAAGAGCATGCAACCTAGATCCCTCGCATATGCAGTTCACAATAGTGTTTGTGCTCCTGTGAGAATCGAATGCCACCGCTGATCTGACAGGAAGTGAAGCTCAGGTGGTAATGCTCACTCACCTGCTGCTCACCTCCTGCTGTGCGGCCTGGTTCCTCACAGGACATGGACTGGTACCAGTCCATGACCAAGGGGTTGAGGGACTCCTGGGATAGAGCATAAAGTTATATTTACTACTAGGTTGACTTTATATGATTCTACTTAAAGAATCATAAAGGTATAGCTGGCAGAACAAGCAGGTTTTGGGGTTGATTAGTGGGCTTCATGTTTTCATTTATAAGATCTTTAAGGACTCAGATAACAATGTAAGTGCTGCCTTTCCTAATTAATATTCTCTGGTATATTGGTTAGCTGCTTTTGATATTATTTTACTCTTATGCTATCATTAACACAATTATGTATTTTATGCCTAGTAGTTTGGTAAAGATAAAATGAGGTAATATATGTCCAAAGTTCTTTGAAAACTGGAACGACCTAAACACTTGTAGGAGTTTAAAATATAATGTTTACCACATGGTATATTCAATTGTGCAGAGCAGGGTTTATAGAATGTGTTTGCTTTGTTCATTAGTCACATGGCTTATTATTGGTCAGGGTTGGTAACCATTGTTATTTCAATTGATTTTTCACATTTTAATATGCCAATAATGATAATTTTGCATCTCTAGCAAACATACAGAGATTGTTTTTTCCTGATTTTACTTTAATTTTAGCAAATGTTGCATTTAGAAATGCAAAGTTTTGAAAAAAGAAAACTTTGTCTCAATTACCTACAGCGTTATAATTGAAAGAGAAGGAGGAAAACACTTTTTAAAAGTTGATTGACAACTAAATAAATGATGGTATTCAAGAGGCTTTTGTAAAAGAATAAACAAAATTTGCATCCTGTACATCTTATATTGGTATATATGATATTCTTCTATCAACCATCTCATCACCAGAACCACGGTTCTCAGTATGAGATTCTTTGGTCCTATGTGAATTTGTGTGTGTGTGTGTGTGTGTGTGTGTGTGTGTGTGTGTGTGTGTGTATTAGAATTGAGAAGTAAAAGACCAGAGAGAAGCACTGGAACTGTGTCACATTGTGCTGGCAGCAAGAACATCTCGACATTTCCCGACCACATGGTGGCCTCTACAAACTGTCAAATTAGGTAGGTCCCAAACCTGCTTTCACCTGAATTAACCTGCAAACCCACTAGAGCACAGGTTTGGGATTACTTGGAGACTGTACAGGAGAGCAGGTCACTTCCTGTTTTTTTCTTTCTTTCTTTCCTTCTTTTTTTTTTTTTTTTGAGATGGAGTCTCACTCTGTTGCCCAGGCTGGAGTGCAGTGGCATGATCTCAGCTCACTGCAACCTCCACCTCCTGGGTTCAAGCAATTCTTCTGCCTCAGCCTCCCAAGAAGCTGGGACTACAGGTGCGTGCCACCACACCCGGCTAATTTTTTTGTTTTGTATTTTTATTAGAGATGGGGTTTCACCATATTGGCCAGGCTAGTCTTGAACTCCTGACCTCTGATCCGCCCACCTCAGCCTCCCAAAGTGCTGGGATTACAGGTGTGAGCCACTGCGCCCAGCCACTTCCTGTTTTCTTTAGGCAGTTCTCTTTTATGTGTAATATGTAAATTGTATGGAATATGGTTTTCTACCTCCTTTATTCTTCTTTTTGACTACTGTTAGATCTATGTACCACTCTATCTCTTCCTCTTATAAGACAAACCTTTAAATGATCTGTGTCTGCTTACTGGATTGCCTATTCTTGAATACCCTCATCATGGCACAATGCCACATTAGAGGGCTGAACAGAATATAGAGTAACAGTGGTAATTCAGTGCTCAATGCATTTTGAGTAAATGAATGAGTAAATTGTATCTTTACTTCTGTTTTTTTTTTTCTTCCCACTAAACCAGAATCTTTTAAAGAGTGATATCCTGTGCTTTGCATCTGCACTACCACCTAGCAAAGAGCCTTACATGTAGTAGGGACACACACACACAATTTATTTTAAAATCTATTTTATAACTGAAAAGTGTTACAGATAAAAAGAAATGTTAGTTAACTGTTGATATTATATTTTTATTTTAATCTTTGGCTCCAAAATCCTATCTGGTTTCTGGTGTCTTGACCCCGGCTTTGTTTACTCAGTGGCTTGTGACTTAAGTTTTAATTGTGTTAGAGGAAAAGTTAGCCTTATCCTCAAATAACCTAGATTGTCTGCTTATATTTGCTAAGTAAGCAGCCACCAAGTACTTTGGTACTAAGGTCATGCCTAATTGTGGTAGATTTGCCAAATATTTTCTCTGTCGTTAAAGCCCTGGGAGAACTGTGTTCTTGGTGCTCTTGTACTTTTTGTAGTTCTGGGCTTGAGCTAAATGATAGAGATGCAGGGTGTTTTTGTGAGCAATGTTTTCTTAGTATGAGATGCACACAGATAAGGAAGACACCCATAGATGACTTCAGCTAAAACTTAAAAGTCGTGAAATTATGAATCTAGAATCTTCAGTTACACAGTGACAGAAAGGAAATCACTCTTCTTCCATTTTCAAAAAAGTATCTTGTTTCCCTTGAACCCACCCCATTTACAACTAGCCTGTGCAGTGTATTCTTCTATTCACGTGCTATTTTGTTTGTAAATAATTTTGATTAAATAGTTGTTAGATACCTCATTATTTTGCATTTTATCCACACAAATCTGCTTTAAAAATCTCTTAATGTTGCTACATATACAACCAATCCGTTTCTCTACTGCTGAATACTGTGTGTTCTATGCCCCTTTGTGAATGAGTGAGGATTTCTTCAAATGAGAAATCCAAAAGCAGGATTTCTGAGTCATAGGGAGGGGTAAACTCAATTTCACTAAATATTGTAAGATTACTTTCTAGACAGCGTGCATCAGTTTCCAGACCCACCAGCAGGGTTCCTATAGCCTCACATTCCTGCCAATACTTGGCATTATACAGCTTTCTAAATATTTTTTTTTGCCAGTCTAACAAATGTGTAGTGATATCTCATTATTGTTTTAATTTGCATTCCTGATTACCAATGTGCTCAAGCATTTCTTCATATGCTTGTGGGCCTATTGGGTTTACTTTTTTTGTAAACTGTTTATATCCTTTGCCCACTTCCTATTATAATTGCTATATTTTGTTGACTTGCAAGAAATCTTGGTGTATTCATGACATTATATCCTTGTAAATTTTAGACATTACAAAATCATCCAATATGTCATCTTTCAGTTAACTTTGTCCATAATGTCCTCCCTGGAAAACCAGAATTTTGGCTGGGTGCGGTGGCTCACACCTGTAATCCCAGCACTTTGGGAGGCCGAGGTGGGTGGATCACGAGGTCAGGAGATTGAGACCATCCTGGCCAACATGGTGAAACCCCATCTCTACTAAAAATACAAAAAATAGCGGGGTGTGGTGGCAGGCGCCTGTAGTCCCAGCTACTCGGGAGACTGAGGCAGGAGAATCGCTTAAACCAGGGAGTCGGAGGTTGCAGTGAACTGGGATTGTGCCACTGCACTCCAGTCTGGTGACAGAGGGAGAGACTGTCTCAAGAAAAAAGAAAAAAAAAAAAACAGAATTTTAAAAAATTTCTGATGTTTTTCACTTAATCAAAATTTTGCCTTGTGTTTTATGCTTTTGGGTTTTGTTTGTTGTCTCAGTGTGTTTTGTGCCACTATAACGATACCTGAGACTAGGTAATTTATAGAGATTAAAATCATTAGACATTTATTTGGCTCACAATAAATGATTAGAAGTTTATTTGACTCACAATTCCGGAGGCCAGGAAGTCCATTGTTGGGAGGCCACACGTGGTGAGGGTCTTGTTGCTGTGTCATCTTGTGGCAGGAGGTGAAAGGACAAAAGAGCCTACTCGTGCACAGGAAAAAGGGATGGGGGGAGCGCATGCACAAGAGGAGGCCAAATTTGCTTTTATAGCAAACCCACTCCCTTAATAACCACATTAATCCATTCATGAGGGCGGAGCCCTTATGACCAGTCACCTCTTACAGGTCCCATCTCTTATCACCGTTGCACTGGGGATGAAGTTCCTAACACACGAACTCTGGGGGACACATTTAAGCCATAGCATTTAGGAAGCCTTCTGATACCCTGTCACAAATATTCTCTTATGTTATCAACTACTATATAATTTTACCTTTCGCAGTCAAGTTGTTAACATTTGGAATATACCTGTGTACATGGTATTGGGTAGTGATCCACTTATTATATTTATCCATTAGTGGCCCAAGTTCCTAATACTACCTTCCTTTATCATAAGTATAAGTGCCTCATATTCATATGTCTGTCTCTGAGCTCTCTATTTTGTTCCATGGCTTCCCATGTCTGCCACAATTGGGTAGTATGTCCTAATATTTGGTTGGGCAAGTCCTCTTTTTCTTTTTCACAACTTTTATTATTCTACTTAAACTTAAGCTATTTCTCAAAAATTCATACAGAATTTTGGTAGGTTTTGCATTAATTTTATACTTTCATTTGATGAGAATTGACATTTTTATTTCAATGAATTATCCCCTTTCAGAGAATGGCATGTGTGTCAGTCTATTTTGCACTGCTATAAAGAAATACCTGAGACTGGGTAATTTATAACGAAAAGAGGTTTAACTGGCTCACAGTTCTGCAGGCTGTACAGGAAGCATGGCAGCATCTGCTTCTGGGGAAGCTTCAGGGAGCTTTTACTCATGATGAAAGGCAAAGTGTGAGCAGGCGTCTTACATGGGAGGAGCGAAGCGGGGTGTGCTACACACTTTTGGACAACCGGAACTTACGAGAACATACTCACCATCACAAGAACAGCACTGAGGGGATGGTGCCAAGCCATTCATGATCCGATCACCCCCCACCAGGCCCCACCTCCAACATTGGGGATTACAATTCGACATGAGATTTAGGCGGGAACACAGATCCAAACCATATCAGTATGTTTCTCCGTTAATTCAGATCATTTATTGTTCTTCATTAAGAGTTTTCAAAATTTTTCCATAGAGGTTTTGTGTATTCTTACTTAACTACTAGAGAATTTATAGCTTTTTTTTTTTTTTTTTTTTTTGAGATGAGTCTTGCTTTTGTTGCCCAGGCTAGAGTGCAGTGGCGCCATCTTGGCTCACTGCAACTTCTGCCTCCTGGGTTCAAGCGATTCTCTTGCCTCAGCCTCCCAAGTAGCTGGGAGTACAGGCGCCCGCCACCATGTCCAGCTAATTTTTGTATTTTTATTAAAGACGGGGTTTCACCATATTAGCCAGGCTGGTCTCGAACTCCTGACCTTGTGATCCACCCGCCTTGGCCTCCCAAAGTGCTGGGATTACTGGTATGAGCCATGGTGCCTGTCCTGTAGGTTTTGTTACTATTTTAAATGTTGTCTTTTTAGTTATAATTTTTTTTACTGGAGATTGTTGTAGAGAAATGCCAGTGCTTTTTGTTCTTTGATCTGGTATCCAGCAACCTTACTGAACTTTCTTATTCTCATATTTATCTGCTGATTTTAAATGATCATATCATGTACAAATAATGACAAATATCTTCACTTCTGATCTTTATATCTCATTTTTCTTTTTCAGTTTTTTTGGTTTTTACAGAATTAGTCAAGAATTCAGTACTATGTTACATAGCATCAGTGATACAGTAAGCATTCTTGCCTTAAAGGGAACATCTTAAAAAAAACTTCTCCCGTAAGAGTAATGTTGGTAGAGGCAAGCTTTGGAATTTAAGAAAGTTTCCTTCTATTTGTAGTTTGCCATTAAAAATAATTTAGTTGTTGAACTTTGTAAAATGCCTCTTTAGTTTGATTAAAATAATTTTTTCTCATTTATTTTGAATTTTTTGATATATTTTTCCAGTGCTAAAACAACTTTTCATTCTGATATATATTCCACTATATCATGACATAATTATTTTAATATATGTAAACATTTGTTTAGCCCATATTTCCTTTAAGACTCTTAAATCTACATGCATAGTTAAAAGGTGGCTGCATTTTTTTTTTATTGCCCTCATGTGGTTTGGAATAAAAATCATGTAAAGTGAGCTGGGTGGGTTGTTCTTTTCTTTTTTTGTGTGTGAAAACATGAAAACAGAACTGTTCATTAAAAGTTTGGTAGAATTCGTATATAAAGCCATCTAGGCCTGAAGTTTTCAGGGAAGGGAATGATTTAAATTTTTTATGCTTATTGTGCTATTAAAGTTTTTTCTTCCATTTGGGGCAAACTGGCATTTTATATTGTCTATCATCTTATCTTTTTAATCCTTCTCTTTTAGTTTTTCAAAGTTTGTTAGAGAGCAATTTATCCTAATACTGCTTTTTAAACATTCCTTTTTGTCTCTTCATTCTGCATATTATTTGCATATTTTCTGTTTATTTGCATATTGTCTCTTTAATTCTTGAGTCTCCCTTATTATTACCATGTTTTTCTTTTGAGATGGAGTCTCGCTCTATCGCCCAGGCTGGAGTGCAGTGGTGAGATCTCGGCTCACTGCAAGCTCTGCCTCCTGGGTTCACGCCATTCTCCTGCCTCAGCTTCCCGAGTAGCTGGGACTACAGGCGCCCGACACCACGCCCCGCTAATTTTTTGTATTTTTAGTAGAGACGGGGTTTCACTGTGTTAGCCAGGACAGTGTTGATCTCCTGACCTCGTGATCCACCTGCTTCGGCCTCCCAAAGTGCTGGGATTACAGGCGTGAGCCACCACGCCTGGCCGAGTCTCCCTTATTTATTTACTTATTTTTAAAAAAACTAGTTTTCTATAACTAGAAAGTTTTTAAAGCTATTTTAAAATACTTTTAGACTTTCAGAAGATTAGTAAAGCTAGAAAAGAAAGTTTCTATAGACTCTTTACACAGCTTCCTGTAGTAATACATCTTACATAACCATGGCAAAATTATCAAAAGTAAGGAGCTAATATTAACTCAACTACAGGCTTCATTCAGGTTTCCTGTTTTTCCACTAATGTCCCTTTTTTGCTCCAGGATATAAATCAGGATACCATATATTATGGTATGAATTGTGTTCTCCAAAATTGATATGTTGCACTCCTAACCTCCAATATCTCAGAATGTGATTGTATTTGGTGATAGGATCTTTAAAGAAGTAAGTTAAAATGAGGTCATTTAGGGTGGGTCCTAATCCAACTTGACTGATGTCCTTATAAGAAATGAGGAGACAGACATGCATAGAGGGAAGACCATGTGAAGACACAAGGAGAAGATGGCCATTTACAAGTCAGGGAGAGAAGCTCAGAAGAAAGCAACTCTGCTGACTCCTTTATGTTAAACTTCTAGCTTAAAGAATTGTGAGAAAATAAAAGTTCTGTTGTTTAAATCACCCGGTCTGAGATACTTGGTTATGGCAGCCTTAACAAACTAATACACCATATTTTATTTGCTTGTTGTGTTCCCATAGAAAGTTTTATTTCAAATTCAGCAGTCCTGGCTTTTTATATTTCTTCTAAATTTTGTTAAAAATCTAAGCGGCTCCATAGCAAGATTATTTACAATAGCCAAAAGGGGGAAGGAACTCAGTGGGCCCACCACAGATGAATGGCTAAACAAAATGTGATGTGTATATAAAATGGAATCTTGTTAAGCTTTAAAAAGGAAGGAAATTCTAATACATGCTACAACATGGATGAACCTCGGGGACATTATACTAAGTGAAATAAGCCAGTCATGAAAAGACAAATACTGTATGATTCCACATACATGAGGAACCTAGAGTAGTTAAACTCATAGAGACAGAAAGTAGAAAAGTAGTTCTAATCCAAGTGCTTGGCAGAGTTGAGGAATAGGGATTTGTCATTTAAAGGGAACAGAGTTTCAGTTTTGCAAGACGAAAAGAGTTCTCAAGATTGGTTGCACAATAATATGTATGAACTCAATACTACAAAAGCGTACATTAAAAATGGTTAAGATGGTAAATTGTGTTATGTATATTTTACCACAATTAAAAAGCGAAAACATGGCTGGGCACAGTGGCTCATGCCTGCAATCCTAGCACTTTGGGAGGCTGAGGCAGGTGGATCACCTGAGGTCAGGAGTTCAAGACCAGCCTGGCCAACATAGTGAAACCCAGTCTCTACTAAAAATACAAAAATTAGCAGGGCGTGGTGGTGCGCACCTGTAGTCCCAGCTACTCAGGAGGCTGAGGCAGGAGAATCACTTCAGCTGGGGAGGTGGAGGTTGCAGTGGGCTGAGATCGTGCCACTGTACTCCAGCCTGGGTGAGAGAGACTCTGTCTCAAAAAGCCAAAACATAAAACCACAAACCAGCTCCTTCTTTAGTCCATGTCTTTCTTTTTATATTTATCAGTGGCAGCTAGCATTTGTCTAGAAACTTTCTCAGCTGAATCTACAAATTCACTTGTTCACAGGTGACGGTGCTGTCAAACTTTCTACCTACTATATAACAAAAGTCCCTTTTGTTCCTGCCTCCAATAACATTTTCTTCATTGTCCTTCAAAACTGACCAACAAATTCCCCTTTCATTAACCATCACTGAGGCCCTTTTAGCTTTTGCTTGTTCCCAAAGCCACTAGCATAGATTTAGAGTTTTTATTATGGCAGCAGTCCGTTTCCAGGCACTGGATTCTGTTCTGGTTGTCTATTGTTAGAAGTGAATGACTGATGGCAGCTGATCTACAGGCACCTGTTTTCATCAATCAATTTCAGCACAGCTTCTACCTTGATATCCCATCAATGTTGACTACATATGCTGTTACTGTCCATTGTTTTGTAGTGATGGAGCAGAAAAATTATTGTCCAAGGTAACATGAGGAGGGAGGAAAAGCAGAATTTCAAGTCTTTCCATCAATCTATCCAGTCTCTCTATCCATTCCTCCATAGCAGTTTATGATACTTTCAATTTGCTTGGGTATTTTTTGGGGGTGGGGGGAATGTCAGTTTAGCTACTCCTTGCTTCTCTCATGTCTGTAGTTCCTCCAAAGTTAATTTTGGGTGTGGGCTGATTTAGGAGCTAAGGAAAAATATTAAAAAAGATATAGACCATGGAAATTTTAGTGGGGAAAACATATCATTGAAAATCAAATATTATAATATAGTGTGCTAATTGATATGAAGAAGGTAAGCACACTGCATTATGGGAGAATAAGGGACTCTCTTCCATATCAGACTTGGAGTTCATGGGAGGCTTTAGAAAGTGGCCAGGTAGGAGTTATAATGTAAGGCATGGTTTAGGCAAAGGGATTTCAGGTATAAAGACGTCTGTGAAAGAATGGTTTGAGATAGCATGAATTTTTTAGGGCCCTAAATGTAGTTCTGAATTGTCTGGAATAAGGAATATATGCATGACAGTGGTTGGAGAAGTTAGAAGTAGGAGGGCCCTGATTATGTCATTCCAAGGAACGTGGATTTTATTATTTAGGAAAGTGAGTAATATTGATTTCAAGTAGGGAATTGTCGGGATTGGGTTTATATGTTTCAAATATTACATAGAAAGCAGTGTATGATTCTTGGGCTTCAGCAACCCTTACTTGCATGGGAACTTTCTAAAATCCTGGAATGGGTACTAGAAATGAGTTTTGTGGTCAACTGTTCTCATAAAACTTGCAAAAATAAGATATTTTGAATGCAATGGTCTCTTTCTGGTATAATGTGCCTCCATTACACTTTTCCTAGGCTTTGGGTAGTTTTGCAAACTGGAGGAACTTTAGGATTTTTTTAGTCTGGGTTAAGCAATATATGTTAAAGTTGTCTGTGGTCACTTCTGTGTATAGCGAAGTTACTGGTCATTCTGGTATAGAAATGGCTTCTGGTAATACTCTTAATGCCCATGGTGCCTACCCATCCAACAGTTACCACCGAAAGACCTAGGGCCAAAGGTCATCTCGTCACATACATGTGTATTCATGATTTTGTTTTTCTTAAAGAAGGTCCCTAAACCATATAAACTTCAAGAGCTACAAACCAGGATCTTTACTTGGAGCAATGCCAAACAGGACCCAAGAGTATGCTAGTATTAAATTTGTTTAACCCGTGAAAGATGAGGGCCTGAAGCAAGGCAGTGGCCATGCATATGGAAGAGAAGAGTCAAGATACAAGAAGCACAAAGGGAGTCCAACCTATGGCACTTGGCCATTGCTTTGACTTGGAGGTCCATTCACAGAGAAAGACCAGTAGGGAAATCGTGTTTGATGGACTGAATCCTGCTTCGGGCTTGTTGTTCTATTAATGGACAAATAGAGGAAAATGCTGGTCTGTAGTGTAGCTAAGCACCCAGGTGTTTAGGGGATCCGATTTGCTATATTTTCCATTCTCTGGAGGCCACTTACACGCTTTTTTTTTGACCCTCACTTTCCTGTCCTGAGGCCATGAAACAGCAGCCAGCTTTTCAGTCTCAGAATTTCCCAGGAGCCCTTCAACCCCTGAGATGCCCACTCGGGACAGAGGGCACAGGCGCGATGGGGCTCTCACCTTGCCTGGTCTGCGATGGGACACGTGGGTCCTTAGGTGTTGGATCTTTGCGTCCCTTTCAGCGGCAGGATGCTCTTCCCCACAAAGAGAGGGTTTTCTTTCTGTTATATCCCCCAAACCTCCGCTTCCCCCCGACAGGAAGTCTACAGCGCCTTCCCCAGGGTTTTGTAAGTCTCTGGGCGCCCAGGCTTAGGCTGTAATGAAGAAGCCTCGTTGATTTCCCAGCTGGGAAACGTAGCTCATTATATTCCACGGTTTTGCACAAGCCTGGAATGCTTCACGGGCCGGGCTTGAGGTCTGCGGTGACTTTTTAGTTTCCATGTACGAACTTGGAATGAAGGGCGAAAGCTTTCAGTCAGTTGAGCTGCCTTTTTCTGAAGTCAGTTTTCTCCAGGGAAGGAAACGATCACAGTAATTGCAGCTTTTTATTTTCCAAGTTAGCCGATGTCTGAGTAAGCTGGAAGATTTGAGATTTCCACTGTCTGGGAACTGGACTGCTATGGTAGGATTGTTGAGAAAAACTTGACCTCATTATAACCAACCATTGTGGAACGAGTAGAAATGCCTATTGATTAGTTTGCCAATTACAAATACTTTCTAAATAAGATATTCAAGAAAGATAACCAAAATGTAGTGGACAACAGTAGTCCGGTGAGAAGCTTTATGATACTGGTGATTTAGAGTGTGCTTATAAACCAGCTCTAATTATGCCTTGAACTGTGTTGAGTCAGAAATTTCACCTCAGTGAGATTTATCCTGACCACCCTTTAAAAAAATTTTAAAATTTTTCTATTTCATCCCCTTTATCTGCTGGAAGTTGTTTTCCCCATGGAACTTATTTTTTTTTTTGTATAGTATAATTTAATCATTTATTTTACCTATTTCTCTATCCCACACTAGAATTAAACTCTATGAAGGCAGGATTTTGTGTTCCTGCTTACTGATGCCTTTCAAAAACCAAGAACAATTCTGGCACATAGTAAGCACTCACTGAGTATCTACTGAATCAGTGAAAGAAAGTTATTTCCAAGGAGCATAAAGTAGAACCAGAAGTGGGCTTACATGATTGGATTAACTTTGGTGGAACCTACTTCGATTGAAAGTTCTGATAGTGAAAGCAGTCAGTAAGTCAACGAATGGTTATTGAAGCCCTACGTTACTCCAAGTGATAGCTTTCCAAATCCTCTAGAATTTAGCATCTACTGTCCATTAAACACTTTGGTCATTTTCAAAATGTCTTATGCCTTTTACTGTTCCTTGGGGGTAGGTTTGCCTTTCTGTCGTGCATAGTGTTATCTTACAGTGATATGCACATACCAGACGATAAAAATTTGTTGAAAGAGGAAAGGCATGAACTGGATTAAGGCATTAGGTTACTTGGAAATCCATTTATTTATCACATAAACATTTGTTTTATTGCGTTATGGCCCACAACAGTAATATTTTGCAGAATGGGGTCTATATATCTGAATGATCAGCGTGTTTTCTGTAATTTTTGTGTTTTCATTTCACTGATCATCTGGAAAATCAACTCAAACATATTCTGGATTATCTGGATAAACCAAACACTGGCAGGAGGTTTTAGTGTCCCTATATATTTCTGTGTATGTTTTGAGCATGTAGGCACTAGGTAATGTAGTACTTTTCTCACAGGTTAAAGAACAGAGGCAGACTGAAAAAATAAATGATTTATTCACCCCAAAGGAAGCCCAAGTGGCATTAAGCCATGCTGTTAGAATGCTTCACAGTAGTTTAAAAGGAGAAAAGAGATGAGAGAAATGAGTCATAAGATGTGTGGCAAAATAGGATTGTTGAACTAGCAGTCAGTACTATATTCCTGTTTTGAGAGGTGATTTTGTTTTGGCAAAGCATAATGTTTGGTTTTCTTAAATTAATATTTTAAATTTGGTTTTTGTCGGTTTTATACTTTTGTTTGCATTTATTTTGTAATTGTGTGGGATTCTTTGTAGCTACAGGAGCTATAAAATCAGGAATTTGAGGCTACTTTTATATTTTATGTATATGAGTGATATCATAATGAAAAATTGTTTAAATTAGGGGTGTGGGGCCTCAAAAATGTGTTTTTACTTTGAGTAGTTTGTAGTGGGGTATATATACTTTACTTAAGTTTATGAAAAACTACATTATAAAGCTTCAGGGCCCAGGATGCAGAATACTTATTTCAATAAAGTCCATGTGTGATAGTGCAGTGTTGGACAGATATTTCTGCAGCAACTGCTGCTAGTGGTGCTGCTGGTGGTGAAAAATAGAAAGGAGGGAATCTTAGGAAAACAGAGAGAGAAAGTTGGCTGGAGGAAGTGGAGGAATTTTAGCCCAACTTGGAGCTTTCTTTGCAATTTAGCTTTTGACTGGCTCTGAATTTGTGAGTTGTCTTTCTTAGTGACACTTCTCAAATGGCTAAGTGAAATGCAGTCTCTTCGTTTCCAGATTTAAAAGAAAAAAGAATGTAGTCATCATTTCTGTAGTGAGGCAAATCTCTGTTTAATGTGGAACACTGGGAGACCTAAAGAGCTGTTTAGAGTTATTAAAATGAGAGATCAGAGGAAAGAGATGCTTATTTTCTGATACTGTCCTCCCTACTCAATCTTCCTAGCCCTGCAATGGGAAATAGAAGTAGAAAGAAATGAACTGAAGGCTTTATTTTAATTTACTTTACTAGAAGGGGTTCTGAGAGCAAGTGTTATTTTAGAGTCACATTTTCTGCCATGTCTAGAGCAATATTGTCCTGGAGTTCAGGCAATCAACACATATTTATTGAGCACCTATTATGTACCAGGCATTATATAAGGAAGTGAAGACAGCTCCCTGCCTTTGGACTTACATAAAGCCAATACTTAATGATTTTCCTATACTGTGTGTCTTCTCTTGGTGCACTTTGGTTGAATATGAGTAGGCAATTTGACAATTTTTGGCATGTTCTTTATGATAATTTTCTAATTTCAAGCTTAAAATACAGAGAAATCATAAATGTCCAGATTAATTTGTTCTTTTTATCCTTTTCTATTTCTAGGGGTGTCATGAAAGTTGACATAAATCTTCAGAAAGTGGACATTGACCAATGCTCAAGTGATGGCTGGTTTTCAGGAACTCATAAATGCCACCTCAACAATTCAGAGGTAAGAAGATGAAAATAAAATCCTCTTTAAGCTCAGGAATACATTATTTTGAATATGTTATATTTGTGTGGGTAAATGAACAAGAGGCATCTTACTGGGAAGAAAATCTATGTAGGTCTCAGTGCTGCCAAATGAACTAAAATAGGAGTAGAAAATAAAATTTGTATAGAATAACTGTTCGCTTGGGGACTGAAAGAAGGCCAAAACTACAATTACATCTGAAGTTTGACTTTAGTCAAAGCCTGGCCCTATTCTTCAAAATGGGCTGGAAATTTAAAATAGTCCTGAGATGAGAAACCAGTCCCAGGAATGGTCAAAGAAATTATGACTGTTTTTATGGAATATGATGCTTATTGAAATATTGGTGGTATTCATTCAGACACACTGCTATCTGCTAGAAGAGCACTAGAGAAGGCATGGTGGGGCAATTTTGAAAACAAGGAGAAAACACTGTACAGGGTCCTGGAAAGGAATTGTGTATATGTGTGTGTATTTGTTCAGTTTTTAGTCCCTATTCATGCTTGATTTGACGATACTCTGGTTAATAGGAAACAGGCATGGAGATCATGCTTCTGGAAATAAGACTATCACTTGTCTTTTGTAGTTTCAGAGAAGGAATATGATGACATACTAGTGATTTCATTTTTAGTAGTCCATTTCCAAGGTCCTCAAACTATGGAACAAACATACAATAAAGTTCTTGATCTTAAATACTTGGGCTAGTCCAACATTGATTCCATGAGTTTGTGAGGAAAGTCAGCTTGCTTTATTTAAAATAGAGGGGATATTTCCACAAATGTAGTAATCTACAACTTTAATTTGAATTTTTGCCATTTGTGAAAGGTGATTGTATATAGTGTAATTTTTAAGGAAGGAATTTTAAATCAGAAGGAAATTTAGCAATAAGCACTTATTTGTGCCATTACACAAATGCACAGACAGTTGCACAGGTATACATGCATGCATATACATGTATATACGCCCATTGAGTGTTTACCATGTATACACCCACCACGCATACTCCTGCCACACACAACCCACATACCCCTGTACTCCCACACTCCCAACTATCTTTTCACTGTTTCTCACATCCGCCATACATTCCACACACACTTCCACCCCGCCACCACACTCTCCACAGCATCCCTCAATCCTCTTGCCCCCAACCTGTAAGAAGCCCCCGTAATGCTCCCATATCCCTCTAAATCTATCACATCTCTCCACCATATCCTGATGATCCCCCACTTCATCAATACATTCCCACAGCCCCCCCATTCCCTCACATCCACACACTTCCTCCCACATCTCCATACACCTCCACAGAGACTGCCATCCACAGTTAATGTTTCTGCCTTGCTAACTCACAAAATTAAGCTCTTCTTTTTGTCTCCTTTAATTGTTCTTAGGGTTTTGAACATTTCTGAGCCTCCACTTCGGATGATTCTGGCATTTCTAAGATGTGAATTTCAATCGCTTGGCTTGGTGAATATCTTTAGCCTGATTATCATCTCTGTGCCAAATGTCTAGAGCAATATTGTTCTGTTAGGAGCAGATAGCCACTTAGCGTTGTCTTTTAGCCAGAATGGACTTTTTTCTGCATGGGTGTCATATTGTGGATATTGATCTGTGTGTGTTCATTTCTATATAGCCTTGTGTTAGTGGTGCTCCTGGGTGGTTCAATAAGCAGTCTGCCTAGAAACAAGGAGATACTTACTTTTCAGTTTGTTACAGTTGCTGCTTGCTTCTAATAATCATGGTGTGGTTTTGTGTCCTTACAGCGCATCTGTTTATTTGACTAGATGGTCATACTGAAAGAACCTCTTTCTCCTTTTGGAAGATTGATTTATTTTCATTGCATCAGGATGATTAATTTTCTGGGTTTTGTGTCTTTTTAAAGCTTTGAAATAAACTAGGTTATTTCAAGATAAAATATCCTCTATTCTGATTAACAAAGTTTAGGTTGAAATTTATAACTTTTGGGATTATATATGGGAACATTATATTTATTACATTCCTACTGAAAAAAGTGGAAAAAATATTCTACAATTTCATTTGAAAATATTGTAGAAAGAGGCTGAGTGATCAAAAAGTAATATCAAAACAATGGATCTACAGAGTGTATGTTCAACTTGCACTCTGTCATTCTCGCCCCCTTTCATTGCCCAGGTACTGGAGTTGGGAAGAAAGAATCTTTGTGTCGTGGGCTATGCTCAGGAGGCCCTCATGGGGTAGTCTTCCCTGCACAGGTCTGTCCTGGAACTCTTCACACATTGTATTGGGCTTCTCTAAGGTCGTATAGTTTGTGCTGGTCACTCTAGGTACCTGCAACAGTTTTGGACCACATCCTCAGTGTAGTTACTGGGAATAGTCTTTCAATTCCTTTCCCATAGGGATGTGAGTTAGAGATTAGAAGCTGGCTTCTCTGGAGGTTTTTACTGCTTGGGAAAACAGAAAGAAACATGTCTCACTTGTGGCATTTTTCATGTGTTCTGGCTCTACTTTATTCTTTGTAACAACCCCTCTGTTACCATCCCAAGGATCGCTGTGTAAACTGGCTTATTTTGGGAAGCACTTAACATCCACATTTGTAGGATGTAGGGTCCTGTCTTTATGAATGTCCACATCATTAGAAATAAAGACACTCATCTTGGTTTACAGTGGGTTTTATCTTGCTAATATTTAACATTCTTCTCCAGTAAACAATAGAGAAAGTTACAAATTTCAAAGTTATAAATGAGGCAAACTTTTCACTGTAAAAATTTTTCTAGCGATGTTGGAAAACTTTCCAGCCTCTAGGGTATGTACAACCAAAATATCAGGTCTGATGTTGGAAACAGATAAGTGATATGGAACCAATGACAAAAGCCTCAGGAGCATTTTAGAAAGGCATGGAATGGTTTGTGAAGAAAATAATCTCTCAGTGAGTTTAGGTCTTCACAAGGTCTAGGAGGCCACTAAGCATTTTTTGAAGGACATGTCTTAGTAACTAATCTAGATTACTGTAAAATAGATTTGGTCAGTTTTCACATCCTCTCCTACAGAATGGTTTAAACATAAAATTAATTCATATTAATTTTTGTTTTAAATATTTTCTTTTGCTTGTTTGAAGTGTAAAAAAACCATTGTTTGAAGTAGGAAATATTAGGAGAGTATCCTGGAAACTTTTTGGTTATATTCCATTAGTAAATACCTTTTAAACATCAGTCCAAGGTATATATATATTTTAAATTTAGAGTGTATATACATCTTTTGTTATATTTTTATGTTAAGTATATTATAAATCAGAAAATTTTACAAGATTGAGATGAAGATGAAATAATATTTTAATATAAATTATATTACTTTGTTAAAAGAATTATATATTTATAGCAATATAATTGATTCATAATTCTATAAAATTTTTAGTGAGACTGTTATGATTATGTCACAATTTTTGAAAATCTTAGTTTAATACTTAGTAATGCAGTGATTCAGAGGTCTCTAAGTTCACTTTATTTTTATGCTTAGTTTTAATATCTGTCATGGTTGAAAAAGATTCCTCACAAGGAGAAATCAGTCCAAATTGAAGTAATAAATTGTCAACTATGTTTGCTACCAATTTTTGCAGAGGTTTTCTTTACAGAGATACAGCTGGCAATTCTGCATCTTACTTGATGTCAATTGGTCCTCGCAAACTAATTCGAAACCTGGTCATTTTAATATTTTAAAGGAATCGGTTAAAAACCCACTGAATCTCTTCATGTTAAATATATTAAAGCAGACTAGGACATTTTATTTCCAAGTTTAAACTGTAGAGGTGTGTGAATACTTATAGATTTTGGCAACAAAAACCACTTAACACTGAAAACATTTTCAAATATCCATTTTCAAAATGCTCACTTGAAAAGACTTTCTCATGGATTGTTAAAATGGCTTTGAAGGAATGGTTTTTGTTGTTGTTGTTTTTTAAATACCTGTTTCATAGACACTATTGATAACCAACCACTTGCCATCCCAGAACAGATCAGCAGATTTGGAACATTTGCCTTTTTTTTTTTTTTTGTATAAAGCAATGTATAACCCATCTTTAAGCTCAGAAGTGAGCAGTTCATTTTGAAATAATCAGAGAATCTTTATGGGGGAAGATTTTCTGGGTCACACAGCATCTCATGAAGAATCATAAATACTTTATACTTTAAAACAATACACTCTGAAAATGCATCTAAATGGCCAAATATAAAGGCAATAAATGGAAAATTGAAGCAAATGAAGGAACCCAGTGACCAGTGTCAATGTTAATGTTTTTCTGTCTTGAAACTCCCAGTTTTCCTTCAGGATGTCTCAAGTGCATTCTCAGATGTGTGATCATGTAAAGTATAGATTGAGTGAGGGCATTAACATTAATCCAAGTCCTACATAAAACAAGGCTTAACAGCTTATGTTTCTTTTATTAAAAAGTTAAATGTAAACAGAAGTTCTAGTATTTTCTTTTTGCATGCCAATTAAAGTCGTGTTTATTCTGCTTTGGAGACCACTTTTTGAAGATACCAGATTCACTGGAGTGGTTGTGTTATCACTCCAGTCATTGGTCTTATATTGCTCTAAGACAGTTTCCCATATCTCCTCTTTTCTATGGAATGTATTGGGTGAAAATCTATTTGTAATTCTTTACTACTACATTAGATGTAGTTTAATGAATCTCTAAAGATAAATTTTAAAGAAGGCTAAAAAGGTAAGAAAACATATCATTTGGTATATGAGAAGAGGAATAGAATGCAAAGATTCAAAGAAAGCAGAAAAACCCTCTTACATACCAAATGTAACTTACTCATTTGACTACAGTGGGTTTAGAGTACTTTTCTAGAGATCTTTCATTTAGTTTAACTTTTCATTTACTGAATCACTTAGAAATAGCTATGTGTCAGTTCCATCTTGTGGCTGCTATCTCACCATTGCTCTTCTTTTCTCCAGAAAGTTTCTGTTTAACAAATACTATTGTTCACCTATCTCTAGAGCCATGCTGTCTAGTATGATAGCCACTAGCCACATGTTGCTTCTGAAGTTTAAACCAATTAAACAAAATCAAGAAAGGAAGTTTCTGTCCTCACTAACCTGATTTCAAGCATTTAATAGCCCATGTAACTAGTGGCTACCATGTTGAAAAGTGCAGTGGACTGCTCTGCCGTAGGATATAGTCTAGCTTATAGTGTAGTCAAGCCACACAGGCTTTTTAAAACTTTCAAATCCCTGAGTTTCCTTGTACACTTGTCAGTAACATTGCCTTAAAATTCACTGAGGGACATTTAAGAACAAACTTAAAATGAGTTTTGGCTTATGCAATCTTCTTATGATTTGTATTAGTGCAATTGAAACTAAGTAATGAGAATGTTGCAAACTATTTTTAATGCCATTATTTCACACTGGAAACTGTAATAGTCTCACAGTAAGTGAGGAGTAAACACTGGTAATCACTGTGGATATTTACATTTTAGTTGTATTTGTAGCACAACTTTTCTTTTCTCCTATTACTAGTGTGAAATGTGGTTATTTAATATAAAGTCACACTCTTCTTTTGGAATGTAGGACAATGATCAGGTGTTCATTTGTACCTAGAAACAGTACCTGACACTGTTGAATTAATGGAGATAATTTGCTGTTGTTAGATGGCCTCCCTCTAATGCATGGCCATCGCTTTTGACCAATTGCCTAAAATAAAATTAAACAAAATGTTTTTTGTAGTAGTTGCCTTTCAGGTATTTGAAGACTGCTGTTAGCTACCTTCTAAGTCTTCTTTCCTCTGTTTCAGTCACCCATCCCTGCTTTACCAGGCTTAGCCAAAGGAGGCCATATCACCACTGTATGGATGCTTATTTGTTTTTGGAGTTCTAAAGCCTATCTCATTTGATTTTGTTACAGTCTTTCTTTTTAAAATTAATAGAAACCGATGGTATTTTTTTGAGTTTTCCACTATGCTCTCGAGGGTTATTTGGAATAGAGATTCTCGAATTGTTTCAAAGCTAGGGTTAGAAATCACTGTGCTAAAACCACTGAGCTGGGGAGCCTAATAAGTCAGTTAAGGACAAGCTGGCTGTTTTAGATGTTCCCAGCAACTGAGCCAAGCGTTCACCAGTGGCTATCGCCATCTTGTGGTTGGGGGAAAGAGAGAGAGAAAATCTGTAGTAGGAAATTAAGTGACATTAAACTATTTCTTTGTTGTCTAGACATCTCTTTTACTATTAAAATACAATACATCTTTCCCTGCGTACAGTTTCAAGCTATTTGTGTGTTGTATTCTGGTTAAATACTAAACCACTGTTTCCATCACTGTCTCATGCAACCCAGTTCTGACTTTAGTCTATTCACATATAATTAGGTGTACTAGGCCTCTCTCTTTGAGGACAGTTTACAAGTTTGCTAAACTATTATTCTTAGTAATTTTTCTTCTTATTATTATGGTTAATAAGGTATAGGCTATTTTTTCCATGGGATACCTTTTATAACATTATTTCAAATTCATTATTTTAGGTCCTAGGGATACAGTGGTGAATAAGACAGAGGAAATTTATAATTTAAAAGATATCATTGCATTCTAGAGGGAACCAGAGAACTTAGAAATATACCAATTGACTTTAACTTTTTTATGTACTAAATTTTCTAGGTGATATGTACTAAAATATCGTATATTAATTTCTGAGACACAAGACTAGTCATAAAAGAGAAGTCTTCACACATATTTAAGAAGTGCAGGAATTTATTTATTGGATTGGCAAGCAGTAAAAAAGAATTGTGCTCAATGTTGGTGAGGATATTCTAATGTGATATTGGTAGGAATGCAAATGTTTATAAATTTTTTGACAATATGGTAAAAATGTGTCATCATTAAAAATGCATACTTCTTTGTTCTACCTGTTTTTTCTCTACTTCTACTTTAAATAATTTAAGCCTGGGGAACATAGCGAGACCCTGTCGCTACAAAAAATTTTAAAAAATTAGCAAGGCTTAGTGGCACATGCCTGTAGTTCCAGCTACTCAGGAGGCTGAGGCAGGAAGATCTTTTGAGCCCAGAAGTTCGAGGCTGCAGTGAGTTATGATTGTGCCCCTGCACTTCAGCCTGGGCAATAGAGTGAGACCTCATTTCTAAAAAAAATAATTTAAGAAAACATTAGAAAATTCTAAAATATATAAATATAATTCTAAAATATAATTCATAAATATATATGTACTAGACTACTTATCACAGTATTACATATAGTAGCAAAAATTTAGAAACAAATGCATAATAAAGAATTGGGTAAGTGACTTACAATGTATCCAAATAATATTATACCATTGTGCTCCTTAAAATGAATACTGTTCATTCCTTGATGTAGAATGATGTTCATTATATATTTTAAAGAAAATAAACAGGTTCTCCAGTATGGTTTAAGGATTAGTAAGCACTTGGGGATATAGAGAAAAGTGATGATTGTAAGAAAGGCTTTCTGGCATGTATGGAGTAGATGAGTAGAGGCTTGGTAAGAAGCAGCCAATGTTTTTTTCCCCCTGAATGTGAGCCCCTTTAGTTTTGAGAAGTGAAATTTATTACTGTGGAAATGTGTACAAGATGATTTGTAGGCCGGGCGTGGTGGCTCACGCCTGTAATCCCAGCACTTTGGGAGGCCAAGGCAGACGGATCACGAGGTCAGGAGATGGAAACCATCCTGGCTAACACGGTGAAACCCCGTCTCTACTAAAAAAAAATACAAAAAATTATTCGGTTGTGGTGGCAGGTGCCTAAAATCCCAGCTACTCGGGAGGCTGAGGTAGCAGAATGGTATGAACCCCGGAGGCGGGGTTTACAGTGAGCTGAGATCGTGCCACTGCACTCCAGCCTGGGTGACAGAGCGAGACTCAATGTCAAAAAAAAAAAAAAAAAGATGATTTGTATAAGCTAGCTCGCAGTTTGTAAGAGGAGGGTAGATTAAAGGCAAGAGGGCATATGCAACCTCAAAAGAAAAATCTGTCTATCTTATAAATGTTGGTGGTGTCTCTATCTAGAACTTGTATGGAGCTGGGAAGAAGACGATGGAGAAAGACAATTTGAAGAACCTTGAGCATACCTGTGAGGAGGTGGCAGATTCATCGCTATATTTAGGGACTCCCTTTTCCTTTGTGGATCATAGGGAGGATTACTAACGCAAATAACCCCAAAATTGAAGGTTACAGTAGGAAGTGGATGGATTCACAGTAAAGACTGGATAAATTTTACTTTTTCTGTTGTTTCCACTCAATAGATTTTTATCAAAATCTAAAAATCTTCTTATTAATTTTAACACTAACGATGGCTGCAACTACTTGGTAGTGCTTGGTTTGGGTCAAGAATTGGTCTTTGTGCTTTATATGCATTTCTTTAATCTTTAAAGCCTCTATTTTACTGATGAGAAAGCTAGGCCAAGACAGGTTAAATAACTTATTTATAATCATACAAATAGTATTTGGTAAAACTGGGATTAGAATCCAGATTTATCTGATTCTAGGCCTATTTTTGTTTTACTACAATCATATCCTTCTTATTTTCTAGGAAACATGTAACCAGATGAATTCATTTAGGATTAGACATGAGGATGTATGGGGTATTTTAGATTACAAACTACATTTAACCTTGGAAATTGGGTAGGAGAGATGATGGGATATTATCCTGTACCAGGTGTCACTTTAGACATGGTGCTTTGGCATTTCATAAAGTAATTGCTGTGAAAATCCAGCATCCTTCTCAGTAGGAGAGGAATTGAAGTTCCCATAGGCCCTGGATTTGTTTAAGTCTAAGGCTATATATTAGGAAGTGATTGAATGGACTGATATGAACTTTCAGTGAAGGTTATGGTCGTTTGTTATAGGGCTTTATGTGGGGCTTTGTGCTTGCCAGAATGTTCATCTATTCTTTGAATAATGATATAGAAGACACATAGTTAAGAATAACAAATTCATTCAAAGTTAAAATCAGTGACTAAAAAGATATTGCGGGGTAGAGAAATGGACAACTGCATCACAATGAAAGTTAATCAGAACAAAGATAAGATCCTGAATGTGAATCAAAATTCCTATCTTTCTGATCATAGGAAGAATGATGTGGTTTGGTTTGATCACATGTGAATGATATTTGGGAGGATAATTGAAAGTTGAAAATAAGTCAACAGTATGGTGTGGCTGCAGAACCATAGCAAAAGCCAACATAGTCTGAGGTTGTTCTCTATATCTGGAGAGGCTTATATTTCAACTGTATTCAGAACTTAGCAGAAAATACCTAAAATGGTATGACAGTTTTCAGTTCTCATACATTAAAATGTGTGTAGATAAAGTGGAAACACTCCAGAAGAGAAAATTTGTATTACGAAGGACTTTGAAACCTTACTTTTTGAAGAATCAAAGAAATTGAGAATGTTTTTCCAGGAAATAGAAGACTCGTGGGTGATGTGATAACTGTCTTCAAATATCAAAATAGCTATTATATGGATATTTTTACTTTTTCTCAAGGAATACAGGGGCTAGTCTGTGACTTACTGGTAAAACAACAGGAACTGCAGAAGGCTCTGTTTACCTCAATGTAACTGGAACTTTTTAATAATCAGATTTTTTTAAAAATGAAAAAGGCACATTTTAAAATAGTAGATTATAAATTTGAATGTCACGGTTATTCAGTCACACCTTGCAGGGATGACCACCTGGAGAGGATGTTGTAGACTTTGGTATTTTCAACAGTGAAAGGTACCACATGACAATTTTGTGGAGCTCGTTAAAACTGCATGCGATATTGGCTATATGTTTGGACTAGATACCTCTAAATTTTTCTGTAGTGTTAAGATTTTATACCTAGTATACTCTAAAGGGAACCACTAAAAGATGTTTCCATCCGAAAGAATACTCTCATTGTCCTTGTACTGGTAATACTTTAAATTCTCACTTTATATGTGCTTGTGCTTGCCAAAGGTGAGATTTTCTGATTTTTCTCTGTGATAATGATAAAGCAAACTATTATTCAGCATTGCCACGTTCATTCAAGCTAGCTTATAGGAGTTGATGTCCAGTTACCCCTTAAGCACTTTTAGGTTGTTAATGCAAGACTGATACATTTTGATGAAAGTGAGATGAAAAAGCCAAAAAATGTTTAGCTGACCTTCGATTGCAAATCTGGGATAATCTGAGCCAGAAAGGAGGCAATATTATAGGAAGCACCATTGATTTTTAAAAATAATCTAATTTGCCTCTTCTGCTTATCAAGGAATCAGATACTTTAGAGTAGGAGATAAATCAATTTTCCAGCTAGAATGGGGTCATGGTGTTTGGAGTCTGCTCCTGAATGACACTGCTTTTATACAATCTATGTCACTGGATTGTGTCCCCAACTTTCTTGAATCTGTTGCTCTAATGTTAGGACCTTTGAAATATTTGAATTAGAATGTACAAAGGAGAGAGCTACCTGACCATCCAAGGTGAATAGACTGCCTCTCTGTCTGTACACGTTATCTGGGCATCAATTAAAAGGCTGGTGTTAATGGAAGGGACCTACTCCTAGTAGAGAATTAGAACACAAATCGGAATGTGGGAATATAACAGAGGTGAATATGGAGGATGGCAGCTTACCATGCACAGGGATGACAAGAGGATTCAGAGGATTCACTACATTTATGATAATATATTATTCTAAATTGTAATATGAAAATATATGTTATGGACTCTAACCCTTGCTAAATACAAACATGCAAAATGCTTTGAAGCTTCTCTGTGACCTCGGGATCAGGGTGAGGCTGAGTTTGAAGGTGGGTGATCTGCAGCATATGCAGGGCAGGGCAAGAGTAGGCTGGGGCGAGAGAATTGACTTGCATACACCAAAGGATGTGAACTCAAAGTACCAGACTTTCTTGATCTTTTCAACTCAGTGGGAGAACATCTGATGAAATATGAAGTTAGTGAACAGATTTGGAATATGTAGCTAAATTTATAATGGAGCCAATCAGGGGGAAAAAACCTACCTATTAAACCTTTGCTTTTGTCATATTCAGTAGCAGAAAAATTGCTACTTGTCCAATTCTAGATATGAGAGGCAATCAGAATATACAGTGAGTGCCTGAGGGTGACTTTTTGGGGGTTAAATATAGCTTTGCATCATTAACTTATGTGGGAAAAAAATCCCATTATGACAGCAAATCAGATCTAATCTGGCACTCCCTCTGCTACAATTATATAAAATATGGTGGAAAGTTGTCAAAGCTTTCAGTGAGAAATGAGGCTACGGATGCTTGGCAGCCCCCTTTTTGAGCAAGTGAAGAATCATGTTGCTTAGCTACAGCCCTTGGCTGATTTAGAGAGCTTTAACTGACTGTATTATACAAGAATTAAACTCTGTTCCCTGATATCTTCTTTTTCTAAGATGAAAGGCCTTATTTCCCACCTTCTTATTTTGTTGGTATCTTCACCAAGACGTTTATGTGTATTCATCCAGGACAGGTTTCGATTCATCATTGTTTTTCCCTCCCCAAGGGCCTATAGATTGAGAGAGAACAAGTGGGTGTTGATGATACAAGCAGAACATGAAGTATTGAGATCACTTGAAAACGCTTTTGTCCTCAAAGTAGTGTACAAGTGTCTATTTCAAATTATTTTTGTCATTTGAAGCCATTGTTTTTTGCCCCCCTCTTCTTTTAGCTTATTCATAGTTTGGGTTACTATTGTCTCTAAAATGCACAAGATTTTTGTATTTTAAAATATAAGCTCACACGTAGGTGTATGGAAAGTGGTAGGGAAGAGTGAATGTAATTGATGAAACAAATAAGAGTAAGGCTGGAAATGGAACAAAAGACCATTGAAAACAGAAGGATTAAGGAGAAAAAACAAACTGCAAATGGAGAATATTTAGAGCAGTTATTGTGCATGAAGTAGAAAAGTGTGTAAAGGGGGAATCGTTAGATGATCAGAGCCCATTTAGTGGGATAAACATGCTCAGAGGGACTTATAAGTCTGGAGGAGGATTTTGGTCCATGCGCTGTCTCCAGAAAGGAATATCTTTATTCTAAATATGTGGGTATCCACTTTATTTTTATAGCTCTTCAGGAAAGAGGGCTGTCCCTCAGCAGTGCTTTCTATTATCTTACCATAATTATCTGTAATGAAGTGAAGCCATGACCTAATCTTGATTGTGTAATTATTTCCATAGATTTTATTATTGGCTTGTCAGTACAGTCTTTGTTTTATGCATGCAAAAGCAGTTTCTTTTTTTTTCCCTGCTGGTGGTTACAATTTCATGATCACCTGGAGGAGATTCTATTGAGTTGATTCTATATTTACATTTGGAAATAGGATAATGGACAACTGTCTCTGTAGGCTTGGCCCCATTGCAATTCTAGATCTGTTGAATACCAGAATTTATAGGTGTACAAACTGAGCAACCCTGCTTATGGGCTATGCTTTTATGCTTGTCTGCAAATCATCTTTGTCTGCCACTTTTTAAAATATGTCTGTATAATGCAGTCATTTTCAAAGTGTGGTCCTGGGACCCCTGGGGGTCCTCAAGACCCTTTCAAGGGAGTCTATGAAGTTAAAAGTATTTTCATAGTAATTCAGAGCCATTATTTGCCTTTGGAACTCTCCATTCTCTTATGAGTATCCCGAGGTTATACAAGATGTGATATAGAAACAGATTAAATGCAGAAAGAGAGAGAGGAGAATCCAGTTGTCTTGTAGTAAGTCTAACATTAAAGAGATTTGCAGAAATGTAAAACAATGACCCTCTTCTTGCTAAATATTTTTTATTTTGGAAAATATAGTTTTTTTCATAAATATGTTACTTATGTTAATATATTTGTTTTATTGATTTTAAATGAATTAATACATATTTTGGAATTTTATCAGTTTTAATATATTAGATGGTAAATATCAATGGACATAACCCCCATAAATCAAAGCTCTTTGGGATACTCAGGAATTTTCAAGAGTGTAAAGGGGTCCCAAGACTGAAATGTGTGAGAGGTGCACTCATCAGCTACTGCATGATTTCTGACCTTAATTCCACTTCCTGGTTTCTGGACTCTCTCTCTCTTCCTTACTTCTGTGATTCGACTGGCAGACTTTTATAACTCAGTTGTTCCCCTCTGCCTTCCCTCCTGATCATTTCAGCCTTAGACCCCGCTGAATTCTCAGCCCAGTGTCATTAGAATTGGTGATGACACAAGCACAGTAATCACATTAATTAAAAGAGCAATCTATCCAAATTAACATTTCACATATTAGTTTGATACGTATTTCTAACTATAGTGAGTGCATTATGGGTAAGAATGTTCATTTATTATTTCACTTATATAGCTTAAGTGAAAACCACACTTTTAGGATTTTTATTTTGACTTCGTTTTCTTAAACAATCTTGACCAAAATGCCAAAGGATGGAATATTCTGTATTTTACTCTTCAAATTTTTCATATTGGGATTTTAAATCTAAATTGAAAATCATTTACATGCCAAGGTATTAGAACTATATAGAATTCTGCAGCCCTAAGTGTATATAAAGACCAATTTGTTTGTCTGAGTAGTGCTGATTGTTAATAATTTTAGTATTTGGTTACCAGTTAGATGGCTTATTCAAGTAATACCTCAAAAGTTTTTTTCTGAAGATTGGTCTGAAATTGTACACTGATCATTTGGTAAGCTGGCCATCTGCTAATTAATTTTAATTTGTAAGTAGCAGATTGTGAATTCAGTAAGCATCATTTTTTTGTATATAGCATCAAGATATTCTTAGGACCAAATGAGTACCATATATATGCAAAATGAAAAGTGAATTTGGGCTTTTTGTTCCTTTGTTGAAATAGTTCAGAGATTCCAGAATTCTTTTTTTATCCAAGTTTTTCACAGGGTTCTCTTTAAATAGGTAAAATAATTTATTGCCCCCTGTGTAATGATATTTTGTTACCCTTGCCACAAGAAGGTATGTGTTGAAGCTGAGCTTGAGTTAGGGAGTGGCAATGAGTAGAAATGAAATCCTACATCTTTTCTCTTTGGTGAGAATTGAATAGATCTTAAATTACAAAAGTGCTTGGTAGTCTGGTCTTTTTGGTGGCAATGTGTTAGGTGTTCTCTTTCCTTCTACATTAGCCACTTGTGATATAAATTTTACTTCAATATCTCATGAATCTATTTTCTTCTCTTATTCTTACTACATCTTAGTTCTATTCCATGATGCTTTGATATGCTTAGGAAAGTGATTACAATAATCTAGTAAAGTAACATATCTATCTTCTCACATGGTTATTTCTCTTCTTCCTTTTTTTTTTTTTTAATGGCAAGAGCACCTGAAATCTATCTGCTCTTAGCTTGCTTGTACTTTTGCAATACTATCTGTTTTCAGTTTTCTTCCTCTTCAGTTCGTCATTCATCGGGCAGTGTATTTTTCTAGAGATAGTATTGCATAGTAGTTAAAAGTGCTTGTTTTTGATTCAAACCACCCATATTTCTTAACCTTTTCATGTCTCAAATTTCTGTAAAATGAGGACAGTTTTTTTTAGCCTATGTAAAGTGTTTTGCACAGTAATTTTTTTTTTTTTTTTTTTTTGAGACGGAGTATCTCTCTGTCATCCAGGCTGGAGTGCAGTGGCAAGATCTCAGTTAACTGCAAGTTCTACCTCCCGGGTTCACGCCATTCTCCTGCCTCAGCCTCCCAAGTAGCTGGGACTACAGGTGCCTGCCACCATGCCCGGCTAATTTTTTGTATTTTTAGTAGAGACGGGGTTTCATCATGTTAGCCAGGATGGTGTCAATCATCTGACCTTGTGATCTGCCCGCCTCAGCCCCCCAAAGTCCTGGGATTACAGGCGTGAGCCACTGCGCCTGGCCTGCACAGTACATTCTTCATAAATGTTAGCCAACCTCCATAGCACTTTGTATGCTTGCAGTTATTATTTATAATTGTTTGTTTGTATCGATCTTCTATGCTAGACTGTAAGCTCCATGAGGGCAGAAACCAAATTAGTGTCATTCACCACTGTCTCAAGTGCCATAACCATGTTTATAATAAAGGCATTTAAAAAGTATTTGTAGTTTGCTTTCAAAAATCTAAATTTTGGCCGGGCGTGGTGGCTCACACCTGTAATGCCAGCACTTTGGGAGGCCAAGATGGGCTGATCATGAGCTCAGGAGATCAAAACCCTCCTGGCTAACATGGTGAAACCCCGTCTCTACTAAAAATACAAAAAGAAATTAGCTGGGCGTGGTGGTGGGTGCCTGTAGTCCCAGCTACTCGGGAGGCTGAGGCGGGAGAATGGCATGAACCCGGGAGGTGGAGCTTGCAGTGAGCCGAGATTGCACCACTGCACTCCAGCCTGGGCGACAGAGCGAGACTCCGTCTCAAAAAATAAAAAAAATAAAAAAATAAATTTCTTCTCATTCTGCAATACCCAACCACTTGCCTTCCATGATTCTACCATGCTTTTTCATGTCTCCATGGTTTTCTTTGCACATGCTGTTCCTTTGGAATAACATACTATTTCCCACTTTGGCCACCTGATCGAGTCATGCTTATCCTTTGAGTCCTAGAGTTGCTCTCGGTGAGCCTTTAGCAGCCTATTCTCCACTTCAGGCAGAAGATTGTTTTCTCCTATGTGCCACTGTAGTACATTGTACATGTTTCTACTGTAACACCTAGAATGCTGTACTAAAATTATTTGGTTGCTATTAATTACAATAACTACATTTATTGGATGCCTTTCCTTTCACTTTGTCAAATGTGTATGCATGAGTATTCATACAAATGTATATAAATGTATATGAAGTTGTATTTAATCTTCAAAGACATCCTAGAAAATATGTATTATTCTAATTTTACAGCTGAGGAAACTGAGACTCAGAAATTTTAAGAAATTAATATAGATTACCTATCAATTAATAATCCGGAGTGATCGATTGCTAATGCAAGAGTAGCTTGAGGCAAGGGCTGTGACCTACTTGCACATCTCATTGGTAAGGCTGTTTTGGTGGTTTAAGTTCATGGTTGCTAGTTTCATCACTAATTTATCTTAAGACCCATAAGAAAGATTTAGATGAATTCTATAGTTTACCAGGTAATCTCATCTTCCTTCAGGAATGGAAAATTCCAGATAGAACCTGGTTATTCATGGAACTCTTCCTGGTATCTGAAAACCTTCTTGGATGTTTAGATTCTAAGTCTAACTTTAATTTGTTTTATGTTTTACTTCATTAACTCATTTCATTGCAAGCAGTCCTAATTAAAAATGAATAGAGGTTGAATTAAAATGAATACTTTTAATTCCTATTAGGGAATGTCTATCATCATACATACTATAATCAACTATTATTTTTAGAATCAAATAAAAACTGCATATGCCATAATGACTCAGTTATGTGCTTTAGTTTCTTTTGTTTTTCATTTGTGATAGATGAATTTTATAAAAAGGGTGTACAGAATTTAGAGTAGGTGGCTCTTCAAATTGACTAGTGATTATTCTCATTCACCATTGTCATGTATTTTTGTCATTTATCTAGATTTGAAAGAATGAACAGGCACATGATACCTTTTAAAGCTGCATCTCTCTCTCTGACAAACAGTGAGTTTTACTCACTACTACTCAGCTAAATCCATATAAATCCTTCTCCACAACCAAACCACTAAATTAAAAATTAGATTATGTTCTCAACATCAAATTTTACAGTATATCTACATGTAAATGTAATTGAAAAACTTATCATAATCAATTTTCACCTTTCCATTTCTTCCTGTCCTCTCTATCCCCTCCTTTTCCACCTCCCTCTTTCCCT
The DNA here is from genome assembly GCF_000001405.40 of Homo sapiens. Classification (NCBI taxonomy): domain Eukaryota; kingdom Metazoa; phylum Chordata; class Mammalia; order Primates; family Hominidae; genus Homo; species Homo sapiens. Next base: position 25,237,934 of record NC_000010.11, read on the forward strand.
CCCTTTCTCACTCCCTCCCCTTTCTTTGCCCGTCCTTCACTTACTTCACTGTCTCTTCTGTTTTCTTCTTTTCTCTCTTCTCTGCTCTCTTCCTTTTTTAAAAAAATTCTTGTCTTTCTTTTCTTTTCTCTCCTTCTTCTTCCTTCTTTTTCTTTTTTAGTAATCGCTACTTCGCAGAAGGAAAGGTGAAAGCTAGATGCTCTCATTTCCAAAAAGAAGTGGCACAATTTGGGCCAAGGCTGTGGGAGTCCACTTCACAGGCAGGCTTTCCCTTCCAGTTTCTTCACTCCATATCCTCCCTCCACACTCACTCCCACCTCCCGAAGTAGATGAAACTGTGTTTTCTCAGAAGGTAATCTTTCCAGTTCCGATTATAATGTGTGATTGACAGGCATCATTAGACCGCATAATACCTGGGAGTCCTGAAGTATTGGTTGCATATCTTTTACAGTATGATTGTAATGTTAATATCTGTTAATAAAATAACAATAAATTCATAATTTAATGTATCTGGAATCACAACATCTTTTATATACATTTGAAAAACAAGACATAAATGGTCAAGGTGTGTTTTTAATTTAAACTAGAATGATTGCTTAGTGTGGTTTATTGAGCATTTTTAACTGCTTATGATAACTCTGTGACTCCACAGAGATTTATGAGCTGCAGGTTATACACTACTTTCAGAGAGTTTGGGGATTTACTTTCTAGCTCGCCTAGTTCTGCTTTTAAAATGGTATGTAGGACTTAAACCATCAAACAAAATCAAGAATGGGTTAGAAAATGGGATTTGTTTCCATGCAAGCCGTATCAAATGCCAATCCAGCGGATCTTCCATAAGTCTTGTAATATACCTGCAGAACATGATCACATTTAGGTTTCTTGTTCAGGACCCTATGATTAGAATATGTTCTGTTCAATTGCTGCACATATTTAGCTTCACACTTTATACAGGTATAGCCATGAATACTGAGGACATGTGATCCTTCCTCAACTTTGTAACTGAAAAAGATCTCAAGGGTGGTATTGTGTGGTCTAATGATACCTTTAAATCATACATTATAATTCAGAACTGGAAAGATTATCTTCTGAGAAAAGAGCTTCATCTACTTGTTGGGGGAGGTAGGAGTGAGTTGGGAGGGAGGATGTGGAGAGTACATGGAGTGAAGAAACCAGAAGGGTAAGCCTGTCTCTGAAGTGGACTTATTTTTACTTTGTCTAACTCTTGCTAATGAAGAGCTAATTTTGACTTGTCTTTAAATTGGATGAGCTGCTGGGGAAGCTTCTTTTATGAAATTCAGGAGGTATGGAGTGAGAGATATGGGTGAGAGGACGCCCAGCCGCAACCAAACTCAAGATTGACCAGCTGTGATTAAAACAATAGGGGCCAGGCATGGTGGCTGATGCCTGTAATCCCAGCACTTTGAGAACCCGAGGCAGGCAGATCTCCTGAGAGATCTCCTGAGAGTTTGAGACCAACCTGGCCAACATGGTGAAACCCCGTCTCTGCTAAAAATACAAAAAATGAGCCGGGCATGGTGGCAGGCACCTGTAATCCCAGATACTTGGGAGGCTGAGGCAGGAGAGTCACTTAAACCTGGGAGGCAGAGGTTGCAGTGAATCAAGGTCACACCACAGAACTTCAGCTTGGGTGACAGAGCGAGACTCTGTCTCAAAAAAAAAAAAAAAGTTATCACCAAGTTTTCCTGGTTGGTGCACACTACCCTGTATTTTCTCTATTAGAGAATATATGCCTGCCAGTAAAATTTAAAGCCCCTTTCTTTGTCTCTTTCCTTCAGTGCAGAAAGTTCTGTTGGATAGGCTAGTCTATTGGTATCTACTATTTGGTTTGTCTGGTTTTAGCTATTGAAGATATTGTAGTAAACAAAACAAAGCCAATAATATACCAGGCACTGAAAACACTAATAATGAGTATTTAATATATCTTATTTTTAGTTATCATCATCTATTGAATACCAACTCTAAGTAGCATACTGTACCAGGAACTGTGGAGATTTTATAAAGTAGTATAGTATGCAGTTCATGTCCTCTAAGGTTTACAATCTTTGTGGGAAGATAGAACATCTGTCTTAATATTATAAGATAAAACAGCAAAACAAGTCAATTACTCTACTACATATTTCCAAAGGCATTGATTAATCTAGTCATTTCAGTCTTAAAGTCATGATAGGTCATCCTATATTGTAATGGGGACAAAATTATTCTGTTCAAATGAATTTGGCACCATACGTATCAAATAAGTGCTCTGAAAGTTCAGAAAGAGATCACTTTTGGCCAGGCACAGTGGCTCATGCCTGTAATCACAGCACTTTGGGAGGCTGAGGTGAGCAGATCACCAGAGGTCATGAATTTGAGACCAGCCTGGCCAACATGGCAAAACCCTGTCTCTACTGAAAATACAAAAATTAGCTAGGCATGGTGGTGCACGCCTGTAATCCCAGCTACTTGGGAGGCTGAGGCAGGAGAATCGCTTGAACCCAGGAGGCAGAAGTTGTAGTGAGCCTAGATCGTGCCATCCAGCCTGGGAGACAGAGACTCCATCTCAAAGAGGTCACTTTGACTAAATGGTCAGGACAGGCATCAGGATGCACGCCTTTAAGAATAGGAAGAATTTTGATTAGAAATGATAAGGAAAGGTGAGCTTCATTGCAGTATCTCCTAAGTACATTGTCTGCTGATAGAACGAATAGATGGTACTAAATGTAGGGAAATGGAATAAGCAGAACTTTATATCATGTACTTTGTGTTGGATTCTTATGTAATAAGATATATAAATTTTTATTTCAAATATGCATATCAGAATTTAGTATCAATAATTGATCAATCAGTAAATATCTATCAATTGGGAGTAGAGCTACCTTTTGGAAGAAATTCCTTAAAATTCTTTACTCTTGAATCAATATGTACCTTCATGAAGATGCCCAACTGATTTGGACCAACTTTCTTAATAGTTTATTTACCTATCATTGGCTGCTAAGATGTTGACTAAGTGGATACCTTCCTTAAGATGGATTCCTCTTGTTTTCTATTAAGAGGTTGAGGAAAGTGGTGATTTCTGAACATAATTGGGTTATGACTACTTTTGGTTCTAAGGAAATTTCCTAAAGAGGTTTTGTTTTTCTATGTATTTTTTAACTCAATTATGACCAAATATTGAATTTTTACTTTGATTTTCTTTCTTTCTTTCTTTCTTTCTTTCTTTCTTTCTTTCTTTCTTTCTTTCTTTCTTTCTTTCCTTTCTTTCTTTCCTTTCTTTCCTTTCTTTCCTTTTTCTTTCCTTTCTTTCCTTTCTTTCCTTTCTTTCCTTTCTTTCTTTCCTTTCTTTCTTTCTTTTCTTTTCTTTTCTTTTCTTTTCTTTTCTCTTCTCTTCTCTTCTCTTCTCTTTTCTCTTTTCTCTTTTCTTTTCTCTTTTCTTTTCTCTCTTCTCTTCTCTTCTCTTCTCTTCTCTTCTCTTCTCTTTTCTTTTCTTTTCTTTTCTTTTCTTTCGACAGAGTCTTGCTCCATCTCCCAGGCTGGAGCACAGTGGTGTGATCTCGGCTCACTGCAACCTCTGCCTCCTGGGTTCAAGCGATTTTCCTGCCTCAGCCTCCTGAGTAGATGGGGTTACAGGTGCGCACCACCATGCCTGGCTAATTTTTCGTATTTTTAGTAGAGATGGGGTTTCACCATGTTGGCCAGGCTGATCTCGAACTCCTGACCTCAGGTGATCCCCCCACCTTGGCCTCCCAAAGTGCTGGGATTACAGGTGTGAGCCACCGTGCCTGGCCCTTTTACTTTGATACTGAATAAGATAACTCTATTCTACTTCCTTATATTGTTAGGTGGTTTGCTGGACCTCAGTAAACTTAAGGTATACAACTAACTTCTGAATTTGGTACAGCTGAATTCTCACAGCACTAGGATAGTTGCTGGACACTTTAAACACACTTTTCTGTATCTAGACCCATTAGTTGAGACACTCCAATGGAGGCATTTTAAAAAGTCTCTTGTACTTCATAAATAGTTGAGCACCTATTCCCCGTATCTACTTAACAAATGTTGGCTAAGTGAGTAAATGAATGGCTTAAATGAGTGAAATGTTTCTATAAACTAAACATGGCAATTTAATAAGAAAATTACCAATTCAAAGGACCTCTCAGTAGCCACGTGGTTTCGTGAAATCTGCAGGAAAACCCAAAGGGGAGGCAGCAGCTTTTAATAGCATAAAATGACCTAGGCCACGCTTAGGGTAATTAATTCACAGATGTAGACAAACATTGGCAGTAGACCTGGTGAATCTTCATTTCATTAAACAGTATCAGAAGCTAAATGGAAGGCACCAGATGCTGAAATAAAATTTCAAAATCTAGATGGTGTAAAAGCTGGTTATTAATTTCATAGAAAATATGTGCTATGAATTAGAATAATAGACTTTAAAAACTTTAGAAGTGAAATTATACAGAAAAACAAATCTCAATATTTTCTGAGTGATTGAATTCCTTAGAGAAAACTAGATTGAAAGTCAGATTTGTCCATATGATTTTTGATCTCATTTGTCTATGCTAATAGGAAAGTGATGTGGAAAGGGTTAATGTTAGGAAATTTATTTATTAGAACTAAGTGTTAACAGAAGCTTTGTGGGTGACTTTTGGATAAGCCCTTGGCCATTCTCTCTCTTCAGATAATGCTTTCCTTTACTTGATTTGAAACATTTTATGTTTAGACTGGATTTTCCTTTATTTAAGATTAATATCAGAATAATGTATGGAATGAAAATTATTTATTTTAGCTCAGTAACTTGAGTGTACTTTTTTTTCCAATTTTATCAGAATATGTGGAGTCTTTCTGTTACATTCAGGGAATCTCAGAGAATATATATCATGTGGTCAGTTTTAAGGTTCATCCAAATAGAAATAAATGTTTTAGGTCTGCACATTTTCCTCATTGCCTCTTTCAGACATGGGTCTATTACCTAACCTATTGCTCCACTAAAATACTCAGTTCCTGACCATATCCCTTTCCATGCCAGATTTGGAATTTGCAGGCCTGGTAACATGGCAGGTCCCAGGCATAGTTCACAAAACTGAAATAGAGACAAGCATACAGCACCAGACAATGGTTGCTGCTGCTACTACATCAAGTGCAATCTTGCCACCACGGCCCTTAAGGCCATCTGCACGGATTCTAGCTAATTTAACCAACAAATCTCCCCCTCCTTACAAGCTATTCTGTCATTCACATACATCATATCAATCCCTTTTGCCAGCTCTTTACTTGTTGTGTTCATCTGGCCTAGAATGTTTCTTTACCCTTGTTAAATTTACCTGTTTTTCAAAGCCCAATTCAAGACCTAACACCTCACTGGTCATCAATAGAAGCAAGCTGTAATTGGCTATAAAATGGAAGGAGTTATCTGGATTACGTTATTCAGCTTGGTCTTTAATCATGCATTCTGCTTATAAATTACTGCATATGTTTCAAATCCCATCACAAGTGGATCTTTTTGGAAGGCCTTTCCCACAATGCTATCCTTCATATGAAGTTCTTTAGCAAAAGAGTCTATTAAAGTTAGTTGAATGCCTGTGATCTGTCATTCTGTACTTGACTTTCAAGCATTTTTCCAAACTAGATTAGATATCACCTTCCCTGGAAAGACATGTTTTTATCCCAAAGGAACATTCCCTTAATATAAGTTCTCATAGCATGCAGTATGTTTTCACAGCACATACAATTTTATTTAATTGTGTCTCCAATCTTTTATATTGTGCTCTTTTAGCTGCACTATGTTACTTGTTCATTATTGTGTCCCTAGTACCAGCCAGAGATATGATGCCTGAACTAAAATGAGTAATCAATAGAATTGCATGTTTATTGGATGTTTGAAACTGTGAGTCCTCCATCTCCAGTAAGATTAGGCTACTAGAGTTTCCTTTATGTGTCCTTTGTGTTTATCATAGAGGCTTATATACAGAAGACATAACAATTATGTATTTCCTGTTTCTAAGAGACTCTAGCTAAGTAGGAAAAGTGACAGGAAATGCTATATAATATTAGAGGAGATTTAATGGACAGTAAATATTTCCAGGCTTTTAGGGGCCTATTTTTTTTTCTGGGTCCTAGCAATTTTAGCCTTGCCTCATCCACTTAGAACAAGAGTCATCTTTTCTATACACATGTTTATAGGCATCTCATTATTTAATTGTCTAGGCTTGCAAAAATAAATAAACCCCCTTTCTTGGTTAATAATCAAAAGACTAGTAAATTACCCCACTTTGCTGTTACCACTACTCTCTCATCCTTCATGTATTCAGTAGCTATTTTATCTCTTCATATGTTTCTCAATTATTTCCTGGGACTCTGTGCTCCAATTCTCAAGTAATACCAGAGATAGCCTAAGGCAGGAGCCACCTTAGGACAGGAGCCACTGCCTTTTCTTTATAGGATCCTTTTCTCTCCATCAGATTTTAAGGTAGGAGTATCATACTTAATGCTAGAAGTTAACAACTCTATAGTGCTACCTATGTGGATATACTTAACATCTTAGAATGCAGAAGGTGACATCAAACAAGATCAGGGAAGGAGTATGGAAATCTAGAGGAATCTAGAAGTATCCACTGTCACTTGCTTTCTCATTTTCTGTCTTCAGCTCTTTATAGTGGCCAAAGTGCAGACCTCAAAGCAGGTCTGAGTCCTTACTCTGTACCTCAGGTTTAGCCTCAGGTATGCCAGACAGTCCAGTTCCCAGCTCTGAAATAGTGAGAGCTAGAGGACTTGGGCTACTCTTGACCCTAAACACCATCCTGATACATATTGGAGGGTTATGACAACAATGATCAATGAAGAAGTTTTGATACTCCTCACAATGGAAATAGTAATTATCTTGGGGTTCTTACCTCTTTGTATCCTAGACTTTTTTTTTTTTTAATTCTTGACGCCAATGGCTTGGTACTTAACCTCTTTTCTCCTGGATTTCTGGTTTATTTAACCAGAGGTGCATGTTTCTTTTGGCAGGCACAGATGACACTGGTCACTTGGTTGGATTAATGCTACAGTTCTCAGCAAAGCTTCCAATAACATGCTATGTTGAATGGCTCCTTGGGCATTACCTATCCCAGTCATTGCTTCAGAATTCTTCTTATTCCCGAGTTGGACTTTCTCTCAACTACTAATTTCGTCCATTGCTCCTAGAGAATATTGAAATGTCTTTGAAAGCATCTTTATCTATCACGATGCTCAAAGGAATGCCAGTTCACTGGAAGGAGAAGTAAAGGAGGAGCCCAACAGGGGATTAGTGTGCATTTGTTAACAAACAACCTGTTCTTCTATGGAGAAGAGGCCCGTGATAGATCAGGTCTTTAAGGGTGAGCCTGGCCCAGGCCATGTCTTCTGTCAGTAAATCCTATGGTGAGTCATAGGATCATGGGATATGATTATTTCTTTTTATTAACACATATGATAGAGGGTTCAGAGAAGAGGAAGAAAGGATTAAAAAAAAAACTAACTCCTGAATAGTAACCTAGAAACTGTTTGTCTATTTTTGGAATATGACCTATTCTTCACATGAAACTGAATTCTAGTTCTGTTGTGTATGAGTGTGTGTTGGGGGGTGGGTGTAAGACTGTGATTCTCAACCTTGATTTGTGACATCATTGACAATCTCCAAGATTGTGGTAAAGTTCCTTTTTAAAAAATCATAAAAGTTTAAAAATTTTCCTTATTAAACTCCTGCCATGGAACTTTTTAAAGAGAAGACAAAGGTGCAGTTTAATTAATCTCAACATAGAGTAACTTCTCTCCTGAGATTTTGGAAATTGTGTTTCCAACATAATCTTTTATTAAAAATACTGAAAAGGATGGGAAATAATGCTAATTGTGCAATCAATACTTAATCTTGAAAACACTGAGGAACTATTTCAGATACAGATAAAAATTATGAAATCTTTTATAATAGTTATTTTGTTATTAAATTAGGCATTATTTGTTATTATTGAAAGATACTCCAAAACTAATTTGAATCTTTGCTATAAAATAGAATTTTGTTTCTGTTTGCTTCAGTTTATCCCATTAGAAGCAGGAAGGGCTGCTATTGGCACATAGCCATGTCACCCCTTATGACAAATCTATTCTAAATTGATATAAGTTTTGAGGATCAGTCCTTTTATAAAGATGGTGAATGAGTTTCCCTAGACCCATATAAAGTTTTTAACCTACTCTGTCCTTGGGAAAAGCTCATTTACAGTGATTTTTAAAATAGCTGTGAGGGCTTGTTCTTTCTGAGCAAGTAGTAATGCCAAATTTGATAGTCACTGTAGAATACAAGCCACAGAAATATAAATATTATCCTGGAAAGCCATGACATCTTTGCAAAGAGAGAGACTTAACTATATAAAGTGATTTCTGCATTTTCTGTGTGTATCTGCAAATAATAAATCATCACTGTTTCTTGGTTTGTGTTACATGCTTTTCCCCCCTAAAAACTGGACTCAAGTTTTAATTTTGAAAATGATTTTTCAAATCTCCAATCAGAACTTCTGAGACGGAGGCACCACTAAATGAGAAATTAAATGTTAAAGCTTTAATATTTACTGTTAGTTCAATTAAATATGTAAAAGCTGATGAGCTGAGCATTATCGGGGGAATAGAATGATGAGTGACATGGCACCTGCCTGCAAAGAGCTTGACGTTTCATTGGTGGTGGGGATAGGAAGCATATATGGAGCAAACAATGCTTAAGCAATGAATGATCAGTAAAGAAACTTCTAAATACTAGACCTGGCTTTTAAAGCAATTAATAATGACTCCTTCAGAAACAAGATTATTCTTGTAAGTTAAAGAGTCACTGCTTTATGCAGCTGATTGATAAGAAGGATTTTTGGATGTGGCACTAACAAGCATGAGATCCTTTTCATAGTACCTTTATTATGGTTTAATATGTTCAGGATGGGCACTCCAGTCAGTTAATGAGGGAATTGTGTATGCTTATTAACAGGTATTGAAGAGATTAATAGGTATTAATCTAAATTAACAGATTTTTCTGAAATCATTCCATTGGAAGCCTCAGATGCTTTGGTGAAAGTCAACGGTGCCTTTTTAGCCAACTTGGAGGTTTTGAGGAATGTGTAACAACAGTTGTACCAGAAAGATCCAATCTGTTTTTTCCACCATTCATTTCAGCACTAGCTGGAGCCATGCTTCTTTTCCTGAGAAGGTCATTTGTACTCTGACATCCCATTGAGATGACAGTCTATTTTTTATGATTTTAAAATTGATGTTGTGTCAACTATCTTATCAAATACCTTCAAACCCTGAACTGAGTCTTGTGCACAATAACTTCTTCAACAACCTATCATGGTTTTAAAATTCAATTTATTCTTTTTTTTTTTCTTTTTTTTTTATTATACTTTAAGTTTTAGGGTACATGTGCACATTGTGCAGGTTAGTTACATATGTATACATGTGCCATGCTGGTGCGCTGCACCCACTAACTCGTCATCTAGCATTAGGTATATCGCCCAATGCTATCCCTCCCCCCTCCCCCCACCCCACCACAGTCCCCAGAGTGTGATATTCCCCTTCCTGTGTCCATGTGATCTCATTGTTCAATTCCCACCTATGAGTGAGAATATGCGGTGTTTGGTTTTTTGTTCTTGCGATAGTTTACTGAGAATGATGATTTCCAATTTCATCCATGTCCCTACAAAGGACATGAACTCATCATTTTTTATGGCTGCATAGTATTCCATGGTGTATATGTGCCACATTTTCTTAATCCAGTCTATTATTGTTGGACATTTGGGTTGCTTCCAAGTCTTTGCTATTGTGAATAATGCTGCAATAAACATACGTGTGCATGTGTCTTTATAGCAGCATGATTTATAGTCCTTTGGGTATATACCCAGTAATGGGATGGCTGGGTCAAATGGTATTTCTAGTTCTAGATCCCTGAGGAATCGCCACACTGACTTCCACAATGGTTGAACTAGTTTACAGTCCCACCAACAATGTAAAAGTGTTCCTATTTCTCCACATCCTCTCCAGCACCTGTTGTTTCCTGACTTTTTAATGATTGCCATTCTAACTGGTGTGAGATGGTATCTCATTGTGGTTTTGATTTGCATTTATCTGATGGCCAGTGATGATGAGCATTTTTTCATGTGTTTTTTGGCTGCATAAATGTCTTCTTTTGAGAAGTGTCTGTTCATATCCTTCGCCCACTTTTTGATGGGGTTGTTTGTTTTTTTCTTGTAAATTTGGTTGAGTTCATTGTAGATTCTGGATATTAGCCCTTTGTCAGATGAGTAGGTTGTGAAAATTTTCTCCCATTTTGTAGGTTGCCTATTCACTCTGATGGTAGTTTCTTTTGCTGTGCAGAAGCTCTTTAGTTTAATTAGATCCCATTTGTCAATTTTGTCTTTTGTTGCCATTGCTTTTGGTGTTTTGGACATGGTCCTTGCCCATGCCTATGTCCTGAATGGTAATGCCTAGGTTTTCTTCTAGGGTTTTTATGGTTTTAGGTCTAACATTTAAATCTTTAATCCATCTTGAATTGATTTTTGTATAAGGTGTAAGGAAGGGATCCAGTTTCAGCTTTCTACATATGGCTAGCCAGTTTTCCCAGCACCATTTATTAAATAGGGAATCCTTTCCCCATTTCTTGTTTTTCTCAGGTTTGTCAAAGATCAGACAGTTGTAGGTATGCGGCGTTATTTCTGAGGGCTCTGTTCTGTTCCATTGATCTATATCTCTGTTTTGGTACCAGTACCATGCTGTTTTGGTTACTGTAGCCTTGTAGTAAAGTTTGAAGTCAGGTAGTGTGATGCCTCCAGCTTTGTTCTTTTGGCTTAGGATTGACTTGGCGATGTGGGCTCTTTTTTGGTTCCATATGAACTTTAAAGTAGTTTTTTCCAATTCTGTGAAGAAAGTCATTGGTAGCATGATGGGGATGGCATTGAATCTGTAAATTACCTTGGGCAGTATGGCCATTTTCATGATATTGATTCTTCCTACCCATGAGCATGGAATGTTCTTCCATTTGTTTGTATCCTCTTTTATTTCCATGAGCAGTGGTTTGTAGTTCTCCTTGAAGAGGTCCTTCACATCCCTTGTAAGTTGGATTCCTTGGTATTTTATTCTCTTTGAAGCAATTGTGAATGGGAGTTCACTCATGATTTGGCTCTCTGTCTGTTGTTGGTGTATAAGAATGCTTGTGATTTTTGTACATTGATTTTGTCTCCTGAGACTTTGCTGAAGTTGCTTATCAGCTTAAGGAGATTTTGGGCTGAGACAATGGGGTTTTCTAGATATACAATCATGTCATCTGCAAACAGGGACAATTTGACTTCCCCTTTTCCTAATTGAATACCCTTTATTTCCTTCTCCTGCCTAATCGCCCTGGCCAGAACTTCCAACACTATGTTGAATAGGAGTGGTGAGGGAGGGCATCCCTGTCTTGTGCCAGTTTTCAAAGGGAATGCTTCCAGTTTTTGCCCATTCAGTATGATATAGGCTGTGGGTTTGTCATAGATAGCTCTTATTATTTTGAAATACGTCCCATCAATACCTAATTTATTGAGAGTTTTTAGCATGAAGGGTTGTTGAATTTTGTCAAAGGCTTTTTCTGCATCTATTGAGATAATCATGTGGATTTTGTCTTTGGTTCTGTTTATATGCTGGATTACATTTATTGATTTGCGTATATTGAACCAGCCTTGCATCCCAGGGATGAAGCCCACTTGATCATGGTGGATAAGCTTTTTGATGTGCTGCTGGATTCGGTTTGCCAGTATTTTATTGATGATTTTTGCATCAATGTTCATCAAGGATATTGGCCTAAAATTCTCTTTTTTTGTTCTGTCTCTGCCCGGCTTTGGTATCAGAATGATGCTGGCCTCATAAAATGAGTTAGGGAGGATTCCCTCTTTTTCTATTGATTGGAATAGTTTCAGAAGGAATGGTACCAGTTCCTCCTTGTACCTCTGGTAGAATTCGGCTGTGAATCCATCTGGTCCTGGACTCTTTTTGGTTGGTAAGCTATTGATTATTGCCACAATTTCAGCTCCTGTTATTGGTCTATTCAGAGATTCAACTTCTTCCTGGTTTAGTCTTGGGAGAGTGTATGTGTCAAGGAATTTATCCGTTTCTTCTAGATTTTCTAGTTTATTTGCATAGAGGTGTTTGTAGTATTCTCTGATGGTAGTTTGTATTTCTGTGGGATCGGTGGTGATATCCCCTTTATCATTTTTTATTGCATCTATTTGATTCTTCTCTCTTTTTTTCTTTATTAGTCTTGCTAGTGGTCTATCAATTTTGTTGATCCTTTCAAAAAACCAGCTCCTGGATTCATTGATTTTTTGAAGGGTTTTTTGTGTCTCTATTTCCTTCAGTTCTGCTCTGATTTTAGTTATTTCTTGCCTTCTGCTAGCTTTTGAATGTGTTTGCTCTTGCTTTTCTAGTTCTTTTAATTGTGATGTTCGGGTGTCAATTTTGGATCTTTCCTGCTTTCTCTTGTGGGCATTTAGTGCTATAAATTTCCCTCTACACACTGCTTTGAATGTGTCCCAGAGATTCTGGTATGTGGTGTCTTTGTTCTCGTTGGTTTCAAAGAACATCTTTATTTCTGCCTTCATTTCGTTATGTACCCAGTAGTCATTCAGGAGCAGGTTGTTCAATTTCCATGTAGTTGAGCGGCTTTGAGTGAGATTCTTAATCCTGAGTTCTAGTTTGATTGCACTGTGGTCTGAGAGATAGTTTGTTATAATTTCTGTTCTTTTACATTTACTGAGGAGAGCTTTACTTCCAAGTATGTGGTCAGTTTTGGAATAGGTGTGGTGTGGTGCTGAAAAAAATGTATATTCTGTTGATTTGGGGTGGAGAGTTCTGTAGATGTCTATTAGGTCCGCTTGGTGCAGAGCTGAGTTCAGTTCCTGGGTATCCTTGTTGACTTTCTGTCTCGTTGATCTGTCTAATGTTGACAGTGGGGTGTTAAAGTCTCCCATTATTATTGTGTGGGCGTCTAAGTCTCTTTGTAGGTCACTCAGGACTTGCTTTATGAATCTGGGTGCTCCTGTATTGGGTGCATATATATTTAGGATAGTTAGCTCTTCTTGTTGAATTGATCCCTTTACCATTATCTAATGGCCTTCTTTGTCTCTTTTGATCTTTGTTGGTTTAAAGTCTGTTTTATCAGAGACTAGGAATGCAACCCCTGCCTTTTTTTGTTTTCCATTTGCTTGGTAGATGTTCCTCCATCCTTTTATTTTGAGCCTATGTGTGTCTCTGCACATGAGATGGGTCTCCTGAATACAGCACACTGATGGGTCTTGACTCTTTATCCAATTTGCCAGTCTGTGTCTTTTAATTGGAGAATTTAGTCCATTTAAATTTAAAGTTAATATTGTTATGTGTGAATGTGATCCTGTCATTATGATGTTAGCTGGTGATTTTGCTCGTTAGTTGATGCAGTTTCTTCCTAGTCTCGATGGTCTTTACATTTTGGCATGAATTTGCAGCGGCTGGTACTGGTTGTTCCTTTCCATGTTTAGCGCTTCCTTCAGGAGCTCTTTTAGGGCAGGTCTGGTGGTGACAAAATCTCTCAGCATTTGCTTGTCTGTAAAGTATTTTATTTCTCCTTCACTTATGAAGCTTAGCTTGGCTGGATATGAAATTCTGGGTTGAAAATTCTTTTCTTTAAGAATGTTGAATATTGGCCCCCACTCTCTTCTGGCTTGTAGGGTTTCTGCCGAGAGATCTGCTGTTAGTCTGATGGGCTTCCCTTTGAGGGTAACCCGACCTTTCTCTCTGGCTGCCCTTAGCATTTTTTCCTTCATTTCAACTTTGGTGAATCTGACAATTATGTGTCTTGGAGTTGCTCTTCTCGAGGAGTATCTTTGTGGCGTTCTCTGTATTTCCTGAATCTGAACATTGGCCTGCCTTGCTAGATTGGGGAAGTTCTCCTGGATAATATCCTGCAGAGTGTTTTCCAACTTGGTTCCATTCTCCCTGTCACTTTCAGATACACCAATCAGACGTAGATTTGGTCTTTTCACATAGTCCCATATTTCTTGGAGGCTTTGCTCATTTCTTTTTATTCTTTTTTCTCTAAACTTCCCTTCTCGCTTCATTTCATTCATTTCATCTTCCATTGCTGACACCCTTTCTTCCAGTTGATCGCATCAGCTCCTGAGGCTTCTGCATTCTTCACATAGTTCTCGAGCCTTGGTTTTCAGCTCCATCAGCTCCTTTAAGCACTTCTCTGTATTGGTTATTCTAGTTATACATTCTTCTAAATTTTTTTCAAAGTTTTCAACTTCTTTGCCTTTGGTTTGAATGTCCTCCTGTAGCTCAGAGTAATTTGATCGTCTGAAGCCTTCTTCTCTCAGCTCGTCAAAGTCATTCTCCATCCAGCTTTGTTCTGTTGCTGGTGAGGAGCTGCGTTCCTTTGGAGGAGGAGAGGCACTCTGATTTTTAGAGCTTCCAGTTTTTCTGTTCTGTTTTTTCCCCATCTTTGTGGTTTTATCTACTTTTGGTCTTTGATGATGGTGATGTACAGAGGGGTTTTTGGTGTGGATGTCCTTTCTGTTTGTTAGTTTTCCTTCTAACAGACAGGACCCTCAGCTGCAGGTCTGTTGGAATACCCTGCCGTGTGAGGTGTCAGTGTGCCCCTGCTGGGGGGTGCCTCCCAGTTAGGCTGCTCAGGGGTCAGGGGTCAGGGACCCACTTGAAGAGGCAGTCTGCCGGTTCTCAGATCTCCAGCTGCGTGCTGGGAGAACCACTGCTCCCTTCAAAGCTGTCAGACAGGGACATTTAAGTCTGCAGAGGTTACTGCTGTCTTTTTGTTTGTCTGTGCCCTGCCCCCAGAGGTGGAGGCTACAGAGGCAGGCAGGCCTCCTTGAGCTGTGGTGGGCTCCACCCAGTTCGAGCTTCCTGGCTGCTTTGTTTACCTAAGCAAGCCTGGGCAATGGCGGGCGCCCCTCCCCCAGCCTCGCTGCCGCCTTGCAGTTTGATCACAGACTGCTGTGCTAGCAATCAGCGAGATTCCGTGGGCGTAGGACCCTCAGAGCCAGGTGTGGGATATAGTCTCGTGGTGTGCCGTTTCTTAAGCCGGTCTGAAAAGCGCAATATTCGGGTGGGAGTGACCCGATTTTCCAGGTGCGTCCGTCACCCCTTTCTTTGACTCGGAAAGGGAACTCCCTGACCCCTTGCGCTTCCCAGGTGAGGCAATGCCTCGCCCTGCTTCGGCTCGCGCACCGTGCGCGCACCCACTGGCCTGCGCCCACTGTCTGGCACTCCCTAGTGAGATGAACCCGGTACCTCAGATGGAAATGCAGAAATCACCGGTCTTCTGCGTCGGTCACGCTGGGAGCTGTAGACCGGAGCAGTTCCTATTCGGCCATCTTGGCACCTCCCCCCAATTTATTCTTTAGAATAATGGGGGAGGTGTCCCTCTGAGCTAATTACTTGTTGGAGCTAATACTAGGGGATACTATATTTGTGCTTAAAAGAGCTATGAAATGTCAACCTCAGATACATGAAAAGCTTAAATAAGGGGAATCCTAACTGAGAGTCCACCTTTGACTTTGAGATTGGAAGGAATAGTTGATTATTATTGGTAATGTCATTCAGAATCTTCTTTGACACAGGCAGAATATAATTATCTAATTTTTACAAGCTTGCTGTGTAGAAGATATTGGTAAGATGTAAGAACATTTTCCAATGAATGATGCTCTATAAACATATGAGCCATGCTGAAACCGTTATTTATATATATATATATCACACTTTGATAGTTTCTGAGCTGTGTTGCAATTAATGATGTATAAAATGGTTCATGACTTGTTGATGGGATAATTCTTTGAAAGAGAAGCTTTCCTTTTCGAAGAAAATTATAAAATTTGCCTTGGGACAAAACCAGCAAACCAAATATTGTCCACTGCTCTTTGCCAATTTTGTAATTAAAAAACTAATACATCAGAGTAATAAAATTGTAGGAACCATAGAAAAGGTTCTATTCTTGGTATTTCAAAACAACTGTCTCAGTCTAACATAATTAGCATTGTTTAGTTTGCTCTTTCAAATGGAAGGATATGTGTGTATGAATTCAAGAGCTTTGACTATTGTATACAATTCCCTTATGGATCATTAAAGATAACTTCTGTGGCTAACACCTAAGAAATGTTATCGGTTTTTAAGGTTTATTCTACTGCTTGTACTTGGGGCTTTGGCTCTTTGTTTGTGGTTTATAAAATACTGTCCAAGAAAATCAAGGCTGTCTTTACAAATTAATTATTTCTTTTTCTTTTCTTATTTTCATTGAAACATCCATGGAGATACCTTGATAAAAGTGTTTTTTCTTCATGGCAAAACAGGACAAATAGATTTGCAAAACCACATGAACTGATATACTTTAAGGGAGAGTTTATAAAAATACTGTACGCTGTAGCAGATCCTGAAGAACAAAGCTTATCACCTGAAAAAACATAACTGCTTTAGTTTAAATATTAATTTCTCTGAAGAATTCTGGTTTGATTATTTTTAAAAGGAGTAGACAAAAATTTTCTTTAATAATTTCCGTGTAGTCACTGATCTAGAAAATTCTAAAAGGCTCATAAATAAATGAGATGGGGATCACTAAGTTATGAAATAAGTAGTAGTGAAAAAATAAATTCTATTTCTAATAATATAGCATTTATATAACTGCATTTAATTATATACAGTAAAACAAAGTTCAGGAAGATAAATAGGGAATTTTTAAATATCTACATCCAGAATATCTTGTTATTTTTGTTAGAAAACAGTTGAGTATGTGATTGGAGACTGAAACTTCTTTTTGAAAGCATATTAGTGTAATGTATTTCTTGATTACTCTTTATTTCTAAAACTTTTAGCAAATTAACTTTCTCACCTTGGAAGTATCTAATGACTAGACACATTCTAAAACTACTTTTTCAAGAGAGTTAGTTGATTTGGAGGCTCAGCTCAGTTAATTTCAATACTCAGACCTTGAAATCAACATAGAAAGTCTTCGAGTAGTCCTTCTGGGTCTATTACTTCCTGGAAATTCTTGCTGCAGGTTTTGTAATGACATCAAGTATTCCATGGGTCTGGACTCCCTGCTATTCCTGGATGCTATTTTCATCAGTCTCTCCAGTTATGTAAATGATTTATATTGATTCCCTCTCAGTCTTTCTCTGTTTTTCTCTTTGCAAATAGCTCTTTTACTGAGAGCAACACAAACACAATACTGCCCCAAATAGAAAACCTTGACAATTATAGCTGAATTTTGTTATTCTGTTAGGTTCCCTTACAGCTTTCAGTGTAGCTCAGTTCAGCTTTGTCCATCAAATCACTAAGTATTTTGGTGGATGGCAGGGTTAGAAGGGTTGAGTCTTATTTCTTGTGTGCTGTGTTAGTTTTGTATTGCTACATAAACTACAACAAAGTTCATCATTCAAACAACAAACATTTATTATATCACAGTTTTTGTAGGTCAGAAGCCTAGGCTGGATGACCTGACTGTGTCCTCTGCTCAGGGTCTCTCTAGGTCTCTAGGCTTCAGCTGGGGCTGTGGTCTTATCAGGAGCTTGGAGTCCCCTTCCAAGTTCATTCTGGTCCTTGGCAGAATTAACTCCCTTGTGGTTATAGGATGGAGATCCCTGTTTTATTTGTTTGTCTGTTTGTTTTGTTTTGTTTTGTGCTGGCCTCAGCTTCTAGAGGCTGCCCTCAGGAGATGGCCATGTATTTCTCTCACAGCCTGGATGGCTGTCTTCTTCAGAACAACCAGGAGAATTTTTTTCATTTCAAATATCTTTCTCTTTTGAATAACTCACCTGATTAAGTTAGGCCATCCAGGATAATTTTCATTTTGACTCAAAATCAACTGATTTGAGATTACATCCACAACATTCCTTCATCTTTGTCGGGTAATATCACTTAATCATGGCAGTAAAATCCATCATATTATATACCTGTCCATACTCAATGGGAGGGGATGATAAATGGTGTGTGCAAGAGGAAGGAATCTTGGGGACCATCTTAGAATTCTACCTTCTGCATATGCCATATCTTTTCAGAATGAGTTTCTATTTTCAACATTGGTTTAGAATTGAAGTGTTGAGTTACAGGTGTATCAGTGAGTGATGTGACTAAAGACCTTATGGGTCCATAGCTACCATAGCCTGTGACTGCCATCTGCCATCATTATCTGGTGGCACTTGCCATACTATTAATTAGTACTTTCGACTGAAAAAAAAAAAACCTTTATGCTTAGCAGAAGAGTAAACACCAAACAGCGTTTAAAATTACTATTATAATCCAAAAATATAAAAATATTTATAAAAAGAAGCTGTGTGTTTAGAGATAATTTCCAAGAACGTGCAATTCAATATACCTTATCATGCATTCCACATGGTAGAAACTGATCTTTAAAAATAGTGTGCTTGGCTGGGTGCAGTGGCTAACGCCTATAAACTCAACACTTTGGGAGGCTGAGGTAGGAAGATCACGCGAGGCCAGGAGTTCAAGACCAACCTGGGTAACATAGTAAGGCCCTGTCTCTACAATCTACAATTTTTTTTTTAATTAGCTGAGTATGGTGGCACATGTGTATGCACATGTCCTGTGGTCCTAGGAACTCAGGAGGCTGAGGCAGGAGGCTGAGGCGGTAGGAGTGCTTGAGCCCAGGAGGTTGAGACTGCAGTGAGCCATGATGGCTCCACTGCACTTCAGTCTAGGTGACAGAGTGAGACTCTATTCACAACAATAAAAATAAAATAAAATAAAATAAAAACAATAGTATGCTTTAGTTGTCCTCCTTTGTTGTCCTGTTCCTTCCCTAATTAAACATATAGATATGCTCAGCAAATCTGCAGATGAAACAAAGCCGATAACATTAGTAAATATATTACAGTTATAAAATGGAGATCCAAAAAGTATTCTAGCAGAATAAACATAATAGGCTGAAATTAACAGGATACGTTTAGATAGAGATAAACCTAAAAGCCCTGTATTGATGTTTTCCCTAAAAGAAAAACATTGTCTCAGGTACAGATTAGTGGATAGATTTCTTAGCATATATGTCTTAGTTCATTTTCTGCTGCTGTAACAGAATACCACAGACTGAGTAATTTATAAGGAAAACAAGTTTATTTGGCTCATAGTTTTGGAGACTGGGAAGTCCAAGAGCATAGAATTGGCATCTGGTGAGGATCATCCCACAGCAGAAAGGGAGAAGATGGAAGCAAGTACGTGAGACAGAGAAATGGGCTGAACTCACCCTTTTTATCAAGAGCCCACCCTAGAACTTACTCCTGTAATAGGAGCATTAATCCATTCCTGCAGGCTAAGCCCTCATGATATAATCTTTTAAAGGCCCTGTCTTTTAATACTATTACAATAGCAGTTACATTTCCAACACATGAACTTTGGGGGACATACTCAAACCATAGGAATGCCTCTTAATACATTTGGAAAAGACTTAGAAATTCTGATTAGCATTGAGTTTCATGTGAACGAACAGTGGTATGGGCTGCCAGAAAAAGCTGATCGGCTATTTAGAGAAGGAAAGTAATAATTCTGCTCTATTTTCTACACTTGATCTTAGCCAAAAGACTGAGAAGCAATCTGCTCTATTTTCTAATCATCAGAAGAAATAAAGTATATGTGCTGTCTTTTCCTTTTCTAATTTATTCAAAATAATTTCTCAAAGCTTGCAAACATTTTTCTTCCCTATTTATGTATTCTCATTTTGTCCATTCTGCTTACTAAATATAAGTCACTTTGTATTCATATTATATCATTAACTTGTGTCAACATTTATTTTGAATGGCCCTTAAGTTTTGGCTATACTTTGCGAGTTACATGGGTCCGTTCTCATATGAATATATCACTTACGCAAGTAGGCTTGTTTTGCAAGTTTCTTGGCCTTGCAACAGTCTTCTCTCTTCTGTCCATGCGGGTTAGGAAAAATGAAGAGATGAAAAATCCTCCACATTCTTGCTCATCCTTCCTTTCTTATGTGCATCCTGACTCTTCGAGATGGGAATGCTTTTCTTCTACAAAATAGAAGTAAAATGTGGCTTTACCAGTTGATTCCAAGGCTATACACTGAAGAAATAAAAATAATCCCCTAGTCTCTAGGGAACTAATTTTATGAGATATTTTTAACTACCAGATAACTTCACTTTGTGCCCAGAGTCAAAGGGAAACATGTAAGCCATTCAACATGAAAGGCATCAAGCACAATCTTAAACTAAGTGTAAGCAACTGCTTATTTAGGGCACTTAATCACCACTACATAAAGCATGCATGCATACCTTCTCTCATTCACTTATTCATTTGTTTATGCATTTCTCATACACTGAATGTAGAACTTAACTACATTGTAGGCACTATCATAAATAATCTGACATATTCTGCCTTAATCTGACGTAAATATCTTACCCCTGATTGCGGCTTACCTTGTTTTAATTATTTTTGTAGCTTCTTTGAGGAACTAAAGTTCTTAATTTTAACTTATTCAATTTTCACAAACCTTTTCCTTTACAATTGTGCTTTTTTTCTGATGTAACAAACCCTTCCCTTCTGAATCATAGAAATATTTTCTATAATTTCTTCTATGAGTTTTAAAATTTTGGCTTTCACATTTAAATTATGTATCTATTTAGAATTGATTTTTGTTATGGTAGGAGGTAGGAATTCATTGTAATTTTTTTTTCCATACGAACCAAGGGTCAGCAAGCTTTCTGTGAAGAACAAGATAATAAATATTTTAGGCTTTTTAGGTCATATGGTCTCTGTTGCAACTATAGTTAACTATTGAACAATGCAGGGATAAGGGGCACCAACCGCCTGTACAGTGGAAAATTTACATGTAACTTTCGATTCCCAAAAAGTTAACTACTAATAGCCTACTATTGGCTGGAAGCCTTGTCTGTAACATAAACAGTCAATTAACATAGTTTGTATGTTCTATGTATTATATACCGTATGCATATAATAAAGTAAGCTAGAGAAAAGAAAATGTTACTAGGCAAATCATAAGAGAGAAAATACATTTTTTATTCATTAAGTGGGAGTAGATCATCATGAAATTCTTTTTGATGATCCATTACCTTTATGACGATCCACTTCCACCTGTCATCTTCATGTTGAATAGGCTGAGGAGGAGGAGGAAGAGGAGGGGTTGGCCTTGTCTCAAAAGTTGCAGAGGCAGAGGAAAATCCACATATAAGCAGTTCAAACATGTGTTGTTCAAGGGTCAACTGTACTTTACTCTGCCATTGTGGCATAAAAGCAGCCAAGGACAAACTATAAATGAATGGGCATTGCTAGTTCCAACAAGACTTTATTTACAAAATCAGGAATCTCTCTAGATTTAGCCTGTGGACTATAGTTTGCCAGTGCCTTGTGTAGATAATTAATTGTCTCAGACAACTTTTTTGGTCTTTCTTTTCCCACTGATGTTCAGTGCCTGCTCTTTTGTATAATGTTTCCATATATGTGTTTCTCAGTTCTTTGTGTGTGTGTTTTTAAATTGTTTCAGTTGTTGTGGTATCTCACTTTTCTAAGTACTATAGCTTTATTATAAGATTTGCTATCTGGCAGAGAAAAAAAGTTCCTTGTGATTCTTCCTTAGATGTGTCTTGGCCTTTGTTGATCATCCCTCTTTTAAATAAATCTTAAAAATCATATTGTCAAGTTCCATAAAAACTCCACTTCGAATTTGATTGAATTGTGTTATATCCATATAGGGAGAACTAACATTAAAATACTGCATTCCTGTTTCTGAACATATTGTATCTCTGCTTTTATTTGGGTCATCTTTAATATCTTAACTAAAGTTTGTAATATTCTTTAATGCCTTGCACATCACTTTTTAGATTTATTCCTATCTACTTTATTTTTGTGTTGCTATGATAAATAGTATGTTCTTAAAAATTGCTTTTTTTTGACTTTTGCTGATGTGTATAATTTTGATCAAATTTTATATGCTGCTTATGGCTAAACTCTATAAATCTAGTAAACTTTTCTTTGGAGTTTATTCTATTGTCTGTGTATAATGACAGTTTTGTTTTTTCATTTCCACTGCTATTATTTAAAATTTATTTTATTCCACTGACTACAACCTCTAGTACAATGTTGAATACAAGTAATAAGAATAGGAATTTCTATATTTTCCCTGCTTTTTAAAGAACGAGGTAACTGTTTGACTACGGCACATAACATTTGCGATAGATTTTTTTGTTTGTTTGTCAGGCATACTTTATTAGGCCAAGGAATTTGCTTTGTTTTCTATTTTGTACCTGACAATTACAGTGCTTGGTGTGATTCCTTGTCTTTTTCCCCTTATAACTCTCCTTCAAGGAGGCTAATTTTGCATATATTATGAGGCCATGTTTCTTAGAATTTCATCTCCGGAAATCTTTTAGGCCTGGATCAAAGTGAGCATGTTCTTCCAGAGAAAAATTGTGTTTGCTTTTGTTAGCATGGTCACTACCAATTCAGGATCACTTCAATTAAATTTTTGTCCTGAGACTTTTTAGGACACACAGTTAATATGAATTTTTACATATGTTAGGCTTTTTTTTTTTAACTTTTCTTCCAAAGAATCCAGAGTTCAGGGCTAAGACTGACTTGTATTATTCTTTTGGTGGGACAGTTACTATTGTTTTGTTTTGTTTTTATTCCTCCCTCATTTTATGTTCTTAGGATGTCACCCTTTGAAAGCGCTGGGTTTAAGGGAGCATCTCTAATCTCACCTCCTACCCTAAAAGGGGCTTAGGTTTTGTCTTGTTTTCCATATGTAGCTGATTAACACTCAGGCTCTAGGTTAGCAAGAATTGCTGTATATGACAAAGCAACTGCCAGCTCCCATGCTACTTATTTCTCTGGATTTTTGCTTTCTATTCGTCTATGGCCTCTGAGAATGATTTCTGACCTCTTAGTTTCTTGTTAGATGAGGAAGGCATAAGAAAAAAATGTTTTAAAAGTTTTCAATTGGCATTTTTAGTTGTGCTATACCAGAAGGAGATTGTGTGAACATCTATTCTGCTATATTGCTAAAACCAGTATTTCCCATTTGACTTTACCCAAGATCACAGACTCTTGTCCTGAGCTGTCCTACCTGATCATGACTAAACCTTCCTGCACATTAAAACCATCTGGGAAGCTTTTAAAAATCCTGATGCTCGGGCCACAGTCCAGAATTTAATAAATTAGATTATCTGAGGGATCAGTAATTTTTAAAGCTCCCCACAGGATTCCATTTTGCAGCTAAGGTTAAGAACAACTGCTTAAATTCTAGCTGCCCATTTGATTCATGTCTATTCGAGTTCACCTGCCTTCTCACTTTCCTCAGCCAAATAGTTTACTTCTGAGGCCAGATGTTCACATTCCCATAAAACACCAGGTTTATAGTACTCCTGACCTACTTCTTCAAACCAATATACTTTCTGTGAAACTAGGTCTACTATACCTATGGTCAACTAATAGCAAAATGTTCAGCTTGTTTTTATTTTTTTTACATCATTCTCTTTTTTTATGTCTTTTGCACTATGCTGATACAATTTTGTTTTCCTCCACTGAGAAATTTTTAGTGCAAAGTCTCTTAATTTGCTAATTAATTCTGATAGACTAGTTTCATAGTCTCAGCAAATCAGCGTGTGATACACTTGGATTATGAATGGCTTAGCACAGAAAATGATGTAATTTCAATGGAATAAATTAGAGCCAATTAACACGGCGGAGTCAGTTGTCTTTTTGAGTAATGCATATTTGCTCAGAGAAGCACTCTGTTTTATTTGTAAAATGATCTACGCTTTTAACCATTATGACTGCCATGGCCCTTTTCCCTTTGGAGCTAATAGAAAGGGAGAAGATAAATGACAAGAGCAGCTAGGCCAGGTGTAGCAAATAATTTTGGTAGAGTTTTGCCATCATACTTTGTTTGAGGTCACAGTATGTTAATTGACCATAACATGTTACTAAAACGCTGTTTTATGACCCTCTTTAATGTAGTGTTCAGAGCATCTGAAAATACATGACATAATTATAAATTTATAATTATTTATCCTGGGGAAGTAATAATGACTTATCTCTTGCAAGTAAAACAAGTTG
Source organism: Homo sapiens (assembly GCF_000001405.40). NCBI lineage: Eukaryota > Metazoa > Chordata > Mammalia > Primates > Hominidae > Homo > Homo sapiens. The sequence goes on from NC_000010.11 coordinate 25,262,045, forward strand.
TTACATGTTCTGAAGCCTAGGGTTTGGGACCAAGTAGAATAAGCAGAGATCTAGCTGCAATATTAGCAAATGATCTGCTTAACACATTGATTTTAGTGTCTACAAGATAAAAGGTATTTCCCACAGTGAACAGATGGCTTAACCAGGAATGATAGACTTCTCTTGACTTAGTGGGGAGAGTGGAGGTCTGGAATGCTTTAGAGAAAACTCACATTCTTTGGGTATACACTTGGGCAAGTTGGTCTTTAGAAGTCTGCTATTGCTTTTCATAATAATGGATAATTATCATTATTTTCCTCAGGGGAACATTGTGTGGAATAACAAATTAATGATTGCAATACACTTTGGAAGACATTCTGTAACTTCTTAGTATCTAGGAAAGAATGAATATGGATAAAGGAAACCCAGGAGAAAGGTTTTATTTCCAAATTTTGTGATATATTATTTTTCTTTAAAAATTATTTTAATAAATACCCACAAATTTCTAGGCATTTTTTGTTTTACAATTTTGCAAAATTAATAAACATTTTTAAGAGCAATTCCAGGTTCAAACCAAAATGAGTGGAAAGTATGGAGTTCCTATATACCCTCTATCCCTCACATGTGGAACCTCCCCCACTGTCTACATTCTGCACCACAGTGGTTCACTTGCTACAATCAAACCTATGTTGATACATCCTTATCATCTGGAGTTCATAGCTTACATATAGGTTCACACTTGGCATTGTACATTCTACTATAGATGTTGGCAAAAGTACAGTGATATGTATCTACCATTATAGTATCATACAGAAAAGTTTCAATGTCCTTAAAAGTCCTCTGTGTATTCTTTGCCTATTTTGAAATTGGGTTGTTTGCTTTCCTGTTGTTGAATGTTAACAGTTCTTTGCACACTTTGCATGGCAGTCCTTTAGTAGGTATGTATTGCAAATATTTTTTCCCAGTGTGTGGCTTCTCTTTTTATTTTCTTGATGTTGTCTTTTGGAGAGCAAAAGTTTTTAATTTTAATGAAGACCAGCTTATCAACTATTTCTTCCATGGATTGTGTCTTTGATATTGTATCTAAAAAGTACTTGCCATACCCAAGGTTGCTTATGTTATCCTCAAGGAGTTTTATAATTTGTTTTACATTGAGATCTCTGATCCACTTTCAGTTAATTTTTATGAAAAGTGTGAAGTCTGTGCCTAAATTATTTTTGCATGAGGATGTCCAGTTGTTCCCAGCACCGTTTTTTGAAAAGCCTGCTTTTCTTTGTTGTATTGCTTTCGCTTCTTTCTCAAAGTTCAGTTGACTGTATTTAGGTGGGCTGTCTATTCCATGACATTTATATATGTCTGTTCTTTTCCTAATACCACACTGCCTTGATTACTATAGCTTTATAGTAAGTCTTGAAGTCAAGTAATATCAGTCCTCCAACTTTGTTCTCCTTCTGATCTAATTTTTTGACATTTTATTTTGTTAATATGTTTAGTTTCTTTTCAAAATGCTATTATATTTTATTTCGTGCTTAAAGATGCTGCTTCTCACTATTTAAAAAAAATCTGCTGTGTGGTCATATGTATGCCTAGAATTGGCTGTAGGGGCCATTATATGCTACAATAAATTTTAAGGCCGGGTGCTGTGGCTCACACCTGTAATCCCAGCACTTTGGGAGGCTGAAGCAGGTGGATCACCTGAGGTCAAGAGTTCGAGACCAGCCTGGCCAACATGGTGAAACCCCGTCTCTACTAAAAATATAGAAACCAGTTGGGTGTGGTGATGGGTGCCTGTAATCCCATCTACTCAGGAGGCTGAGGCAGGAGAATTGCTTGAACCCAGGAGATAGAGATTGCAGTGAGCTGATACAGTGCCACTGCACTCCAGCCTCAGCGACAGAGTGAGACTGTCTTTAAAAAAATGAAATAAATTTCACCTTTTGGTTAATGCCATCTTTTGGTATTATCCTTTGGAGACTTTTTTTATTGGATCTTTAGGGGCTTGTCTTCAAGAAAATCATTCCTAACTGATGAATATCAGGCATTTTTGAGTATGGCTCTCATAACCCAAACCAGCATTGTGGTAACTGGTTTCCAAAGATTCCTTCCTTTTAATGAGTCACACCTTCTGCTTTTTATGCCAATATCCAGTCCTTTGTACGTTGAATCTGCACTGGCTCTTTGTAACCAATAGAATAAGACCAGATTGATGCTGCACATCTCCCAAGGCAAGGTGGTAAGCAGGTCTGCAGTTTCCATTATGATTTCTTGGAATGCTTGCTCTTGGGGAAGCCAGTTGCCATATAAGAAGTACAGTTAACCTGACATTTCCAAGCTGCAGGGATGCTCAAGGCATTTGGAGAAGTCAGGTGGAGAGAGGGAGACTTGATCAGTCCACAGCTATTCCAGCTATCCCAGCTGAAATGCAAAATATTTGAGTGAAGAAACATTTTGGGTGTCTGGATCAGTCAAGCCATAATATTACTCCCAACCCAAATGTCATCTAAATGCAACAGCATAAAAGAACCCAAGCAAAAGCTGCCCAGCTAAACCTAATCTATACACAGAACTGTGAGAGATAATAAGAAATTGTCATTCAAAGCCACTAACCTTTGAGGTGGTTTGTTACACAGCAGGGAGAACCAGAATAAAGGCCAAAGAAGACTTGGACACTGATTGCTAAGCTATTACCATAGTAATTCTTTACTTTGATTACTTTTGTCGATAGTATCTTGCAGATCCTTCATATGCCAATATGATGTTATTGAAACTTGTCACAGTGGTACCTAAAAGAGTACCTTTTCCAGTTTCCAGTGCTATATGTGGGGTTCATGCTTTCTTGAAAGTAGAATTGATACTCTGCGAACTATTTTTAATATTTCTAGAAGCCTAACTAAAATGGTTCATTTACCCAAGGTAAGACTGTACAGTTAACACATTTCCTTGCTTTGGGCTATGTATATATCACCCTCTCATTGTATCTCATTAAAATGAATTATACTGAAATATGGAGATTTTGATTTTTCTTTTTGTGGACAGAATTTTTTTAAATATGGGATCCTAGTGAGAAGAACAAAATGGCTTTCTTAATGTGTTAGACTTTATTTATGTTTCCCAATATTTAGTACTCTTTCCCTTCTAAGTCCACAGAGGTCTACACATTTTAACTCCTTTACTTTTGGGTTGGGCTCTGTGGTTGGTTCTGAACAACAGACAACGGGCTGTGAACAGAAATGCTAGGTGCCATTTCTGAACTGAAGCATTTATTACTAGCATAAAACATCACATTCTCTCTCTTCTCTTGCTGCAATAAGCAAGAAAGTCATATGTTCCAGATTGTGCAGTTTCAAGATGGAGGAACATCTGGCATCTTGAGTCCCTAAGTGGCCATGTACAGCAGAGTTCCCTATAGACTTGAGTTGGGCATGTAATAGAAAGGAGACTTTTTTTCTTGTGTACTCCACTGGGATTTCATGATGAATTTTAATAATGCAGCCTATGCCAACCTACCTTAATATGGTAAGATACTAGTTAAGGTACTTCTACTCTTAAAGTAAGAGCAAGAATGGGAGACATGGCATTCTTCATTGATCTATTAGCACCTAGCTCTGATTAGTGAAGGTAGGAAGCACAAAGCAGGTTATTGAAAGAATGAAAGACCTTTCAGTTGGCTACAAGGCAGAGGGAACAGGTACGAAAACTGGGATTCTGCCAAGAGGGTGATCCTAGATGGAATATTTTGCCAGAAGAACCAGGCATGTCAGGCTCTGAAAACAAAACTTTCTTCCTTGGTTTTGTTCAGAACTGCTCCTGATCTTTTGTTTTTTTCTTGAACAATCCAGTCTCCATATGGATGCTTGAGTGTTATTTTCAAAATGAAACTCTGATGTTACCACCCGCCTGCTTAAAACATTCCAATGGCTTTACATTGCCGACTGGGTTCAGATCCACATTCTTGGATTGCTGTGACTGCTGTGTTCCTCTTCAGTTTGTTTGCTTCAGTCTTACTGGATTTCTGGGGGCAGGTTCCTTCTTTATCTGAAAACTTTTCTTCCTTTACCATCCTTCCAACCTCCACTCTTCTCCTAGTTAATCCCTGTAGCCTTCAGATCTCAGCTCAGTCTTCATGTTCAGGAATCTTGCTCTGACCTTAAGTTTCTTTGTTAGAGGTTTTCATAGAACTGGGTTTCTTTCTTTCAGAGAAGTTATCTCTGTCTGAAATTTACATGTTTAAGTGCAATTGTTTGATTGTTTGTCATTCACTTCATGAGGGTAGTCCTTTGTGTTTCCTCATCACTTTATGCCTAGTGTTCAGGACATAACCAGTACATAGAAGGTGGAATGGATGCCTTTGTGGGCCCTTTACTGTCAAAGATCAGAGAAGTCCAGATGGACCTGAAGAGCTGGAGTGAAGAAGTAATGTAGTATATTTTTGGCCATCCCATAATCAGATCACTGGATTTTCTTTCTAATGGGATTCGGTTCCATTTAATGGAATTAAACAAATTGGGAATGACTATTTCACATGAATAGAGTGTAATTTCTATTGTCTTTTTTTACATTCTAAGCTTCTTAAGCATAAGAAGGAAAGCTTAAAAAAGGAAGCTGTTTCCTTTTTTTTTGTGCTGTAGAAGTAAAAGACAAGGTTAGTGCATAGCCAGGCAAATAAATTCTATAAATAGTAGCTGCTTCCAATAAATATATTTTGAATAAGTGAATGATAATATTCTATAAAATGCTGTGAGCAGTTTTATAACCTCATAAATATTTTTTTATGATGAGTGTTAGAATGATCCTAGAAACAACATGTGAGATAACCTTTTTTGTCCATGAAAATACTAGTGAAAATTTTAATCTGTTATCTGCTTCAAAGTATTTAATTCACATTGATTGTTTTATCTTAATTTTGCTGCAAAGCTAATTTATTTACTTGGATTAAATTGTAATTGGCAATTCCTTTCATTTGATTATTTAAGTAAATATTCTTGAAAGAAATTGTGTTATTCTCTGCTGAGTTTTGTCTTTCTGCCCTCTATTCCTCTTTAAATTTCAATCAAATATAGCTAGAACCTCTTTTCCAGATCATATTATTAGCATTATAGCATGAACACAAAAATGATTAAATGACATAACAATCAGGGTGTATTAGTCCATTCTCATGCTGCTAATAAAGACATACCCAAGAGTGGGTAATTTTTAAAGCAGAGAGGTTTAATTGAGTCCGAGTTCAGCTTGGCTGGGGAGGCCTCAGGAAACTTACAATCATGGTGGAAGGGGAAGCAAACATGCCCTTATTCACCTTATTGACATAGTGGCAGGAGAGAGAAGAATCAGTGTCCAGTGAAGGGGAGGCTCATCAGATCTTGTGAGAACTAATTCATTATCACAAGAAAAGGATGGGGGAAACTGCCCCCATGATTCAGTGATCTCTACCTGATCCCTCCCACGACATGTGGGAATTATGGGAACTACAATTCAAGATGAGATTTGGGTGGGGACACAGTGAAACCATATCACAGGGTTTAAACATTTTTGAGCACAGGATATCTGAAATGTTTATAGGGTAGTATGTTATTTTTATGGAATTATTTTGGAATCTTATGTAAAAAAAGAAGTTCAAAGCTTCACCATAATCTCACTACAAATGTGCCTTCTAATTTGACAAGATTCTTTGTGGCAAAACCTATCATTTATTTTGGATCTGTGGTTGAACCCAATGTTGTTTTAAATGAAAGTAAAATCTTATTTTTTACATATTTAATGATAGGGCCCAGACTCTTGGTTATAACTTTTCAAAAACATGTGAGTAGGAAATTATTTTTTAATAATATTGTTTATTAAATGTTATTTAAGTTAATGGAATTGCAGAAGAATTACCCAAATAGATGGATGGATATTTTACAAAAATTAGTTTTCTTTCAGTTGTTACTCTTAATTTTATTATCACATATCGTCCACTATAAATATATTTACTAGAAAAAGTTAAAATTAATACATTTGAATTGTGAAAAGCACTGACCACACAAGTCTTTTTTTTGCAAGCAGTAACCTTAAGTGGAATGCATGCAAAGTGTGTCCTGTATGTGTACTCTGAATATACATTTTGGTATTACATATGCCAATTTTTTGAATACTCTCTATATAAAATCAAATGAATACTCAATAAAGTGAGCTTAAAGAATACTCGTTATCCTATTGATAGGATGAGGGGTAAACTGTTTAACCTGAAAATAATTTTTACTTGAATATGACTCCCTTAGGTGCTTTGCTATTTCTTGATCGAGGTTCTTAGGATCTATCTGTGAGCGTGCCTGGATAAACTTTAGTATATCTGTGAAGTCTTTGTGATTTTAAATAAAATATTGGCCATATGTGCATTTTTAAAAGGGAGAGTCTTCCTGGATTCGATCAAATTCATAAATGAGATCTGTGACCCTAAGACTCATTGAGTTATATATGTGGAATTTTATTGTATATAAATTGTACCTCAGTGCAGCTGGACCTCCCCCAAAAACTCTGAATCGGTATTCTCAATGAACAGCTTTAAAAAATACTAGTAGCAGACAGTGAGAGACTTGGGAGGTATCTTCTATGAGGAACTTTTTTCAGGTCTGCCTTTCCTTCTAGAATACCACGAAAATAGTTTCTATTTTTGTGTGCACACTTCTATAGTCCACATGGAAGTGGAGTCAGAGATTGGGATAGAATATAGAAGAGTAGAGTAATCATGCAGTAACCAAGCTGCCAACCTTCGCCTTCACAATGAGCACCACATAAGGTCAACGAAATGTCATTGCTATCCAGCAAATTCTTTTCAAATGAACCAATACTATATAAAAGCTGTGTTAGGAGCATCCTAAGTATTTCATGGTGTTGCTTATATCCTTTTGTTATTTAGTTTTTTATGTTCTTTAAGGTGTGAGTAAAACACCTCTTTTGTCAATAACCTCTTTAAGCAATTACTTGTGCCTTTAAAGCAAATTACAAATTCTTCTTGTCTCATTTTGTTTTCACCTATACAATGGACATAATGTTACTTTATATACATTTATATCTCAATACTCTGGCAAAGAAGCTGGCACATGGTTAACACTTCATTCAGTTAAAAAAATGAACCAAAGAATTTCTGACAATAAATCGTATTAATTAATTGACTAATTTTAGCTTGAATAGAGCAGATGGTTTATGTAGGAAAATGGGAGAACATGAAGTTGGATTCTGAATATTTTAGATTTTAAACTTATTTTCAAAATACCCAAGAGTAAGTTGCATATGATAACACAGCAATATGCTAGTGAGCAGAGTATGTGAAGAAGTTCTACTTTATATCCTTTGTCTATGTTTTTATCATAATGGAAACAGAATGGTAAAATGAATTTGAAAAGTGTTTGTTAATCCTATGTTAGTTGCCTCTGTGGCTGAAGAACCTGTGATTTTTCAGTTATATCCCTCCCCCAATCCCTGACCACATTTTAGTTTTATATTTTAGCACAGAAGGAAAGAGCAGGGATTAAATTCTAGTTTTACTTTCACTAGATGTGGGACCTTTAGCAAATCAATCATTTTGACTCATTTTCCTTAAAGCAATAGCAACTTTCGCTAACATTATTGAACACAGTATAGACCAGACACTCACGTAAACTTTATATGAGTTAAACCATTTAGCTCTCACTGCAACCATGTAATGAAATTGCAGCTGTTTTCCCCATTTCATGAATGAGAAAACGGAGAAACTGAGCTGATGTTGCCAGGCTCTGTCACAAGTTGTTGCATATATTGTCAGCAATGCAGTGAGATCCTGATATCCAAAAGTGTTCATCCTTTAACGTTTGTATTATACCCATGGTACCACGCAGTTTGTTTCATTTTAGTATGCTTATTGAAGCTGTCAATTATCTTATTAAATATCCTAAATCTAAGCTAGAGTCTCAGATTCTATAATCTTAAAGCCTGGACTTTTGGCCTTTTATATTGGGAATTCAAGCTCTTTTACCACCTATAATGCAGAAAGAAGTTCTACTGGTTCAAGGACAAAGATTTTTGGGGAGATCTACGGGTTGATGGTTGCTGTAGACCTTGAGGACACACAGAATCTTCAACAAAGTATAAAGTAAGATACTTCAGGTGTACTCCATTGTAGCTTCAGAAAGGTTAATTCTTTTTCCCATTATTACACATTTAGTATCAAGGGGAAAAATTGCTATTTAAAACCATATGAGCCTTTCAAGAAAGATGATTCTGCTAGAATTGTATAGATTCTTTGGTTACTGAAGAATAGATGGTCTTCTGTTTCACCTGAACAGTTTGATTTTTTTTTCCTCCGATGTGCAGGGGAACTGAATATGGAAGTAGAGCTGGTATAGTTGAAATTGTCTGTAAAATAGAGTGAGATGGATTTGGAATTCCTGGAAGGCATGCTTGAAGTATAAGAGAAGGAGGAGATATAAGAAAAGCCAGGCAACAAAGCAAATGGTTTGCAGCTACAAACTGTCTACTTTTGGCTGTCCCAAAGGCACTTCAGACCCAGCGCACCCCAAACTGATCTCACTAATGCCACTCTGCTCCAACCGAGTCCTCCTCCATGCTCCCCACCCCAGTCAGTGACGCTATCTACCAACCAGAAATGTACCAACCAGAAATCTACAGGCCAGATATCTACAAGTCTTCTTTTACATCTCCTTCTTCCTCATCACCTTATCGAAGTCCCATTGATTTTATCTCATACTATTTTTGTCTACTTGTCTTGATATCTATCCAGCAACACCTCAGTTCCAGCTATTGAAAACTCGGTCTTTCTAATGGATCTCTTTACATCCATTATTGTCCTCTCTGCTGTCATTTTTATTGCAGTTAGAGACTTAAGAGACTGAAATGCTTAGTTTTTGATGCTTATCACTGATTTTAGGATAAAGTCTAAATCCTTATCAAGACCTATAAAGTCCTGCATACGCTGGCCTGGCCACTTTTTAAAAATCTTCATCTCATACTTTGTAGATATTCTTGCCCTAGTGACAATGGCTTGGCTTTCTTTTAGCTCCTCCAGTGTTCCGAGCTGCCTCCCACCTCAGGACACCTATGTGCCCAGGTCACTGTGCTTGGATCTCTCTTTCTCCTGTTTTAATCTAGTTAGTTCATTCTCTCCTTCAGTAATCTGCTCAAATAGCATTTTCTTAGAGAAGCTGCTTCTAACTTCAGACTAGGTTTGTTATCCCTGTTACTTGCTTTAATGGCATCCTATCCTGTTTCTTCATAGTGTTTACAAAAATTTTTAATTATGTATTTATTTATGCAATGATTTTTACTTATGTCTGTCTCTCTCACTAAACTTTAAGCTACATGTGTCTGTTCTACCCCCAATTTTATCTTTAATTTTTAGCATAATTCTAAACATTAACAGCAACTCAAGTATTAAATGAGTCCAAGAATTGACATTACAGGAAGCCATCTTATTGACATACCGTCTGATTTTCAGAGTTGTCTGTTTCCAATTGTGCTCCTGGAAGTGGTGATGGACATACTCTCTTCCATTCACTCTGACCACACATGTCATATGGCAGTTCGAAGTTAAGGGTTTAGAATGTGGCAACAGATACCAAGGACTTTTGAATGCTACCTATATACAGTTCTATGCCAGCGCATATAACTTAGAAACATTTTTGAGATGGAGTTTCCTTCTTGTTGGCCAAGGTGGAATGCTATGGTGCGATCTCGGCTCACTGCAACCTCCACTTCCTGGGTTCAAGCAATTCTCCTGCCTCAGTCTCCCGTGTATCACGCTTGGCTAATTTTTTTTTTCTTTAGTAGAAATGGGGTTTCACCATGTTAGCCAGTCTGGTCTTGAACTCTTGACCTCAGGTGATCTGCCCACCTCGGCTTCCAAAAGTGCTGGGATTACAGGCATAAGCCACTGCCTCTGGCCACAATATCATATTATTATGATTTCTTTGTGGGCAAAAATGCCCAGAAGTGCCTTTGATTGGTTCTTTGGTAATAATGAATTCTTCCTGTCATCTTAAACCATCTCATATCCTTGCCATCAGAGGACTCAAAGGGTTGCTGTCTGAAATCTAGATCAACAGTAGTGAGAGCCTCTGATCCTCAGAGGTTAAGGGAACATTTCTGATTAATAGTATAATGTAGCCACTTAGTCCAATGGTATTAATGTAATTCAGTAATGTTCCCAAACAGTTAAAATAATTTGACTTGAGTTTTCCAAGTTCTTGCTAAGCTTTTTCAAAAAATATTATTTTTAGGAATGTATTGTTTTCTTATTTGCTTTTTGATTCTCTTGTCTCACATTTTCTTAATGAAAGAAAATTTTGATATGGTGCTTTTTCAGATAATAGAAATAGTATAATGTGCTCACTTCTCTGGTAGATGATTTATTTTATACTTCCTTTATTTTCTATCTCCTCTGCTTCCCTCTCCTTCTTCACCTTCCTTTCCGTAGCTCTTTTTTCTTTACCTTTTCACAAGACCCCACCTCTTGTTTACGTGCCTTTATGCTTAAGTCAATCCATAAATATAGACAGAAAGACAGAGAAATGTCAGCTTTCTATTTTGAGCAGGAAATTACCTTCTGAGAATGTTTATAAAAATGGATTGCTTCTCCCAGGAGATTCATTCATCAAGACAGAAGTTGGTCCTCCTGTACAAAATGGAATGGAAATAGAAACAGTCAAGATACACTAGGATAAACACAGCAATCAGAGATTGGGTGGGGAGGGGAAGCCTAATTTGGAGGAAAAACGTTGGCTGCTTTTGTGAGGCAAAGAAATAGAACAGCAAATGTTCCTTCAAATTGCAGCAAGAAAGGAAGGTTATCCAGGGATGTACTAGACTTCTAAAATTTTATTCAGAACTCCTTTGAACCAAGGCTGAGCTCCTAGAATTATAAGTGAACCCCATGCATATGTCAACATCATAATTTCATGGGATTCTAGATCATAAAAGCTGGAGGACACCCTAAAGAAACAAAGGCTGTATCTTACCAAAAGTCACACAATTAGTTCGTGGCACCTGGGACTATAATCCAGATACTCTAATACCCAAGTCAATTTTTATGTCACTGCTTTACAAGGACTGTAATTGATTTCTGGTTCCTGAAAATGCACCTTCCACATCAGCTATGTCCTTCCATATCCTCTCTAGTTTGTTCTATGGGATGTGATCATCAGGTATAATGCCAGTGATATCTCCCAAACTGGCAACCTCATTGTCAATATCACTACCTCTTAACTTAAAGAAGAGTGACATGTTAGATTATGCAGTCTAACAGGGTATGCTTACTTTTACCCAAGGAGAAGAAGTTTAACAAATGGTCTATAGTTGAAAATCCATCCTAAGAATATTCAAGGATTTTTCTTAACACATTGGCATCTTTTTTTTTTTTTTTTTTTGCACATATAACATGAAGTAAAGATTTTTGGTTGTTTTCCCATTATGTGTAGAAAATAGCAGTTGGCATACTTTAAACGTATTTTTCAGATACAAAGACTTATGAGGTAATTTGCACCTACTACAACTAATGTACTGCCAGAAGTCTGGGTAGGCAGTCTACTATGACTTTAACTTCTTAGGGAGAAAGCCTTTGTTTGCTTCCCAAATCACTCTACCTTTTCTATAACTTCTTTATGCATTGAAGAAAATGGGTTTTTTTTCTTTGTTTTATTTTTTTGAGACAGGTTTTCCCTCTGTTGCCCAGGCTGGAGTGCAGTGGTGTGATCTCTGCTCACTGAAGCCTCGACCTCCCAGGCTCAAGCAATCTTCCCACCTCAGCCTCCTGAGTAGCTGGGACTATAGATGCGCGCCACCACACCCGGCTAATTTTTTGTATTTTCTTAGAGATAGGGTTTTGTCATGTTGCCCAGGCTGGTCTCAAACTCCTGGACTAGTGATCTGCCTGCCTCAGCCTCCCAAAGTACTAGGATTACAGGCATGAGCCACCGTGCCTAGCCTCAAAGAAAATGTTTTTTGCGAGACATGGTTTTTCTCTGCTCCGTGTGGTTTAGAAAGAGACAAGTTGGCAGTGCACAGCTTCCTTTGTGATTGTCCTTTTGCAATTGGGATATTTTTCTTTCTGCCTACAGTTATTTATTCTGCCTTTGAAGTCATTATTTTTATTAAATTTATTTACACAACACCAAAGATTGTTCTGATTTTGTTGCTCAGCTCTTTCTAAACATTTGTCTTTAGGTGATATTCATTTTCCTCCTATCTACAGAAAACATGGACATGCACACAATTTATTAAAATAGTCTATTACTTTAGGTGGTCTTATCACATCCTATATAACACATGAATAATAAAATAGGTTTGATTCTAAAGTAAGCTAGTTAGAATGTCTTCAAATAGAAATAATATAAAAAGAACATAAAAGTGTTCTATTGAAGAGATAGTTTTATATGAAGATTAATTTATATGTACTCCCCTATCCGTCACTTGGTATTCATTAGTTTGCAACATAGGTGATTTAATGTGACTTGTAAAACAACTTAATCCTCAGTGCTAAATACATATAGACTATCATGAGGAAATGGGTGACAGCTGAAAAACAAATGATCCACTTCCAAGGTATATTCTTTTGAGGTCAGAATGTGATCCACACTTACGATATATCTAAAAGCCCACTAGTGCAGATGGTTTAAAAATTAATTTTACCTGATGCCATGTAACAGCCAAAGCCATATAACTATTAGGTAGGCACTGAAGAGATATTATGAAGTATTAATTCTAACAAGCGTTAAAAAAAGTTAACTGAACTATTTTTGTTGTGTTCTTTGGTGTATTGTAGTGAATTAAGTCCCAGTTGTAAATATAAATTTCTCTTCATCATCAGTATTCTAAATTCTGACTTTTGTGTGTGCTAAGAAGTGAAGCTCTATAAATGCTGAGTTACGGTGACAAAGACGAATTACTCTCCAGAAAACGATACTGCTGGAATTAATAGAAATGTTTCCTTATTTGAAAATTAGTTGGGGGCCATTTATTTAGGAGAAATATGTTAAATTATGCTACTTTTCATGATATTTTCAGTTCTAGAATTCTGATTATATAGCCTGTTGCTATTAAAAGATCATGTGCTGGGATTTTGGTTAAATCTCCTTAAAAAGTTTCCAGAAAGTTCAGTTCTGCAGGCACTGTTCCACAGTTTCATAGGAAATTTTATAATTTGAACTCTGTTTAGTGATGTGTTTTTAAAAGTGTGGTCCAGGACTACCTTTATCACAATCATCTGGGGAACCTGTCAGGAGCAAGGTTTTTGAAGTCCACCCCAAACCTTCTGAATTTCTGACTTAATGAAGGCCCCAGTTGACTCTGATACACCCTAAACATTGGGAACCACTGGTTTATTAAGTAGTAATCCTTTTCCTTTTATAATTGTCTTCCCATGGAACTCTTTAAACTCTTGTTCTCTCCGTTAGCCCCTCGTTAACTACTACAATAGCAGAAGAAATAAATTACTTTCCTATCGGTAACAACCTTTTCCAACACCCTTCTTTCACATGGTGCCAGGAAGAGAGATTTGGGGTGGTTTTCAAAGGAAAAAATTGAGAAGTGGGTGCTTGATATTTATTTATTTCCACTCTTCCTTATTCATCTTTTATTGCTCCAACTCTGACACAGTATCAAAGAATGATCATGTTAAGGACTTTCATTTATATAGCCCTCTGCCATGATAAAGCATTTACATATTATTTTTAAAAATTCATATAACTTGCTCCTAGAAAGAAATTTAGGTCATTTTGCCCAATTCTGTCATTTTACATGTGGAGAAAATGATGCTTAGATAGGTTTTTTGGTTTGTTCAAGATCATACTCCTAATTATTGAAGGTGCTAGAACAGGGATCCAGGTATCTTGACTCCCAGAGCACTGATGTCTTCTGGCATGTTATTAAAAAAATCTTGTATATTGCACTTATTTATGTGAGGAGAAAATTGTTTTGTAGCTTGTACATCATCTTTGACTTGTTATTCTTAATGGTCTTGCTGCTTCCCAGGTCTGTTTCTATTTATTGTTAAGTTGTGGGAAAACAGCTGAAAAACACATTTCTTATTGAGTGAGCTTTTGTGCAAATTGTAGCTTTCAGAGGAATTTGATCCCTGCGGCTTGAGGTTGAATTTGGTAACACTTTATTTTAGGTGTCAAGACGTGGTACATTTAATTAGCATTTACTGTAATAACACTGATCAGTGTGAATTCTGTTGATTAAAATGTGGATGGTAGTATTACTGTACCCTAAGCAGAATCCACCCACATGCTGTTAGGTTCACTGGACTCTCTTTCTCTCTCTTGCTCAATTTTGATTTAGAAAAACCAAAAAAACAAAAACTGCTTTCTCCTTCTTCCTTTGTAGTGTTTAATTAATGGTTGTTGGATATGCTCAAAGTATCCAGTGGAATGGGTATAAGAATAAGGTTCTTTGCCCTCCCAATTATGTGATAGCTCACTTGAGGAGTTAATTAAATTTTGAATGTAGGCCACTTTGTATAACATACTATGGTGATAAAGTCATAATGCTCTAAAACAAAATCTAGACAGAGAGCTAAGAAGTGCAGTACATTACATTAGTAAAGATCCTTGTAATTGGACCTCATCTGGAAAGAGATAAGACAAGAGGAACATTGTAACTGGAATGAGAGGAGTGTCACATTCTGTGCCTGAAAAATGGTGCTCCTGGAGAACAGAATCTGCTGAGCACAGAGACCATTTTTAATCAAGAAAAATGCTTTTTCTGAAGGAAACCTAAGCAAGAAACTCACCTGAACCAATTCCAGAGATTTTAAGTCAAGAAAAGTGAAGGCAAGTAGAATGATTTGGGAATAGATTTGTCACAGAAGCAGTAAGGACATAAAAGAACAGTGAAAGTTAGATCCTAGAGACATTTTTTTCCCACATCCAGAGTATTACAAAAGCATCCAACTATTTTTTTTTTTTTTTTATAATAGACAGGGTCTCACTCTGTCGCCCAGGCTGGAGTGCAGTGGCATGATCATAGCTTATTGCAGCCTTGAACTCCTGGGCTCAAGGAATCCTCCTGCCTCAACCTCCTGAGTAGCTGCAACTACAGACACATGCCACCATGCCTATCCAATTTAAAAATTTTTAAAAGAAATTAGAGCCTTACCATGTTGCCCAGGCTGGTCTTAAACTCCTTTCTTAAAGGGATCCTCCCACCTCAGCCTTTCCAAGTAGCTGGGACCACAGGCGTGTTCCACAGTGCTCAGCTCACCTATTCATTTATTTTATTCTTTGTAAAGAAAACTAAAACAGTAACATAGTTTTCAGATAAAGTTATAATGAGTAGGATAGCACTATGAGCTCCTATAGGAAAAAAATGAATACAAAAACTACTAGCAAAATGATAAATACGATATTCTGAAAAGCTGAATAAAATAGAATAAACACAATTTCAGTTGAGTAGCTGACTTTGGGGGAAAAAAGCAAAAGAGAGAGAGAGAGAGAGAGAGACAGAGCCCATCCCCAAACAAACAAACGAACAAGAAACAAAACCAAAACAAAATCCAAACTTGAAGGAAATAAGAAGTTGAAACGAAGGACATAACCAAGTGTGGGAACTCAGGCTGCTATGGGAGCGAATGCTGGTATGAGAGTTTGTCATGTGAATTAATGGCTTCCTGGTGGAGAATCCTGTGGAGATTATACCTAAGGCTTGTCAGAAAGGGGCTAAACCTGGACCCTCAAAGGGGTAGCACTCTTCAGAGGAAAATAGCCCAGAAAAAACTTCACTTGGCTGGCAAACTGAACAAAGAAACCTCTCCGACACCTTGGTGGCTCTGGTTTTAGGGAAGAGACAGGAACTTTCTTGAGAATTTGCAACTACAGACCTCAGGCCTCCCCTCATCCAGATGTGGAGTTTGAATTTAAATGGCCTGCTTATTGAAATTCAAGCCCAGACATTATTTTAAAGTAATCCTTGCTTGGAGACTTCCCTATAGTGTCTAATTGAGGCAAGTATAAAACTTCCTTAAAAAAACCACCTGCAGCTCAAGACCTCAAAATTCCTAGGGACTGAGTTTAGCCAAATAATATGTGATGAAAAATAATGACCATGTTGGTAAATCATGAGCAAGTTAATGAAAATGACAACAGGTTTAGATTTTAAAACACTTCAGATATTAAGATTATTAACAAAATAGCACACACAAAAAATAGAGATGGCAAGAAAAAAATGAGCAGTAAGTGAGACATTGTCAAATATGCCATGCAGATTTAAAAATGAATGTGTAGAAATAAAAATAAAATTGATAAAATTAACTCATAAATATATTAGAGTCAGGTGAAGAGAGAATTAATAAACTGGAAGATTAATCCAAGGAAGTTATCCAGAATGCAAAATATAGAGGAATAGATGAAAAATATGAGCGATTAAGATATTTGGAGGATTAAATAATAAGTACTAACATATAGCTACCCAGATTAGTAGACTGAAAAAATAGAATGAGGAAGAAGCAATATTTGAAGAAGTAATGCCTTAGTATTTTCCAGAATGGATGAAAGATGAAAATTCTTAGATAAAGTGCTGAGTGTATTTCACTAACAATAAATAGAAACTCATACTGAGATGTATTGTAAAAAATTGTAAAATAATAAAAACGAAGAGAAAATATTAAAAGTAGACTGAGTGAAAAATATGTACAAAGGAGTAACAGAGACTTACTATCTTCAAAGTGCTGACAAAATAATTAAAATTAATTAAATAATTAAAGTATTTAAATAATTAATAAAATTAAGTTTATCTGAAGTCAAGTGCCTAGAAAATTTATATATCAAGAATGAGGAATAACTAAATAAAAAGCTTAGGGCACTTACTGTTACCAGACCTTCATTAAAAGTACTTCATAAAGATAATAGAATATATAAGAAATAGATAAAATAATCCCAGAAAGATGTTCTGATAATTTTTTCAAAAGATGTGCAAAGAAAATAGTATGTATGTGTGAAATTATGAGCTTTAAATATGAAGTATTAATAATGCATAATATGTGATATTAGAAGAAGTTCTAAGATCCTAAGATATAAAAAAAATATTGTACAAAAATAACACATGAGACAGGAGGGAGTTGATTAGGCCTGAGCTCAAAAGGTAAATGACAACACTACTACTACTGCTGCTGCTACTGCTGATGCTGCTGATGCTGCTGCTACTACTACTACTAGTTTACATAAATTTCACGCTAGTGATATGCCAGCCATGTTCTGATTGCTGTATGTATATTAATGGAAATTGACGGCCATAATAACCTTATGAGGTTAGTGATATTATCTCCATTTTTCAGATAAGAAACCTGACAATGAGAATCCACAGAAGTGACACTGCAGCGGGATAATTAAGGAACCAGAGAGACCGAGGGGTTGAGGAGGAATTATTTAATTATTTAGGTGCACAGACCGAGTCCAATGAACATCCAAAGGACTGAGCCCTGAACAAAGAATCAAGCTACCTTTTAAGCATTTTGTGGGGTGGGGGGAGATTTGTGCAGGGGGAAGTGTATTACAGAAGTGAGAAATAAAGACAGTTATTTAAATTAAGACATGCATTACATTATTTCTTACTTTTCAAGGAACAGCATGTTTTATGACTTGAGTTTATCTGTTTAGTGACCTCGCAGCTACACAGCTAGAGAAACAGTCTTCACAATGCCTGGGGAAAGGAGAGATAAGGCTCACTAGCCACAGAAAAACAGGCAGTCAATTTTTAAAGGACTTCAGCTCTTTCTCTTCCTCAGGGGAATTGGGTTTTCTTACATACAACTGAGTTTTTGCTTACACAGTCTTTAATTTCTTTTAATTCCTGTTCCAACACAGGATTTGAGTCCAGATAATCTGGTTTGGATCCATGATCCTAACCACTGGGCTGTACCACTAGCGATTAATTTTAGACTTTTGTGCCTGGCAAAGTTTAAAAG
The DNA here is from genome assembly GCF_000001405.40 of Homo sapiens. Taxonomy (NCBI): domain Eukaryota; kingdom Metazoa; phylum Chordata; class Mammalia; order Primates; family Hominidae; genus Homo; species Homo sapiens. The sequence continues at coordinate 25,279,953 of NC_000010.11, forward strand.
GTAACCATTAAAATGAAAAAAAAAAAAAGAAAATATTATAACTACTTATGAATTAGAGGAGAAAAATGGAATAAGGGAGGGATCTTGTTAGCAATAAAAAAATTCCAAAAAAGCATAGAAAAATCAGGTCAAATAAAAAGCACAAGATGAGATGGTAGAAATGGAACAAAAGAATTCACTAATAAACAACGGTAAAAATGAAGTTGCTTGTTAAAAGACAGAGGTTGACAGATTGCATTAAAAATACAAGATCCAGCTATATTCTGTTTAGATAAAACACACTCAAAGCATAAGGACATAGACAGTTTGAAAGAATAAGGATGAAAAAAGATATGCCAGGAGAATACTAATTAAAAGAAAGCTGAGATACCTATCTTATGTCAATAAAAATAGACTTGAAGGCAAAAAGAACTGTTGGTTATAAAGAGTCACTATATAAGCAAAGGTTTTTTACACTAAGGAATAGATAACAATTCTAAACTTGTATGCACCTAATAAGATAGCTTTAAGTTATGTAAAGCAAAAATTGATAGAATTTCTTGGAGAAATTGACAAACTTACCACAAAAGCAGAAGCTATGAAAAATTGTTGGGTCAAACAGACAATAAGGAAACAGAAGATTAACCACATAGTTAAGAACGTTGACTTAATGTACATACATTGGACTCTGCAGTCTCAAATTACAGACTGCATTTTTTTCTCAAAACATTCATAAAAGTTGACCATGAAGCCATAAATCACATATCAACACATTTTATGTATGTATGTATGTATGTATGTATGTATGTACGTACGTACATACGTACATATTCTTTTACCAAGAAACGAATCTGAATCAACACATTTTAAAGAGCTAGTATACTGACCACATGCTGTGCCTCTGCAGTTAAATTACTCATCAGGTTGGACGTGGTGGCTCGTGCCTATAATCCCAGCACTTTGGGAGGCTGAAGGGGTGGATCACTTGAGGCCAGGAGTTGGAGACCAGCCTGGCCAACATGGCAAAATCCCCTCTCTACTAAAAATGCAAAAATTAGCCGGGCATGGTGGTATGCGCCTGTAATCTCAGATACTGGAGAGGCCGAGGCACAAGAATCGCTTGAACCTTGGAGGTGGAGGTTGCAGTGAGCCAAGATTACACCACTATACTCCAGCCTGGGCAACAAGAGTGAAACTCTATCTCAAAAAAAAAAAAAAAAATTACTCATCAGTTAATACAAAAAAGAATCTCTTCTCCATCTTTTCGTAGGTTAAATTAAATGACCTGTAAGTAACTCACTGGTTAAAGAAAAAAAAAGAAATCAAAATTCAAATGAAAAAATACAGTTAGGCTGGATGGGGTGGCTCACACCTGTAATCGCAGCACCTTGGGAGGCCAAGGCAGGTGGATCACTTGAGCCCGGGAGTTTGAGACCAGCCTGGGCAACATGGTAAAACCTCACCTCTACCAAAAATACAAAAAAAAAAAAAAAAAAAATAGCTGGGCATGGTGGCACATGACTGTAGTCCCAGCTACTTGGGAGGCTTAAGTGAGAGGACTGCTTGAACCCAGGAGGTCAAGGCTGCAGTGAGCCAAGATTGCACCACTGCACTCCAGCCTGCGTGACAGATTGAGACTCTGTCTCAAAACAACAACAAAAACAACTAAAAATAATGAAAATAATAAATATCAAAAATTTGGGATGTAATTAAAATTACTCCATAATCACTTAAGGAGGAAAAAAAGGCTGAAAATCAATGAAGTATGTAACTAACATAAGAAGCTTAGAAAAGAGTAGAATAAGCCAAGAGAAAGTAAAAGGAAGGAAATAGTAAAGAGCAGAATTAGTGAAATAGAAGACATGCAATATAGAGGATCAATAAAATCTCAAGTTAGATTTAAAAATCATAATTTCCAATGACATTTTTTCACTGAGTATAAAATGTGAAGATCCATTACAAGGATACCAGTGTAGACATAGAAATATAATCTCAATAGAAAGAATGATTTGAATTTTTTCTTTTACCAATTTTACATTTACGTTTTAAATTTGCATAAACTAAAATTAACTTTTTGGTACACATACCTATTAGTTTTGATGAATTCAAAGATTTGAGTATTTATCCATCATCATAATCAAGCAACAAAACAGGTCAATCATTCCCCAAACTTCTTTGTGATGCCCCTTTAAAATCATCCACTAGCCCTCACCCTAGACCCCTGGTAACCACTAATTTTGTTCTCCTCCCATAAAGTGTTGCATTTTCCAGAAAATCATATAAATAAATTATACAGTATTTGGCCCTTTCAGCCTGGCTTCTTTTATTTATCATAATCCATGAGATATTCATTCATATTGTTGTATGTGTTAATAGTTTGTTTCTTGTTATTGCTAAGTAGTATTCCATTGTAGGGATTGTAACATAATATCCATTCACCAGTTGAAGTACATTCCATGTATCAAATTTACAGTTTCTTAACAATTATGCTTACAATTTATAAATATTCATGTACAGGTTTTTGTGTCAACATAAGTTTTTATTTCTCTTGGTATATACCTAGGTGTGGGACTGGCATATAGTAAATGAGTGCTAAACCTTCTAAGAAAGAGACACACTGTTTTCCAAAGTAGCTCTATCATTCTGTATCCTCACTAGCAGTTTCTGAGAGTTCCGTTCGTTTTGCATCCTTGCCATCACTTTCAATTTTCAGTTTTAAAATAATGTTAGTCCGTCTCATAGATACGTGTGTACTTCTGGTTTTAATTTGTATTTCCCTTATGACTAATAATGTTGAGCATATTTTCTTGTGCTTCTTTGCCATTCATACATCTTATTGGTGAAGTTTCTGCTTAATTTTTGAGTGTGTGTGCTCATTTTTCAATTGTATTGTTTGCTTTCTTATGAATTATCTGAGTTCTTTGTATATGCTAAATATTCTTATTTGTGATATCTGATTATATATTGCTCAATGTTTTCTAATATTTTGTTACAGACTTTTGTGTCTATGATAATGAGAGGTATCAGTCTCTAGTTTTCTTTTTTTGTAATGTCTTTCTGGTTTTGACATCACAATAATGCTGACCTCATAAAATGACTGGGGAAGTGTTTTATCCCTTTTATTCTGTGGAAGAGATTTTGTAGAGTTCAGAGTATATATTCCTTAAATATTTAGCAGAATTCCAGAGTGAAATCATTTAGAGCTGAGGTCTTCTTTGTTGGAAGATTTTAAACTACAAATTCAATTTCCTCACCAGGTATAGCACTCTTAAGATTATCTATTTCTTCTGGAATAGTTTGTGCCTTTCAAGGAACTGGTAATTTTATTTAAGTTGTCACATTTATGGGCATAGAATTTTTCATAGTATTTTCTTATTCTTTTAATGTTTGTAGGGTTTTTAGTAATTTTCTCTCTTTAATTCATAATGTTGATAATTCATGTCTTCTCTCTTTTAGTCACACTAGAAATTTATTAAACCATTTATGCTGAAGATTGCAAATTCTTTTTTGTGAAAAATCAGACATTGGTGATGACCTTGAGCAGTAGGATATAAATAACTCCCGGAAGCTTAGTGTTCAAATAATGGAACACTAGGCATAAATGGGTTAATGTTGTTAATCTTTTAAAATAACTCGCTTTTGGTTTTGTTGATTTTCTGTATTATTTTGTTTTTCCAATTTCATTGATTTTTGCTCATATTTTTACTCTTTCTCCTTACTTGGGACTTAATTTCTTCTTTTTCTATTTTTTAGTCAGAAGCTTAGATTACTGAGTGGAGACCGTTTTTCTTTTCTAATATAAATAATCTAAAACAATTAATTTTACTCATAAGCACTACTTTTGCTGAATTCAATCAATTTTGATATATTGTATTTTTATTTTAATTTAGTTCAAAATATATTTAAATTCCTCTTGAAACTTCCCACTTAGTTCATTTATAGTCCCATAGTTCATTTATAATTATGTTAATTTTAAGTATTTGGGGATTTCCATGCTATTTTTCTGTTATTGATCGCTAGTTGAACTACTGTGTGGTCAAAAAACATACTTTGTGTGGTATGTATTCTTCTTAATTTGTTAAGGACATTTGTGACCCAGAGTATTGTCTGTCCTGGTTAGTATTCCATGAATACTTGAAAATAAGATATATTCTGCTTTTGCTGGGTAGAGTGTTCTATGAATGACAAGTGGATCAAATTGGTTGATAGTGTTGTTCAGGGCTTTTATAGTCTTACTGATTTTCTGTGTACTTATTCTGTCAGTTTCTGTGTGAGGAGTCTTGAAGTCTCCAGCTACAAGTGTGGGTTTGTCTATTTTTCTTTTAATTTGATTAGTTTTTGCTTCAAATATTGATATTTTGAAGCTCTGGTGTTAGTTGCATGTATATACAGAATTTTTATGTCTTTTTGGGGAATGTCATTTTTACCATTAATTATGTAATGTCTCTCTTTATGTATGGTATTGTTCCTGTTCTGAAGTCTACTTTTTCTGATATTAATATGCCTATTCTAGTTTTGTTTTAATTCATGTTGGAATAATATTTTTTTTCTGTGTCTTTATCTTTAACATATCTATGTTTTTATGTTTAGGATAAATTTTCTTTTATATAGCATATATTTAGATTTAGAGTTTTATTCAGTCTGACAATCTGTCTTTTAATTCATATATTTAAATCATTTACATTTAATGTAATTAATGATATGCTTGGATTAAAATATAATGTCTTGCTATGCATTTTTTATTCTTGTTCTTTATTTTTTCTCTTTTTCTGTCTTCTTTTTAAAAAGTTGGGTGTTATTATTCCATTTTACCTCCAATATTGTCTTTTTATTTATACTCCATTCTTTCAAATATTTTAGTGGTTACTGTATGGTTTACAATACGTATCTTATTTACTCAAAGTCTACCTTAAAATAATATACTGTTTCAATATAGTATAAATACTTTATAGCATTTTTTTCCTAATTACTTCTTATTCTTTTTGCTATTTTATGTTATTTTACTTTCCTATATACTATACACACAATACATTGCTATTATTTTTTATTTAGGCTGTTAGTTATCTTTTAGATAATATACAAATAAAAGGCAATTCTGTATATTTTTCCCTTACTGCATTTCCAGTTCTATTCATTGTGTGTGTGTGTGTGTGTGTGTGTATGCATGTGCATAAATCTACATTACTATCTAGCATGATATTATTTCTGCCTGAAGAACTCTTTTAATATTGTTTTTAGTGTAGGTATTGTATTAGCCAGAGTTTTCCAGACAAATAGAATCAATGAGATATAGATACATATCTCTTTCCCCCTCTTTCTTTCTCCTTCTCTCTCTCTACACACACACACGTATGCATTGATATGTATGTATGTATGTATGTGTCTGTCTGTCATCTAGCATCTGAGAGGAGATTTAGTGGGGGGATTGGCTCATGTGATTATGGAGGCCTCAGCCTCATGACAGGCTGTTCTCTAAGCTGGAGACCCTGGGATGTTGGTAGCATGGTTCAGTCTAAATTTGAAGGCCTCAGAACCAGGGAAGCCAATGGCCTGAGAACCTCAGGAGGCACTAGTGTAAGTCCTGGAGTCAAAAGCCTGGGGAACTTGGAGTTATCCAAGGACAGGATGAGAAAAGTGTATTCCAGTTTCTGCAGATAGATCAACACATTTGCCCTTCCTTTGTTTGTTTTTTTCCCTCTGGATCCCTGGTGGATTGGATGGTACTCACCCACTTTGAGGGTGGATCTTCTCTAACCCCATTGGACTCACATGCCAATCTTCTTTGAATAAAACCTTCACAGACACCTCAGAAGTAATGCTTTATGAGGTTTCTAGGTATTCCTTAATCCAGTCAAGTTGACACCTAAAATCAAACATTTACAGGTATGCTGGCAAAAAATTCTCCTTTGGTTGCCCTGAGAAAAGTCTTAGATTCTCCTTTAATCTTGAAAGGTAATTTCACTGGCTATAAAATTCTGGGTTGACGTTTTCCTTTTCTTTCAGCACTTTAAAGGTGGCATTCCATTGTCTTCTGACTTGCAGTGCTTCTTATTGGAAGTCTACTGTAATTCTTATCATTGTTTCTGTCTATGTAATATTTCCTTTTTCTCTGGTGACGTTCAATATTTTTTCTTTATTTTTAGTTAACAACTGTTTGAATATGATATGCCTATATGTGTGTGTGCATGCATTTTTTCCCTTTTTCTTGTATTTTAGTATATATTTTACTTGGGGTTATCTGAGCCTCTTGGATTTGTGGTTTTGTGTTTTTTATTAAATCAAATGTTCCCTCATATATCTTGGTATCTTGGATGCTCTGTTTTGATCCTTCCCCTTGCCTCCCACTCTGTTTTTCTCTTGTATTAGTTTGGGTACTTTCTATTGGCCTGTCTCTAAGTTCACTGTTTCCTTATTTGGCTCTGTCAAGTCTACTGATTAGACTATCAAAGGCATTCTTCATCTTTGTTACTGTGCTTTTCACTATAACATTTGCATTAGATTTTTTTCTTATAGTTTTTATCTTTTTACTGAAATTACTCATCTGTTCTTACATGCTGTCTACCTTTTTCATTAGCACCTTTAACATATCAAAAACAGTCTCTCTAATAGTTATTATGTGTGTGATATTTGTATTTAGCTCCTTAGATCACTTTGTGTCTTGACAGTGTTGTTGTTTTTTTTTATTTTTTGATGGCTCATAACTTTTTTGTAGAAGTTTATGCATTTGGTGTAGGACAGTAGCCACAGAAGTAGATAGCTTTTTTTTGTTTGCCTGTAAATGGGTATGCCTTTCCTTATGTTAAGCTTTCAGGGTGGCATTTCATTCAATATGGACAGGAATTGGTCTGGTTTTGGGATTGTTGCTATGGTTACCCTCATTGTACCACCAGCTTGCCATTTCAGTAGTTGTTACCTTATGTTTAGGGTGATGGTAGTTTGCACCAATTTTTTCTAAGTGTCTGCTGTGCACTAAGCTTCAGGTCTTCCCTTTGTGCTGTGCCTTAGAGAGAATTTCTCTCCCCTTTTTTGCTTAATCTCCCTGCAGTATACCATTGTTACTTGATGCCTGCTATCCTCGTGGTGAGGGTTGGGGTGATTTTTATTATAGTTCTAATTAAGCATCTGTTTTAGGCAGATACTGTGCCCTAAGACTCATTTCTTAGGGTTATGAGTTTCTCAGTGCTCCTACGCCACTCCTAGTTGTATTCCTGCTTTTCTCCAAGATGTAGAGAGATTTTTTTCCTTTTCTTTTTCCCTAGCTTCTGTTGATTTTCCACTGCTCTTCCCCGAGATATAGGGAGTTTTCTTTCCTTTTCTTTTCTCCTAGCTTCAGTTGATTTTCACTAGTGCCCTAAGGGTGCACATCTTTCTTGACCCTCCACCAGTACTTGAAGGCATTTGTTTTGTAGGGGAGAAAAGAAAGGTGGGTTTAGGTGGGTTTTCATGTCTTTTTTTGAGTCTTTTTTTATTATCCCCCTTCATTTCATGTCCAAAGCCTTGAAGGATGCTATCTTAGGACCCTCACTAATCTTTTTCTGTTTGTTTGTATTGGTGAGCAGCAAGTCAGGACTGTGAGGAAGTGAAGAAGAGCATGCAGGTGGTGTGAATCTCCCTTTTATATGTGGCTCGTTGTATGTGGTTCTCTAACATTTTATATTCTTGACTAGCCCACGTTTAACCTTTACCAATTTACTTAAAATTTTAGCTGAATTGTTACTGGCATCTGACAGTGTCTGTAAGCAAATGCATATATCTTGTCTGTCCTTGCAAGTACCTGCCTTTCCTTAGATTTGGGGTTAGAGGTTGTTGCTCTACCACCTCAGCTCTCTGAGGATTTCAAGAAAAGTTAAAGGTTTTCATATTGTCTGCCATTTTATTGGCTATTTTTATTGTATTGAGGTTGGAAGCAATGCCCTTTGCAACCTTCTGCGTCCCAAGTAGAAGCTGGCAGTACCAATCAATTATGTTTTAGTGGGAGAATATGAAAATGTAGAATATATATGCATGGAATACATCTGCAAATCACCAAGTCCTTGGGTTTGAATTAGCTCATGTGGAACTCCCATTGTAACATAACTTTTACATTCTTATATCCACATTTCCATTACTGAAAGTTAGGGGGGTAAAATAATAATAGCTAAAACATGCATAATGCATACTATGTGTGAAACACTGTTTTAACCATGCTTCACATATTAACCCATTTAATTCTCACAACTTTTATGTTACTAATAAAGAAACTCAGGCACTGTGAGGTCAACCACTTGCTCAAGTCATCCTACCTCCTAAATAGTAGATTTGGGGGTTTGAACACAAGTGTTTTTAATCAGCTTTATCACTTCCCAAATAAAAGTATAAAAGGGTGATTAATCAGGGTACTTCAGAATTCTGAAGAGCATCTAGTCCTGCTCTTTTATTTTACAAGTGAGAAATTTTAAACATGTGAGTTAAGTGACTCATCAGGACCAACCACATAGTTTGGGGCTGATTCCATATAGAACCAAGGTTTCCATTTCCCATGCTATTTTTGTTTAATCACAGCATTCGATTACAAATGGGAGTTCAGTTCCAGTGCTCTAAATCTAGAGATTCATTTTTAAAAAATTTCTTATTTGGGCTAAGGTTTATTTATTTATAGGTTCAGCTCAAATGATGGAGAGGAACGTAATTTTCAGATTGCCATGTAATTGTATCACATTAACTTATATATGTCCAAGAACAGAACATATCCAAAGTTAAAATATCCATCTTCATTCAGGCAGGGAACAAAGTAAATATCTGTAGTTGGGAATTTTCTATCAAAAGGCTTTTTCCCTCCAGTGTTTATTAATGAGTACATTTGATTGTAGAAGCCATTTGTTCTGCTAAGCTTTAAAAATAATAACTCTTGCTAGTCCTCTCAAAGACTGTATCTTAAATATATAGTTCATTCATTATCATAGCTCTGTTTTCTAACTCTTCTCTTTTATTTAATACAATGCCTGTGGAAATTTATATACCCCTTAAGGGCAGACTTTCCATCGGCTTCCTTTCTCTTCACCTTTCCATGATGGTTACATACACATAGTAGCATGTAGAGGGACAGAAGTCAGAAAACTTGAATTGTTTATCATGTTTTGTGACTTACAAGCAACTTGGCCTCTGGCAAATGTTTTAATATCTTTTAGCCTTTGTTTTCTCACCTGTACTGCATGGTGTATGAAGATCATTCATTTACCCAAAAACATTTATTGAACTTCTGTTATAAGCCTGGCCCAGTGGTGGACACTGGGGACACAAAGTTGAATAGGAGATAGCTACTACTTTCCAATGAATTTGTGGTGGGTCTAGTATAGGTATTGATGTGTAAATAATTATGACATGCAATAAAATGTATTAAAGTTTAATATAGGAGAGGCAGACCTGACAGACTCAGGATATTCACAGAGGGCGTGTTTAAAAGTAAGAGTTCAGCAAGCAGGTGAGGAAAAAGCCTTCCAGGCAAAGGAAGAGCATTTAAATTTTTATTTTTATTTTTTTGAGGCGGAGTCTTGCTCTGTCACCCAGGCTGGAGTGCAGTGGCGCCATCTCGGCTCACTACAAGCTCTGCCTCCTGGGTTCACCCCATTCTCCTGCCTCAGCCTCCCGAGTAGCTGGGACTACAGGCGCCCACCACCACCCCCGGCTAATTTTTTGTATTTTTAGTAGAGATGGAGTTTCACTGTGGTCTCAATCTCCTGACCTCTTGATCCGCCCTCCTCTGCCTCCCAAAGTGCTGAAATTACAGGTGTGAGCCACCGCGCCCAGCCGAACATTTAAATGTTTTCTAATTGCACATCAAAAACTGGTTGAAGTCCACAAACGTGAGGGATTGTCATTGCTTTTAAGAAACAATGTATCAAGGGATTATGAAAAATATGATTTGAATTTTGAAAACCATCATGTTACAGTTATAGATAATAACCTTAGAGAAATCCTATTGTAAATTCACTAATAAGATACGGAGATACAATGACAAATCAAGACTGTAATTAATTGTAAGAAACTGGGTCCTGCAAGTCTTCATTATCATGAGCCATGTTAGTTAACATTTTCACTAATTAGCTTGACAATAAAATTATCACACAGTTAGTGACCCTATGAGGTCACAAACACAAAGTAACATTGCTTACAATGTCAGGGTTAAATAATTGATGGTAGGATTGACTAGCATTATAGTTAAAACCCATGCAACACAGGCAGGCCAAGAGATAGGAAAACTTACTCAGATTAAATGTGGCTCTTTTTATCGGATATATCAAAGACATTTCATAACATTGGCTTTTTGAAAAGAATTCCGTATACTATCTCTGATTTTTTTCACATGATATAAATTCCTGTTACTGCTAGCCTCTTGTATAATGCCGTTTGTAATAAACTAAGCAAAATTTGCTTTCAGAGGTTAGTATTTAAGAAGAAAAGTATCCCGAAAATCTGTTAATGACATATGTAATATAATGCTTAAGGATGTATTGACAGTCTACAGAATCCATTGAAAAAGCTTAAGAGCAGAAGAGGACAATTCATATGATGGTTAAACCTTAAAATAGTTTATCAGTGAAGAAAAAAGAAACTGTGATTTTGAAAGGAAAGGCAAGGGCAGTAGAAAATGTCTGAGGAAGAAATAGATCAATATTCAAGGTAATGATCAGAAAATGTAGGCCTTTGTCATTAGCAATGGAAAAATGTTAGATAATCAGGTGATAAATGACTTTGTGGGAGGGAGGTGGTCGTATGTATCAGGCAAATGATTTCATGGAGTAGTTTCTTATATTTATGTATATTACTATGTATCTTCCTTCTTTGAACCTAAGTAGAATAATTTGTTTATTTCAGTTCTTTTAGATAACTAACTGTTACATTACCTTTTCAAATATTTAATTAAAACCTAAGCTTAACCAAATCAAATGTACTCTATGCCTTTGATTGCACAAGGGGCCCTAAAGTACTGTACATTAAAAATAAAATTCTATTGTAATAAAAATTTAACCAAATTATTTAAAAATTTAATGAAAATAATGTCATAGACAAAAGTAAAAAATAATACAATCTCATGCAATTATCTTAATATTTGCACATTGCCTTCTGCATGCAGCCATATTTTTAACATACTTGCAGTCATAATACGCATTTCTATATTATAATTTTTGTATTGTGAATTGCCATCTTTCCCCATCTTGTTGAAAAAAAGATTTAAATAGCTTACAAAGAAATCCACAATAAAACAAAGTAACATTAATTAAAACCAATAGGAAAAGAAAGAATTCAGGAGAAAGAAAGGGAAGGGCAGGATAAAATAAGAAATATGTGAGGTAATATAAAAAATATGTCATTAGCTATTAGACACGGGCCATAGATTTATCTTTGAGCAAGCGCTTAAAGAGGGAAATGGGATCAATTTCTGATTTATCGTGTCTAGTAGATTAAAACATATCAGTTGTTTAGGAGAAGTAACAAATATTTTTAATCCTGAAACCATAGATAAATTTCTTTTGTTTTTCATCATAAAGAGGATACAATGGCTTCAACATCACTCTAATGTCAAATATAGCCATGAGTTTCACGAGGCTGCTTCTTGTAACACATATTTTAATATTCTCAGTGTTGGCAAATACTATAGAACTAAAGTTAGCATACCTTAATGCATTTATAAAAAATCAGAACAAGATTATATTTCAATATACAACTTCTGTATAACCAAAAAACAAAACATCACAGTAAAATGAATGAGAAAAAACATATTTGCAATTCTAGACAAAGTGTTAACATCTTTAATCATAAATGAACTCTTCAGAAATCAGTACAAAGAGACTAAAATTACAAGGGAAGTGAAAAAAAGGAACAGAGGGAAATGGAATAGCACAAATGAGTTATAAGGCTATATGAAGATGATATAGTTAATATTAATAGCTGAGAAAGCAATTTCATTATAAATTCCATTATCGATCCTTACAAATATTGATATCTGATGTTTGTGCAGCTTTAGGAAATGAAGAATTCTCAAATACTGGGGAAACTTACTGTAGTCACGGGGAGTTTACTCAAAAAATGTAGATTTTTGCATAAACTTGGCCCCGGCAGTTCCAAACCATAGGAATCACTCCAACAAAGTAGTTAGATACACACCCACACACATATACATACATGTTTACTACATAGGAAATGTGTAAGTAATATATCATCCCCCAAGAAACTACTTATGTATCAATTGGTTTATAAAATAATAGACAGTGGTGGGGGTGGGGGGTAGAAGTAGAAAAAAGGCACTTAAGTAAAAATACTACATTTCTCAAAATTCCGTGTCCTTTGAATTCTTACGAAACATTTTTAATGAATCAGTTTTCTATAATGCATTTTAAAGAAACATTTAGATTAATATTTCTGTTTACTTTAGACAGTCTCTTTGGAATGAGCTGGTTGCTCCTTTTCTCTTAAAAATAACCTTTCAGGGTTACTTTGAATGGATACTTTTTTTTCTTTCCTTTTTGATGACTTTCCCACGATGAGTAGACAATTCAAAGCATTTCATTGATGTAGTTATGCTGTTCAATGCAACCTTCCAGCACTCTCTTTTTATCATTAGATTATTCGCTCTATATAGCAGAATCATTGAATGAGGGAGTAAACAGTTGGAGAATGGGAAGTAGATAGAGCTAAATTTAGTATAATGACCTATGAGAAGAGCAAAAATAAATGAGGTCTTTAAAGATTAAAGATTTTAAAGATATAAGCCTAAATTGTACAAAGTTGAGCCAAATTTCATGCACAGAAAGTTGCTTTTAACTTCCTCTCCCCACATACACACACACATTTAGAAAGAGAGAAATTTATTTCTTAGAAAAATAATATTTTCCTGGTTAGACATGTATTTTCTACAAGAATAATTTATTATTTGCTACCAAAGACACTCATTTGTCTAAATCTATATGGTTCATTAAGAAAGCAAACAATGCTGGACAATGATAAAAGTAACAAGAGTTATAAGACAATGGAAGGAGAGATCAGTCACAGGGAGTTGGATGTGATTTTTCCCACCATGAAATAAATGGATGAGAGATCTGATCAGTTAAAGACAGCACACAAAAGTTATCTCTTGCTGTTAGTAGAAAATTGTCTTCTACTGTCCCTGACCAAGTACATTGATCTCTAAATGAAGCTTTGAGATTTTGCAGCTTTTTCTTTGTGGATTAATTGCAAAAGTTACCTCCTTTATATGCTGCTGCCTTGAGTTGAGAATTCCTTTTCTAGTAGAGAATAGAGGAATTTGCATTGTTACTTATTCTCTACTTTTATCTGTAGGTGGAAAAACCTTTGTTGTAACATGGTTACTTACTATATGGAGTCAGGGGAAGGTAGCTGACCATGAAACTGAACCTGGTTTCTGACTCTCCCACTTACATAGTAGGTATGGTCTGCCTAGGCTAAGCATGTTTTAAATAAATGGGGATCATCTTCACAATAAGGTGAATCCTTGTTTAGAAGATTAAATGAGATATTATATACCTAACGCATGGCTATCAAATATTTGTCTCTCAAAAAGGGTTAGCCATTCTATTGTTATTGCTGGTGGTGGTATTTTTGGAGGCAAATTGGCAAAAATAACGACCAAATTTTCTTCCAGGTTTTTGTAGACCCAATATTTTTCTGGGTAAGTGTTTAGGATTGGAGAGAGGAAATACCAGATAATCAGATGCAGGATGTTTTTCTCCATAGCAAATTATTTCCTTGATCATATGGATCATCTTGTCTCCTTGATTCTGGTTTGGGTATTTTAATAAAGTTCTTTAAACCTGTAATTTTTTTTTTTTTTTTCTGAGATGGAGTTTCACACTGTTGCCTGAGCTGGAGTGCAGTGGCACGATCTTGGCTTACTGAAACCTCCGCCTCCTGGGTTCAAGTGATTCTCCTGCCTCAGCCTCCTGAGTAGTTGGGATTATAGGCACCCACCACCATACCCAGCTAATTTTTTGTATTTTTAGCAGAGACAGGGTTTCACCATGTTGGCCAGGCTGGTCTTGAACTCCTGACCTCGTGATTCACCTGCCTCAGCCTCCCAAAGTGCGGGATTACAGGCCTGAGCCACTGCGCCCAACCGAAACCTGTAATCTTATATTTTAAATGATGCAGGTTTACTTACAAATAAATTAACTTTCTTTCATCTTGCCATTGTTGCATCAACTACATTTATATTGTTATTGTATAATCAATCAACTAATAAAAGATGAGTGAGATTCCAGTTATCTGAACTAAGAGAGGGACTGCTGACTAAGAGTAAGCAAATAAAACATCTTTTTTTTTCTTTCAAATAAAACATCTTTAGTAGGATGATAGTGGGAGAAACTTTGTGAGTCATAACCATGTAACAGAATTTCTAACGAATATTAAAATCGTGTCTTAATTTTAATACTTTATTGTAATTAAAAATAAAAGGAGTAGAAATCCCTCTTTAAATCAACTTAGTTTGCTCAGCAAGATAATTTCAGTTCATAAAGGCATCCTTTTGCTGAATTTTCTGAGTCGTGCTTGTGACTCACTGAGCTGGCTTTGCTGATGATGAGTCATTTCAGATTTTCTTGAAAAAGGCTACCTGACTATCACTGCTTTGTCTTTGGTTTGCAATGAACAGAGGAAATACACCATTACAGGTGATAGTATGGATAGCAAGAGGAATGTGGAAAAAAAAAATGGCAACCTCTATGATTTGGATGTAATCATTTCTGTCTGGTAAAGTGTCAATGATTTGTGCAGTTAAAGAGATACTGCTCTAGCAAGTGTTCTAATATTGTCAAGAACCTCCTTCTTTGCCTCCTAAGAGCATGGAAGCTCTTAGGCATTGATACTCTGTTTGCCTTTTAAAACATAAGGTTAGACTGGGGCAAGACACTGATCCTGTCTGTGATTTCATGTGATGTCAAATTGCTGGTCAGAATGTCTGCTTCTCAGATAAATCATCTAGGTGTATGGAATGCATAGAAACTAAAAATAAAAATGAGAAGAATCATTAACACCTGATAATAAGTTTAACCTCTAATTCAATACTTGAAAAGAAGAGGACATGGAAGTTGACGCTTTGCCAGCGTTTCATTAGGAGATTTTCTTTACCTAGCCCTTTCTCAATCTGTCCCTTTCCCTAGTCTGCCCCATATGCGGACCTCCCTGTCTTACCCACATGTAACCCAAATCCTAGCAGTGATTCATAACTCTTGTTTCTGATTACTGACATCAATTCTATTATTGAGTCTATCTCTTTCTTCAAAGTACATCCAACATCCATGCACTTCTAATCAATTTCACTGTTATATCCATAGTCCAAACCATCATGTTGTCTTATGTGGTCTCCTAGCTGGCAGCTCTACATGTATGCTTGCACTCTGTAAAGTCTGTTCACCCATCAGCCAGAGTAACTGACTTCAACAACAAATGAGATCATGTCTCTCTCCTGCTCAAAACAGGGAAAAAATGACTTCTCTTTCTTTTTTTTTGAGACGAAGTCTCACTCTGTCACCCAGGCTGGAGTGCAGTGGTGGGATCTCGGCTCACTGCAAGCTCCACCTCCCGGGTTCACGCCATTCTCCTGCCTCAGCCTCCCGAGTAGCTGGGACTACAGGCGCCCGCCACTACGCCCGGCTAATTTTTTGTATTTTTAGTAGAGACAGGGTTTCACCATGTTAGCCAGGATGGTCTCAATCTTCTGACCTCGTGATCCACCCGCCTCGGCCTCCCAAAGTGCTGGGATTACAGGTGTGAGCCACCGCGCCCGGCCTGACTTCCCTTTCTTTTATACTTCAAATAAAACCTGAAAAAACTTTTCGTGGTCTACTGGGATCTTTTTCTTCCTTAAATGTGCCAAATTATCTCCAGACGGAGAACATTCTGTTTGCCTAAAATACTTTTCCCCATACCTTTACAAAGCTCTATTATTTAGATTCCTGTCAAATATCAATTCTTCAAGGAGGCCTTCCCTGAATCCCCCGTTAAGAAGTAACGCCTTAGATCAGAGACCTCAGAAGCTGAGATTTCCATAGGTATTCTTGTGAAAGTCATTTATTGAGGCAGTGCTTTTAGTAAAAGGGAAATGAGAAAAGCATAGCAGGGGCAGGGAGGAAAAAAAAAAAAAAAACCTAAGCAAGGATGTCAGCTGAGCTGGGGACGTGCTTCAGCCTGGTTGCAGGGGATACCCTGGAACACAAATAACGTCAGAGACTTACTCTCACCTCGAGGCAAGGAAACTGGCTATTTGTACACTATATCAGCCAATTGTTGGCTGCCCCTGGGATAGTGATAATGGGACACAGTCTCCTGGGTGAGGCAACTCTCCTTCAGTTGAGGGCAGTTTTCCTGAGAAAGGGGTAGCTGTGAGCCTGTAACAGCCAACAGTCACAGGTGCAGGTGCATCACCTAGAGAAGGGGGATCTGGTAGGGGTATCAACAGCATCTGCTACAAGTAGCCAACCCTATTAGATACCGTTTCACTTTTCATTATAACATTATATATTATCTACTTGTTGGTCTATCATCTGTCTGTCTTTCTATCTATATCTAATCTATCTATTGATTGATTGATTGATTATTGATTGATCTTTCCTTGTCCAAGATTAAAATGAAGAGGTTAGGGGTTTTGCCTTGCTTATTGGTATATTCCTAGTACCAAAATGAGTACCCAGTATGTTAAAAGTATCAAAAATAATCATAACTAACATGTATTAAGTGTTTACAACATGCCAGATGTGATTCTAAGTGCTTTACAAGTATTAATTCATTTACCTCTCATAATGATATTAAAAAAGAGATACTATTATTATCTTCATTTTACAGTTGAGGAAAGTGACACAGAGGGGCCAAGTAACTTACCCACAGTTACACATTTAGGGAGTGGTGAGTCTAGGATTTTATTCCAGGCTGAATCCACTGCCTCTCTATAAATACTCGTTGAGTGTTGAAGGAATAAGTCCATTGAGTTAGATTCATAAAGCATTTTCTAGGTAGTTTAATCATCTTTGTCATTCTGTTTCAGCACAGTAATGAAATGGGAGTTCAGTAAAATTCTTCCTTTGGCATATTTTTGTGTCTGTGTCCTGCAACAGGGGCTTAGGTAGCAAAAGGCTGGCACTCTGCCACTCTAGCCATCACTTGTGACCTTGGCTGTATTTTAATTAGCTCTCCATAACTCAGGCGTTTGTTTATTGTATGATGTATTCCATATCAGAAGAACTCTTTACCAAGAGTTCAAAGATATAAATTCTGCCCCTAGGTGTAACATTGCTATCTTTACAGACTGGGACAACTTTCTCAGTCTCTCTGAGCCTCAGTGTCTTGATTTGTAAAGTGAGAAGTTTGGTCCAGGAGAATAAACTTGTAGCCTGAAGCATTGTATGACATCAGTCATACAAGGTTTGACATTGGTCTTAAATGAGTATTTTATGAATGAATCAATACATAAGCAAATGAGTGAATCAGGTGTGTAAGTATCATTTCAGATTCCAAAGAATTGTTTTGTGTTGCTTTAACTGTTTGGACCAAGAACCCAGAAGCATAAGATAGGGATCTAACCAGAAGCATAAACGTTTTTTTTACATTGTCCTCAGTACATGGCAGAAGGCCTATCACCTGGGGGTCTTCATTTCAGAAACCAGGAAGTATGTTCTGTTTTATCTCTTAACCCCCATCTCCCACGTACGTTGAATTTATCAAAGTTCAGATGGAGATTAAAGACGCAGGTGAATCAGTTTAGTTACTAGGCAACATACTTATCAGTGGCTTGTGAACCATGACCTATAGAAAGAAAACTAGATTTGGGGCCAACAGACACAGAGTTGAATTTCTACATGTGTCAGTAGCTGTGTACTTGTGTTTTGAAATCACTTTAGATGAGCAAGGACACCCCCTACAAGAACAGTGACATCTCAGAAGTTTATATATAATGTTTGCTGTGCTATACATTGGAAAGAGCATGCATGGACTTGGGAGCCAGTCACATCTGGGTTCAAATCACATCTTTGCCCCTTAATAGCTGAGTGCTTGGGCAAGGAACTTAGCATCTCTGAACCTCAGGTCCCATCTGTATAAAATGAGTAAATGTGGCATATTGTGGGGATTGTGTTTCACAGAGTGCCTTTTGAAATATTTAAACAATAAGTGCTAGCTAATAATAATAATTTAGATTATATTCTATATACTAATAGGTTACTTCCACTTTGAGATGTTCCTATAATTACTAAGCTGTGTTGTAAGGCTTAATTCTAGAGTTCTACATGTTAGAATCTCTGCTTGAATTTTGCCACTTTAATTCTTGTTTTCGTATTTTATTACTAAATATTGTGTTTGTTTGGTTAACTTAGCAAACTTTTGACTTTAAATAGTGTTACCCAACAAAATAATTTTCAAGGCAATCTTTTAAAACAGGTCTTTTCTTTAAAAAATGTAAAGTTGTCTTATTGTTTTATAACCAATGGGTTTTGCCTTTGAACTAACAAAGTACCTTTTAGAAAATTTGCCTTATTAAAAGAGAACTATTGCAAATTAAAATATTAATGCATATTTTAAATCAAAAAATGGTGCTTTTGATTCTCTTTAAGGGTGGAATACAAGTTTGTTCTCTTAAGCAGCTTAAGGCACATTTTTATCTTTCTCATTAATTTTTATTTTTTCCTTTATCAGCTCAGCCAGAATCTGGCTTTGAATTAAAAGGTGGGTTGTTCAAATTTTTGCATGAATCATAATCATAAACATCATGGCCTGTGTACTTCTCAGCAGTTTGACTCTTTTTTATGTTATCTTATTTAAAAATTATTTTTTACTGTCTCAGTTTCAAGTCTTCTACATTTCCCTGCCTAGGCAGTTGAGCTTAAAAAGAATGCTTTAGTTTGTTTTTATTTCTCTTCTACTAGAGCCCTCAATAAAGTTGCTAAAAAGATAAAAATCTCCATGTTTATTTATTTACCACAATCAGAAGGAGCTTTTTCACTTTACCTTTAAGTTTCGTTCTTGTACTTAATTTCTTTACCTGAAGCTGAATATAACAATGTACACACAGTGCTTGTTAATTTTGTAGATTTTGGTGAGCAAAGATTGAACATTTAGCATAATTGAACATTTCTTTTAAATTTATTTTAAATTTTAAGGAGCTATATTCTGCACTTAGAATAGTTTGAATAAGTTATCAGTATACATTTTGTTTATTTTTGTATATGTTTAAGGTGTATAACATGTTTTGACATAGATAGTAAAATGATTACTACAGTCAGGTAAATTAACATGTTCACCATCTCACACTTAAGTGGGTGTGTGTGTGTGTGGTAAGGGCACCTAAAATGTACTCACTTAGCAAATTTTTGGTATACAGTACAATATTATTAGCTATAGTCATTGTAATGTATCTTGGATCCCTAGACTTATTCATTGGAGAAAAACTGTATGTTTGTACACTTTGACCAATATTGTCCTATTTTTCCTGTTCTCCCATCTCATTAACTACATTTCCACCCTATATTTATACATATTTGATCTTGTTTTAGATTCCACATATAAGTGAAATCATACGATTCTTTTTTTTCTCTGTCTGGCTTATTTCACTTAGTATAATATCCTTTAGGTTCCTCCATTTTCTCGCAAATGACAGACTTTCCTTTTTAAAGGCTGGATAGTAATCCATTTTGTGTATATACCACATTTTCTTCATCCATTCATCTTCTGACACTTAGATAATTTTTGTATCTTAGCTATTGTGAATAATGCTCAATGAACACGGGAGTGCAGATATGTTTATACTCGTGTCTTTCTTCAAATCCTACTGATTTTTCACTTTTTAGCACAAATTTTGCATGAAAAGTTTAACTTACCTTATTACATATTAGAAGCATTCTATATCAGTTTTCCTTTTTATTTTTATTTTTTTTGAGTCAGAATCTCATTATGTCATCCAGGCTGGAGTGCGGTATCATGATCTCAGCTCACTGCAACCTCTACCTCCAGGGTTCAAGTGATTCTCATGCTTCAGCCTCTGGAGTAGCTGGGATTACAGGTGCATGCCGCCACGCCCAGCTAGGTGATCCACCCACCTCGGTCTACCAAAGTGCTGGGATTACAGGTGTGAGCCACCATGCCCAGCCCTATATCAGTTTTCTATTGCTGCTGCAACAAATTACCCACATTTTAGTGGCTTAAAACAATGCAAATGTATATCTTACACTTCTGTAGATTACAAGTCTGACACAGCTCTCATTGTGCTAGAATCAAGGTGTCAGCAGGGCTGCATTCCTTTTTGGAGGCTGTCGGAAGAATGTTTCCCCTGTCTTTCCCAGCTTTCTGTGGCCACTTACGTTCCATGGCTTCTGGCTCCCTTCTTCCAGCTTCAAAGGCAGAAATTTGCATCTCTGAGCATTCTTCCATAGTCATCTCCAGTTGACTCTCTTCTGCCTTCCTCTTTCACTTTCAAGAACACTTGTGATTATATTGTGCCCACCTGGATAATCAGGTTACTCTCTCTATTTTAAGGTAAGTGACCTTAACTGAATTCCATCTGCAGCCTAATTCTTTGCCATGTAAAGTAACATTTACAGATTCTGGGTATTAGGGTGTGGGCATCTTTGGGATTGGAAGGTTGGGACATTATTCTGCCTACCACATATTCTTAAGTACTCTTTTTCTTCCAGTTGAGTATGAATAAACTGAGAAAATATTGCCTGCTAGAGGTCGTCACGAAACTTGCTTTGCTGAAGAGATAAGAATAATTTTAAGTATTCCATTAATGTTTAGATGCAAATTTATCTTTTTATAATGAGTGAGGGTATAAGAAACCAGTTTATTGTCCTCAATTGTTTAAATCACCAGGTGACCCCCTGTGATGCAAAGAAATAGAAACATGGAAATAAAGGGAGAAGGAGGGAGTGGGAAAGAGAGGGAGAGAGAAACCTTATTAGACAAGCAGAAGTAAAATTGATTGAATTCATTTGGCTTTGTCTAAATGAGGCACTATCAGATAGGACACAGTGGAAACATCACTACTTCATTGATTGATGTTTTTTCATGTGGAGGCTGAGACTAATGTGGTGTCTTATTGCTCCTGAGTTTATCTCATTCAGCTATTCTTTCCTCAAGTTTTAACCATTTTGTGTAATATCAACATAAGCTTTATGTGATAACTATATATGGTTATACTTGCCATTCTTAATCCCTTCAAAATATATTGAGATAATTTGTCAAAATGTTTATATATCTATGAAAGGGAGAGTTGGCAAGGGGAAGAATTGTTCAGAAATAGTGTTATTCTGTAAGGTTTTTCAACGAATAGACTGCCACAGCTTAGTTTCTCCCTCTCTAAAATAAGATGTTCTGACTAGAATACCTTTTAAGATCCTAGCTTCTAGCATTAATAGTCCCAAAGGATAGTCCAGTTCTCAACTCTGGCTATTAGTTAGAAATGAAATAGAGAATGTCATTGCCCGGTCCCTACCCTCAGAGATACTGGCTGAATTCCTTATTACAGTTCAATGTTCTCTTCCAAAATAGAGATTTTCAGGAGAAAAGGGATAGAGTAAGTTAAAGTGAATATTATAAGCTAATAAGTGGGCACTTATTAGCTTTGAATTACTTCGTGGCCTAGATAAATTATATTGTGTGTGTTGGGATTGTGAGGAATTTGTGAAAAAGTAGAAAGGTATTGAAAAACTGGAGGGGGGGATAAAGTTCTGATTTTCAAAAAAAAAGAAAATAGTTGAGTAACATGTACTGCAAATTGATACCTTTGACACAGATTTTTTTTTGAGATTCTAGAATAGACTTAAAATCAACTTTGTCGAGGGATAGTTTACGTATAATGAAATACATATTAAGGTCAACTACTTTGGACAAAGATATATGCCTGTGTTACCACTTGCCAATAAGATGTGTGGGGTTTTCTTCCCTTAAGAAAGTTTTCTGGTGTTGCTTTGCAATCAGTGTCCTCCTACCTCCTCTGCCAGGCAACTGCTGGTCTGATTTCTATCACTATGGATTTGGCTGTTTTAGAATTTCATGTAAGTAGAATCATACAGTATGTATTTTTCTGTGTCTGGCTTGCTTTGTTCAGTGTAATGTTTGTGAGATCTATCTGTTTATCGCATCTATCAGTAATTTGTTCCTTTTTTTTTTTTTTTTTTTCTTGAGATGGAGTCTCGCTCTGTCGCCCAGGCTGGAGTGCAGTGGTGCGATCTCGGCTCACTGCAAGCTCCGCCTCCCAGGTTCACGCCGTTCTCCTGCCTCAGCCTCCCGAGTAGCTGGGACTGCAGGTGCCTGCCACCATGCCTGGCTAATTTTTTTTTTTTTTTTTTTGTATTTTTAGTGGAGACGGAGTTTCACCGTGTTAGCCAGGATGGTCTCGATCTCCTGACTTCACAATCCGCCGGCCTTGGCTTCCCAAAGCGCTGGGATTACAGGCGTGAGCCACCGCGCCCGGCCATTTGTTCCTTTTTATTGCTGAATAGTAATCTATTGAAAAGCCCAAGATGTTTCCTAAGCCTTTCTAGTTTGGCAGGACTCAGCCTTGAAACTCTGTCTTCCCTGCGGATCTTTTTGGGGGCTTGTTTTGAGGCTTTTCTAGGTAGGGTCTAGAATACATCCTCCCTTTGGACAGGGGACAACACACTTTTTCTATAAATATCCAGGTAGTAAATATTTTGGGACTTGCGAGCCACATATGGTCTCTGTCACATATTCTTCTTACTTTTTTAAGATAACTTGTACAATATGTAAAAACAATTTTAGCTTGCGAGCCATACAAAAACAGACTGCAGATCAAAAACAGTTTGGCAGCCCCTGTTCTAAGTCAGTGCTATCTAATAGAACTTTCTGTGATGAGTGCATATCTGAGCTGTCTCTTATGGTAGCTGCTAGCCAAATGTGGTTATTGAGCAAGGAATCTAGAATGGATTTTTAAAAACAACTTATGAATAACGTGAAGAAGAAACAGCAATCAGATGATACCAACGTAGGTTCTGAGCAAATCACATGATTTACTGTGATTTATTTCTTTGACTCAATTCTTCGTCTGGTAGATGAATAGAATGCAGTAATCATAATACGTGGCATTAGGCAAAGACTCTCATGGTGCCCCATGTCAAGATGGAGAAATTAGATATGAAGACAGTTAAGGATTCTTACTTGGTAAATGCTGATAGTAATTTAGGTCAAAGCTGGCTACTGTGAATATTAACTCTTGGCGTGTTAATTGCTCTGCTAGTTAATAAGTAACTGCTAGCCACGTGTAGCTATATAAATTTACATTTTAATTAATTAAAATTAAGTTTACAATTCTGTTCTTTAGCTGCACTAGCCACATTTCAAATGCTCAATAGCTGCAGTGGCTTTTGGCTACTGTATTGGACAGCCCAGGTTTAGGACATTTCCATTAGAAAGCTCTATTGGACGTCACTGCCAGAGGGAGGTTTCTAGAGGCATGACAAAGAACTCTGTCCTTAACTTTGTATTATCCAGCATTTTTACTGTAATTTAGAGGAAGATGATACAGATCAAGAGAATGTGATTATCGAATTTGTAGATAAAACAAAGCTGGGAAGGAAAATAAATACACTAAAATGACTCATCTTCCCGAAATACCTTGAGAGCATCTTAGGAATAATAGTGGCGCAAACCGTTAATAAGTTAATATGTGTTATATGAACATTGTCTTTCTTGGCAGTCAAACTCCGCCTTTATCAAAATAAATTCGATGATAACCCCTTCTTTGTAAGTCAAAATGAATCTCAGCATATTAAAGCTTCTGAGAAATCCTGGAGAAAGGCAATATGTTTTATTTTGTTTATTAACCTAGAGACATGGATTAGATCTAACAAAGTAAAATGTAACAAAAATAAAATGAAAACCCTGCCTTTTGGTCTCCATATTATTTGCACAATTATAAGAATGAGTGAGATCTGGCCTACACGCAGCATGTGTATAAAAGGCTTGGAGGTTTTTGCCAAATTAGAGACTTAATGAAGTCAAGAATGTAAATTCCTATCTCCATCCCTGGTGAGAAGTGATTGTGATTTAGGCTACATCTTTATGTGTGTGGTGCCTATATATGAAGAGGTGATTCAGTTGTGTATGTTATCTTGGAACTTTCTAAGCAGATTCATGTTTATTCTTTATAAAGTTTGTAAGTTTTCCTCAAAAGAAAGGGTATGGTTGTTTTTTCGTTTACTTGTTTGTTTTTGTTTTTTGTTTTTTTTTCGCCCAAAAGCTACTGTGTGGCAGACAGAGCTTGGGTTTGGAAATACCTGGCTTTGAACCTAAAATTCACAGTTTGCTAAAGTTATATCACCTTAGCAACTGTCTGATAGTATTATTTGCATGGATATCTAAACTCAAGATTGCTGACAGGGTTTTGTGAGATATAAATGTTTCTTATATAAAACTGAGGTAGCTAGGATGGGAAAGTTGAAGAGAGGTAAGATATGTTACCCCTTTTATAACACAGTGTTTCACAATTCTGGCTCCAGAAGAAGAGAGCCCAGGTTCAACTCCCCACTCTCCCACTTTCATCTTGAGGATGCCACCTAATCTCTCAGTGCCTGTTTTCTTATTTGTAAAAGAAAGATGATAATAGAACTTACTTCATAGAGTTGCTGTGAGGTTTTTATATATAATATATATATGTAACATATATAACTCTATATATAGAGAGAGATTTATGCTGGTTTTTATCTCATATATTTCTACAAACCTTCAGAACAATTCTGCAAACGATTTTCCACATTTTACATATGAGGATCGACGAACTTAAGCAGTTTGTCCAAAGTCATACTGGCTAGTAGGCTAATAAGTATCACAGTGAATTGTAGAGGCACCTCTCTTTGGCATTGCGTCTGAGAATATGAGTCACAGGACTATATATAACCTCATAAGCCTCAAGCCTATAAGGGATGATACTGGTAATACAATCCAGTTATTTTCTGATTCTTGCATAGCCTCTTTAGCAATTCAACAAATAGTTATCTAACCTGTATTTGAAGAGTACATTCTTTTGGAGGTGAGACATTCTGCCTTTCTATAGCCCCTGACTCTTAGCTCTTCAAAGATCTTCTAGGGCTCTACCTGTTCAGATACTCCCACACCCTTGGTGGTGGCTTCTGAAAACATTGAATGAAGCACAGTTTGAAAATAATCATCCTATAGTTTGTTTGCCTCTATGACCCTATCTCCCTGTAGAACTTGGCAAGGTCACCTAAGATGGAGAGAACTAGTTAACAGAAATCACATTGTTATATGTCAGAAGTAGCGTGATGGCAAATCTGTTCCAGTTTGGCGGGATGTGCTCTTTTCCCAAAGGATTCCTTCCCAGACACTTAGCATTACATGTTTAGTTTTTGTATATTCAGTAGTTCATTCATCAGTCATATTTTAAGCCTTTACTATGTGCCAGGGTGTGTTAAGTGCTAGAGATACTGACAAGAGTAAGATTACATCACAGTTTCCAGGAAAACTCAAAGTGTGGATGGGGACCATACATAGGCCAACAGATAATTACAATAGTTATAAGATGGTGCAATAATTCTATATTATATGTGAGTCCAGGATCCTATGGGGATGGATACAAAGATTTCATCCCAGTTTGGAAGTGTCAGCAAATGTGTCTCAGTGAAGGAGATGCCTGTGTTGTGCTAAGGATGATTCGGAGGTAAAAAAAGAAGGAGAGAGAGGGGTCCTCTGGCAGTCGAGGACTGTGTGCCTCTGCAAGCTTCCCTTAACCATGGTTTTTAACTTTCCCTTGGCTGAGTGTTTTTCCACGAGATTAAGAGGCAGAAAAAACAGCAACAATAGGTGCCCTATGACATCATGGGATTAAATCATAAATATGGCTTGGGGTGGCTCAGATCTCCTCACATGTTAATGTGCTAGAGGTAGAAGTAGAGGCAAATTAACCATGAAGTAGAAGAGGTATTTTAGGAATTGTATCCTTATTTTTGGTTTAAGTTTGTGGCTCAGTCTCCAAAAAGTGAATCTAAGTTATTACAAGCAATTAAAAACATGGCGTTAATGATTCATGTATTTTCATTTTTTTATTTGAAATGCCTCTTAGGATTTTTCCTCCCTCTCTACTCCCGTTATTATCACACTAAATTAGGCTCTTATCACTTGACATTTAGTGTACAGTTGTTGGCTCCCAACTTACTTTCTTTGTTCCCTGTTTTTCTCTTCTCTTGCTAATCTGTTATCTCTCTACCATTTCCCTAAAATTCCATTTTTACAAGATCATTTCCCTTATCGAGGATGTACAGTGGCTCCCTACTATCCAATTTATTAATCACTTTTATTTATCTCTTGATTGGCTTTTAGATCATCCATAATTTGCCTATACTGGGCTTCTCCAGCCTTAGTTTTTACTTAGTACTAAATATCTCTTACTAAGTTTCAACTATAGTCAAACTAGTCTCCCTGCCTTCGTGCATTATTCCATAAATACTTGCTAAAATATTGTGTATAAAACTGTGACCCAAAGAGACATGAGACCTCTCATCATGGTACACAGAGTCGATTGGAGAATACAAGTGTTAATAGAATAACACATTAAGAAAAAGTACAGGGACATAAATTAGTCTTTTACTACCTTTTCACAATATATGTATGCATGCATGTATGTATATGCACATGCAGACATACACACATACTTCTGTTGTTTTCATATCTTTCCATATGCTAAATCTGTTACAAGGGATTACTTCCTTCTTTTACTACCTTATAAGTAGAGCTTCTCCTGAACTACCTTTATCTATTACTAATGTGTCATGCATGCCAGAATAGTGGGAGACATCATGTACTTTTTCTTCTTTATCCCTCAGATATAATCAAGCATATAATCCTCCTCCTTTTAAAAATATTTATTTCTGTAGATCTTCATTTTTCACCTGGTCTAATGACTTCTAGTGTGTCTTCTTGCTTACACTCTTCACAGTTAGTGCTCCAAAAGTTTTCCATTATACAGCAAAATCACATAACATACTTGTTAAATTTACCATTTCAACAATTATTTTTTAGGGAAAGGGTTGGGGGAGAGAGTCACACACACACACACATACGCACACACACATACAGAGAGAGAGAGAGAGAGAGAGAGGGAAAGAGAGAGGAAAGAAAGAGAATAAGTAAGAACAATTTAAATATTTCTGATGATCTCACCTACCATTCATTAAATGTGTGCCCTGAAATAAGTTTAAGATAATGAAAGTTGATCTGCTTCTTTCAGGTAGTCTTATAGTTTGAGCATTAGCCAATATAAGCATAATTCTATTTAAAGATAGTGTTTTTTTTTTGCATTGCAAGACTCCAAAATGCAACTAAGCTACTTCATCACGTGGTTTTTCATGAAATGCTGACACACACACACAGATATACACACACTCCTTTTTCTTTCAAGTCCCCCAAAATGCCATACTCTCGTGTATTTTAATTGCTTTTTTTTTTTTTTTTTTTTTTTTAAGACAAGGTCTTACTCTGTATCTCAGGTTGGAATGCAGTGGGACCATCATAGCTCACTGCAGTGTTGCCCTCCTGGGGTCAAGTGATCCTCCTGCCTCAGTCTCCCAAGTAGCTGGGACTACAGGCATGTGCCACAATGCCTGGCTAATTTTTTAATTTTTTTTATTTTCCTGTGTTGCCCAGGCTTGTCTCGAGCTTCTGGGCTCAAGCAATCTTCCTGCCTTGGCCTCCAAAAGTGCTGGGATTACAGGCATGAGCCACCATACCTGTCCCATTTGAATATTCTACTCAATAATATATTCTGAAAATAATTCTCTATCAGTTCTTAGAGTTCTTCTTTATACTTGTCTACAGCTGTAGTGCTGCATTGTGTAGCTGTTCTGTAGTTTATTTAATTATTCTTCTATGTTTTGGCTTTTTAAAATATTTTATAGTTTCTTGCATTGTTCTAAATAACCTTGTGCTTATGTGTATTTATATTTTGAAAGTGCATCTTCAGGAAAAATTCCCAAAAGTGAGATTACTTATCAAAACACATATTTTTTCTTACATATTGTCAGATTCCTCACTAGATTGTTGTGTGATTTTACATTCATACCAGCAAGATATGAATTCCTGTTTTCCCTTAGCCTCAACAACATGTGTTGTCAAGCATTTTAATTTAGCCAATATGTTAGGTACAAAAGTCTCAGTCCAGTATTTACATGTATTTTTTAATATTGGTAAAGGGTGCTATCTTTTTTATTTTATTATTTTATTTTATTTTAAGTTCTGGGGTACATGTGTAGGTTTGTTACATAGGTAAATGTGTGCCATGGTGGTTTGCTGCACCTATCAACCCATCACCTATGTATTAAGCCCAGGATGCATTAGCTATTTTTCCTAATGCTCTCCCGACTCAAACCTACCACCCGACAGGCCCCAGTGTGTCTTGTTCCCCTCCCTGTGTCCATGTGTTCTCATTGTTTCCCTCCCACTTGTGAGAACATGTGGTATTTTGTTTTCTGTTCCTGTGTTAGTTTGCTAAGGTGACTGTCTTTTTATGTGGTTATGAGCCATTACTCTATTGCCTGTTCAGGTTTTTTGCCCATTTTAGTACCAGATTTTTTTTCATCATTTTCCCCTTTAAGTTTTTCTTTACATTGTAAAATACACATAACATAAAATTTGCCATCTTAACAGTTTTCAAGTACACAGTTCAGTGGCACTAAGCACATTCATCTTTCATGCAACAATCACCACTCTCCATTTCCAGAACTCTTTTCATCTTGCGTAACTGAAACTCTGCACCTGTTAAACAATAACTCCTTTTTCTTCCCCTCCCCCATCCCCTAAAACCACCATTCTACTTTTTGTCTCTATGATTTTGACTGCTTTACATACCTCACGTAAGTGAATCATATAGTATATTTTATGACTGGCTTATTTCAGTTAGCACAATGTCCTCGAGATTCATCTGTGTCGTAGCATTTGTCAGAATTTTCTTCCTTTTAAAGGCTGGATAATATTCCATTATATGTATATGCCACATTTTTGCTCATTTGTTATCTGTTGATGGACACTTGGGTTGTTTCCATGTTTTAGCTATTGTAAATAATGCTGGTATAAATATAGCTGTACAGATATTTCTTTATGAGCCTGCTTTTATTTTTTGGTGGGTGTATACTCAGAAATGAAGTATCTGTGTCATATGGTAAGCCTATTTTTAGGCTTTTGAGGAGCTGCTATCCTGTTTTCTATACTGGCTCTACCATTTTACATTCTCACCAATGGTGCATAAGAGTTTCAACTTTGCCATAGCCTTGTTATTTTCTGTGTGTGTGTGTGTGTGTTTTCAATAGCTATCCTAATGGTGTAAGGTGGTATCTCATTGTGGTTTTTATTTGCACTTTCCTAATGGTTAGTGATACTGAACATCTTTTCATGCACTTATTGGCCATTTGTATATCTTCTTTAGCAAAATATCTATTCAAGTCCTTTGCCCACTTTTGAATTCAGTTTTTTTTCCATTGTTATTGAGTTTTAAGAGTTTTCTGTATATTCTGGATATAATGCATTATTTGATATATGATTTGCAAATTTTTCTGTTATTCCTTTACATTCTGTTGATAGTGTCCTTTGCTGCAGAAAGCTTTTAATTTTTATAAAGTTCAGTTTTTCTATTTTTTCTATTGTTACCTTTACAGCTTTTGATATGATTTGGCTGTGTCCCCACCCAAATCTAATCTTGAATTGTAGCACCCATAATCCCCATGTGTCATGGGCATGACCTGGTTGGAGATAATTGAATCATGGGGGTGGGTCTTTCCTGTGCTTCTCAGGATAGTGAATAAGTCTCATGAGATCTGATGGTTTTATAAAGGGGAGTTCCTGTGCACACACTCTTTCTTTCCTGCCACCATGTAAGATGTGCCTTTGCTTCTCCTTTGCCTTCTGCCATGATTATGAGGCCTCCTCAGCCATGTGGAACTGTGAGTCTATTACACTTCTTTTCTGTATAAATTACCCCATCTTGAGTATGTCTTTATTCACAGTGTGAGAACAGACTAATAATACCTTTGATGTCATATTCATGAAATCATTACTGAATCAAATGTCATGAAGCTATTGCCCTCTGTTTTATAGTTTTCACACTTACGTTTAAGTCTTTGATTCATTTTGAGTTATTTTAATATAAGGTGTTAGGTAAGTGTCCAGTTTCATTCTTTTGCCTGTGGATATTCAGTTTTCCCAACAGCATTTGTTGAAAAGACTGTCCTTTCCCTGTTGAGTAGCATTGGCAACTTGTTGAAAATCATTTGACCATATACGTAAAGGTTCATATCTGCGCTCTCTGTTCAGTTCCATCAATCTATATGTTTGTCTTTGTGCCATTACAAAACCGTTGGATTCCCATACGTTTGCAGTACGTTTTTGGATCAGAGAGTGTTAGTCCTCCAAGTTTGTTCTTTTTCGGGATTGCTTTTGATATTTATATTCCCTTGAGATTACATATGAATTTTAGGGTGGATTTTTGTGTTTTCGAAAAAATATTGTGATTTTGATAGGGATTGTGTTGCATCTGTAGATCACTTTGGGAAATATTGACATTATAGTATTAAGTCTTCCAATTCATGAATGTGGGATGTTTTTCCATTTATTTATGCTTTCTTTAATTTCTTTCAGCAATGTGTTGTGGTTTTTATTATATCACTTTTAATTTTTAAGAGCACTTTATTTATTAGGGGTGTTTGTATTTTATCTGTGAGAAAGTTGCAAATCTTTTCTCACAGTTAAATATATATCTTTCAACTTTGTTTATTGCATTTTTTGGACATTTATAACTTTAGTTTTTGAAGTGAAATTTATTATTTTTCTTTTGGATTTTGAGTCATAGTTAGAGATCTTTTTCTACAACCAGTTTATGCTAGAATTTATTAATATTTTTTCTATAACTTGTAAGAGTTGTATTTATGTCTGGATTTTTGATACACTTGGAATTGTGTATGTTTGAGTTATGGATCTGATTTTATCTTTCCTCAAATATCTATCCAGGAGTCCTAGCACCATTTATTATTATGTCTCTTCTTTTAGCCCCAGTAATCTGAGAGCTCGCCTTTATCATTTACTGAAATTCTATTTTGGGTTTACTTCTCTTTTGTTCCTCAGTCTCTTATTCATACATTAGCATCACACTATTTGAAATACAGAGAATTTTTTATTTTAATATTTGTTTGGGCTAATTCCCTACTAGTTTCTTTTCTTTCTCAGTTTTTCTTAATTTAGTTTGCATGTTCATTTTTCCATATGAACTTTCATAACGCTATAAAAACTTTTTGATTTTTTTTGGAATAGTATCAAATTTATAAATTGACTCAGGGAAAATGACACCTTTATGACATTGAGCTTTTCTATAGAAGAACAAAGGACATCTTCCTATTTATTCAACATTATTCTATATCCCTCAGATATGTTTTAAAGTTTTTCTCACCTAGGCTTTGCATTTTTGTTGTGTTTATATGAAATATTCTATTTTCTATTTTTTATTGTAAATGCCTTTATTATAACATTATATTCAGTCTACCATGTTATTTATTGTGTATATGAAAGCTATTGATTTCTGTATGTTGAGTCTGGGTTTTGATAGTTTACTGACTTCATTACTTTAATTTGCTTCATCACAGACGTTCTGTGATTTTTCAGAAATTGCGAATTGAGATAGTTTTACTTGTTTTTCTATTCTAATGCTCGAATTCAGCATTTCTCATACTTTTTGGTCTCAAGACTTCCTTTATATGCTTAAATATTTTTGAGTGCCCCAAGACTTTTTGATTATGTGAGGTATACCTATTAATCTTTAGCTTATTAGAAATTAAACTCAGAATATTCCAAATGTTCATTAATTTTTTTAAAAGGACAGTGGTAATCCATTTTTTACAGTTAAGAATTTTTTTAACTGTATGTTTGCACGGATCTGTACAGCTAAGAAAACCCTATGTTTTATGAAACATGCAAAGCTAGTGAGAAGATTGATATGGTTGTACATTTTGTATAAATGTTTTTGACATCTGGCCTAATAGAAGACAGATGGATACTTATATCCATTTATGCATTTAGTCTTTTGCAATATTTATTTTGGTCAAACTATATGAAAATTATCTGGCCTTATACAAATTTGTAGTTGGAAAATGAGGATTTTTTTGTAATGTTTTTCAGAAAGTTGTGGATATTTTCCTTTATACTCCCAAACTTGACATGTGGAAATTTCTTAAATGTTATTTCCGATCTGAAACCATTTCAGAGGACTTGTTGGACCATGTTACTTAAAAGCCATTAGTATATATTACAATTTGAATGGATCTTTTACCCATACATGACTTTGTTATATATATATCAGAGAAATTGTTTCACCGAGTTATGTAGATATTTCAAATGTTGATACGTTTAACCCAAAATGTAAAACATCACATTAAAATTACCACTGATCTCATCAGAAGATGTTAATATTGGGAAGCTGTCAAGCCATGGTAGTAGATACAAGTTTTCTTAAACTTGAATTTTGTTATTGTCAGAAAATTCTGCCAGTTGTTTTCCGTGAAGTAGAGTTCATTTTGTGCATTTTCTAGAAAATGTCTGCCAGATATCTTTAATCTGAATAACCATAATTTATCTGTCAATTTTTCTTGGAAGGAAAATGGTGTTCCATGAAATAAATGCTAATTCAGCACACAACTAAAACAATTGTACAAGTGATTTTTCTTGAGAAAAACACTATAATTTGGTATGCAGAGTAAGTGCTTTGCGCATACTTTCCTATTTGTTGAACTGAATATTAAAAAGAAATGTATGCAAAGCCTTAGATTTAGTAATATTCATAATTTTTACTTTTTGATCAAAGGCTTTCTTAAGTGAAATTGAATCATTTTCTTCTAGTGGTTACAGTGAAGAATACAATCGTTATTAATCAAATTTGATGCCATTGCCTTGATTAATGCTAAGACGCCAGCAAAATTTTAACCCCCATATTTTTGCATTATCAGTAAAAGTATCAGTACAGTAGAAAAAGCAATAATATCATAGTATTATTGGAGGAAAAGTTTTGGCATTGAGGACCTCTTGAAAGAGTCTTGGGGATCCTTTGGGGTTTGCATACCTTACTTTAAGAAACACAGATTATTAATATATTTTTCTTCTCTATTTGCATTTACTGTTGCCTCCAGTACATTCTTAAACAATAGTGGAGGAAATGGGTGACCTTACCTTTTTTCTAATATTAAGTGAAGTATGTATTTGCCCACTAAATAGGATGCTGTCTCTAAGACTAAGTATAAACTTTATCATGTTTAAAAAGCACTGGGGACTGTTGTGGGGTGGGGGGAGGGGGGAGGGATAACATTAGGAGATATACCTAATGCTAAATGACGAGTTAATGGGTGCAGCACACCAACATGGCACATGTATACATATGTAACAAACCTGCACGTTTTGCACATGTACCCTAAAACTTAAAGTATAATAATAAAATTGTTTAAAAAAAGAAAAACACTTGGGAGTACTTAACAGAGAGATATGTTGAAATATTGTTGTTGAGAAATAAACTAGAATCAATGGGTAAAAAAAAAAAATATATTTTAATTCTTGCTTTCATGAGGGCTTTTAAGTCAGAAATGGATGTTATATTTTCCCAAAGATTTTTGATCGTTTATGGCCATAATGATGTCATTTTTCTCCTTAGATGTTTTGCTATATTTTATTATACTAATGGACTCCTTAACCCATTACTATAGTTCTTGGAATAAATCTTATTTGGTCATGATGTATACATATCTTTATATAGAATTAGATTCAGTTTGTTAATATTTTACTTTGTAGTTTTTGCTGATATTGATAAATTATATTGATTGGTAATTTTCTTTTCTTGTGCTCTCTTTACTGTTTTGCACTTTATTGTTATACTTGCTTTATAAACAATTTGGAAGACTTCCTTCATTTTCTGTACTCTGGAATAATTTAGGTAGCATTGGGATGATCCGGTCTTTAAAGGTTTGGTGTAATTATCCGATGAAACCATCAGGGCCTGGCACTTTTTGGTTTGGCAATTTCTTTAAAACTTTCTCTATTTAGTATATAAATCAGTATTTTAAAACGTTTTATTATTGAGTAAATTTTATGAGCTGTATTTGTCTTGGAAATTATTTTATCTAGGTTTTTGAATTTATTTATTTATTTATTTATTTAGAGACGGAGTCTCACTCTGTCACCAGGCTGGAGTGCAGTGGCACAATCTCGGCTCACTGCAGCCTCCACCTCCTGGGTTCAAGCAATTCTCCTCCCTCAGCCTCCCGAGTAGCTGGGACTACATGCGTGCACCACTGTGCCCAGCTAATTTTTGTATTTTTAATAGAGACGGGGTTTCACCATGTTGGCCAGGATGGTCTCAATCTCTTGACCTCATGATCTGCCCACCTCGGCCTCCCAAAATGCTGGGATTACAGGCATGAGCCACCACACCCGGTTGGTTTTCAAATTTATTGACATAAAGATTTGCATCTATGCCTTTTTAATTTCAATGGTTTTTCTTCCTTATCATTTTGTGTTTGATATTTGCTTTCTCTTTCCCTCCTCTTAAAAAACAAGTATATTTTTTATTTTTTCAAGAAATGAGGAGTTTGATTTATTAATTAGATCAATGTTTTTCTTTACCTCATTGATTTTTATGCTTACTTTTGTTATTTCCTTCACTTTGTTTCTTGTGACTGACTGTTGTTTTTTTTTTAGCTTTTGATTAGCTTTACCAGCACATTTATTTTATTCTTCTGTTTTGTCAACAAACGTGTTTAAGACTATAAATTTTCCTAAAACTATCAAGTTTACGACTATAAATTGTATATATATAAATATATATGCACACACACAGTGCACAGTAAAGGGGAAAAAGCCTTTAGTCATACATATACACGTATATACATACACACACTGTCATATATATATATATATATATATATGACTAATGAGTTTACACATACACACACACACACACACACACACAGTTCAGGAGGAAGGACATTTTGTATATTTTATTAATTTTTAGTTTTTCTGAATTTTTTTGTCAGTACTGTTTTTAATACCTCTATTTTATAAAACTTATGCTTTTATTGTGACCTAAATATGATAAAATTTTGTGAATGTTTCATGTGCACTCGAGATGAAAGTGAGTTATATAGCTCATGAGGATGAAAAGTTTGATATATATCCATAATTTGAAGCTTAATTGATTACAGAGTTTTGGTCTGCTATTTCTTTACTTTGTTTTACTCTTACTGAAAGTGATGTGTTAAAATATATTTTTATTATGCTTTTATCTCTTCTTGCATATCTTGTCATTTCTGCTTAATAAAGGTGGTTGCTGTGTTAATTGGTGCATGAGTATTCATGAATGTGATATTTTATTGTCAGTTGTGGCTTTTAGTCTTAAAAAAATCTTTGCTATGTTTAATGTCTTTTTTGTTAGAGTCTACTTTGATAGCAAGATCACAACCCCTGCTTTCTTACTGGTTTCACTCACTTTGGATGCTTCAGCCTTTCTTAATCACTTTGTTTTAGGTGTGTTTTTTGATTATTTAGCATGTAGTTGAGTCTTATTCTTGAACTAAATTGAAAAATTTGGTCATGTAATGAGTTTGTTAAGCCTATTCACATTGATATGACTATTGTATTTGATCTCAACTCTGTAATTTATATTGTTATAATTCTATGTGTTTTATAATATGTTTTATTTGCTGGGGTTTTTTCACTCTGTGATTTGTTTCCTTTGCTCTTTAATTTTTAAAGTTTCCTTAAAACTTTAAAGTTTTAAAGTTAGGAAGGCTTAATTTTTGTTCCAGCAGTTGCCTTTTGAAATACCTTTAGACCCTGTTGTTAAAACACCTTTTGAAATGCCTTTAGACCCTGTTGTTAAAATGTCACCCTTTGCCATCTCATCTGTCAGATTTTAATTGTTTCCTTTGATGTATTGTTTGTAGATTGCTAAAGAAGGGCTCATGGTGGACTGTATTCCGTGAGTTCTTTCATGTTTAAAACTGTTTTTCTACATACTTGATACTTGAAGAACAGTTTAGCTGAATATAAATACTGTATTTTATATTTTCTTTGCTTGAGTTCTTGAAAATATTGTTCCATTGCAGTCTTGCTTTATGTGTTGCTTTTCAGAAGTGTGATGTCAGTCTAATTCTCTTACGCTAGTAACTTATTTGGTCTTTTTCCTTGAGGCCTCAAAGATTTTTCTTTATCTTTAAACCCTAATAATTCCAATAGGATATGTTTCACAGTTGATCATTGAAGATCAATTTACCCAGGTATCTGGTAGGCTCTCCCTATATGTAGATTAAAGCAGAGATTCTAAACTTTCTCAGTTCATAGTGCCTATAAAATCTCAGAAATATTTTCATGGAGTTCCTAGGCCAATAAATACATATAACAGTTCTATTTATTAAGTAGTTCAGTCCAAAGAACTTAATAAATATTTATGTTCTAACAACTTGGTGACCATTTGCAAATGGTTGCAAGAAAAACGATAGTGTTTTTGTTTGTTTGTAACCCAGGTCACCTACTATTGCATTGTGTGAGCTTATTGAGCACTGTACAATTTCTCACACCTTAGAATCAAATTGGACAGTGTCTGTTCTACATTGATTTTCATGTCGTGTTTGCTTTTTTAAAATCACAACTATTGACAATTTAACTTCAGAAATATTTGATGTCATGAGATATAGTGCTATCTAATGTTCTGTGAAATATTTTGAACAAGTTGTGCGATTTTCAACAGATGTTATATATTGGTGTGTTTTTCTCTAAAATTTAAAATATCAAAGAAAATCACATACCATGCTTGTGAGTTCACTCAGCATACTGGTATGTCTCAGCACACAGTTTGGGAATCATTGGATTAAGGTCATTTAATTCTATAACATTCTTTTGGTATATATTTATATATGTATGTATGTATTTGTGTGTGTGTGTGTGTGTGTGTTTATGTGTGTGTGTATGTGTGTGTATATATATATATATACACTCTTCCACTGTTTCATTTTCTTTAAGGACTTCAATTATACATATCCATTCTTTGCCTATTTTAACTACTTTCTTTGAGATTTTTAAATTTTTAAAGTAATTTTTTTTTTTTTTGAGACAAGGTCTCACTCACCCAGGGTGGAGTGCAGTTGGCGTGATCTTGGCTCACTGCAACCTCCACCTCCTGGGTTCAAGCGATTCTCCTGCCTCAGTCTCCTGAGTAATTGGGATTACAGGCAGGCATCACCACACCAGGCTAATTTTTTTTGTATTTTTAGTAGAGATGGGGTTTCACCATGTTGGTCAGGCTGGTCTCGAACTCCTGACCTCAGGTTATCCACCCACCTCAGCCTCCTAAAGTGCTGGGATTACAGGTGTGAGCCACTACACCTGGCCTGTGGTTTTTTAAATGTCTTTTAAAGCTCACTTTCATTTTCTTCAATTCTCCTTGTTAAGTTTTAATTCATATCCATTCTTCCTTGGGCATTTTGTAATTTATTTCTGATATGATGTTTATTTTTTTCTTCTATTTCTTTTCTGAGTTCAAAAAAAAAATTTCTGAGTTCATTTCTTACTCCTTCCTGATTAGTTTTCTTCTTAGTTTTGGGATTTCCGTTGCAATATTTGTTTTAATATTCCCCATATACTTGTTTGAGAATATTTAATTCAGTTGGATTATTGTGGTATAGTCTTCTTTTGCTTTGTGTTTAGGTTTAAATCAGCTGAATTGTTTTGATTCTTAAATTCTGTTTTCTTCGTAAAGTGTTTTTTTTTGTTTTGTTTTGTTTTGTTTTTGAGACAGAGTCTCGCTTCTTCACCCAGGCTGGAGTGCAATGGCGCAATCTCAGCTCACTGCAGTGTCCGCCTCCTAGGTTCAAGCGATTCTTCTGCCTCAGCCTCCCCAGTAGCTGGGATTACAGGCATGTGCCACCAAGCCTGGCTAATTTTTGTATTTTTAGTAGGGACAGGGTTTCACCATTTTGGCCAGGATGGTCTCAACCTCCTGACCTCGGGTGATCTGCCCGCCTCCCAAAGTGCTAGGATTACAAGCGTGAGTCACCGTGCCTGGCCCATAAAGTACTTTTGATTGTTCTTGTACTTCCTTGTATAGGGCTGGCAGTTTTGATGTGAGTTGTGAGATTTCTAGTTCAAGAGCTACCCACTCTTGTCAGTGAAGTGAAATATAGTTTATTTAATGGATGGCTCCTTTGGAGCATAGTGATAGGAGGGGAGGGAGTATGTGTCTTCCAGTTTTTTAAAAAATTATGTGTCTTACAGTATCCTCAATTTACCCTTTTGGCTCATTTTCCCCTTTACTGTGCAATTTCCAACAGTTGCCTCTCTCTCACTCATCTTTCTCGGTGAGCACTGCCTTTTCTAGAATGCTTTTTGGAGTCCCTTGTGCAATTTTAGGTCATTTCCGTGTAATTACACTTTGATCTATTAGGACTTCTTTCTCTAGTACTTTCACACCTAGGATAGACGTTGTGTTTCTGAGGGTGGCTGAGTTTAATCATAAACCCTTCATTCCGTTCTTCTTTCTTCCGTACAGTTTTTGTGGATCCTGGCTTCTTGTCTTTCAAGGCTTAGGGCAGGGTGTTAGAAACAAATCTACTGGAAAATGTCACTTATTTGTTCTGTATAGAGCTAATTTGATGTTTGTAGTGTTCTCTCTTCTAGTTATACTGCAAGTGTGTTTTGTATGGCTTCATTTATTCTTACTGTTTATATAGTTTTTGAAGGATATTTTGCAATTTTTGTTCGTATGATCACCATTATTTTAGCTATACTCACTGTATTTTATTAAAATGAAAGTCTGACATGTTATGTCTCCGCTTTAAATCCATCAGTTGCTTATATACTTCAATCAGGTGCAGTTACTGTAAAAATGGCTATATTTAATACAATAAAGAATGTTATTCCCTGTGGAACACAGGAGATTGTGTGTCCTGCCTTTGAAATGTTCTAAAAAGTCTCAGCTGGTGAAATGAAACAGTTCTTCTGGGTCTTTAGGTACGTTAAGTTTGCTATACAATTTGCAATCCCTGGATTAAAGGTGTAGGACTAAATTGTTTGGTATAATGTGGAAGACTTTTCTCCTACTTGACTGGTCCAGACTTCTTGCTCCAAGGGAACTAAGCTGTATATAGTTCTCTTTGTGCACCAGGGTCTCTGGGTCTGTTTCTTTAATGGAATAGCCTTTGCTTTCCTTGTTTCCTTACTCATTTTTCAAGACTCTTCTGAGGTGTCATATCCACCAGAATTCTTTTCTGACCTCTAATCTAGAGTAGTTACCTCCCAGTGTCCATCCTTAGGAGCCTGTAGACACTTCTGTCATCACACTTGTCACAGTATATTGACATTTACTGTGTACACAGAGGCCTGACCCACTAGACTGACCGTTCTGAGAGCACAGCCATGTCTTATTTTTTTTGTAAATTCCCATTGTGTTAATCTAACACAATGTCTTCTACATAATGGGTATTCCATAGGATTTGTTGAACAGGGTACTAAAAGTAAAGTTGCAGAATTTCTAAGAGAATCTCTCATATTTGATACCCTGGTTTCTAGAATGAAACCTAATGTGAACGGGTAAAATTCTGAGAATAAATTAAAAGCTATAACATACTTTTCTAGTTAATGAGGAACCTTATTTGCTGCCAGCTGGGTCAATTTTATCTAAAACATAAAAGAACATTATAATTAAGATAAATAGTTGCTGGTTGAGAAATTTTTTCTTCTAAGCTAATCACATCGGCGACATCGTTCTTTATGTAAAACACTGAGAGTTTTTACTTTTAGCTCAAGTCCTGTATTTGTTAGTCTGTTTATACTCATGGATGGTGACAGGTGATATTGCTGAACACCCCACCCCCCCCAAAAAAAAACCCTGACCTGATTTTCTGTGTACTGTGGCAAATGAAAAATAAGGGTTCAAAATCCAACCAGGGCCCCTTGCCTCATTGTGATGGAGATAGCAAAAAGGTGGGCCTAACTTGAACTTTGGGATTGTTCATCCAAATACCTTATTCTTTTTCCTCTATTATATCTCTCCTCGACATCCAACCCCCTCAAGTCACACTGCTTTATGATCCACCCTAATCCAGCCCCGTCGAGTCACACTGTTTTATAAACATATTTCTTCATTACAGTTAATCATGGTACAGCACATCTGCCTTTAAGCATAGTTTCCTGAGATATCTTTATATGTCCCAGAGGCCTTCTTTTCTTGTAGCTGCTCCACATAGTATATCTCACCCTTCACACACTACACTTGTGATTGTCCTCCTTTTTCTACTTCTGTAGTCCTTAATAGTGGACTTTTAATGGTCTATTTATGTTCGGTGCTTCTTGTGACTCAGAGGACAAAATGGTGTTAGAAATCTTTAAGTTGCATCTTATTCATTAAGGAGCCAGGCACATACAGTCTGTGATCATGGAAGAGAGAGAAGCTGCCTGGACCATCTGTGGGTCTGCTCTTCACACTTGCCATGGTGTTTTAGCCAGCTGGGCTGTTCGCTTGTTAAAAATGGCACCTGAAATCACATTGAGATGGCCTTTCCAGTGGTATAATAGTTTTGGCAATTGCAGTGCCTAATACAGAGATACCTTTAATGATCTTTATGTTTATAAGTTGGTGGCCTACTATGGGATACCTGGTGTGTGAGTATGGCCTTAATCTAAAATGTGAGTCACAAAATTGTTGCTATTTGTCTCTACATATGAATATTCTCTTTTCCTGCTGATTTCTATTATTGAACTGTCATTTTTGTATTATTCCTAGAATGGATCAGCATTTTGAGGTGAAATTAAAATATCATTCTGAAAAATAATGCTGTCACCCTAGCAGGAGTTTTTATTCTAATCAACTAATCTGAACTGTAGGAAATGTAAATACTGTTTTATAGATCTCAGGTGGAGGTAAGTGAATTTTATCTAATTTTCCCTTAATGTATCTAACTCAGGAGAAAATCATGAATTTGCATGTGTAATTTATGCAATGGCATTCATATGTAACATACACATACTGGATTCCTTGAAAGTTTGCATAGCACAAAGTAATATAAATGTTTCTGGATGGTCTAAGTGGACTTATTTTTAATCTGTTCTTGGCACTAATGAACTGTTTGAATTTGGTCAGAGTACTTAACCTCTCTAGGACTCAGTTTCCTCAATTGCAAAATTAGAAAGTCATAACAGACAATCTCTGGACAATATATATTCTCCTGTTCTGCAGTGAGATATGCAATTTAATGCTAAATATGTATTTTTATTGGTGTGAAACTGGACAGTACTGAGTTAAATGTTTTTGTCATTCAACTGAACATTACAATATGAAAGCATCTCTAGATATATTGGGATTTATATTTCCAGAGAATTGTAATGATTAATAAACATTTGTACCTGAGAATCTTAAGTAACAAATTAATGTCTCTTTGAGTAAACACGAAGACCTCTACTAATTTTAGATCCAGTACATCTATATGAAAGGAATTAAAGAAGGGAAGCTCTTTGGAATGATATTTAGGAAATTCATCTGTAAGCTGTGTTTATACAGAAAGCACACAGCTTTTACTTAGATGTTTTTGGTATAATTTTGGTGATTTAGAGGAGATAGGGTTGATTAGAACCATCCTGGACCTGTCACAAAGAACTATTTTAATAAAGAATGCTTATATAACCCTCCTTTAAAATAAACAAACAAACAAACAAACAAACAAACAAACTGAATAGACCAGCAGGCAAAGAGATGCTTATATACCCTTTGGCCATCCATTTTTTTTTCATTGAGCCTGCCTAGAATTGAGTTGTATATAGGTGTCCTTAAAGCAAGACAGGGCTGTAAACCTCTGAAACTTTACAATAAGGAGGATATAACTTATGTGTATCAAACTTGTTCATTATCTTATATATTTTTTATTCTAGCATTTCATATTTTTATTTTACTTGTAGTGAGGATATTTAGAGAATATGGAAAAGAGAGTGAAAATGTTTAAATCATATTTTTCTCTCTTTTATTCTGAAAAACAAGGACTAAAATAACTGAAATCTTTTTAATAGGTCTTTTAATAGATTGTTCAAATTTGAGTATATTCAGACCACGTTGTAGTTATATATTACTGGAGATTTCTTAGAAAATCACAGATACGGCCAGGCGCGGTGGCTCACGCCTGTAATCCAGCACTTTGGGAGGCTGAGGCGGGCAGATCGCAAGGTCAGGAGATCGAGACCATCCTGGCTGACATGGTGAAACCCCATCTCTACTAAAAATACAAAAAATTAGCCAGGCATAGTGGCAGGCACCTGTAGTCCCAGCTACTCGGGAGACTGAGGCAGGAGAATGGCGTGAACCCGGGAGGCGGAGCTTGCAGTGAGCCGAGATGGCGCCACTGCACTCCAGCCTGGGTGACAGAGCGAGACTCCGTCTCAAAAAAAAAAAGAAAAAAAAAGAAAAATCACAGATACTTGTGGACCCATCCTTAGATGAATTGTTTTATATCCAAAGATTCCTCTTTAGCTAGAAAAGTCTTTGTATCTTTACAAAATTTTGCTCGTAACTCCTGTTACTGATGATATTTTGACTTTCTAGCATGAATCATGAATGTTTGTAATGGCATTTAGAATGGTGAATCCTTTCCAGAAGGTTTATAATTTACTTTGCCTAGATTCATAAGAGGAATCATTATCTATGGCAGCTATAGCCATATGAAATGTATTCCTTAAATAATAAGACTTGAAAGTCAAAATCACTCCTTGATCCCTGGGCTGCAGAATGGATGTTGTGTTAGCAGGCATGAAAACAACATTAATCTTCCTGTATATCTCCATCAGGGGTCTTGGGTGACTGTGTCCATTGTCAATGAGCAGTAGTATTTTGAAATTGGCAAGTCTTTTTTTTTGTTTGTTTGTTTTGAGATGGAGTCTCGCTCTGTCACCCAGGCTAGAGTGCAGTGGTGCTATCTTGGCTCACTGCAAGCTCCGCCTCCCAGGTTCACGCCATTCTCCTGCCTCAGCCTCCCGAGTAGCTGGGACTACAGATGCCCGCCACCATGCCCGGCTAATTTTTTGTATTTTTAGTGACATGGGGTTTCACTATGTTAGCCAGGATGGTCTCGATCTCCTGACCTTGTGATCTGCCTGCCTCGTCCTCCCAAAGTGCTGGGATTACAGTTGTGAGCCACCGCGCCTGGCCTCTGATTGGCAAGTCTTAACAGTGAGCTTAAAATATTCAGTAAGCCATGCTATACACAGTAAGCCATGCTATACACAATGCTGTCATTTGGGCTTTGTTGTTACATTTATAGAACAGGCAGAGTCAATTTATTATAATTCTTAATGGCCTTAGGGTTTTCAGAATGGTAAATGAGCATTTGCTTCAACTCAAAGTCACCAGCTGCATTAGATCCTAGCAAGAGACTCACTCAGCCTGCCCTTGGAAACTTTGAAGCTAGGCATTGACTTCTCCTCTCTAGCTATGAAAGGCCCAGATGACATCTTCTTCCAAAGGAAGACTGTTTTGTTTACATTGAAGATCTGTTCTTTAGTGTAGCTACTTTTATCAATTATCTTAGGTAGATTTTTTTTTTTTTTGAGAAACATGGTCTTGCTCTATTACCCAGGCTGGAGTACAGTGGTGCAATCATAGGTCACTGCAGCCTTGATCTCCTGGGCTCAAGTGGTCCTCCCAAGCAGCTAGTACTGTAGGTGTGCACCACTGTGCCCAGCTATTACTTTTTTTTTTTTTTTATAGAGACAGGTTCTTTCTATGTTGCCCATGCTGGTCTCAAACTCTTGGCCTCAAGTGATCCTCCTGACCCAGCCTCCAGATGCACTTGGATTATAGGCTTCAGCCACTGTACCTGGCCTATCTTAGCTAGATGTTTTCGATAACTTGCTGCAGCTTCTACATCAGCACTTGCTGCTTCACCTTGCACTTTTATGTTATAGACATAGTTGCTTTCCTTAAACCTCGTGAACCAACTTCTGCTATCCTCCAACTTTTCTTCTTCAGCTACCTCACTTCTCTCAGACTTCATAGAATTGAAGAGAGTTAGGGCCTTTCTTTGGATTAGGTTACAGATCAAGGGAATGTCATGTCTGGATTTTCTATTTAGACCACTAAAACTTTCTCCATATCAGTGATAAGATTGTTTTGCCTTCTTATTTGTGTGTTTACTGGTGTAACACTTTTAATTTCCTTCAGTAACTTTTGTTTTGCATTTACAACTTGGCTAACTGTTTCGCACGAGAGGCCTGGCTTTCAGCCTATCTTGGCTTTTGACCTGCTTTCGTCACTAAGTAA
This sequence comes from Homo sapiens, assembly GCF_000001405.40. NCBI lineage: Eukaryota > Metazoa > Chordata > Mammalia > Primates > Hominidae > Homo > Homo sapiens. The sequence continues at coordinate 25,324,255 of NC_000010.11, forward strand.
TCATTTCTTGCTTTTGATTTAAAATGAGAGACATGCAACTATTCCTTTCACTTGAACACTTAGAGGCCATTGTAGGCTTATTAATTGGCCTGATTTCAATATTGTTGTGTGTCAGGGAATAGAGAGGCCCCAGGAGTGAGGAGTGGAAGAGATATGGGAGAACAGCTGGTTTGTGGAGCAGTCAGAACATATACAACATTTATTGATTAAGTTTGCTGTATTATATGGGCATGGTTCATGGTATCCCAAACAATTATAAAAACTTCAAAGATCACAGATCACCATAACAGATATAATAATAATAAGAGCATTTGAAATGTTTCAAGAATTACCAAAATGTGACACACAGACGCAAAGTGATCACCTGCTGTTGGAAAAATGGTGCCCATAGACTCGCTCAATGCATAGTTGCCACAAATCTTCAAATTTGTAAAACATGCAGTATCTGTGAAGCACAATAAAGCAAAGTGCAATAAAATGAGGTATGCCTCTGCCTGTGTGTCTTCTTCTAGAGGAAGATGGACAATAAATAATAAGTAAAATATATATTAGGTAATTGTATTTTCTTTTTTCTTTCTTTTTTTTTTTTTTTTTGAGACATTGAGACAAGGTGTTGCTCTGTTGCACAGGCTGGAGTGTAGTGGCATGATCATAGCTCACTCCAGCCTTGTACTCCTGGGCTCAAGCAATCCTCCTGCCTCAACTTCCCGAGTAGCTGGGACTATAGGTGCCCATCACAATATCTGACTACTTTTTAAATTTTTATTTCTGTGGAGATGGGGTCTTGCTATATTACCCAAGCTGGTCTCAAACTCCTGGGCTCAAGTGATCCTCCCACCTTGATCTCCCAAAGTGTTAGGATTACAGGCATGAACCACTGCACCTGGCCCATTCTTCCCTGTCATTTTCACAGATTAAATCTCCACATCAGAAGAAAAGGTGAATATGGAAGAGATGAGGAGAAAGGGAGAGGATTCGAGCATAAAAACTGTGATTGACATTTAATATTTGTTTTATTCATTCAGAAAGTGTGGAATACAGTGTTTGTCTTTCTGGGCCTGGCTTATTTCACTTAGCATAATGTCCTCCAGGTCCATTCATATTCTTGTAAATGACAAGGTTTCCTTCTTTTTTAAGACCAAGCTGAATAGTATTCATGTATATGTGTGTGTGTTTCTAAATATATATATGTATGTCTAAGTATATATATAATTACACACACACACACACACACACACTACGTTTGCTTTATCCATTCATCTATCCATGGATACTTAGGTTGATTCCATTTATTGGCTACTGTGAATAATTCTGAACATGGAAGTGCAGATATCTCTTCAGCATACTGATTTAATTTTCTTTGGCTATATCCCAGAAGTGAGATTACTGGATCATATGCTAGTTATATTTTTAATTTTTTGAGGAGCTTTCATACCATTTTTTATAGTGGCTATACTAATTTACATTCCCACCAACAGTGTATAAGTGTTCCCTTTTCTCCACATCCTCACCAGCCCTTGTTATCTTTTGTCTTTTTGATAACCATTCTAACAAGTGTGAGGTGATATCTCATTGTGGTTTTTATTTGCATTTCCCTGATGGTTAGTGATGTTGAACATTTTTTTAATACACCTATTGGCCATTTGTATTTTTTTTTTTTTTGAGAAATGTCTATTCAGGTTCTTTGCCCATTTTCTTTTCTTCAACTTTTAAGTTCAGGGGAACACGTGCAGGATGTACACATTTGTTACATAAGTAAATATGTGCCATGATGGTTTGCTGCACAGGTGATCCCATCACCTACATAGTTAAGGCCAGCATCCATTAGCTATTTTTCCTGATGCTCTCCCTCCCCCTAACAGGCTTCAGTGTGAGTTGTTCCTGCCCACATGTCCATGTGCTCTCATTGTTCAGCGACCATTTATAAGTGAATAAGTGAGAACATGTAGTGTGTGGTTTTCTGTTCCTGCGTTAGTTTGCTGAGGATAATGGCTTCCAGCTCCATCCATGTCCCTGCAAAGGACATGATATTATTCCTTTTTATGGCTGCATAGTATTCCATGGTGTATATGTACCACATTTTCTTTATGTAGTCTATCATTGTTGCTTTACCCATTTTTAATTGAGTATTTATTTTCTTGCTATTGAGTTTTTTTGAGTTTTTAAATATATTTTGGATGTTATTTCCTTGTCAGATATAAGGTTTGCAAATGTTTTCTCCCATTCTGTAGATTTTCTCTTTACTCGATTGGTAGTTTCCTTTGCTGTGCACGATCTCATTTATATGTTGAGTCTTTAAATACTTGAACTCATAGAAGCAGAGAATAGAACAGAGGTTGCCAGGAGATAGGGGCTGGGGAGAAATGTTGGCCAAAAAGTAAAAAGTTTCAGTTAGACAGGATAAATAAATTCTGGAGATCTATCATACAGCATGGTGACTATAGTTAATAATAACGTGTTGTATACTTGAATATTATTAAGAGAGTAGATCTTCAGTGTTTTTACTATAAATAAGTATATAAGGTGATGGATATGTTAATTACCTTGACTAATTTCACAACATATACATATATCAAAACATCACATTGTGCACTGTAAATACAGATGGTCACTGACGATTATTTGACTTATGGCTTTTTCACTTTATGATGGTGCAAAAGTGATTCACATTCAGTAAACTCTTCATCTTATGATTGTGCTATGTCTAGATAAAGCCATTTTAAGTTAAAAATGCCGTGTAAGCCAAAAATACACATTTGACTTACTGTATTTCTAATTTACAGTGGGTTGATCAGCATGTAACCTCATTGTAAGCCAAGGAATGTCTGTATCTACAATTCTTAATTGTCAATTGCACCTTAATAAAGCTGGAGAGAATTTCTGCTAAGAAAAATAAGTGAAAGAAAGCACACACACACGCGCAAGAAGTGTGAAATGAAGAAAAACCACCCTAAATACCTGCGATATCTTGCTGCCTTATACACAGGACACTTACAAACACACACACACACACACACAGAAACACAAACACACACACACAGTAACCTGAAGCCTTGATTCAGTCACCTGGACAACCTAATTCCATTGACTTCTCCAGGTTTTCTGTGGCCTTAACAATTTGCTAACATAATACCTCACAAATGGCAAATTTATTGCTGTGCTAAGCTGCATTTCTGCTGTCAGCAGTACAGCAGCAAACGAAACACCTCACAAGGGAACCGTTGAATTAAATGGTGCACACTGGGCTGGCTGTGTTCTCTCCCATTTTGGAATGACTTCACTTTCTCAGCTCTCACGTGAGATAAAGACTCTTCATCTGTGGCTAGACTTCTGAAGAGGTTTTTGGGATTTATGACTCTTAGGGAAGACAGGAGCAATGAAACACTACCAAATTTAAATAGCCACCCTAGCTTTTATAACTGCTACTATTGATAGGACAGTTAATTGCCTGTGTGCTTCATTTTTAACTATTGGGCATAAGTGGAAACTGAAAAGTTGACAAAATTATAAAAAGGTTAAAAGAGAGCAAAAGGAAAGAATGAAGAAGATACTGAAATTCAGAATGATTTGGTTTGAAATATCAAACTTGTTTGGTAAAATGATTGGAATATTTTTAAAATTTATATTTTTTGAAAGTTTGTATACATTAAGTTATTATAGAAAATCTATTTGTAGACATTCGTTATTGACCCTATTCCTCTAGCTTAACTTAATGGTTTGGTAGCTAGGGAAGCCATTTTCCAAAACTGAAGAAAAAGATTTAAAGAATGACAGTGTTAACAGTATAACTATAGATAATGCTAAAGCATATACAGTTCGTCTGTATAATTTGGTTAGTGCATTGGGTTTGTGAGTTAATTTACTTGGAATGTACCTGAATAAGAAAGGACTAATTCCTGTCTTCCTAATGGAGAAAGAGAAATACATAGATATATATAGATATACATAGAAATACATAGATGCCAAGGAATCCTCACAATTTTCTATCCTAGAACCCATCTGTGGCAACAATAGAACTGTGATTGAAGTGAAGGTCTCAGAGAGATCAGAAAGACTGAAGCCTATTGATAAACTTTATTTAGTATCTAAAAACACATTTCATACTTGTAGGAAATTGTTAAGTGTCAATAATAATAGTACATAAATATATGTACTAATATTTATGTTAGTTCCAATATAATATATATGTACTAACATAAATATGTACTCCATTATGTAAATATTTGGTACCTAATGTTTGTTTTGTTGGAATGTTTCCTTAGTCACTAGAATTCCTAAAGAACATATTCATAGCATATTTTAATCTTTAATGACTTAAAAGTCAATGTGTCCAGTAAACAAATGAAAGCTATTATAAATATTTATTTTTGTCTATAGAAATGAATCAATTGGCCGGGCGTGGTACCTCATGCCTGTAATCCCAGCACTTTGGAAGGCCAAGGCAGGTGGATCACCTGAGGTCAGGGGTTCAAGACCAACCTGGTCAACATGATGAAACCCCGTCTGTACTAAAAATACAAAAATTAGCCAGGCATCATGGCGGACACCTGTAATCCCAGATGATTGGGCAGCTGAGGCAGGAGAATTGATTGAACTCGGGAGGCGGAGGTTGCAGTGAGATGAGATTGCGCCATTGTGCTCCAGCCTGGGCAACAAGAGCGAAACTTCATCACAAAAAAAAAAAAAAAAAAAAAGAATTACTAAAGAAAAATAATATAAAAGACATTTTATACATCTCAGTTTAGTAATGTTTCTGTATATGATTACTTTCCATTTACTATTCCTAGCTAACTGGAAATGTTCCAGTATCATTCTTCCTGGTAGTTTGGTAGTTTGATTGAAATGCTTATAAATTTGTTTTGCTCTGTTGTAGATAATATGCATACTAAGATGCATTTTAGGCCAGGCGCGGTGGCTCACGCCTGTAATCCCAGCACTTTGGGAGGCCGAGGCGGGCAGATCACGAGGTCAGGAGATTGAGACCATCCTGGCTAACACGGTGAAACCCTGTCTCTACTAAAAATACAAAAAAAAAATTAGCCGGGCGTGGTGGCGGGCACCTGTAGTCCCAGCTACTCAGGAGGCTGAGGCAGGAGAATGGCACGAACCCCGGGGGCGGAGCTTGCAGTGAGCGGAGATCGCGCCACTGCACTCCAGCCTGGGCAACAGAGTGAGACTCCGTTTCAAAAAAAAAAAAAGAAGATGCATTTTATTTTCGTTGCTTGGCCTGCCATACAAATATTCAATGGTTTTAAGCTTTTATGATTTGGATTTGTTAAGCCTGCCCTTGGATCTCACTGTGACTTTCCTGAGACACATTCCCAAAGGACAAACTCTTACCTCTTTTTTTTTTTTAAAGTTTGATTGAATAATTTATTATTCCAGAAAAACAAGAGTAAATGTGGATATTAAAGGAAATAAAGACAAATCCATTCTCTACAATGCTTGGGGGCTAATTTAACCTACAGTAATTAGACATCTAGCAGATCTCACAACTAGTCAAACCAGTACTTCCAAACACTTGTTTTATTACATGTTTTGTCACTAGGTTACGATGGCGTCATCAAATATTTTTATCGTAAGCGTCTATACTTGCAGTGAGTCAAGACCGTGTTTCTCTCAGCTACTGCAAATAATAATGTTAATAGTATTAGTGATGATAAAAATTGTAACACTTTGGATGTTAAAAACACTAGAAGTTGTTAGTAAAGGTCTCTGGAGATTTCTACTCAGAATTTAAATGAGAACTTGAGATAATTCTTTTTTTTTTTTGTTATACTTTAAGTTTTAGGGTACATGTGCACATTGTGCAGGTTAGTTACATATGTATACATGTGCCATGCTGGTGCGCTACACCCACTAACTCGTCATCTAGCTTACCTCTTACATATTATCTCACTCCCTCTTTCCTGACAGATGTAGGATTGTGTAACATCTGTGTTTATTTCCTTTAACTTTTTAAAACCTTCCTCTTCTAGCTAAGATATCCTTTTATTTCTCTTTTCTATTCCTAACACGGCCCCTCTTTTTATAATTGTCCCCAGTGGCAATGACTCACATTTATTGAAACTAGAATTTTTTATGGTTGCTGCAGGAGCACAGAAGCAAAGTCACATATACTAAAATTTAGTATAAGGGAACTCAAGTTTGGCGAGGCATTTGAGTACCTCCAAGGAGCATTTCTGCTCTTTGGATAGTTTATTAAGTAGTGTTATAATAGACACCAAAATCAAAGAAAACCAGGCTACCCTCAGGATACTATATAGGATTTGCAGCTTAGTAGATTGATCCTGTTATCACTCTGATTTGATTATGTTTAGAGGTTATATCTTGGGAATGTTTAGGAAACAGTTTATGGTCTGTGATACTGGGATTGAATTATACTTTCTTCTACCCTTCATCAAGTAAACCTTTTTTTTCCTTCATGAATGAAAACAAGTTAAAGCAATGTTAAGTTGTTGAAATTTGACTCATTGACATTTGAATGGTTAAGGCCTTGAGGATTTTAGAAAAAAACACCATTCTTTTAACTACCTAAGAGAATCCAGTAGAGAGGAATGGAATGTTTTTCCTTAGTAGAAGGACTTCACAACTGCATAATACAATGTTTGTTCCTATATATTGAATGCCCAAATTATAATAAATAGTAATCGAATAGTAAATGCCCATTTTTATTTTTTAAAATATTTTGTTTATTTACTTTGGAGAAAGGGTGTGGCTTTCTCCCAGGCTGGAGTGCAAGCAGTGCCATCAGAGCTTATGGCAGCCTACTCCTGGGCTCAAGCAATGCTCATGGCTCTGCCTCCTAAGTAGCTGGGATTACAGGTGAATGCCACTGTGCCTAGCTTTTATATATATATATTTTTGTAGAGACAGAGTCTCACTATGTTGCCCAGGCAGGTGTCAAACTCCTGGCCTCAACTAATCCTCCAGCCTCAGCCTCCCAAAGTGCTGGGATTACAGGTGTGAACCACTGTGCTCAGTCTAATAAATGCCTATTTTTATTTTTAAGACAATACTTTCTATCTACTGAGTAGAATACTGCTTTCATATCTGCCACTGGTAAGGGAAAGGGATGACAATTCTTCCTTAGGGGATAGTATACCACATTTAGCAGTATTTTTGCTCTTTGCTGACATAATTTTAGTACTTGAATTAGATGAATATCACTCTTTTCTATAACTTAATGTTGTTTTGGTGTGATCAGCTGGTTTTGATCTGTCTAGCATTTATTATGATTAGAGGTGAAGATGAACAAGGGAATTCTATCCATGAACCCGTAGCAGAAAAAGAGACTGACTTAAACATTACTCCAGGAGGTGTGATAGCACATTACAGTGTGTAAGGAATAACTTAACCTTAAGAAAGGCTAACATCAATGACTCTGTAAATATCTGGTCACCGCTGCCTATGGCTTTCATCGGTATATCTGGCCTCTCTCACCCCAGTCACTGCACTCCAAGGTTAGAGGCTTGAGTCCCGCATGCTTTGTTCTCTACATCAGGGCATGACATTATTTGAGAAGAACCCATTTTATAATGGTTCAAAAAAGATCCTTTGCTTTCTCTGGGATTTGATTCAAAATAATATGTGAGAGTGACAATGGCAGTGTAGATAAAGTAAGACTGGTAATGAATTGATAATTTTAAATGGGGAATTACTATTTGCTCTATTGGTGTATGTTTGAAAAAGTCTGCAATAAAAAGTTAAAAGAATATATAAACAAAAAATTGAGTCCAAAAAGTGAAAAAAAAAGTTAAAAGTCCTTTGTTTATATGTGACATCCAATAAAGTACATGCTGTATGGCTCTGTGATGTTAAACTTGGAGATTCCTAGAATGCATTGATCAGAAATCACCTGGGGGGGGGCGAATACATTTCTGGTTTCCCATACCTAGAGATTCTGATTCAGTAGATGGGAGGAGGGCAGCAGTTTCCCAGTGATTCTGATGTGCTGACAAGCTTGGAGGCCCCTGCCATTGTTAGTTGGCTAGATAGTGCTATGAAACTAATTTTGGCAAAAGACTTTGATGAAGATAGAAAATAGTAAAATTGATGGAATTCACCAATTTGGTGATATTGACAATGTTTCTTAAGCTAGGACTTTCTTTTCCTTTTTGGTTTGTAGCCTATGATGTTGGTTTACTTGGAATAAAATCTAGTAAGAATTCATAGAATATTGAAGCTAAAATTTTACTTAGACATCCCTGTCCTAGCTCTTTATTTTCTGATAAAGAAATTGAGACATAGAACATGGCACACAACTCAACATCTAGGTTTAGCAAATGTTTACTGGAAACCTGTAAGGAGCCTGGTACTGTATTTGCAGAGGCATTTGGGACACAGAGCTGTAGTTCCCGACCTGGAGAAACTTAGCCATACTTTCTGACTTTCATTTCATTGTTCTTTCCATCATACCGTGCTGCCTCCCTTCTCCTCTTCCCTCTAACTTTAAATAATAAGCTGATTTAACTTCAAAGAGAACATTTCAATTTTAATTCCTAGTATTTAGGATCTCTCGTTATAACTTAAAAAAATTCGACACTAATCTTAGAAATAACTGCTGTTTACCACTAAGGAAAGATAGTTATTCTCCATGTTATAAATGGCTTCAATATACTTTAGGGTTCTGGGTTTCCCCCAGCATTGGCATCTGAAAAAGAAAGATGTCTTAGAGCAGCAGGAGAAGTATGGGATACATGAGCTGTTCATTCTTGCCTGACATGAACTGGCCTGTAGAGGATGAGCTGGGCATTTGGGATCAAGTTTAGAGAAATCTGACAGAAAGAAATTTCACTTTCTTGGGATTCACAGGATCATAGAGTCTTACCAACGAGAGAGGCACTCAAAGAATGTGAAGGTTCAGTTGATTATTTTTTAACTTGGGCTTGGCTGTAGAACATAACTCTTCTTCGTATGACTTTTTCATTTCCTGGAATTCTCCTAACAACAAAACAAGAGGCTTAGTATCCAAAAGGAATGGAGTAAACACTGCAGGCAAGCAGGAGCACATTAGAAATTTTTACCTATTCTTTATTAGATAGGGATTTAGTAGTCATCTTAAATGGCACGATAGTTTGAATGCCCACACTTCTGCATGTGGTCTTTCTCTTGGTTCATTTTTTAGGTATCCCAGTGGTTCTTAAATATAATATGTAAAGGGATTACTGTAGTGCAAGGTTGTATATACATATCTGTATGTGAACTTTAGAAGAGTTTAAAAGGATTTTCTTAATGTTAATTCTGTAGCATTTGGCTACAGGTGATGTTACAACCCATCCCCAATGTAAGACGTTAGTACTGTAATGACGCACTTGTCCCACTGTAACTAAGTAGCTGGATATGTTACAATGGAAAAGGGAGAATGAATGATTGAAAATAGATTTTTATTCAAGAGGAAAAGAATCATTATTTCCTAGTTTCTAAATATCCTTCAAAATGAGAAGAGGCTAAAGACATATTAACTAAGTATATCAGCAGTTGTCTACCAATATTATTTATTCTCAAAGGACATAGTGGTTCTTTTTCCTAAGAGAAGATAGTACAAACTATTTAAATGTAGACGATTTCCTGGAGCTTTGAAAAAAAGAAAATGACTGGGCAGAGCTTCTTATTTGACATCATTTGGGTTTAATTTCAAGTGTCCTGGCCCAAGTATAGACAACCCACAGACAGACTCCTCCGTGTACTCTTGACAGTGTTCCTCAGATATTGCTTTATTTTGTAAACCAGATATTGCTTTATTTTGTAAACCTATACATTATAGTTCAAATATACTGTGGTTCTTTTAGAGAAAATGCATTAGTTCTATTTATAAAAACGCTGAAAGGAGAGTGATATCCTACTAGAAATCAAAGAGAATATTTTATGTATAAAAAGTTAAAATGGAATTTTTAAAAAGACAACAGGCAACTTTTATAAAATGACAATTAGAAGTTAAAGTAGATGTATTTTAAGTTTTGGCATACGTAATAACAATAAAACCCCAAAAGTTAGGCATTAAACTATTCACTTTGTAGCTAACAAAACATTTTGGATTTAAATGAAGAATAAAATTTGGAACAATTATTAAAATAACTCCAAATGGAATGCATTGAGAGCTTATTCTGTTATTGCTATTTTCTCAAAATCTATAATTATCATTTTTGTCCTGCTGGAAACCTACCTCCCATTTGTTTAATCTCCTGTCATTGCGAAGCTTCAATGCATATGACAACAGAATTGACATCAGGAGTCCAAGTAAGTCCAGAATTGCTGTGACAGGTCAGGTTCATTTTTCAGTAAGCAATCCAATTTCTTTCACACTATGCAAGCAGAGCTAGAATGTACGATATCTGAAGGAACCAAGGTCTGAATGGGTAAAACTTGAGAACTAGATTCTAGTTATGATTGTTACAGAATTGCTGGCTCACTTCAGGCATTTAATGTCTATGTGACCCAGTTCTCCTTGTAAGATGGTATCAGTATTACCTCCTTTACTACCTCATAAAATTCTTGTGAGAATAAAATGTGATACTAGATGTGAAAAGGGAAGTACAAGACAAATATGAAATGAGATTTTTGCTCAACTCAATGCTTTAGTCTATTTGATATTTCCATCCTACTTGTTTCCATGTCTTTTTAAATCAAAGTCCTTTCAAATGTGTCTTCATTGCTAATATGCAGGTGAGGGAATGGACGGGAATCAATGTGATGCTAAAGAAAGGTCAGGACAAAAGGATCTCATAGTGAATGCAAATCTTTGATTTTTTAAAAAAATATTTTTCCCTTGCATTTATTTTTAGAGAGAACATTGCACAGATCTCTGGGCTACTGGGAGACCCCATGTGCTACAGATACTTATTCAGGATATAAGTATGGTCAACAGATTCTTGTGATGTTATGTTTCTAGAATAATCCAACAAACTTTTGAGTTAGTACTTAACAGAGAGAGAGCAAATGAGTGCTATCCTTGGATTTTCTTTTGGCATAAATACAAATGGATTTACTAATGGCTTAAATTTTGTCAGATGCCAAAGATGCAACTGCATTCTTGCTATTAATATTTCATTACTCACTAATAGCTTTTTGCATAGGGATAGAAATATCTAGGCTTATGAAGTGATGCGATAACAGCTCCTTTTGTTGATGTTATAAAGGATGGAATATTGTTTTTATTAATAACTTGTTGACTTTTATATGTTGAATCTGTACTAAAATAGCTCAACATGCTAATTCCAATAGTCCATGGCTTTAGTGTATGAAAAATGTTCTTCTGCTATTGCTTTATTGTTCCGTAGAATTTTCCTAAATGCAGGAGTTTACTTTTGTGTTTTGTCCAGTAACGAAGACCTTCTCTCTAGATCATTCCTTCCTCTCCCTACCCAGAGATTTGCAAAGTCTGAAGGAATGGCTATTGTAATAAACTCTTCTTGAAATTTGTAAAACAATTTTAGCATTTTGTTTATAGTTTATGGCAAATAAAGTACCTTAGTTGTTTCGTATTTGTTTCTCTGAGATGCCATTTTATAGTAAAAAACAAATCCTTGATATGCACCATATTATATTAGGTGTGTTCCTAATAATCTTTCAAAATTGCCAATCAGAAATATGACTAAGTGACTCCAGGGTGTACTAGTTGTGTGTCCTTGGGAAATAAAACAATCCTTTCTGTCATTCTGTTCCATTATTGGTAAAAGGGGGATAACAGTAGTACCTCAAAGATTTGTTATGAAAATTCAAGAAGTTCTTTATATTGTACATGCTGAAAATAGTGCCTGTGTGTGTAAGCACCTGGTAAAAATTAGCTGTCATTGTTATTATCAAATGTGAAGATAGATCATTGTCATACTATTATTGTAAAAAAATGTGGATGATGGAGCTGTATGTGTATTTAGTTAAATACTTAAACTGGTGAGTATTTTATAAAGCGAATCCTTGTATTTAACCTGTGTACATATCATAAAAAAGACACAAAATATGGATAAATCAATTCTTTATTTGAATGTTTATGTTATTTGAAGTCTGTATAATTCTTGCAAGATACATAATAGAAAAAAAGACTTGAAAAATTAATAGCATGACAAATATTATGAATAATACCAAAGAATCATTTACATTCTTCTCCCTTTATTGTGATTCAGTTGGCTGTTATAGCAGGTGTTTTTGGTTGCCTCTCTGACAACCATCTTTCTGCTGCTGTTACTTGTTAACAGAATTCTAATTCTATTCAGGTATCTACTTTCCCCCCAGTGCCTCAGGGTTAGACTCTGATAGATCTTATCCTGTTTGGTGCAATCTCCTATTCCCTGGATCCATAATTGGTTTAACCAAGGGCATGTTATACAGCTCTAACTAATGAGACCTGAGGGAAAGTCTGCTGAAGGGATTGGGAGAAATGTTTGATTGGTTCAAAATGGAAAAGGCCTCCTTTTCTGCTTCTGGACACTTGCAGGGATGTAATGCTGGGAACTGTTGCAGACATCTTGTGATCACTAAGTCTCAAGCTTTGAGACAAAATTGACACATGAAGATGGTAAAAGAGTGAGATGAAGGAAAGCTGTGTCCTGGAAGATGGTGCTCAGGCAATTAATTAACCAACCTTGGAACTGTCAACCTCTTGGATTCTTTTATAAGACAATAAATTCCTTACTGGTGTAATTCAGTTGTGTCAGTCAGCCTTTTCTGATGCAGCTAAAATAGACACCTTCAATTATATTACTCATTGTATATTTTTGTTTTCTTATATTCTTCAGAGAATTATGCAAATGGAAAAATAAGTAATTTATAACTGTAGGATTCTGTAGATACTTAACATTTTATACAGAATATTTTTCAAAATATAGCAGCATTTCACATCTCTTTCTCAAAGAGAAATAGAACCACTTCATACAGTGTTAGCAATACTTTGAAAATATTTTTTAACTTTCAAAATTTAAGAAAGACATACATATAGTAAACCTGCATCAATCTTAATTGACACTCAATGAGTTTTTATAAAGAGAACACACCCATGTAAACCACCATCCAGATCAACATAGAGAACATTACTAGCTTCCCAGATGTCTTCCTTGTGCTTTGTGCAGTCAACACCATTTCCTCAAGGGTAAACACATTTCTAACACCATAGATAAATATTTCTGTCTTTGAATGTTATGTTTAGATCATGTAACATGCACCCTTTTGTGTCTGGCTTTTTTTGCGTAACAGTTTGAAATATGAGATTCATGTATATCTTGCGTAGCAATAGTAGTTTATTTCATTTCTCTATAGTATTGTTTTGTATGAATATTCCACAGTTTATCCATTTTATTATGATGGACATTTAGATTTTTGGCTACTATAAATGATGCAGGTATGAACAGTTTGATACATGTCTTTGATTGTATACATATTTATACATTTCTGTTGAGTAAATGCTTAGGTGTGGGATTGATGAGTCATAGGGTGGGCAAATACTACTTTTTAGTAGATATTGTCAGAATTTTCTAAAATGATTGTATTTGATATAAACTTCTAACAGCCATATATGAATGAAAAATTTGCTCCACACACTTGCCAACCATGATATTGTCAGTTTTAATTTTAGCCTATCTGATGTGCAGCACTATCTCATTTTAGTTTCTATTTTCATTTCTCTGATAACTAATGAGGGTGAACACCATTTTATATGTTTACTGGTCATTTGGACATCCTTTTTTGAAATTAATATTTAAGTATTTCGACTGTTTTTTAAAATGCCTTTTTTCTTATTGACCTATAAGAATTCATTATATATTGGGGATGTAAGTTCTTTATCAAATGTAGGTATTGAAATATCTTTTCCTCTATGCAGCTTGCCTTTTCACTCTGTTAATGATATCTTTGTAGAAAAAAAGGTTTTGGTTTAGTGAAGTCCAATTTATTGGCCTTTTCCTTTATAATTGTAGTTTCTGTGTTATGACTAAGAAATCTTTGCCTACCCTAAGATTATAAATATAGTCTTCTCTATTATCTTTAGAAGATTTATTATTTCTTTCATTCATTTGGAATTGATTATTATTTAGGTGTGAGGTAGGGGTAAAAACACATTTATTTCTGTATAAATTCTGTTGATTCCAGTGTTTTGCCAAGCAGCTTTCCCATAAATCTGATGACTATATCTATATATCTCTCTCTATATATATTATTATATATAACGTATTATATATTATTATATATACGTATTATATATACGTAATATATATATTACGTATATTATACGTATAATATACGTATAATATACGTATATATATTACGTATAATATACGTATATTACGTATATTATATATACGTAATATATAATACGTATTGTATATTATTATATATAATACATATTATATATATTATTATATATAAAAAATCATATAAATATATAAGCTCTGCTGTTTCATTTGTCTCCTTTTCATCCTTGTATCAATACATCACAGTAGTAGTCTGTAATTCTGTAAATTCTGAAACTTTGTTCTTTCTTCAAAATTGTTTGTATTATTCTTTGAACTTTGCATTTCTATATACACTTTTAAATGAGTTTGTTAATTTGTGCCAGAAATAAGCCTGCTGGAATTTTGATTGGATTGCATTTAATCTATACAATAATGTGGAGAGAATTTACATCTTTACAACATGAAGTCTCCTAAGCCATCAACATTTATTTTGATTTCCTTTATTTTCTCTCAGTGATGTCCTAAGATTTTCTGTTAAAGGTCCTACACATATTTTACCCTGTTAAATTTATTTCTAAGTTAGGTTTCTTTCTTTCTTTCTTTCTTTTTTTTTTTTTTTTAAAGACAGGGTCTCGCTCTGTTGCCCAGAAAGCCTGGAGTGCAGCTCAAGTGATTCTCCTGCCTCAGTCTTCCAAGTACCTGGGACTACAGGCTTGCACCACCATGCCTGGCCAGCTTTAAAATTTATTTTATACAGATGGGGTCTTGCTATGTTGCCCAGGCTGGTCTCAAACTCCTAGCCTCAAGCAATCCTCCCACCTTGGCCTCCCAAAGTGCTAGAATTACAGGCATCAGCCACCAGGCCTAGCTATTTCTAAATTTTTTAATGTTTTAATGCTATTGTAATATCTTTAAAATTTTAATTTTCTACCTGCTTGTTGTTAGTATACAAAAATAAAATTGATTAGTAGTTCTAATAGTTTCTTTGTGATTCTCTTAGGGTTTCTATTTGCACATGTTTGTCATCACTGAATAATAACATGTTTATTTCTTCCTTTCCAATTCTCACACCTTCAGTTTGTTTTTCTTTCTGATTGCATTGGTTAGGAATTTCAGTACAATATGAATAGAAGTGTTGATACAAAGATAACAGACATTTTTGTTCCTATTTCAGTGGGAAAGCTTTAAATATTTCAACATTGATTATGATGCTTGCTGAAGGTTTTTGTAGATAATCCTTATTATATTAAGGAAGGTCCCTTCTCTTCCTCATTTGCTAAGCTTTTGTCATGAAGTGGTTGAATTTTATCAAATGCGTTTTCTATATTTGATGCACTGCTAGGATGATCATATACTTTTTCTAGTATATTCTGTTAATGTGCTGAACTATACTGAATGGTTTCTTAATGTTAAACTGACCTTGTATTTCTGGAATGAACCCAAGTTTATTATAATAGGTTATTTTGTGTACAGCTGGGTTCATTTTGCTTCGCATATGTGCAGCTTAGGAATCAGAAATGCCTTTGGGAAAAGTTCTTGCATAATGTTAGCTTACTTCTTTTTAGTTTTTGTGCTTTTAGATATTAGTCTCTCAAGTTTTGCCTGCCTTAGTGTCACCAAACTCCAGATTTTGTCTTCCCAGGTCAGCCATACTGATTAAGCTCTAGGCCAGCCCTGTGTCTTCAAGGGAAAAAAAAATCTGCAGTGAGTAGAGTGCTCACCTCAGTGAGGTATTCTTCCCTCAGGATCTTGGATCCTCAAGTCCTGGTTGCTTTGGTTGCTCTCCAAAGCCTTTAAACAATTAGAGGCTTTGTTTGTTTGTTTTATTTTATACAGATCTTTGAGTTAGTTTCAGCAAGAGGGTTGATTTGAAACAAGATATACCCGTTAAAGGCCATTAATGACCAGAAGTGGGGGTTCCAAAATA
Organism: Homo sapiens; assembly: GCF_000001405.40. NCBI lineage: Eukaryota > Metazoa > Chordata > Mammalia > Primates > Hominidae > Homo > Homo sapiens. The sequence continues at coordinate 25,340,344 of NC_000010.11, forward strand.
TGTAAAAAGGCTCATGAGCAGGTGCATGTATTTTGGGAGGATACTCAGGAAATAAATATTCCTGTACTCTATCAAATGTATATGTTAAACAGAAACATTCCAGTCAGAGGAAGACTTTAAATAACTATGTCTAGTATGTTCATGAAGTTAAATACAGCTTAAAATTTCAACAGAGAACTAGAAACTAGTAAAAGAATCAAATGGATAGTCTAGAAGAGAAAAACACAATAACTCAAGTAGTGAGAACCCCATGTTTAGATGTAAGAGCGGATGAGATAGCTGGAGGAAGAAAATTAGTGAATTAGAATTTGGGTCAGAAGAAACTATTTACTAGGAAGTTTAGAGAAATAAAAAGGTAGACTATGTAGAAAAGAGCTTAAAAAACAGAATAGAGTGAGAAATTACAATCTATGTGTTACCGAGGTCCTACAGGAAGAGCAGAGAATGAAACAAAACCAATATTTGAAGAAATGATGGCTGAGAATACTGGTGAGAGAAATCAAGCCACAGGAAGTACTATTAACTCCAAAGAAGTACTATTAACTCCAAGGAGGATAAAAATGAAAACCAAAACTATACATAGAATAGTATAATGGGTGAAAACCAAATACAATTTTTTTTTAAATAGACAAAGAAATGTTTTAGGAGCTATAGTAAGAGTGAAAGTTGACTTTCTGTTAGATAGGATGGAAGGCAGAAGTCAGTGTAATGACATCTTCAAAATGCCAAAAGAAAATAAGTGCTAGCTTTGAATGTTATATCTTTCATAAATGAATTTGAAATAAACTCATTTTCAGACAAGTGAAGACAAATTTATCAGCATCAGAGCAGCACTAAAGAAAATATTAATGGGTATTCTTCAGGCAGAGGAAAATGTTTCTAAATGACAGTCTGGAGATACAGGAAAGAATGAAGGGGAATACAAATATTGAATGTGGGTAAATGTAAATGAACACTGTACAACTCAGTAATAGTAGTACTTTAAAATATGCTAGAACATAAATTGGAAGGGAAGTTAATTATGTATTTAATATCTATGCATTATCTGGGAAGAGAATTTATATTAGATTTTGATAAGCCAAGGATGTATATTGTACTCTCTTGGGATACATCTAAAATAATAGTAAAAGGATAAATAACTATGAATCTAATAGATAAGAAAAATGAAATAATAAATAATGGATCCAAAAAAGGAATCCAGGAGAGAAAAAGAACAAATATATATGTTTTAAAAGATCTACTTGTATTGCAGTGGGAGTGCCCATTACAGTATCTGGGCCACCTTATTGCCAGCAGTGGAAAATCCTTTATTATCTTTTTGGCATAAGCAAATCATTCGTCTCTCCTTCACTTTCATAAACTATTATTTTTTAGTATTTTTTACACTCTTATTTATTCTGGATTTTAGCCTGATGTCACTCTTAAAAGGTCTGTGCCAATCTTTTGTAGCATTTATTTAAAGTTAAGTCCATCCTTTATATGTATTCTGAAAAAAAACAAAAACAAAAACAAAAAAAAACAGAGCAAATGAAAATCTAAGAATATGAAGGACTCACTTTCTGGTCCCACCTCACCACCTTGCCACTTCCCCAGCAAATCCCTCCATTTTTCTCTCTCTATAACTGGCTGGGATTAATTGACAGAGTTCCTGATACTTATTGCTCTTATTTTCAGTTCTAGCATCTTTGGTGGTACAAATATACTATACCTTCATATCTTCTTAAAATCTAACATACACGCTTGCCTGATAATTATTTATTTTGTTCCTTGGTTATTTAACCCTCTAAAAGAGCATGCTGAATTAATCACCAAGTTCTTATTTCTTCCACTTCACTTTAATCATTAAGCCCTGAAGTATGTGTGCTATATCTGGCTCTTTAAATACTGAAGGGAACTGTTTTATTTTTTTTTTAGGCCTAGATGCTAGCACTGACTTTCCATGTCTGCTGATAATCCCTGCTGCCTTACATCATTCCCCTTCCAAGCCTTGTTCCACCTTCTTGTTTCTGCAGCTCTGGAGGTTCTTGTCTTCTTACCTTGGATCCTAATACCTGTTTTTCTTATTCTTTAATAAGCCACAGAAATGTGCTTTTCTGACTGAGCATCTTTTCAACTCTTATTTTTAACAACTCTATTATTGTTTTTATAAGAAAAGCAATTTAGCCTTATTGTACAATTTTTGGAAGGCACAGAACATCACAACAAAGAAAATAAAAAGCACATGAAGCTTACCACCCTGAGAGAATCACTTAAAATATTGGTGTATATGCTTGGGAAAAAAATGTAATCCTTCCTGTTGTTTCAGACAATTATTTTCATTGTCTCTGGAATCTGCCTTTATTTACTGATGGTATATAGGAACAGAGATTAGTACCTCTTTTCCTCAGGCTTTGATACATATCAATTATAATGCAAAAATGAGGACTAAGTTCTTTTTTTTTTTTTTTCTCAAATAACTCAATTCTCTGTCCCAGGCTCATGATTTTGCATACTTCTTGGTTTTAATCCTGTCACAGAAGCTTAACGTTTCTGGTTAGGAGATGTTTCTATTGTCACTGTCAGCAGATGGGGAGTGTACTGGGGATAAGTGGGGCTCCAGCTTTTTTTCACCTAAGGAAAGAGTTGCATCTTCTTAGGGTTTCTGAAAGATAAGACACTGATCAAGTAAAATATCAATGAAAGTCTCTGATTTGAGTAAACAGAGACTGATTAGATTATGAGCAAACTTCCTAGTGAGGTTTACATCTTGGTCAAATGGAGATGAGCTTAAGATGTCTTATAGCCCCTTTTAATCTGCTCAAGTATTAGAAATGAATGTTGTTTGCCACTTTAAGCAATTGCTAAATGTCTAGAATTTCCAAAATTTAATGTTCAGGGATTTTCAGAGGTAAAGGAATCTAGGACTCTCTTTCTTCTAAGTTTTGACTTTAATAGGAGGAGGAAGAAAGTAAGCAGATGACTAAAATCGGATAAGTTTCCTGATTCACTTAATTTTGTTCAACCCATTTAAAACAGAATGTAAAAGATCTGTGTCACTATATCTCTTACTATTGTGTGTCCTTAGGAAGATGTGAAATTGTGTAACTCTGCTAGCATAATCCAATTATTATGTTTACAGAGATAATAAGTTACTAATTTTATACCACATGACTTATTTACTCATTGTTCTTTCCAGTTTGTTCATAAAATCCTAGAGTTGGTGATCTCATAGTTTATCCCTGATTTATCAAAATTTTGTTCAGTAGTTTTTAAACTTTAGGGCACATAAAGATAATCTAAAGTGCTTTTGAAAACTGTTCTTGGACTTAATCCCCAAAATGTTTTCAATTAATACATCTAAATGAATCTCAGAACATGTGACAAGCACCCCTGACAATTCTGAGACAGGTTCAATGGACTACTTTTTGAAAACCATTGCTTGGCCTATATAACTCCTAGCAGGTGGTTATATGCCTGCTAGAAAATGCACACACACTGTATACTTTGGATCACTTAGAATTGTCAACATATACTCAAGAAATAGGAAAAACATCTCATTAATATTTCACAAAAGAGGAAGGCACTGTTGAATCAGGTGTTTTATTTAAGATCATTAGGCATATTAGAGAAAAATCGGTCATAGAGGCTAGGGTATAACTCAGATCTCCTACACTAACTGGAAGCCACTGGGTCACCTTTGCTTTCATTAGTGTCTGAATTTCCATTATTGCTCTGTGCTTAGCATTCTTCTCGGAAGAGACATTCCTCAGGACTCACTGCTTTAAAGGTTCAACCAGCTGAAAACATTTTTCAAATTGTACAGCATTAAATTCAAAATGGATCTGAAAATATAAAGTTTGAAAGAATTCACTGGCAGTATTTTGATGGTGTTTTATTTCGCGTTGGGGCTAAAGATTATATTAACAAATTATCTTGATTTTAAAATTTAATTTTTTAATTTATAAAATATATATTTATGGTGTACAATATGATGTTTTGATATATGTATACATTGTGAAATGGCTAAATCTAGCTAATTAGCATATATATTACCTCAGCCATTTTTTGTGGTGAGAACACTTAACACTTAAAATCTACTCTCTTAGCAATGTTCAAGTATATGGTATGCTATTAATTATAGTCACCATGATACACAATAGATCTCTTGAATTTATTTATCTTGAGTTTAAAAAAAAGAGGTTATAGAATCTAAGGCCCTATCTGCATTATAGCTAATTCATTCATGGATAAAACATTCTAAATGTTTGATATTAAAAATACTGAAGTCTAAACATGATGCATTTGCACCATGATGAAGCCCAGAAACTCCAGTGTTATTCATAGTTATTATATTCAAGTAATGCAGCTGTATTTTCTGAAATGAATGCTATTTGCTGTACTTGGCCCTGATTTGAGATGGAAGCTAGTGTTCATATGTTAGTTTGGGCTGCTGTGATAAAATACCACAGACTGGGTAGCTTATAAACAACAGAAATTTATTTCTTACAGTTCTAGAGCCTGGAAGTCCAATATCAAGGTGCCAGCAGATTTTCTGGTGAGGGCCTGCTTTTCATAAAAAGTGACTTCTCACTCTATCTTCAAATGGTGGAGGAAGCAAGGCAACTCTCTGGGATCTCTTTTATATGGGCACTAATACTATTAATGAGGGCTCTGCCTTTATGACTTAATCACCTTCCAAAGATCTCACCTCCTAATACTATCACCTTGGGGGCCAGAATCTCAACATATGAATTTGAAGGGCCACAGGCATTCGGACCACAGCAGTTCATTTGCCAAGTAACTAAGGACAGATTCCATCTGCTCTATATTGCCTAGCAGAACATCTAATCCGTTCCCTCAATGGTCTTGTCCGGCAACATTCGGCAAACAGAGACAAAGGGACCCTCTTGCTGGTTCACCAGTGGGAGCTCTACTAAGCCTCTCTCTGACGGAGGCTCTTCTGTTGCCCATCTTACCACTTGGCAAGGCTCTTGACAAGATATCTGACTTCTATCATAGAACAAAAGTTAACAGTCTTTGCAGTACTTTGATCTCGTAAAATCGGTCAATAAGAGTACTCCATGGGGATTCTAAACCTAAGTCTGAAAGATATCCATATTTCTATTAATGTTATAATGTAGTCATTTGTATTTTTATAAATTTAAACATAATCCAGATTAATATTAAAATATTGCAAGGAAAGAAGTAAAGGATTTGCCGACTAAACATGGAGAGATACCAGCCCTATTCTCATATCCTAGTAATTTGTTATCATTTATGATGCAAATGTACTGTTGATGCTATAAATCAACTTGTTTTTTGAGGTTTTTATTAGCTATAGTTCTCTGGCAAAAATTGTAATCTGCTGGCTAATATTGACTTTCATCGCAGTTTTCACATCAGCTATGGACGATGTCTTAATAAGGGCTTTCCTTATTTTATAGGTAGGGAAACCAAGGAAGAAATTGCCCAAATAACTGATATAACTGATCCTGTCCCAGAAAGCCCCCAGACGAGGTCTAGGATCATAATCCATTTTAGTGATGCTATGGCATTAGGCAGAAGACATCTGTATTGGGGGTGGGGAAGAGCAAGTGATAAGAGCTCTAGAAAAATGTTGGATTACAATCTCTGTGAGCAGTATGTCCTGCTTCTTGAGCATGAGGAGCAGAAGGCACCAAAGATAATAGGAAACTAATTTAAATATATAATATCATATCTAGACCTCAAGCCTGGAGCTGAGCCACTGATCTAAGTCACTCCTCAGTGGACTTAGCAAGGCTGCTCTTATATATCTCATATATAATGAGAATTTCCTTTCTATTAAATTACCTGTAATAAAAGAGTATCAAATAGCCATATGTTAGGTTCTTACTGAAGTTCTCATGTTTCTGGGTGCTCTCAATTATTTTGAACAAAGAAGTATTTTGCTGGGAAGACAAAACAACTGGGTAGTACTTCATTCAATTCTAGTTTTAATGTGCATTAAGTCATCTGACAATAAAACTCACCTCCTTTACCCTTGCAAAAGGAGAAACCCTATAACATACTTAGGAATTATTCCTAGTGCCTCAAAAGTACAGGTGTCCATTATAAACAAACATTTTTCTCTTATACCTGAATGAATTCATAATTTAAAAAATATTTTTAAAAAGATGGAAGCAAGCAGAGAAGACAACACATTGAGCATCCTTAGGTGCACATTAAACTTCACCAACTCTTTTCAGGTGCATATGTTCCTTATAGATTTTCTGGGTCTTTTTCTAAGGTATTATTCCCATAGGACATTTAGGTAAGAGATTAAATTGAAGTGCCATTTCTGATATAAGTTATTGTGTTTATGAAGGCAAGATTGAGTTCATTTTTCTTTTGTTTCCTACAAAGAGTTCTCATTGAGAAAACTTTTGCAAAAATGAAGGAAATATGTCAAAATTTTGAGTTTAGAACCTGAACCTAGTTACTTCAACAATTGATGAAAGATCTAAATTTTGTTTTCTGCTATCCTCCAGTATACCTGACACAGACATGAAAAGCCCTGAAGCATCGGATTAAGAGAACAAAAGTGGAGTCAGATGTATCCAAGTTCAAAACCTGGCTTGATTTTTTTTAACCAGTAGTGTTACCTTGGAAATGTTACTTTACCTCCATGAGTACTAGTGGCCTCATCTTTAAAATAGTAATTTTTATAATTTCCGCCTCATGGGATTGCATTGAGGATTAACTGAGGTGTTTGCAAAGTACCAAGCATAGTGCCTGTATTTGTTCTCTTATGATGTTATGGTTCTGTAGGTTAGAAGTTGGATACAGGTCTCACTGAGCTAGAGTTCAGCTGGGCTGCATTCCTAGTTTGGAGACTCTAGGGGAGAAGTGGTTTCCTTGTCTGTTCTAGCTTCTGGAGACCTCCTGTATTCTCTGGCTCATGTCCCCTTTCTCTTTCTTCAAAGCCAGCAAGTGTCATCTCTCTGACCTATCTTTTGTACTCACATCTCTTTCTGACCACAGTCACAAGAGGTTCTCTACTTCTAAGGACACATGTGATTAGCTCAGAATCCAGGATAATCTCTACATCTCAAGGCCCTTAATTCAGTTCTATCTGTCAACTGTTTTTTACCATGTAAGGCAGCGTATTCACAGGCTGCACAGATTAGGATGTGGCCATCTTTGGGGGCCTACTACCATGCCTAATACTTTATGGTAAGTCTAACATCATCATTATACAAGCTATTTTCATCATTACCATTCTATTTGACATATGTTAGGAGCTCAAAAATACTTGGTGTGTATTTTTTAAATAAATGACTATCTAGAAAATTGGAAGATACTCTTTGTAGGGTATATAGATAATGGCATAGGCCACATATTTTAATAATTCATTCATTCCTATGGTATTTTCCCAATATTTTAATGTATCTTTACATAGCATTTTGAACTTTTCAGAAGAATTACAGCATTTTGAAATTTAAAATAAGTTGATCCAGTTATCATTTTATAGTCGGAGAAGCTACAGAATAAGCAAGTTGAATTACCTGATCACAGCCATACAATCTGTTAGAGATCATGCCAGTGTAAGAAGCTCAGTTCATTATTTTACTCCATCATGTTGCCTCCACCATCACCAATATTAATGCCCAGCCTTTCTGTGACCCCTAATAGCCTAAAGTCTTTGCGGCAAATGTCTGTTGGAAGACCTTGGTTCCTACTGTAGCATGTGCACGGCCTCTTCCTCCACATTTCTGAGCTATCACATAGGGATCTGGGCCTGTGTCTACCTGAAACCTGCCAAAGAGTTAATGCAGCTCTCCGAATCATCCTATTCTATGACTGCTTTATTCTTCAGAATTGTGATGTATGATCGGTAGGTTATATAGGTTTTCATGTTTCAGTGATTTTAGACAGGGATTTTAAGCCAACTCCTGAAAATTTTGGGTAGGAGGCCTTTAGGGATAGATCTGTTGCTTTTCTAAATTCTTTTTAATGTCTAAGACACAAATGCATACAGACAATAGAAAACATTAAAGGCTATTCATACTGTTAGTACAAAATATTACCCAGAAATGAAATTTTAGGAAGAAAGACACACACACACACACACACACACACACACACACACACACGGAAAAACCCACAAATTTATATCCCCATCAATAAGTATCATAATTTTGCATAAATAAGTTATAATATTAATAGCACTAAGAAGCTACAAATAGTACACTGGTGTCAAAAGTTAACAGGATGGGGAGGGGTAATACTATCAGCCCTACCTGGCATTCTACAACATCAGGAAATAGAAACTGAACACTTATCTCCCCTAGTGAAGCCAAAAGCAGATTGTTAATGAAACACACAAGTAATGAGTTTGTAGTATCCTCCAAAAGATTCCTCTTTCTTAATCCAAGATAAATTTTTCCCTATCAGCAGGATTATCCTACATTTCAAGTTATAGAATTGGGAAACTAGTATGTGGCATGTGAAAAAGAGGAGGCTTCAATAACAGCCCTCTTCAGGCCACCTGAAACTTGCTTTGAAGATTCACTCTAGTCATGCAGCTGTTTAATTCACGAAGTGTTCAGTTCTACTTTGGAGCCTAAAGAAAAGCAAACCACCTGAACTCTGATGTTCATTATTATTTCACCATTCATAACCAATTCTGATGGTCTGTGAAGAGGTGAGTTTATTTCCTATTGCTGTTTTACAAATTACCCAAACTTAGTGTCTTAAAACAATATAAATGTATCTTAGAGTTCTGGAGGCCAGAATTCTGAAATGAGTCTCACTGAACTAAAGTCAGGTCGTCAGCAGGGCTGGTTACTTCTGGAGACTCTGGGGCAGAATCTGTTTCTTGGTTGTTTGCAGCTTCTAGAGGCTTCCTGTATTCCTTGGCTCATGGACTCTTCCTGGCATCACTGTGACCTCTGCTTCTGTTGTCTCACCTCCTTTCCTGACTCTGACCCTCCTACCTTCCCTTCATGAGGACACCTGTGATCACATTGGGCCCAGGTAGACAATGTAGGCTCAACTCCTCATCTCAAGATCCTTAACTTAAACACATTTGCAAAGTTTCTTTTCCCATATGATATGGTTCGGCTCTGTGTCCCCACCAAAATCTCATTTTGAGTTCCCAGTGTTGGAGGAAGGACCTGGTGGGAGGTGGTTGGATCATGAGGCAGATTTCCCCCTTGCTGTTCTCATAATAGTGAGTGAGTTCTCACAAGATCTGATTGTTTAAAAGTGTGTAGTACTTCCTTTAGCTCTCTCTTTCCTGCTCCATCATGGCAAGACATGTTTGCTTCCCCTTCACCTTCTTCCATGATTGTAAGTTTCCTGAGGCCTCCCAACCATGCTTTCTGTACAGCCTGTGGAACTACGAGTCAGTTAAACCTCCTTTCTTCATATATTACGCAATTTCAGGTAGTTCTTAAGAGCAGTATGACAATGGATTAATTCACCATGTAAGGGAACATATTCACAAGTTTCAGGGGTTAGGATGCAGATGTCTTTGGATAGGGGCATGATTCAGCCTACAGAAGGTAGAGCTACCACAGCATCCCATGAAATCACACTGGTGATCTTTTCTGGTGAGACTAAAGGAAAGCCGTACTTGACAGCTTCATCTGGAAATTCTGCTAGTGGAATAATGTTATGGAAATGTATCTGGTGTGCTTTCTGGAAGTAGTTTGATTCTTCTTGTAAAGATGACCTTGGTGGTAATAAAAGTTGAATAAAGTTAAACTATGGAGTGCTAGGGGGATAGGGGCTGAATTTTCACCTTTAGCTTGTGAAGTGCATCCAGGCCTGGCTGATTAAAAAAAAAAAGATGAATTAGAATAGATCATCTTAATTGGGTTGACCGTAACTTACAAATATCAGTAAGGCATGGGATGGGAGGGGCAACCCCATTCATTAGTGACTATGTATTGTGAATATTCAGAAATTTATACTTTTAAATAAAATTCAATATTTTTAAATGAAATAGACTAATGGTCATAAAATTTTGTTGGCAGGGTTATGCTCAGAAGAGGACTATTGCAGAAATGGATTAAACTGACCCATAGGCTTCTTTCTCTAATATACATTGTCAATATTCTTTATGTAAATCAAAATTCTTCTGAATTGCTATCTTTCTTTCACTTCTTTCTAACCTGCCCCTTACATGTGAACATAGTATCGAAGGTCATATTTGTGGAGCTACAACACTACTTTCTTGACTTAGCCCCGTTGGTCAGTTTTTTCCTAATTTTAAAAGGATTGTCAGGATAAGAAGTTGAGATGGTAAGCAAGATAAGGGTATTGAAATTTTCTCCATAATCATTCTCCAGGGAGGGGTGTATTGGCAGGGAAGCTATACTTTCTTATTTTCTAAATGCTTTTCTGAGTTTTGGTTGCCTTGGAGACAGGACAGTTGTTTCAGGATTAGACCTGAATGCTGGAGAGCATCAGTTGGTGACCCCTCCTCCTTTTGCTAGGATTCATCTGCCTTTCTTTCCTCGACCTCCTATATATCAAGGAGATTTGTTTTATATACATATGCTCATCACGGCATTTTTATTTCGTGGACTTGAATTTATCATTCATTCATTCTCTAATTCATTCAACAAATATTTGGTTACCAGTTATTCCCAGTCCACTTGACTATAGATAAATGATTTAAAACAAGTTTTATGAGGGGTTATAATAAAAATGCAACCAAAATGCTAGGAGAAAATAGTCCACTCTCTCTAGGTGAAATGGAGATTCCTTCGCAGAAGAGGTGACACCTATACAGCCTGTGAGCCTGAACGCGTGGCTATTTATAGAGAAGGGCAGGCACCCCCTTCTCTATAAACATATAAACTCTCAACCTTTCCTAATATACCTAGATATACCTGAGAAGGTGGGGGATTCTTCAGATTCTGTTTCGAACTTAGTTTTCTTTGTTTCAAATAGGATATCTAACATTTGAAATAAAAATGTGACCCCTTTAAGAAGTCTCCAAGTAAGACAGACTTAGGGAGTGCGGGTTAAGCCAGGCTGTGTGACAGCTTCAGCAGAAGGCAGTGGGTGGTGGTAATGGTAGCAAGTAAACAACTTTATTTTCACGTTAAACTATCCTGGGGAACTGGAGTTGGGGGTGGGGGGGTGCTGGAAATGCCTATCCTGGGATATATGGTAACACATCAAAACCAGGCAACGTAGGATAAAATGTAAATGTGAGAGGTTCTGAGGCTTCCTAGTTGGACCACATGATATCATATAAACCAAGGGCAACAGATAAAGGAGTAACTCTCTCCTGCAGTAGCTTTGAAATGGAAATTGAATTTTTCATTTTTCATTTGAATCAGTTACCTGCTTTTAAGGGTGACACCCTGGTCTGGTGTACAAGTGCTGCCATAGCAATAGTGTTTTTCTTTCTTTTTTTTTTTTTTTAATGTTTTTTCTTTTCTCCAACTTCTATTTGAAGTTCAGGGGTCCGTGTGCACGATGTGCAGGTTTGTTTCATAGGTAAATGTGTGCCATGGTGGTTTGCTGCACAGATCATCCCATCACCTAGGTATCAAGCCCATCATCCATTAGCTATTCTTCCTGATGCTCTTGCTCCTCCCACTCCAACCCTCAGACAGGCCCCAGTGTGTGTTGTTCCCTCCTGTGTGTCCATGTGTTCTCACCATTCAGCTCCCACTTATCAGTGAGTACTGTTTTTCTTTAATAATGCATAGCCACTACCCAGAACCACTCAAATACATACTTTATCCCCTCCCAGTTCTGGCCCTTGCATCAGAAACCCCTGCAACCTCCCAAACTAAAAGATGGCCTCTGGATCTGCAGAAGGCCTCCAGGACCATGCTGTAGCCCTATGGCCAGCATTTGTGATTGTTTGATATCCATGCCATACTAGTCATTAAATACTGTGAATATCACTCTAGTGAAACCCGTAGTGATAAAGGTAAGCCCATTACTTTAGTTAATTAAAAACTAACCCTGTGAGCTTCACAGCAAGCTCAGCAATTACTACTACTGAGTAAGGCACTCCTCAAATTCAGATAAAAATGGGAATCTTTGAGGGAGCAATGAAAAATAAGCAGAGAAATAAATTTATGCAAAATTCTAAGATATTTCTTGGCATTCATCCTTGCATTAAAATAATATCTTAGTTTTTAGAACCTTCCACATAAGGTTTTCACATGCTTATATTAATATTAATAAGTTTATAATGTTAAGAATAAAGGCAGAGATGACTTTTGCTGATTGGTTACTTTTGCTGATTGGTTACTTTTGCCTTTTTAACCATCAGAGTCTATATGAATATCAAGGCTCAAATTATGCATGTTTTATAAGCCTACCCTGGCATTAGAGATGCTTGTGCCAGATTAAAGACACAGATTCTAGAGATACCTTCTAGTTCTAAGAGGATAAAGGTGACTAATGATATAATTTCACAGTTTGTTTACAAACCATTTAATTTTGTTTGTTGGTATCTACATCTGACTCATGTTTTAGATATTTATGGAATTAGGATAGGCCTTGAACTGTTACTCTGTATGTTATTTTCCTAATTCTTCCTGAATTTCTTAGTATTCAGCATGGTCATTTTAACCATATAACACAATTAAATATATGCTCAGAAAAATACATAAAAATATAAAATAAATGACATATGCAGTGCTAGAAAGGAGATAAAAGACAATCTGAAGTAGTTATTTCTAAGATTATATTCTAGAGCTTTGCTTATATTCCTTGGTATCCTTAATATTACAGTATTGCCGTGATAATGGCTGTTACTACTATAGTTATAAACCTTATTAAAATTCTGCAAGGGCAGTAATGACTTTAACTATCTACAAATTAGGGGAAATAGATTTCTGCTTTTGAGTACTTTGTTCTCCTTGAAAATCCAATTTTTTATTTAATAGTTAATTTTTGTAGCACTTAAGCTTATTATTTAACATTTCTGTAGCACTTGGTATTTAAAAAGTCCTTTACAATGATTAATTATTTCCTACACCTTGGTTTCATAAGGTAAATTTGGCCTAATTAGAATTGTTGAATCTCACATAAAATGGAGGCCAAGTTTTCTGCTTTAAATTGCAAAGATTTCCATAACTGATTTTTTTACATAATAAAAATAATGTAACTAACCTGCACATTGTGCACATGTACCCTAAAACTTAAAGTATAATAATAATAAAAGAAAAAAAAAATTGGGATCAAAGCCTAAAAGTGAAATGTAAAATTCAGAGCTCTGAACGTCTACCTCTTGTTCACATGTATGTTTGTTATATTTTATTGTGGGATTAGAGGAGGATCTTCTCCCCTGCTACTAAATCACAGAATTTTCCTCTGCAGAGCGGCTAAAAAATGTTAAAACAGTGATTTACCAGTGTTCACTTTTTAGGTTTCAAATTTTATGGAATATCTTTTTCTACCCCTTTACTTTTTAGTCTATGTGTCTTTATAGAATTGGGTTTTCTGAAGGCAGCATATAATTGGCTCTTGTTTCTTTATCCATTCAGCCACTGTAAACCTTGTAATTGGAGAATTGAGACCATTCACGTTGTATTATTAAGTAAGAACTTAGCTCTGCCATTTTGTTTCTTGTTTTGTAAGTTGTCTCTTCCTTTTTATTGTCTTCTTTTGTGGTTAAGTGATTTTCTCAGGTAGTATGTCTTCATTTCTTTTTAGTGAATTGCATTTAGTGAATCTATTATAGGGTTTTGCACTGTGGTTACCATGATGCTTACAAAAATCATCTTATAGATTTAAAAAGTTATTAAAGCCTGGGTGCAGTGGCTTATGCCTGTAAACCCAGCACTTTAGGAGGCCAAGGTGGGTGGATCACCTAAGGTCAGGAGTTCAACACCAGCCTGACCAACATGGTGAAACACACTCTCTACTAAAAATACAAAAAATTAGCCAGGCGTGGTGGCTCATGCCTGTAATCCCAGCCTCCTAGGAGGCTGAGGCAGGAGAATCACTTGAACTGGAGAGGTGGAGGTTGCAGTGAGCCGAGATTGTGCCATTGTACTCCAGCCTGGTCAACAAGAGTGAAACTCAGTCTCAAAAAAAAAAAAAAAGTTATTAAGGAGAGGACAACTTACCTTAGACCACAAAGAAAAGAAGCAAACTAAGAAAAAAATGAAAAAAACTCTCTACACTTTAGCTCCATTCCCCGCTACATTTAGACTTTGTCTCAATTTACATATTTTTATTTTGCCTCTTAATAGGTTGCTGTAGGTATTATTGTTTTTAATAGATTTGCCTTTTAGGCTTTATATATTTGGGTTATGAGTAGATTGCATACTACAATTCCAGTGTTAGAGTATTCTTGGCTTATGCATGTACTTAATTTTGCCAGTGGGTTTTATACCTTCAATTTTTTTCTTTTTGCACATTAGCATCTTTTCTTTCAGACTGAAGAGCTCCCTTTAGCATTTTCTGAAAGACAGTTCTCATGGTGGTGAATTTTCTCAGCTTTTGTTTGTCTGGGAAAGACTTTATCTGAAGGATATTTGAAGGATAGCTTTGCAAAATACAGTATTCTTGGATGGCAGTTGTTTTCTTTCATCACTTTGAAAATGTTGCCCCACTCCCTCCTGGTCTTTATGGTTTCTATTGAGAAGTCTGTTGCCAGACATATTGGAACTCCTTTATATGCTATTTGCTTCTTTTCTCTAGATGCTTTAGGATCCTTTCTTTGTCTTGACCTATGAGCTTGATTATTAGATGCCTTGGGGTAGTCTTATTTGGATTAAATCTGTTTGGTGTTCTCTTACTGTCCTGTACCTGGATATTAATCCCTTTCCCAAGTTTTGGAAAGTTTTATATTATTTTTTTAAATAAGCTTTCTACTTCTAGATCTTGCTTAACTCCCTCTTGAACACTGGTAATTCTAGCATTGGTCTTTAGGTAATCTTTTTTAACTTTTTTTTCCTTTTTCTCCTCTTTATTTTCAAACAGCCTGTCTTTGAGCTTGCTGCTGCTTTCATCTGCATGAACTATTCTGCTGCTGAGAGCCTTTAATAAATTTTTCAGTTCAGCAAATGTATTTGTCAGTTTTAAGGTATCTGTTTGATTTTTAAAAATTATTTAAATCTCATTGTTAAATTTATCTGATAAATTTTTGAATTGCTTTTCTATGTTTTACTGGAGATCACAGAGTTTCTTTAAAAGTGCTATTTTGAATTCGTAGTCAGAGAATTCATATATCACCATCTTGTTACTGGCTCCTTTATCTGTTTGAGGAGGTCATGGTTCCCTGTTGGCTATTTGTTTCTTGTGGATGTACGTCTGTGACTTTGCACTGGAGGATTATTCATTCCAGTTTTCTGTGTCTAGCATATTTTGGTTTTTATTGGATCTGTTTGCTTAAAGATTCTTTGTAATTTACCTCTTGATTTTCTTTTGTATTTTCATTTTCTGCCAGGTTACTGTAATCTTTTGGCACATTGCTTTGCTTCTGGTAAACAGAGTGCTGTTTATTCTGAATGGGGTGGGTTTCAAAGGTGATATCCTAGTAGTGTGGAAAGGCTGGCTATGGGTTTGTGCCCAGGGAACCTAAAGAACAAACCTCCAATAGTGTGGAAATGCAGAACAGCCACTCTGATTTAGTATCTCCTTTGGCCAAGTTACAGAGCAGAATATCCAGGGCTGGGTATGGTGGTTTCACCTCCCCACTTTCTCTCCAGCTGTCTTCAGTGATGTCTCTTCCTCAGGAACTCCCAATGCTTCTCATGAGTTGAGGCAGAGACAGGTCTCCTGCTAAGGAACAGAAGATAGTGGGAAAGCTGATTGTCTACCTCAATCTATTTTTTTCCAGTGTAGAAACTACAAATCAGGGGAAAATTTTCTTGACATTTGGTGCCAGGCAGAGTGGGGAGAGGGGCATCATGGATATGGAAATGATTTTCTTACCATGTACTCAGAGTTTTTTCACTTCTATGTGGCCCAGGAACCTGCCTATCCACATATTTGAGTTCTGGGGTATTGCTGATAATAACCTCAGTGCTGTATATTTGTTTTTGATTGTTGGGGGGCATTGGGGAGTGAAGCTAGCTTGTTTCTACACTGCCATTTTGGAATCTGAAGTCCTCCCTTTGCGACTTTTTTTTGTTGACTTATTGGTTGTTTAAGAGTATTGATATGGTTTTGCTCTGTGTCCCCACCCAAATCTCATCTTGTAGCTCCCATAATTTCCACTTGTTGTGGGAGGGACCAGGTGGGAGATGATTGAATCATGGGGGAGAGCTTTTCCCATGCTGTTCATGTGATAGTAAATGGGTCTTACAAGATTTGATAGTTTTTAAAAATGGGAGTTTCCCTACACAAGCTCCTTTTGCATGCTGCTGTGCACATAAGATGTGACTTGCTCATCCTTGCCTTCTGCCATGATTGTGAGGCCTCCGCAGCCATGTGAAACTGTAAGTCCAATAAACCTCTTTCTTTTGTAAACTGTCCAGTCTCTGGTACATCTTAATCAGCAGCATGAACATGGAATTATATGGTAAATTGGTACCAGGAATGGGGTGCTACTATTAAAATACCTGAAAATGTGGAAATGACTTTGGAATTGGGTAACAGGCAGAGTTTGGATCAGTTTGGAGAGCTCAGAAGAAGACAGGAAAATGTGGGAGAGTTTGGAATTCCCTAGAGACTTGTTGATTGGCTTTGACCAAAATGCTAATAATGATATGAACAATAAGGTCCGGGCTGAAGTGGTCTCAAATGGAGATGAGGAACTTGTTGGGAACTGGAGCAAAGGTGATGCTTGTTATGTTTTAGCAAAGAGGCTGGTGGCATTTTGCCCCTGCCCTAGAGATTTGTGGAACTTTGAACCTGAGAGAGATGATTTAGGGTATCTGGCAGAAGAAATTTCTAAGCAGCCAGGCATTCAACAGGTGACTTGAGTCTGTTAAAAGCATTCACTTTTATAAGGGGAGAAGATCATAAAAGTTTTGAAAATTTGCAGCCTGACAAAGTAATACAAAAGAAAATCCATTTTCTGAGGAGAAATTCCAGCTGGCTGTAGAAATTTGCATAAGTAATGAGGAGCCAAATGTTAATCCCCAAGACGATGGGCACAATATCTCCAGGGCATGTCAGAGGTCTTCATGGCAGCCTTTCCCATTACAGGCCCGGAGGCCTAGGAGGAATAAATGGTTCCATGGGCCAGGCCCAAGGTCCCCAATGCTTTGTACAGTCTAGGGACTTGGTGCCCTTTATCCCAGCTGCTCCAGTCATGACCAAAATGGGCCAAGGTACAGCTCAGGCTGTGGCTTCAGAGAGTGCAAGCCCCAAGCCTTGGCAGTTTCTACGTGGTGTTGAGACTGTGGTTGCACAGAATTCAAGAATTGAGGTTTGGGAACCTCTGCCTAGATTTCAGAGGATGTATGGAAATGCCTGGATGTCCAGGCAGAAGTTTGCTACAGGGGCGGGGACTTCAAGGAGAACCTCTGCTAGGACAGTGTGAAAGGGAAATGTGGGGTCAGAGCTCCCACAGTCCCTACTGGGGCACTGCCTAGAGGAGCTTTGAGAAGAGGGCCACCATAGTCCAGATACCAGAATGGTAGATTCACTGAGAGCTTGTACTATGTGCCTGGAAAAGCTGCAGACACTCAACAGCAGCCTGTGAAAGCAGCTGGGAGGGAGGCTATACCCTGCAAAACCATAGGGGTGGAGCTTCTGAAGACCATGGGAAACCAGCTCTTGCATCAACATGACCTGCATGTGAGACATGGAGTCAAAGGAGATCATTATGGAACTTTAAGATTTGACTGTCCTGCTGCATTTCAGACTGGCATGGGGCCTGTAGCCCCTTTGTTTTTCCCAATGTCTCCCATTTACTATAGCTTTATTTACCCAATGCCTGTACCCCCATTGTATCAAGCAAGTAACTAACTTGCTTGTGATTTCACAGGCTCATAGGTGGAAGGGACTTGCCTTGTTTTGGATGAGACTTTGGACTGTGGACTTTGGAGTTAATGCTGAAAATGATTTGAGACTTTGGGGGACTGTTGGGAAGGAATGATTGGTTTTGAAATGTGAATATATGAGATTTGGGAGAGGCTGGGGTGAAATGATATGGTTTGGCTATGTGTCCCCACCCAAGTCTCATTTTGTAGCTCCCATAATTCCCATGTGTTGTGGAAGGGACCCAGTGGGAGATGATTGAATCATGGGGGCAGGTCTTTCCTGTGCTGTTCATGTGTAGGTGAATATGTCTCATGAGATCTGATGCTTTTTAAAAATGGGAGTTTCTCTGCACAAGCTCTTTTTACCTGCAGCCATCCATGTAAGATGTGACTTGCTCCTCCTTGCCTTCCACCATGATTGTGAGGTCTCCCTAGCCATGTGGAACTGTAAGTCCAGTAAACATCTTTCTGTTGTAAATTGCCCAGTCTCAGGTATGTCTTTATCAGCAGCATGAAAACAGACTAATACAAGTATGTTGTTTATTTCCACGTTTGTGAACTCCCAGATTTTTCTGGAATTAGAAATTTATTTCTAATTTCATTCCATTTTAGTCAGAGAATATACTTACATAACTTTAATTCTTTTTAATTGTTTGAGACTTGTTTTATGGCATAAATTATGGCTATACTGAAGAATGTTCCATGTGTACTTAAGAAGAATATGTGTTCTGCTATTGTTGAATTAAGTTTTTTCTAGGTATCTGCTAAATCTGGTTGGTTTGTAATGGTCAAGTATTCTGTTTTTTTTTGTTGATCTTCTGTCTACTTATTCTATCCATTATTGAGAGGGGAGTCTTGAAGCCTCTTGTTATCATTGATAAATTTTTATTTCTCTGCAATTTTGTCATTTTTATTTTACGACTTCTGGGGCTTTGTTTTTAAGTACATACATGTTAATATTGTTACGCCTTCTTGAGGGATTGATTGACCATTTTGTGACACATACACACACATATATATTTATAGTAAAAATACATTACATGAAAGTTACCTTCTTAACAATATTTTTTATACTTTAAGTTCTGAGATACATGTGCAGAATGTGCAGGTTTGTTACATAGGTATACACATGCCATGGTAGTTTTCTGCACCCCTCCACCCATCTTCTACATTAGGTATTTCTCCTAATGCTATCCCTCCCTTAGCCCCCCAACCCCTGACAGGCCTGAGTATATGATGTTCCCCTCCCTGTGTCCATGTGTTCTCATTGTTCAACTCCCACTTACGAGTGAGAATATGTGGTGGTGGTTTTTCTCTTCCTGTGTCAGTTTGCTGAGAATGATGGTTTCCAGCTTCATTCATTTCCCTGCAAAGGGCATAAACTCATCCTTTTTTATGGCCGCACAGTATTTCGTGGTATATACGTGCCACGTTTTCTTTATCCAGTCTATCATTGATGGGCATTTTGGTTGGTTCCAAGTCTTTGCTATTGTGAATAGTGCTGCAATAAACATATGTGTACATGTGTCTTTATAGTAAAATGATTTATTATAATCCTTTGGGTATATACCCAGTAATGGGATGGCTGGGTCAAATGGTATTTCTGGTTCTAAATTCTTGAGGAATCACCACACTGTCTTTCACAATGGTTTAACTAATTTACACTCCCACCAACAGTGTAAAAGAATTCCTATTTCTCCACATCCTTTCCAGCATCTGTTGTTTCCTGACTTTTTAATGATTGCCATTCTAACTGGCATGAGATGGTATCTCATGGTGGTTTTGATTTGCATTTCTCTAATGACCAGCAATGAGGAGATTTTTTTCATGTTTGTTGGCTGCATAAATGTCTTCTTTTAAGAAGTGTCTGTTCATATCCTTCACCTACTTTTTGATGAGGTTGTTTTCTTATAAGTTTGTTTAAGTTCTTTGTAGATTCTGGATATTAGCCCTTTGTCAGATGGATAGATTGTAAAAATTTTCTCCCATTCTGTAGGTTGCCTGTTTACTCTGATGATAGTTTCTTTTGCTGTGCAGTTCTTTAGTTTAATTAGATCCCATTTGTCAATTTTGGCTTTTGTTGCCATTGCTTTTGGTGTTTTAGTCATGAAGCCTTTGCCCATGCCTATGTCCTGAATGGTATTGCCTAGGTTTTCTTCTAGGGTTTTTATGGCTTTAGGTCTTATGTTTAAGTCTTTAATCCATCTTGAGTTATTTTTTGTATAAGGTGTAAGGAAGGTGTCCAGTTTCAGTTTTCTGCATATGGCTAGCCAGTTTTCCCAACACCATTTATTAAATAGGGAATCCTTTCCCCATTGCTTGTTTTTGTCGGGTTTGTCAAAGATCAGGTGGTTGTAGATGTGTGGCATTATTTCTGAAGCCTCTGTTCTGTTCCATTGGTCTATATATCTGTTTTGGCTGTTTTGGTACCAGTACCACGCAGTTTTCATTATTGTAGCCTTGTAGTATTGTTTGAAGTCAGGTAGCGTGATGCTTCCAGCTTTGTTCTTTTTGCTCAGGATTGTCTTGGCTATATGGGCTCTTTTTTTGTTGCCATATGAAATTTAAAGTAGTTTTTTTCTAATTCTGCAAAGAAAGTCATTGGTAGCTTGATAGGGATAGCATTGTATCTATAAATTACTTTGGGCAGTGTGGCCATTTTCATGATATTGATTCTTCCTATCCATGAGCATGGAAGCTTTTTTCATTTGTTTGTGTCCTCTCTTATTTCGTTGAGCAGTAGTTTGTAGGTCTCCTTGAAGAGATCCTTCACATCCCTTGTAAGTGCGTTAATTATATTCACATTGTTGTGAAACAGATCTTCAGAACATTTTCATCTTGCAGATTTGAAACTCTATACCCATTCAACAACAACTCTCTTTTTCCCCTTTCTCCTTGCCGCTGGTAATAACCATTCTACTACTTTCTGTTTCCATTAATTTATCTACTTTAGGTACCACAAATAAATAGAATCATATGGTATTTGGCTTTTTGTGAGTGTCTTATTTCACATAGCATAATGTCCTCAATGTTCAACTATGTTGTGGCATATGATGGGATTTCCTTCTTTTTTAAGTCTGAATAATATTTTATTGTTTCTATATACCACATTTTGCTTATTGTTTCATTTGTTGATGGGTGTTTGGGTTACTTAACACCCCTTGGTATTGTATATAGTGCCACTATGAACATGGGTTTGCAAATATCTCTCAGAGATCCTGCTTTCAATTATTTTGGATACATACTCAGAAGTAGAATTGCAGGATCATATGGTAATTATATTTTTGAGTTTTTGAGGAACCTTCTTACTGTTTCCCATAGTGCCGGCACCATTTAAAATTCCTACCAACAATGCACAAGGGTACCAATTTTTCCACATTCTCACAAACATTTGTTATTTTCTGTTCTTTTGATAGTAGCTATACTAATGGATGTGAGGTTACATCTCATTGTGGTTTTGATTTGCATTTCCCTGATGATTAGTTCCATTAAGCAAGCATCTCTTTGGATACTTCTTAGCCAATTGTATGTCATCTTTGGAGAAATGGCTATTCAAATCCTTTGCATATTTTTTAACTTTGATTATTTGATACTTCGTTGTTGAGTTATAGGACTTCTTTATATATTGTATAATTGTAGGACTTCTTTATGTATTATATAATTTTGGATATTAACCCTTTTTCATATATATGATTTGCAAATATTTTGTCCCATTACACAGGTTGCCTTGTCACTCTGTTGTGTCCTTCAGTGCACAAAACTTTTTAAGCTTGATTTAGTCTCATTTGTTTATTTTTGGTTGTGTTGTCTGAGCTTTTGGTTTCCTGTTAAAGAAATTATTCTCAAGTCCTGAGAATATCCTGAAATATTTCCTGTATGTTTTCTTTTAGAAGTTTCGTGGCTTTAGATCTTTAATTATTTTGAGTTAATATATATGGCATAAGGATCCAGCTTCACTATTTTGCATTTGGATATCCAGATTATTTCAGCATTATTTGTTGTAAAAGGTGTCCTTCCTCCATGTTGTGGTCTTGGCATTCTTGTGGAAGATCATTTCATCATTACATGAGGGTTTATTTCTGGGCTCTCATCCTATTCCATTGGCTTACATGTCTGTCTTTATGTCAGTACTACACTGGTTTTATTATGGTGGTTTTATAATTTGTTTTGAAATCAGGAAGTATGAATTCTCTAAATTTTTTTTTCTTCAATATTTTCTTGGCTATTTGGGCTCCCTTGATATTCTATATGAATTTTAAGATGAACTTCCCTATGTCTGCAAAAAATGTTGAGCTTTAGATAGGAATTGTGTTGAATACAAGATTGTTTTGTGTAGTATGTACATCTTCATAATGTTAATTTTTCAATCCATGAACATGGGATGGTTTTCATTTATCTGTATCTTCTTTAATTTCTTTCAGCAAAGTTTTGTAGTTTTCAGTGTACAAATCTTTAACTTCCTTGATTAGGTTTATTCCTAACTATCTCAACTCTTTTTCATGCTAGTATATAGAATTTTCTTAACTTTTAAAATGCTCAGTGTTAGTGTATAGAAATGTAACTGATTTCTGTGTGTTGATTTATATTTTGTAACTTTACTGAATTCATTTATTAGTTCTAACAGATCGACCTCATCCTTGTTAATTGACTTTCCTTGTCTCTAATAACTGCTTTTTATATATTTTTTAATATTAATATAACCACACAAATTCTCTTTTGTTTACTGATTTTATGGTATATCTCTTTCTGTCCTTTTGCTTTCACCTAAGGTGTCTCTTGTTCACAATATATGGTTGAATCATGTTTTTTTACATCATTTTTTTCTGCTACCTCTTCCATTTGATTGTAGTCTCTTTAAGCAGGTTCTGAAAATTGATATCAAGAATCAATCTGTGATTGATTATTTATTCTAGATTACTTTATTATAATTAATGCAACCAAAGGTTGTTTTAGCATTTGTTTGGCAGCCATACCATAACTTTGCAGTGATGTGGCTGGTTTTTATAGATCCAATCACAGCATCCCATATTTTTATGTCAAATTGTATTTTGTTATCACTAGCTGATTGATGTCTTTTCAGATTCTGTTTTTATCATGGAGTATATTCATTATCATTCCAATGATGATGATAATGATGAATGTTAATATTTAATTCATATGACTAAGCATTCTGTTGATTAAACCACACTCTGCCACTTGTTAGATGTGTGACCTAAGATGAATTGTTACTGACCCATCCATGGCCTCACTACCCAGTGTGCACAGAGGCCAATACCATGGCACTGGCTTTTGAGAAAAGAAAAGCTTTGTTGCAAGTCATTTGGCAAGGAGGCAGGAGGAAATGCTCAAATCTCTCTCCTTGAGCTGGTGGCTGGGAAAGATTTTATAATCATAGAGTAATGAGATGTGATCTGATTAGATCTTACAATGAGGTGATCCCTGGGGACATGATCTGACTGGATCCTTTCATGGGGTGATGCCAGAGCTCAATCTGGTTGAATCCTGGATCCTGCTATGTGGTGCCTGCTTCTTAATGCTGTCCCTGATCCTCAGTTCAAGCACTTAGGTTCCCCCTGTGGTTGCATGCTTGGTTCATCTAAGCATGCTCAGGTTACATGACCCTCAGGGTCCATGGCAACTGAAAAATGACTGACAACTTTATTACATAAAAGTTGAACTAGATTGGTCTGGTATGGTGACAAAGTTACTTAAGCACTCTACCCTTGTCTTCTCTTCTACAAAATGAGGATAATTATAATTAATCGCATCTACTCACTGAGTTGCTTGAGAATTACATGAATTAATATTTGTAAAGTGCTTAAAATAATGCCTAGCGTATAATAAGCACCATATATGTAGTTGTATAATGAAATAATCAGTTCTATGGAATAAGAAGTATTATTCTTCACATTTTATCAGTAAGGAAAATAATATTTAAAGATATATAAGTAATTTGCCCAGGGTTCCATTGCTATTAATATAGCTGGGACTTTAATTAAAGCATATCTTACTCCAAAGTCCATGTTCTTAACCACAAATTCACCAGCATCGTCTTCTCAATGATTCATCCAAATCCTTGTTAAACACATTAAAGAATGTCATGACCA
The DNA here is from genome assembly GCF_000001405.40 of Homo sapiens. Taxonomy (NCBI): domain Eukaryota; kingdom Metazoa; phylum Chordata; class Mammalia; order Primates; family Hominidae; genus Homo; species Homo sapiens. Next base: position 25,364,312 of record NC_000010.11, read on the forward strand.
GGGGCCTTAGAATACACTGCCAGAAATCTCCCCCTATTAATCAGAACCGTTTGTTAATCATTCAACAGTATCCTCAAATCTTTTTTCCATTTCTCCATAAATTTGAAAAATTTTAAACAATCCGTGAATAATGATTTGAAGTACACACATATGCCTTCTATGTATATCCCTGATTCGCCATTGCAACAGACGATCTCACAAAGGAAATGAGGGTACTTAAACATTTTTGACTCTTTAATGCTAATGCTGATTACTCCTGATGTTCCTTCAAAGGATATTATTTCTGATTCTGTATTCAGAATGGTACTTTTAAGAGTTTCTCAGTGTTCCTGAATACCTTTCCTGTCTGAATTTTATGTATATTTTATTGAATAATTTTTCTCTTCTGCATTTAAAAATCTGTCTTATTAAAGTCTAGGAGAGCTGTCAATTATAGTTGGCCTTCCCATTGACAGATATTAGGAATGCTAAGAAGATATAGCTACTTTCTTTAAAATTTATATTTCCGGTCAAATGTGTTTGTTTTGGTGGTTAGAATTAGATTTAGAGTAGCAGACAAGGCAAAGCATACTAAATTTCGATTACTTGAAAGAGTGTGTCCGCACACTTTGAATGAGTTATGCCATAGAGAGCATTTAGAAGGGCTTGCTTTAATAATAAAGAATAAATACAGAAATAATCAACATTTCAACTGTCTATGTAAAACTATGTTTTCCTAAAGTACTTGAAAACATTTTTGTATGTTAAATATTTATTTAAAATTTTTTCCTATTTTGGAAAACATTATTTTGGTAGTTTAATAGTTAACTAAGGACATATATACATCCTGTAAATCTTTCTGGAATAACAAGATAAATTGTTAAAAATTTTTCATGTTTGCAGATGAAAAGATAGCAATTACATCAATTAAAATAATTTTCTTTGTGAGTGATAAACAATATTTAATTTTCTCCCCATTTAAACAATATTTAATTTTCTCCCCATAATAAAAGCTCAGTGTCATTTGGGAATACAGCATTTAGTTTTGATTTAGCGTTTAGTAGGCAGTCTAGTTCCTGCCTTTTGATTTAGCCCTATGCCCTTTATTCTGTACTTGATTTGCTAATTAGTATTGAAAAACCCTGCAAAATTTCACTGGGGAAATGCATATGTATATTCGGATTCTCAATACTTGAGAAGCAGCCAAGTATTTGGTGCATGCAAACACATTCTGAGTTTTGCATAATTCTTATATAATCACTTTTAATATCCAGAGGCTTCTTCCTTCAGTATCATTACATAGATCCTATATCTATCAGGAAGAATGGAGTAGACAAAATATTCTGATTCTATCAAATAAGTCATAATAAAAAATACAATTTCTTTGACAGGTGAAGGAGAAAGGAACTAAAAGATCCTTTGGAGGGATAGTATGGCTTAGTGTAAATTTTATGTTTTTATTGACATATAAATGTTTCATAAAAGCACATAATAAGTATACAGCACAATGAATTGTCACAAAGAGAACGTACTTCGAGAGAAAACATTCCAAAACTCCAGAAGGCCTCCTTATGTCCCCTACCCAATCACATCCTCCTCACTGTTTCCCCAAATTAACAGACATTCTGGTTTTTAACACTGTATATTACAGTTTTCTTTTTAAAAACCTTACATAAATAGTATTATATAATTTAGCATATATGACTTATTTTGTTCAACATTGAGTGATTAAAAGATACATCCATCTTGTATATAACACTAATATATTTACTTTTATTGTTGTATAGTATGTTATTATTTTAATATAGCACAATTTATTTCTTCATTCTACTGTAGACAAACTTTTGTTTTTGTTTTTGTTTTTGTTTTTTTGGTAATTTGGGACTGTTACAAATAGTCCATTTATTTTTGCATTTATATTGGGGCATATCCACCTATCTTTCAGTTGGGTACATACCTAGGATTCAAATAGTTGGATAATAGGATGTGTTATTTTCAAATTTAATAGATAATTCCAAACCTATATCCAGATTACATCAATTTATACATTCACCAGCTCTTTGTGAGGTTTCTATTCTCACTAAAACTTTGTCAGTTTGAGTTTTGTCCATTTTGATGACTGAGCACTGGTTCTTTTAGTTTTTAAACTTTAACAAATAAAAATTATATGTATTTATGGTTTACAACATGGTATTTTGATCTGTGCACACATTGTGGAATGACTGAATCAAGCTAACTAAAATATTAATTACCTCACGTATATATCATTTTTGTGATGAGAACATATAAAATCTACTCTCAGCAATTTTCAAATATACAATACTTAGTTAATTAATGATGTGTGTTAACACCATGTAGTACAATGGATCTCCTGAACTTATTCCTCCTGTCTAGCTGAAATTTTGTATTCTTTGACCAGAATCTCTCCAATTCACCCTGTCCTTGCCCCTGGCCACTGGTAATCACCATTCTACTCTCTGCTTCTGTGAATTTGACACTTTTAGATTGTGTATTGATTAAATTTTTTTTGATGATTATGAGGTTGAAACCTTTCTATATGTTTATTAACCATTGTAATGTTCTGTTTAAGACTTTTGCTCCATTTCACATTGGCATGTCTATCTTTTTCTTATTCAGACGGAAGAGTTCTTTTATATTGTAGCTATAGACCTTGTTTAATTTGAGATACTTTTTCCTGTTCTATAGCTTGACATTTTACTTTATAAATTGTCTATTGATCAAAAGTTTTTAATTTTAATGTATTTCTTTATATTTAATAATACCCCAAATCATGAAGTTTTTCTTCTTTGTTATATGTTAGAAACTTAATTGCTTTCTACTCCATATTTCATCTATAATCAAAACCAGAATTTATTTTTATATGTGCTGGGAAGTAGGGGAAAATTTTATATTTCTACATAGGGCTACCCAAGGGACCTAGCATCATATACTGAAAAGACTATGTTTTTTTCCTACTACCTGTGTCATACATCATCACTCCTTGGGTACATGGATTTTTTTTTCTCTAGACTCTATTCTGAATCATTGTGCAATTTTTCTTGACTTATGTCAATACTACATTATTATAATTACTGTTGCCTTACAAAAAGTTTCGATAACTTATACAATAAGCCCCCCAGTTTTCCTTTGTTCTTTTTCAAGATTTCGTTTTGGCTCTTCTTGGCCATTTGCATTTATATACACATTTCTATACAAAATTTGGGCTTAGTTTGTCAATTTGGAAGTTATTATAGCCATAGATGAATTCTGACAAATGGAAATCTTGATAATAGTCTTTCAACCCATAAACATGAGAATATCCTTCCATTCATATTTTCTTTAATTTATCTCAGTAAGGTGGGGTTTTTGTTTGTCTCTGACCTCTTCATTTATCACCTTATATATTTCAAAGTCACATATTTAGATACAGAACAATTTGGGTTGTGACACCTTCCTGCTGGATTGGCATTTTCATTTCTTCAGATGTCCCTTTTAAACTCTGGTAATGGTTTTTGCCTTAAGATCTACTTTGTTTGATATTAATATAGTTGCACAAACTCTCTTCTGTATATGTTTGCAGGGAATGCTCTTTGGATATATGCCAATGCCCCATACATATACTGTCAGATTTTTCAGTGATTGTAATAAACAGGCTGGATTTCCAATTGCCTGAGGGCTGCCCCTGTTGCCTGGATCATGGAAACTTCAAGTGCCAGAGAATTAATATTTTTGAGAATAGCTTTCAACCTTACTCAGATGTGGTGTCTCTGAAGTTCATCTTTTAAGCTGACTTTTAGAATTCCCTAGAGGAATTAGCCCCACCTGCCAGAATGGCAGCTCTCTGGATGAAGTACTGTCTATTTGATCCTGCCTTCCTTTTCCTTTCTGCCTTACTTCCCTTCTCCAGTTTTGTGGAGTTACCTCCTAAATAAACTACTGGTATTTTAATCCTTGTTTCAGGATCTACTTCTGATGTATCCCCAGTAAGACAGTATTTTTTTTTAGAGTAAACAGACAACCTACAGAATGGGAGAAAATATTTGCAAATTATGCATTTGACAAAGATCTTATATCTAGCATCTATGAGAAATTTGTAAGAAAAAAGCAAATAACCTCATTAAAAAGTGGGCCAAAGACATGAATAAACACTTTTCAAAAGAAGACATACATATGGCCAATGATCATATGGAAAAAATCTCAATATCACTGATAATTGCAGAAATGCAAATCAAAACCACAGTGAGATACCATCTGAACCAGTAAGAATGGCTATTATTAAAAGTCAAAAAATAACAGATACTGGTGAGGTTGCAGAGAAAAAGGACTGCTTATACTCTGTTGGTGGGAGTGTAAATTTGTTCGGCCATTGTGGAAAGCAGTGTGGTGATTCTTTAAAGACCTAAAAACAATTCTGTGAAGAAAGTCATTGGTAGCTTGATGGGGATGGCATTGAATCTGTAAATTACCTTGGGCAGTATGGCCATTTTCATATTGATTCTTCCTACCCATGAGCATGGAATGTTCTTCCATTTGTTTGTATCCTCTTTTATTTCCTTGAGCAGTGGTTTGTAGTTCTCCTTGAAGAGGTCCTTCACATCCCTTGTAAGTTGGATTCCTAGGTATTTTATTCTCTTTGAAGCAATTGGGAATGGGAGTTCACTCATGATTTGGCTCTCTGTTTGTCTGTTATTGGTGTATAGGAATGCTTGTGATTTTCGTACATTGATTTTGTATCCTGAGACTTTGCTGAAGTTGCTTATCAGCTTGAGATTTTGGGCTGAGACAATGGGGTTTTCTAGATATACAATCATGTCATCTGCAAACAGGGACAATTTGTCTTCCTCTTTTCCTAATTGAATACCCTTTATTTCCTTCTCCTGCCTAATTGCCCTGGCCAGAACTTCCAACACTATGTTGACTAGGAGTGGTGAGAGAGGGCATCCCTGTCTTGTGCCAGTTTTCAAAGGGAATGCTTCCAGTTTTTGCCCATTCAGTATGATATTGGCTGTGGGTTTGTCATAGATAGCTCTTATTATTTTGAGATACATCCCATCAATAGCTAATTTATTGAGAGTTTTTAGCATGAAGGGTTGTTGAATTTTGTCAAAGGCTTTTTCTGCATCTATTGAGATAATCATGTGGTTTTTGTCTTTGGCTCTGTTTATATGCTGGATTACATTTATTGATTTGCGTATATTGAACCAGCCTTGCATCCCAGGGATGAAGCCCACTTGATCATGGTGGATAAGCTTTTTGATGTGCTGCTGGATTCGGTTTGCCAGTATTTTATTGAGGATTTTTGCATCGATGTTCATCAAGGATATTGGTCTAAAATTCTCTTTTTTGGTTGTGTCTCTGCCCAGCTTTGCTGTCAGGATGATGCTGGCCTCATAAAATGAGTTAGGGAGGATTCCCTCTTTTTCTGTTGATTGGAATAGTTTCAGAAGGAATGGTACCAGTTCCTCCTTATACCTCTGGTAGAATTCGGCTGTGAATCCATCTGGTCCTGGACTCTTTTTGGTTGGTAAGCTATTGATTATTGCTACAATTTCAGCTCCTGTTATTGGTCTATTCAGGATTCAACTTCTTCCTGGTTTAGTCTTGGGAGAGTGTATGTGTCAAGGAATTTATCCATTTCTTCTAGCTTTTCTAGTTTATTTGCGTAGAGGTGTTTGTAGTATTCTCTGATGGTAGTTTGTATTTCTGTGGGATCGGTGGTGATATCCCCTTTATCATTTTTTATTGCATCTATTTGATTCTTCTCTCTTTTTTTCTTTATTAGTCTTGCTAGCGGTCTATCAATTTTGTTGATCTTTTCAAAAAACCAGCTCCTGGATTCGTTAATTTTTTGAAGGGTTTTTTGTGTCTCTATTTCCTTCAGTTCTGCTCTGATTTTAGTTATTTCTTGCCTTCTGCTAGCTTTTGAATGTGTTTGCTCTTGCTTTTCTAGTTCTTTTAATTGTGATGTTAGGGTGTCAATTATGGATCTTTCCTGCTTTCTCTTGTGGGCATTTAGTGCTATAAATTTCCCTCTACACACTGCTTTGAATGCGTCCCAGAGATCCTGGTATGTTGTGTCTTTGTTCTCGTTGGTTTCAAAGAACATCTTTATTTCTGCCTTCATTTCTTTATGTACCCAGTAGTCATTCAGGATCAGGTTGTTCAGTTTCCATGTAGTTGAGTGGTTTTGAGTGAGTTTCTTAATCTTGAGTTCTAGTTTGATTGCACTGTGGTCTGAGAGACAGTTTGTTATAATTTCTGTTCTTTTACATTTGCTGAGGAGAGCTTTACTTCCAAGTATGTGGTCAATTTTGGAATAGGTGTGGTGTGGTGCTGAAAAAAATGTATATTCTGTTGATTTGGGGTGGAGAGTTCTGTAGATGTCTATTAGGTCCGCTTGATGCAGAGCTGAGTTCAGTTCCTGGGTATCCTTGTTAACTTTCTGTCTCGTTGATCTGTCTAATTTTGACAGTGGGGTGTTAAAGTCTCCCATTGTTATTGTGTGGGAGTCTAAGTCTCTTTGTAGGTCACTCAGGACTTGCTTTATGAATCTGGATGCTCCTGTATTGGGTACATATATATTAAGGATAGTTAGCTCTTCTTGTTGAATTGATCCCTTTACCATTAAGTAATGGTCTTCTTTGTCTCTTTTGATCTTTGCTGGTTTAAAGTCTGTTTTATCAGAGACTAGGATTGCAACCCCTGCCTTTTTTTGTTTTCCATTGGCTTGGTAGATCTTCCTCCATCCTTTTATTTTGAGCCTATGTGTGTCTCTGCATGTGAGATGGGTTTCCTGAATATAGCACACTGATGGGTCTTGACTCTTTATCCAATTTGCCAGTCTGTGTCTTTTAATTGGAGCACTTAGTCCATTTACATTTAAAGTTAATATTGTTATGTGTGAATTTGATCCTGTCATTATGATGTTAGCTGGTTATTTTGCTCATTAGTTGATGCAGTTTCTTCCTAGTCTCGATGGTCTTTACATGTTGGAATGATTTTGCAGTGGCTGGTACCAGTTGTTCCTTTCCATGTTTAGCGCTTCCTTCAGGAGGTCTTTTAGGGCAGGCCTGGTGGTGACAAAATCTAAAGAGCCCGCATCGCCATGTCAATCCTAAGCCAAAAGAACAAAGCTGGAGGCATCATGCTACCTGACTTCAAACTATACTATAAGGCTACAGTAACCAAAACAGCATGGTACTGGTACCAAAACAGAGATATAAATCAATGGAACAGAACAGAGCCCTCAGAAATAATGCCACATATCTACAACTATCTGATCTTTGACAAACCTGAGAAAAACAAGCAATGGGGAAAGGATTCCCTATTTAATAAATGGCGCTGGGAAAACTGGCTAGCCATATGGAGAAAGCTGAAACTGGATCCCTTCCTTACACCTTATACAAAAATCAATTCAAGATGGATTAAAGACTTAAACGTTAGACCTAAAACCATAAAAACCCTAGAAGAAAACCTAGGCATTACCATTCAGGACATAGGCAAGGGCAAAGACTTCATGTCTAAAACACCAAAAGCAATGGCAACAAAAGCCAAAATTGACAAATGGGATCTAATTAAACTAAAGAGCTTCTGCACAGCAAAAGAAACTACCATCAGAGTGAACAGGCAACCTACTAAATGGGAGAAAATTTTCGCAACCTACTCATCTGACAAAGGGCTAATATCCAGAATCTGCAATGAACTCAAATAAATTTACAAGACAAAAACAAACAACCCCGTCAAAAAGTGGGCGAAGGACATGAACAGACACTTCTCAAAAGAAGACATTTATGCAGCCAAAAAACACATGAAAAAAATGCTCATCATCACTGGCCATCAGAGAAATGCAAATCAAAACCACAATGAGATACCATCTCATACTGGTTAGAATGGCAATCATTAAAAAGTCAGGAAACAACAGGTGCTGGAGAGGATGTGGAGAAATAGGAACACTTTTACACTGTTGGTGGGACTATAAACTGGTTCAACCATTGTGGAAGTCAGTGTGGTGATTCCTCAGGGATCTAGAACTAGAAATACCATTTGACCCAGCCATCCCATTACTGGGTATATACCCAAAGGGCTGTAAATCATGCTGCTATAAAGACACATGCACACATATGTTTATTGCGGCATTATTCACAATAACAAAGACTTGGAACCAACCCAAATGTCCAACAATGATAGACTGGATTAAGAAAATGTGGCACATATACACCATGGAATACTATGCAGCCATAAAAAATGATGAGTTCATGTCCTTTGTAGGGACATGGACGAAATTGGAAATCACCATTCTCAGTAAACTATCGCAAGAACAAAAAACCAAACACCGCATATTCTCAGTCATAGGTGGGAATTGAACAATGAGAACACATGGACACAGGAAGGAGAACATCACACTCTGGGGACTGTTGTGGGGTGGGGGGAGGGGGGAGGGATAGCACTGGGAGATATACCTAATGCTAGATGACGAGTTAGTGGGTGCAGCAAACAAGCATGGAACAGGTATACATATGTAACTAACCTGCACATTGTGCACATGTACCCTAAAACTTTAATAATAATAAAATAAATAAATAAATAAAATGGAAATTAATACAAAGAAAAAAAGACCTAAAAACAGAACTGTCATTTGACTCAGCAATCTTATTACTCGGTATATACCCAAAGGAATATAAATTGTCTGTCATAAAAACACATGCATGCCTATGTTCATTGCAGCACTATTCATGATAGCAAAGGCATGGAATCAACCTAAATGCCCATCAACGGCAGATTGGATAAAGAAAATGTGGTGCATATGTGCTGTGGAATACTGTGCAGCCATAAAATAGGAGATCCTGTCCTCTGTAGCAGCATGGATGGAGCTGGAGGCCATTATCCCTAGCAAAATAACACAGGAACAAAATACTGCATATTGTCGTTTATAAGTGGGAGCTGAATGATAACACATGGACACAAATTGGGAAGCAACAGACACTGGGGCCCACTGGAAGGTGGAGAGCGGGAAGATGGAGAGGATCAGAGAAAAAAAAACTGTTCGGTACTAGGCTTAGTACCTGGGTGGCCAAATAATTTGTACAACAAACCCCCATGACAAGATAATAATAATGTTTTAAGTATTTCAAATATGTGTCTGTAATAATTATTGCTATAGATGAGATTTAAATCTACCGTCTGCTTTACATTTCTTTTTCTTATTTATGTATCTTCTTTGGGTTTATACAATATTGTTTTCAGTCTTCCTTTGTAGTATATGAATTTAGGGCGATAAATTTCTTATAAGCACAGATTTAGGTGCACTCAACAGCTTTTTATGTGTCATATTTACATTATCATTTGGTTCAAAATGTTTTCAATTTCCTTTTTGATTTTTGAGTTTTTTGACCCAAGGTAATATAGAAGTAAATATGTTACTTAGTTTCCAAGTATACTAGGATTCTTTAGTTATATTTTTGTGACTTATTTCTGTATGACTTCTAATGTGGCCAGGGAACATACTCTCTATTGTTTTAGTACTTTGAAATCTGTGGAGAGTCCCTTTTAGTCCACTGTATATTCAAATTTTATAAATCCAATTTATACACTTGAAAAGAATGACATTTATGCAGTGCTTTTTAATGTAATGGATATGTCATTTAGGTCAAATTTTTTGATTAGGTTGTTCAAATCTTCATACTTAATGATTTTTTGTGTAATTTTTCTACCATTACTGCAAAAAAATGTATTAAATCCCATACTATAATTGTGGATTGGTTCACTCTTTTTAGGTTTCTGTTAGAATTTTCCTTATTAAGTTTAAATGTATATTATTGGTGCATATATATTTAGAATTTTTGTTACTCATAAATGTGTCGTCGTGAAATGCCACTCTATTTCTTAGATTTATTTGCTTTAAATCCTTCTTTGTAAATGAATATACAGGCTTTCTTTTTGTTATTTTATATATAATATGTAGTTTTTTTTATAATAATTATCAATTCATGGAAAGTTGCAGAAGATATAGAGGGAGGTTTTCTATATTCATCACTCTGTATTCCCCAATGGTAACATCATATGTAACTGTGGTATAATATCAAAACTAGGAAACTGTCATTGGTAACAGTCCACAGAGCTTATTCAGATTTCATCAATGTTATATGCATTTATGTACATGTGTGCACTTCTATGCAATTTTATCACAAATGTAGGTTTGTATAACCATTACCACAATTACAATACAGAACTTCATTATGAAGCTTTCTATTCATAATTGCCATACCCACCTCCTTTCCTCCATTATGAATCCCTAACAACCATTAATTTCTTCTCTGCTTCTAAAATTTTTAAATTTAGAGTGTTGTCTAAATGGAATCATGTAATATGCAACCTTTTGAGACTGTTTTCTCCGCATAATTCATATGAGATCTGTCCAAGTTGTTGTGTGTATCAATCGTGTGTTCCTTTTTTATTACTATGTAGTATTCCATAATATGGATGTACTATGTTGGTTTAACCTTTATTCAAGTGAAGCATGCTTGATTTTTTGCAGTTTTGGCTCTTAAAAATAAAGCCAAACACTTATGTACAGGTTTTTATGTGAACAAAGTTAACTTTTTTTCTGGTTTAAATGCCTAAGAATGCAATTGTTATGTCACATGGAAAGTGCAAGTTTGATTTTATAAGCAATTTCCAAAGCATTTTCAGAGTGGTTGTACCATTTTACATCCCTATGATCAATATCTGAGAGATTTAGTTTCTCTGTATTCTTGCCAGTAGTTGGTGTGATCACTTTTATTTTAGCCCTTTTCATAAATGTGTGATAATATCTCTTTGTGGTTTTAATTTACATTTCCCTACTTGTGAATGATGATGAACATCTTTTCATGTACTTATTTTTCATAAGTATATCCTCTTTGTGAATGTTTATGTCCTTTGCGTATATTCTAATTGCAGTGCTTGTATTTTTACCCTTCAATTTTAAGAGTTTTGGAAATATTCTAGATTCTTTTTGGATAGGTTGCTTGCCATCATTTCTCCCAACCCATACCTCTCGTTTTCATCACAGGATTTTGAAGAACAAAAGATTTTAATTTTGATGAAGTCCAATTTTTAATTTTTTTCTTTATGAATTGTGTTTCTGATGTCAAGTCTAAAAATGTTCCACCTAGGTCTGACTTCTAATGTTTTTCTCTTTTTTTTCTACAATTCTTATAGTTTTACCTTTTAAATTTTAGCCCATGATCCATTTTGAGTTAGTATTTACATAGTATCACATAAGATGTGAATTTTAGGTCAGTTTTTTGTTTTCTTTTGTTTTGTTTTTTGTTTTTGCCTATCAATATCAAATAGCTCCAGTACCATTTGTTGAAAAAGTGATCCTTTTTCCGCTTAATTGTATTTGCGCATCTGTCAAAAATTAGTTGGGCATATTTTCATGAGTCTAAGTTTTCTATTTTTAAAAATTGAATCTTTTGCCTATTCCTTTGCTAATATCGTAGTGTCTTAATTACTGTAGCTTTGTAATGAGTTATAATATTGAATAGATTGATTTCTCTCATTTAATTCTTCCTTGTCGCAATTGTTTTAGTTATTCTAGGAGCTACAATTTTTAATGTAAGTTAATAAGGTTCCTTATGTATACAAAATATATAGTGGGATTTGATAGGAATTGCACTAAATCTATACATTACTTTGGGAAGAATTGACATCTTTATTATAGTGAATCTTCCAATCCATGAACATAGTATGTCTCCTCATTTATATAGGTCTTTGATTTCTTTAGCAGCATTTTGTAATTTTCAGCATACAGATGCCATACACTATTAGATTTATACCTAAGTATTTCATTTTCTTTTGGGTGATTATAATTGATATTGTGATTTTAATTTTGGATGATTATAAATGGTATTGTGATTTTCATTTTAGTTTCCACTTGTTTATTGTTAGTGTTTATAGATATAGTTGATTTTCATAAGTCTCTTGTGTATTTTTTTCCAATTAAAGACACATATATAGCTTTTAGGCGTGTTTCTTTTTAGTAGTTTATACTTAAACAATCTTAAAACATTTTAAATTATAGGGTTTTTTTGTTTGATACAGTTAATGATGTATTTGGCTTTGTATATACAGTTTTACAAATTGATTTCTAATTATCTTTCCTCTTTGATTCTTTCTGTAATTTCTTCTCACCACTGTCAATTTTGTGTTTTACACAAGTCTTCTCTGAGGGGTATCCTTACTATACGTAATTGTCAGTGATTTAAACCATACATATTGATTTAGATTACTCCACATATTTATCCATTCCATTGCTTTTTATTCCCTTTTGCAGCTTCAAACTTTTATCTGGGATCATTTTCTCTCTGCCTAATAAACACTTCTTAGTACTTCTGACAGTATTGGTCTGCTGCTAAAAAGTTATTTCAGATTCTAGATTTCTGAAAATATCTTTATTTAACTTTTACTGTTGATGGATATTTTTATAGTGTATACATCCTGAATTAGCAGTTATTTTCTTTCTGCACTTTCAGTCCCTAATTTATTGTCACCTTATTTTTGTTATTTGTGTTAAGGAGTCAGCTATATATTTTTATGTTGCTCCTTTGATTTATGTATATAACATATATATACATATGATTATATATGTAAAATTATATGTGTATATTTTTTAAACTACCAGCTCTAAAGTTTTTCTTTGTTTTTGATTTTAAGAAGTTTTATTATGATATGTGTAGGTGTTATTTTCTTTGTATTAATCCAGTTTAGGGTTTGTAGTGCCTCTTCAATACAAGCTTAATGTATCTTTGAGCATTTTTAGCCACTATCTTTTAAAATGGTTCTTTTTGCCTCATTAGTTCTCTCACCTCCCCTCTGGCTCTCCAATTATAGGTATGTTAGATATTTTTACTATGTTTTCTATTGTTCCCATGTTCTTTTCTGTATTGTCCACTTTTTTGTTTCTCTGTGTTTAATTCCAGACTTTTAAATGTAATAACTCTGTTACCTGCATGCCATCATGTATGTTTGTTTCTGCAGTCTGTATTATATTTTTAGTTTTCAAGGAAATGTCTTCTTTTATTTACTTATTTTTTTGAAAACAGCTCTATTAAAATGTAATTCACATACTATAAAATTTACCTTTCTAAAGTGTAGAATTCAGTGATTTTAGTATATTCACAGAGTCATGCAACCATCATCACTAACTAATTTTAGAACATTTTTGTCACTTCAGACAGAAACCCTGTACTCATTAGGTTCATTCTCACCAGCAGCCAACACTTGGCAATCACTATTCTGCTTTCTGTCTTGATGGATTTGCCTATTCTGGACATTTTATATAAGTGAAATCATATAATATGTTGTCTTTTGTGACTGACTGCTTTCACCTAGCGTACTTTTTTGAGATTTATTTATGTTTAGCATGTATTAGTACTACATTCCTTTTTATTGCTGAATAATATTCCATTATATGGATAAACAACATTTTATTTATCCATTCGTCAGCTGATGGACATATGGCTTACTTTCATTTGGGGCTATTATGAATAATGCTACTATGAAAATTTTTGTGCATATTTTTATGTAGACATATGTTTTCAATTGTCTTGGGTATATATGTAGGAGGGGAATCTGGATCACATAGTAACTCTGTGTTTAACATTTACAGTGACTACTAAACTGTTCCAAAATAACTGCACCATTTTCAATCCCACCACAATGTATAAGCATTCCAGTTTCTCTGTATCCTTGCCAACACTTGTTTGCCTTTTATTGTTTAACCATCCTAGTAGGTGTGAAGTAGTATCTCATAGTGGTTCCTGGTTATTTTTTTAAAACTCTTATTGATGTCCAAAATAAATGCAGAATAGTGCACAAACTTAACTTGTCTAACCAGCATTCAGATGGGAACAGAGAATGATACGAGCAAAATTCAATTTTGCTCTTTCAATCACCAACTTATCCCTTTAGAAAGGTAACAACTATTCTGATTTCTAAGAGCATCTATTAATTGTGCTTGTTTTGTCCTTTGTATAAATGTAACCATATTTCATATAAACTGAATGGCTTAAAATGCAAATGAAATTGCTTTCTAATCAACACTGGAAAAACTACATAACAATGATAGGCAAGTTTTTTTTTTTAAATCATTGTTAGAAACCTGACAGACTGCTTGCCTTCCTACTTTCCTTCTTTCTTATTTTATTCGTATATACCATCTTAGTTTATATTTTTCCATTTGTCCCACTATGCTCTTTTTTCCTCTTTTCTTATGTTATTTGGTTTTAATACAGTATTTCTTTTTTTATTATTTAACTTTTCCTTCTCTTTGCCAGTTAGGCATATATATATATTGCTTATATTAATATTTTTTAATACTTTTAGTAGTTATTCTATGGATTTCAGCATGCATCCTTAGCTCACTAAAGACTGATGTAAGTTATTCCTTTTACCTTTCTTATAAAAAGTAAGATATCAGCACCATTTAACTGGATTTACTTCCCACCTGCCTTTATTTTTATTTTTATTTTTGTTTTGAGACAGGGTTTTGCTTTGTCACCCAGGCTGGGGTGCAGTGGCACAATCATAGCTCACTGCAGCCTCAAACTTCCAGGTTCAAATGATCCTCCTACTTCAGCCCCGAGTAGCTGGAACGACAGACATGTACTACTACACCTTGCTGATTTAAAATAAATTTTTCTGAGATGGGGTCTCACCGTGTTGCCCAGGCTGGTCTCAAAGTCCAGAGCTCAAGTGATCCTCTAGCCTTGGACTATCAAAATGCTGGGATTACAGGCATGAGCCACTGTGCCCAACCCCACCTGCCTTTTATATTGCATTTAATTTCAATATACGTCTTAAATCCATGAGACATTATTATTACTATTACCATCTTCTATCATCAATATTAATTTAGATTTACTCGCATATTTACTTTCTATTGCTATTCATTCCCTCCTGTATCTTTGGGCTTCTGTGTGGTGTAATTTGAGATTGAATGTCAGGCATCGTGTTGTTACAGTGGTTCTGGATGCATTATCTTTTTCCAGAGAGGCTTTAACCTATCTCTGATAAGTAACTTGATATAGACATATCACCTTAACCCAACCAAAGCTTGAGCTGTCCCAGTGATGGATAGTAGTCCATGAAAGGCTCAAACTAGTTTTTATTCACTCTTAACTTACAGAGGCTGTCATTGAGAAAGCCAGGATTGTTTACTAGGACCTTTATCCATACAGGGTCCTAAATTCCGAAGTAGTCTCCTTAACATTGTGATACGGCAAAAGACTTCTTTTTCTCTTCAGCTTCTGCTTAGTTTCTTAGAGTTTCACTCTGGGCAGATTAAGAATTCAACAAATTTTTTTGAGGATTAGCTTTTTTTTTTTTTTTTTTCTGTACTTCCCTTCTCTCTGAGATTTTGTCTTCCTGATTATTTTTCTAGCCCCAAACTTGATTTTTTCTTTTCTTCTCATGCCTGTGAGAGTGCCAAAACTTAGGTGGCATCTCTTCTTCTTATCAGCTTACATCTGTCTGCATTCTCAGTCTTCCCCCAGTGCTTCATATCATGAAATACTCGGTTTAATACAGAAATGCAGAACACAGGACTTTTATTTACCTCCTTTTTTTTTTTACCTTGGATCTTGGTCCCTCCATTTTGGCTTCACATAAGCTTTCTTATGCCTCTCCATAGGGTTTTTTTTTTCTTTTTTCTTTTGTATTTTATCCAGATGTTCTAATTGTTTTGGTAGGTGCTACAGCTTGCTAACAAACTATTGTTTCATAGAAAAAAACTGAGTTCAGTTTTGTTCTTTTTTTCCCTCATTTCACTAATATTTATTGAGCACCTACTATGTGTCATGCTTGTGCTAGGATTTGGGAACATTGCAGTGAAGAAGACAACCCACTATCCAGCTTAAGAAATAGATTGTCACAAGTCTCTTAGAAATCCCAAGTGCTCCTCCCTCATCCTATACCTGTCTCCCTCACCAAACAGTAATCATTATCCTGAATTTTACGTTGATCACTGTTGTTCTTTGTAGTTTCAAATGTGTATATATCCTAAAGTGTACTTTATAAAGTTCTACATGTTTCTGCGTTTTATAAAACTGAAATCATATTATATGTACTCTCACACAATTTGCATTTGCTTCTTGATGTTTTAATTAGATCTATCTATATTTATGTATATAATGCAGTTCATTCATTTTTCTTTTTTTAGTATTACAATTAGTAATGTATTACATTTTATGTGTTTTTTCAATAAACACACATTTTGAATGTTTTGGAGTACAATTACTTAGTTGTAAGTTACATTCATCTTCAACTGTGTAAACAATGCCAAATCATTTTCCAATGTGTGTATATTAGATACTTTAATTTTTATTATTTTAACTTTTAAGAACTTATTCATGTAATCTGTATGGAATTAGGAGTAATAATTAAAAATAATGGTAAGATCACTCTGTGTAATATATAAGAAACGGATTCAAGGAATGCAAATTTGAGAAACCATATATGAAGCAGTTATACTAATTCTATTGAGTGATTATAGAGGCTTGGATTAGTATTATGACAATAGGGATGAGAAAGGCATTGATTTTACATATAGCTAAAAGGTAGAAGTGATGGAACTTGGAGAGTAAGGAAAAGTAAGTTTCTAATCTGGGCTTCTGCAGTTAGCAAGTATGCAGATAACCTTAACATTTGCACAAAAGTTATAAAATGACACAGAGATCAAATTTATAGTAAGAATAAGTATAGGACAGAGCCCTGGAAACCCCAGTTGGTAAGTCCAGGAAGAGGAAGAATGTCA
Organism: Homo sapiens; assembly: GCF_000001405.40. Taxonomy (NCBI): domain Eukaryota; kingdom Metazoa; phylum Chordata; class Mammalia; order Primates; family Hominidae; genus Homo; species Homo sapiens. The sequence continues at coordinate 25,381,086 of NC_000010.11, forward strand.
GCTCGGGGCTGAAAGGGAGTGGCAAAAGAAGTAGGAGGAGAATTGAATATTTGAGAATGGGAAGTCAAGGAAAGAAGTGTTTCATGAAAGAGGGAATGGTCAGAAGTGTCTCATTCTGCAGAAAAGTTAAAAAATTATAACCTGAAAATAGCTAATAGATTCAATGATGTGAACATCACTTGTGTATTTGGCAACATCAGATCAATGGAGCAAGGGTGGTGAGAGCCAAATTGCTCTGGTTTGATGAGGGAGGTAAGTAAATGGAGATAATGAGCATAGATAAATCCTTCAAGATGTTTGGGTAGTAACTAGAAGTGAATTTAGGGTTGAGAGACAGTTTAATTTTATTATTATGGTTTTTAATATGGCTGAGATTTGTGCACAGTTAATAATGAGGAACGTTGCTAGTAAAGAGGAAAAGGTTGAACAAGAAAGGGAACATTCTTGCTAGAGGAAGTCACTGGGAACATGTATGGCGAGAGTGGACAAATATTGAAATTAATCAGCTTTAAATAGGAGGGACATGGTTTCCATTTTACTAGGAGCATATGGGTGTAGGTTTAGTAGACTTGTTGGTTTGCTCAAAGGCAGTTGAAGGAGTTTCTTCTCATGGCTTTTATTTACATTTAAAAGTATTTTTAATTCATCTTGAATTCAAAGATATTATTCATATTAACTTATTTTGTTTAGCATTTTTTATTTTAAACAACAATTTATTTTAGCAAAATATTTAAAGAAGGACTACTCAAAAACAAACAAATCAAGCACACATGAAGTTTTTTATTGTAAACAGGGTAAAGCACATTTATAACAGGTCCAATTTTTGTTTTTGCTTGCGGGTTTTAAGCTGCCTGAGAACCAGACCATGATTTTGTTCTTTGTTGCCTCAGCAAATAATGCACAACAGGGTTCGGTAAGCAAGAGTTAAATTCTGTCAAGAGTGAAAACAAAGTCCCCAGTGATGTGAACTGTGACTGCGGGGAGCATGGGGTGTCAAAGTTAGAGCATAGATGCATCATAGTGAGTTTGTGATTTAGTGGAGGGGAGTGTTTCATTATCTGAAAGTGTCGAACATACAAAGAATTTACGTTTGTCAAGCCTTTGGGCTATTTCTGTAGGAAGGCCTAGAAAATTGGGCTTGCTCACTCGGCGAGATGTAATTCTGACATTTTCCTGAGTCAGTCTCAGCCCCCACAAGGCATCTTGCTGTGTGTCAGTGTGAAGTCTGCAGACTTGTAATGTGTCTGAACCAGATGCTGTGTTGCTATCCCTTAGCCCTGTTTTGTGAGAGCTGGCTCCATCGAACATAAGAACATTTCAAAAATTAATAATAGAAAAGTTTCTTTTTTAATTTTAACGATGTCATAAAATAAAACATCCTCTCTTCTGCCCCCAACCCTACCCCAGTTTATCATACTTTTAAAACTGGGTTCTGACAGCTGCTGAATAATAGAGATAAGATGTTCTTTTTCTCCCTTGTGAAATACTGCATTATTTGTTATTCATGGGTTCTTGTTTTCCTGGAAGGTGGTTTGGTAAAATATGTGAGTGATGTGTACCCTATGATTACCAGGAGGCCTTTTAGATTTCCTGTTTGAGTGTTTTCCTTTGGCTTTAATAAACTTGCAAATAGTTGTGGGAAAGAGGCTACTGAATGTTAATATAATTGACCTGTTTTAGTACAAAGTCTCCCCAAACCCACTCCCAGATGAGCAGATTCATTCATTTATTTATTTTATTTTATTTTTATTTATTTATTTTTTTGAGATGGAGTCTCACACTGTCGCCCAGGCTGGAGTGTAGTGGCATGATCTCGGCTCATTGCAACCTCCTTCCTTCTCCCAGGTTCAAGCGATTCTCCTGCCTCAGCCCCCTGAGTAGCTGGGATTACAGGTGCCTGCCACCACACCCGGCTTATTTTTGGTATTTTTAGTAGAGATGGGCTTTCACTATGTTGGCCAGGCTGGTCTGGAACACCTGACCTGACGATCCACCTGCCTCCGTCTCCCAAAGTGCTGGGATTACAGGCATGAGCCGCCGCTCCCGGCCCAGATGAGAAGATTCAACGTTTTAAAGTATTTCTTCATAAGTTACAAAGAAGGAGTAAAAAAATATTAAAAGCTGCTGCCTTTTTAAAAATCTAGAAGCCTCCATTTCTACTTCATCTTGCTAGTGTCAAGCTTTTAATCTTTCTTTATGCCTCTGTGGTGTTGCCATCTGCTTTTTGAATAAGGCTCAGTAATCAATACAGCAGGAAACTTGCTGGAATTAGATAAGTCTCCGGTCAAAACAAAGGAGAGCTATGCATTTGCCACTAAAGCAAAAAAGAAGTGACAGACCAGACTGCCATAGAAACACCTTTGTTTCCACTGCAGAGACTTACCTGAGGCACAAGGGGGGTTTCGTTTTCAGGAAATTTAGGCGGAGAAAAGGCACTTTACCTGGATGCCCTGAAATGAAGGCTTGTTTCCTAAGATTTGAGTTGAGGAACTCTGCATCGGGAAGGGAGAGATTCATTTGTAAAAATTGTAACAGGTGTGGGACTTAATTGCATTTCTTAAAGTATATTTCATATGTACATTTTCAAATTAATAATCTTCCCTTATTTGAAGCTTAATGATCCAGCAAACTGGTCCATCTGGAATACTGCCTGAAACCAAGAAGAATAGAAAAAAAAAAGTTGAAACAATCAAAAGAGACTCTAAAGTGACCATGCACTAGCATCTGTTCCTCATTTATGGAATACTTCTGTGAGCCTATACTTCCTAGGCAGTGATTGATACTCTTTGGAGCCACACCCTTGGGGTTGAATCCTGGCTCAGCCAGTTGCTAGCTGTGTGGTTTTGGGCAAGTTACTTTAGCAGTTTGTTCCTCAAAGTTCTCATCTCTAAAATGGAAATAATAACAGAGTTGCTATAGAATTGAGTTAATACTTGTGCAGCAGTGCCTGGTATGTGGTAAACAGTAAATATTAACTATTTATTATCTTATTTACCCTTACTTTATTATTTATTATCTCATATACCCTGCATGCTTTGCGATCTAGTTTCCAGATATGCAGGCAGTTGTAACTATGATTTGAAAGGGAGAAAAGACATTTGTAGAGTTAAGTCTATATTTTAGGATTAAAATAGCCTATAGTTTAGGATAAAATTTTGAGCTGCCAGCTCAAAATAAAGAATAAAAAACCATGAAAACTAAGCATAAGAACTCAAAAAGTACAGCACTCTGGGCTATTTAATGTGTGAGAAAATAGCCATAAACTTTCAATGGCTCCAGAGGGCATTAGTGAATTTCAACACAATTCAGTACCTATTGTTCAGCGTAATGATTCTGACTCATGAAGAAGATGTTAAATTCTGTTCACAGTGTTCAGAAGAAGATGTTAAATTCTGTTCATGGTGTTCAGTTTAGAGAAATCAGAAAGAATTTTACATTTTAGGAAAATTCCAAAACAAAAATTTTAAAAAGGCATTTAAAGATCCATTTCTAGAAGATTTGGAATTACATAAACTTTATTTATTTGATTTTTTTTTCTGACACCTCTTTTCAGTCCAAGTTAGTTTTTTTCAGAATTATTTATAAATGTGGTTTTTCGGCACAAGTATTATTTCTGTTAAAACAAGTCTTCCCTGTATGCACCTCATCTTAGCTTTCATTTTAGCCATTCCATTTCTCAGTAATATCTCCATACAAATCTTCTTGACTGTCAGGCTGACCAGGTTTTGCTCTGCAATTATGTTTACCAGGAGTTGGCAGTCTGAGGTATGTGAGATGAGATATACATCATGCCGATTGCAATACGACCTTTAATGTTTACATACACATCTTTGAACTAGAAAGATCATTTTGCTCTAAAATATTTTTTTAAAAATTTAATTGTGGTAAAAATACATAATATAAAAATCTAACTATCTTAACCTATTTAACTGTACAATTTGGTAATGTTATTTATATTCATTGTTGTGTGACAGAGCTCTAAAAATTTTTCATGTTGCAAAATGGAAACTCTACACCCATTGAACAACTCCTCATATTCCCTTGCCCCTAACCCTTGGAAAACACCGTTCCACTTTCTATTTCTATGAGTTTATCTACTTCAGGTACCACATATAGGTGGTATCATAGAGTATTTGGCTTTTTGTGCTAGGTTTATTTCACCTAGCATAATGTCCTCTATGTTCAACCATGTTGAAGCAGATGATAGAGTTTCCTTCTCTTTTCAATTCTGGATAATATTCCATTATTTTTATATATCACAGTTTGTTTATCCATTTATTTGTTGATGGGTATTTGGGTTACTTACAACTCTTGGCTATTTTAAATAGTGCCACTATGAATATGGGTATGCAAATAGCTCTTCAAATTCCTGCTTTGAATTATTTTGGATACATACCAAAAAGGGATTGCAAGACCATATAGTAATTCTGTTTTTAATTTTTTTGAGAACCTTCATACTGTTTTCCATAGTGGCTACACCATTTCATGTTTTCACCAACAGTGCACAAGGGTTCCAATTTTTTCCACATCCTCAGAAACATTTATTATTATTATAATTTTTTGATAGTGGCCATACTAATGGAGGTGGGATAATATCTCGTTGTGGTTTTGATTTGCATTTCTCTAAGTATTTAGTGATGTTTAACATCTTTTCATTGGCTTATTGGCCATTGGTATATTTTCCTTGCAGAAATTTGCCCACTTAAAATCAGGTTATTTGTTTTTCTGTGTCATTGTGTTGCAGGAGTTCTTTATGTGCTCTGGATATTAGCCCTTTATCAGATACATGGTTTGCAAATGTTTTCTCCCATTCTGTAGGCTGACTTTTCATTCTGTTGATTGTATTGCATTCTTTGATGCAAATAAGTTTTTAAATTTGATGTAGTCCCATTTGTCTATTTTTGGTTTTGTTGGTTGTGGATTTGATGTCATATCCAAGAAACCATTCCCAAATCTAATGTCATAAGGCTTTTCCCATTTTTCTTCCAGAGTTTTATAGTTTTAGGTGTTATGTTTAAGTCTTAAATCATATTGATTAAGTTTTGTATTTGGTGTTAGGTAAAGGTCTGACTTTATTCTTTTGCATGTGCATATTCCATTTTCCAAATACCACCTGTTGAAGAGAATGTCCTGTCCTCACTGAATTGTTGAAGACAATTTGAACATTATATGTAAGGGTTTATTTCTGGGCTGTCTATTCCATTTGTCTATATGTCTGTCTTTATGCCAGTACCACACTGTTTTGATTACTATAGCTTTGTAGTGTGTTTTGAAATCAGAAAGTGTGATGCCTCCAACTTAGTTCTTTTTCAAGATTGTTTTGATGATTTCGGGTGCTTGGGATTCCATATAAGTTTAGGACATTTTTTCGATTTCTGCAAAAAATGTCATTAGGATTTTGATATGGATTACATTCAATCTGTAGTTTTGCTTTGCTTTGAATAGTATGGATATTTTAACAATATTAAGTCTTTCAATTCAGTGTTGCAATGAACACTGGATGTCACTGTCACTTATTTATGTCTTTTAACATTTCTTTCAGCAATATTTTACAGTTTTCAGAGTATACTTCTTTCACCTTCTTGGTTACTCCTAATCATTTTATTCTTTTTGATATTTTCATTTTATTCTTTTTGATATTATTGTAAATGAGACTGTTTCTAAACTTACTTTTGGATTATTCATTGTTTTTATATAGAAACAACCAATTTTGGCATGTTGATTTTTGTATCCTACATGTTTGCTGGATACATTTATTAGTTCTAGTAGTTTTTGTGTGTGTGGAATTTCAGGGTTTTCTACCCTCAAATTATATAAGATCTTGTCATCTGTGAACAAAGATAATTTTACTTTTTAATTTCCTTTTTGGATGCCCTTTAGTTTTTTTTCTTGACTAATTGTTCTGGCAAGGACTTACAGTACTATGTTTCGTGAAAGTGGAGAGAGAAGGCTTTCACACCTTGTACTTGAGCTTAGAGGAAAAGTTTTCAGTTTTTTACCATTGAGTATGATGTTATCTGTGGTTTTTCATGTATGATCTTTAATATGTTGAGGTAATTTCCTCCTATTTTTAGTATGTTGGGTGTTTTTATCATAAAAGGGTGTTGCATTGTGTCAGATGCTTTCTCTGCATCACTTGAGATGATCGTTTGGTTTTGTCCTTCATTCTGTTGATGTGTGTAACTACACTGATTGCTTTTTGTGTGTTTAACTATCCTTGAATTCTAGAAATGAATCCCACTTGTTTGTGGTGTATAATCCTTTTTAATGTCTGTTGAATTTCTGGTGAATTTGGTTTGAGATTTTTGCATCAATATTCATCAGGAATACTTGTCTATTGTTTTCTTTTCCAAGAGTATACTTATCTGGCTTTGGTATAGTGTAGTGCTGACATCATAAAATGAGTTTGGGAATGTTCCTTTCTCTTCAAATTTTTTTTTTTTTTTTTGAGACAGGGTGTTGCTCTGTCACCCAGGCTGGAGTGCAGTGGCATGATCTTGGCTCACTGCAACCTCCGCCTCCTGGGTTCAAGTGATTCTTGTGCCTCAGCCTCCTGAGTAGCTGGGACTACAGGCACACGCCACCATGCCTGGCTAATTTTTGTATTTTTAGCAGAGACAGGGTTTCACCATGTTGGCTAGGATGGTCTCGATCTCCTGACCTCATGATCCACCTGCCTCAGCCTCCCAAAGTGCTGTGATTACAGGTGTGAGCCACCGTGCCTGGGCTTCTCCTCAATTTTTTGCAAGAGTTTAAGGAAGATTGTTGTTTATTCTTTTATACATGTTTAGTAGAATTCTCCATTGAAGACATCTGGTTATGGGCACTTTTTTATTGGGAAGTTTTTTGATTACTGAATTTAATCTCCTTACTAGTTATATATCTGTTCTTTTTTATTATGATTCAATCTTGATAGCGTGTATGTTTCTAGAAATTTATCCACTTCACTCTAAACTCTTGACCACCATATCTTATGCAATTGGATCTGGTCTGCTCCTAGGAACCTGGATTTGATTGTGAGTTCTTAAGAGCTGTCTTTTGTAAATCTCTGCTGGTGGCTTGTTAAGGTTCATCAAAGTAGGCTTCCAATATTGTAAGCAGCTTCCTTATTCAGGGGTACAATAATGACGGCAATCGTGGGCCATCCAGAGCAGCTGCTGTCATTATGCCAGCTGCATTGGTGAGGTGAGAGCGGTGGCAGCAGGAGTGGTTGTGGGAGCAGCAGTGGCGGCAGTGGGTCCTCTGTGGCCTGAGTCCCTGAGGCAGTCAACCACACCACCCCCACCCTTGCATGGCCAGGCAGAACCTGTTCCCAGGCCCAGAGCCTCTGCTGTGGCCTTAACCTTGCTCCCTGCCATGTCCCACGGGCCCATAAGCACCAGGCCAAATGTGCAGCCAGGACTCATGGGGCTGGCCCCAGGAACATTGGAGTCATTTTTGTGGGGTTGGCCAGGTCCACTGTACCACCTTCATCTCACCCATTGCCCTGGGAGCTATCGCAATGAGGCCAGGCCAGGTCACCTGCTGGTGGAGGAGCAGCATGGTCAGGCATGAAGGGCGGGCAGAAGTGGAGCTGGGTCTGGGGCAGTGCTGTGCTCCATGGAGCCAGTGGGAGCTGGGAGCAGGCAAGATTCCTGCACTCCCATGTGTGGCTGCAGCTGCCCAAGTTGTGGCTGCAGACCCAGGCATTTTGCACTCTTGGGGGGCCTGGGAAGGCCCCCTCCCTTGCCCACACAGGCTTGGAGGTGTCTGCTCCCATTGCCTGGCCTCTCCTTGCTTTCAGTGCCCACTCCAATCATGGAGCAAAGTTGAGGCTGAGCCCAGGTGCTGTTGCAACCTGACAGGGTGTGTGCTTGCTTGGGACAGTGCTGACAGGCCAGCCCCTGCCACCTTGGCCCCCTCTAGACTTTGGGCACCAATGAGCATGGGAGGGAGGCCCAGTGGGTGCTGAGGGAAGCTTGGCAGTGGCCTGCAGGCATCCCTTGGCACAAACAGCCTGGGTGCCATGAATGGTGGCAGGCATCAGACAAGATCCTGGGAAGAAGAGGGGAGGGTCCCCAGTGAAGCCCCACCTTCAGACAGGGGAGGTGGTGCCTTTTCCAGACCTGTCCATGGCCACCCATGGACCAATGGACATGTACTTCCTCCCTGCTGAGGCCCATAAAAGCCCTGCACTCAGCCAGACTCAAGGAGATGATGGGACAACCAACTGCAGAGAGGAGCTGCCCACCCCAGGGTCTCCTCTTTGCTGAGGGCTGAGGAGATGATGGGACATCCATTTGCAGAAAGAAATTAACCTCTCTGCTGAGAGCTCGACAGTCATCAGGATGACCTGCCTCACAGAGAGGAGACTCTCTGCTGAGAGCTGAACACTCGTTGGAACACTCTGGCTACAGAGAGGAGTTCCCCACTGCAGATCTCCTCTGAGCTGTTCTATTGCTCAATAAAACTCCTCTTTATCTTGTTGACCCTCCAGTTGTCTGTGTACATTCTTCCTGGATGGAGTACAAGAACTTGGGACCCGCTGAATGGTGGGGCTAAAAAAGCTGTAACACAAACAGGGCTGAAACACGCCCCTTGCATGCCATATTGTGGGTGACAAGAAGGAAAGAATAGAGAAGGAAAGAAGGGCTGTGGCCCTTTGGGGATCCCAGACCTGGAAGCTCCCTGAGCCAAGGCTGTGACATCCTTTTTAGGTCTCTGTGGTTCCTGGCATCCCCAAGCTTCTGGGCACCACACCACGTTTCTTGGTGTTAGCTGTTGATATGGTTTGGCTTTATTCCCACCCAAGTCTCATCTTGAGCTTTAGCTCCCATAATCCCCATGTGTTGTTGGAGGGACCTGGTGGGAGGTAATTGAATCATGGGAGCAGGTTTTTTCCATGCTGTTCTCATGATAGTGAATAAGTGTCATGAGATTTGATGGTTTTATAAAGGGCAGTTCCTCTTCGCATGCTCTCTTGTCTGCCACCATGTAAGACATGCTTTGGCTCCTCTTTTGCCCTCCATCATATTTATGAGGCTTCCCCATCCATGTGGAACTGTGAGTCTTTTAAATCTCTTTCCTCTATAAGTCTTGGGTATATCCTTATAGCAGCTTGAGAACAGACTAATACAGTAAATTGGTACCGGTAGAGGGGGGTACTGCTATTAAGATACCCTAAAATGTGTAATTTACTTTAGAACTGGGTAACAGATAGAGGTTGGAACAGTTTGGAGGGCTTAGAAGAAGACAGAAGGCTGTGGGAAAGTGTGGAGCTTCCTAGAGACTTGTTGAATGGTTTTGACCAAAATGCTGATAGTGATATAGATGATGAAGTCCAGGCTGAGCTGTTCCAGATAGAGATAAGGAACTTTTTGGGAACTGGAGCAAAGGTGATTCTTACTATGTTTTAGCAAAGAGACTGGTGGCATTCTGCCCCTGCCCTAGAGATCTGTGGAACGTTTTACTTGAAAGAGAGGATTTAGGGTATCTAGCCAAAGAAATTTCTAAGCAGCAAGGTGATCAAGAGATGACTTGGGTGCTTTTAAAAGCATTTAGTTTTATTCATTCACAAAGATATGATTTATAATTGGAACTTATGTTTAAAAGAGAAGCAGAGCATACAATTTTGGAAAATTTGCAGCCTGGCAATGCAGTAAAAAAGAAAAACCCATTTTCTGAGAAGAAATTCTAGCTGGCTGCAGAAATTTACATAAGTAACAAGGAAATGCAGAAATTTGCTTAATCACCAAGACAATGGTGAAAAATGTCTGTAGGGCATGTCAGAGGTCTTCATGGCAGTCCCTCCCATCACAGGCCTGGAGGCCCAGGGGGAGAAAATGGTTTCGTGGGCTGGCTCCAGGGCTCCCCTGCTTTGTGCAGTCTTAGGACTTGGTGCCCCGTGTGTCAGCTGTGGCTAAAAGGGGCCAAGGTACAGCTCAGACCATTGCTTCAGAGGGTCAAGCCCCAAACCTTGGTGGCTTCCACGTGTTGTTGGGCCTGTGGGTGCACAGAAGTCAAGAATTGAGGTTTGGGAACCTCTGCCTAGATTTCAGAGGATGCATAGAAACACCTGGATGTCCAGTCAGAGGTGTGCTGCAGGGGTGGGTCCCTCATGAAGAACCTCTTCTAGGGCAGTGCAGAAGGAAAATGTGGGTGGGAACCCCAACACAGCGTCCCCACTGGGGCACTGCCTAGTGGAGCTGTGAGAAGAGGACCACCATCCTCCAGATCTCAGAATGGTAGATCCACCAACAGCTAGCACTGTGTGCCTGGAAAAGCCACAGACACTCAACACTAGCCCATGAAAGCAGCCAGGAGGTGGACTTTACCCTGCAAAGCCATAGAGGCAGAGCTGCCCAAGACCATGGGAACCCCTTCTTGCATCAGCATGACCTGGTTGTGAGACATGCAGTTAAAGGAGATCATTTTGAGCTTTAAGATTTGACTGTCCTGCTGGATTTTAGACTTTCATGAGGCCTGTAGCCCCTTTATGTTGGCCAATTTATCCCATTTGGAATGGGTGTATTTACCCAATGCCTGTAACCCCATTGTATCCAGGAAGTAACTGACTTGTTTTTGATCTTATAGGTTCATAGGTGGAGGGGGCTTACCTTGTCCCAGATTAGACATTGGACTGTGGACTTTTGAGTTAATGCTGAAATGAATTGAGACTTTGGGGAACAGTTGGGAAGGCATGATTTGTTTTGAAATGTGAGGACATGAGATTTGGGAGGGGCTGGGGTGGAATGATATGGTTTGGCTATGTCCCCACCCAAATCTCATCTTGAATTGTTCCTATCCTAATCCCCATATATCATGGGAGGGAACTGGTAGGAAGTAATTGAATCATGGGGGTGAGTTTTTCCCATGCTGTTATCTTGAAAGTGAATAAGTCTCACGAGATCTGATGGTTTTATAAAGGGCAGTTCTCCTGCACACGTTCTCCTGCTTGCTGCTATGTGAGATGTGCCTTTGCTTCTCTTTTGCCTTCCGCCATGATTGTGAGGCCTCCCCAGCCATGTGGAACTGTGAGTCAATTAAGACTCTTTCCTTTGTAAATTACCCAGTCTTGGGTATGTTCTTATAACAGCATGAGAGTGGACTAATACAGCCATCGAAGCTGCTTATGGTACACCTGGTTCAGCTGCAGTCTCACAGGGAGCCAGTGCCCTTGCCAGTGCCTAGAGCTGTCCTCCCTTCTGCAGCTGGTGTGCCTTGCTGCACACAGTGTGTGGACCCCACACTCACTCACACACCCCCACTGCTCCACACTTGGCTTGCCCTTGGCAGGTGTGGGATCCAGGCTGGTAGCAGGAGCCAAGGGCAGCCTTCCAGGCTGAGTGGGCATAATGTGCCTAGCAGGCCAGAGCAAAAGTCAGGCCGAGGAGCCACTGGCCACAGAGGTTTCTGGCTGGCAAAATGACACTCCAAGGATCCCGTAGCAATAACTCTTAATTTTTATATTTTTATCAATTTTTATCAAAGGCTACTCATGGAGCAGCTACCCTCATGGAGGAGAAACAAGTGCTACTTAACAAGCAGCCCCTCAGCCTAAACCCAAACTAAACATTAGTTGAGCATCACTATATTTACAGTTTTTTTTTTAAACTAGGTTAACTGAACTAATTTCCTAATCTTAAAAATGTATAATTTTGTTTAGGAGGTAACAGAGATGAAGTAGCGAGGGAATCATGGTGGTGGGTACAGCAAGAAAATATGCCTTGCAAGTTTATTGAAAATTTACAATTCTTCATAAAAAAAAATAAGCCAAGACCACTTGTATACTTCAAGGCAAAAGCATGAAAACAGTAGCACATTTGGTTCCGTACAGGCCCTGCTGTCTTGGAGGTGGAGTCAGTACAGCAGGATGATCTGCTTTTATTGATTTTAATTGACAAAGTTTTTTTTCTTTCCTTTGAGATCATAAAATTATTTATTAATAGAATAACAAGTTTGAGGTAGCTAATAATTCATGTTTCTGTGTTTTATGTAATAAAATCAGGAGGCATTTCTTTCAAGTTTAAGGAATATTTTATTTGGCAATATGTACCAGATCTAATCAATTCAATTTTTTAAACATTCATTTTTTTATGTTGGCTGTAGAGTTAGTTTATAGCAGAGAGATACTTTAATTACAATAAACTTTCAGATCTTCCATAAGAATTTAAAATTCTCAACTGAGTCACTGTTGCAGTGCTGAGTCATATCATCATGAAATCAGTGATGTTCTATGTTCTAATGAATAGCATTAACCTCTGAATTTCAGCAAGGTAAAATATTTCAAGAATTCTAATGTAGTCTTAGTATCTAAGACTTAGTTTACCTGGTTTACCTTAGTTTACAAATCCTTGCTGGATGAATATTTAGTAAATCTAACTTACAACAAACTCCACATGCTATATTCGTAGTGTCGCGACGTCGTAACGGAAGTAATGATACCCCATTGAATTGCTCCTCTCAGGATCCTTTGATTCTTTCTTTCTGCCTAACATTTTAGCTCTGAAGTGTCCCGAGTCTCACCACTTGGATCTATTTCCTGATAGTATGTTTAGAGGTTCTAGCAGGGGAACACAGCAGCTTGTGTACCCTTGAGTGAAGAATGGTTCTCCTCTATTTGGGAAGGTCATCCTCTTTGACCTAGCAAGTAGCTTCAGGAAGGACACACATGGAGTAGTGAGGAAGGAAAAAGACACTTGCCAAGTCAGCCAGATTAGCTGAATCAATCCTGGCAATCAATGAGGTGGCAGATGTTGCAGCCGGATTACTCTCATATTTTTGGATCTGTTTCCTTCACTGACTGAAGGCACTGCTTAGTGATTTAGTCTTATCTAATCTCACGGATTTATCTATGATCTTTATGCAAATGATTCACAAATTATACAGCCCAGACATCTCTTCTAAACTTCATACTAGTTTATCAAACTACCTATTTGAGATGTAGATCTAAATTTTTGAATAATCACTTCACCGTGAGCATTTCCAAAACTGAACTTCTGATCTTTTCCCTAAATCTAAAGACTTTCTCAGATCAGTTAAATGACAACTCCATACTTAAGTTTGCTCAGGCCAAAAACGCTGGAGTCATCCTTTATTTTTCTTTTCCTCTTATACCCTGTATTTAACCCATTAGGCCATCATGGTGGCACTACCTTTTTCAGACTATGTCTGTGTCTGGTGGAATAGTTATTCTCATTAATTAAAGACAGTAAGGCTCAGAGATGTTAAGAGAACAGCCCAAATCCACACGGTTGGGAAGTGATGAAGTCAGATTTCAAATTTGTCTTTTCTGACTGACCACAACTAATATGCTCTTTCCATAATACTAGTGCTTCTCCTAAATACATGTTATAGTTACTTCTTTTATTTACATAGTTTAGAAATATGATTTGACCTATTGTATAACTGGAGCTTTATAAACAGTACATGTTATTTTTATTAGGTTCTGTACGCATTCTTTATGCATGCTGCGGTTATTTCCTAAATACTTGCTAACTCAGTTGAATTGACTGGTACTCTTGCTATTTTATTTTGCTCTGGGTTAGGAAATGTGTTTTCAATTGCAGCATATAAATTGGATATGTGTGTGTTAGATGGAAAAGAAGAGGGTATTAATGAAATTAAAATATTCAAGAAGGTCCTTTAGAGAGCTCTTTTTCAGAGATTTCTTGCTGCATCTCTGACTTTAGAATAAGTATTAGCTTTTTTATCTTACATACAAATACTTATCTAATTGCTGGAGTTTTTGTGATATGTAATATTGATCCTAATGCTAATCATTTAAGCTTAGATTATGGAATTATTTAAATTATTTAAAATTTTATCTCAAGGGCTTCTGAAAAGAGGGACATCTTATAATTCTTAAATTCACTAGATTCTAAGTTCCTTTAATAGATTATAGTGGTAAAAAGGCAATGTGTTGGAATCATGGTAGAACAATATCATGAAAGAAATTTCAGTGTTGGTTAGATTATTTAAATGCTCCAGTTTTACTGATGTAGTTTTTGTAGTTTAGTAGAAGTTATTCCTTGCTATGTAATTAAATGTAGCAAAAATGAAGTAGGTTAAGCTAAATTTTACTTGGTTAAAATTATATCTTTTGCTTGCTAGGTTATATCCTTGACCCTTGAAAGAAGTCAAGATTAAATTTTGGGGAGATGTCTATTGTTTATGATAGTGAAATATTTTGAAAGCTGTTTTTCTTCCTTATATGTATATGTAAAACATTTATCTATTAAACAGATTTTAGGTAAACAGCCCTGGAATAATTAATTCATCTTTATTTTTATCTTCTAAATTTGCATTTTTAAATTTACTTGTTTTATTATTTTATCAATTTGTGTTATTTTGATTGATTCCAGGATAAAATTTGATGACTATTTAATTCATAAAAGCAATTTTCACATCTTAAATTTTACTATCTGTTTACCTACCTACCTGCCTATCTACCCACCTACCTACCTTTGCTTTGATAGAAACATTCAGTATGGAATCACTTTTGAAATACTCTTATAGGCTTTGGAACAATTTCTTAAAGCAATAAGATGATATGTGAGGCATTAAAAAGAAAAACTATGTCTAGTAATTAACTCATTCCATTGCCACAGGAAGTAAAGATGTGTGCAACTGCAGCTGTAATGGCATAAATTTAGAAAGGAAACTTAATTTACTGCTTCTAAAAAAAATTGTTGGCACAACAAAACTGAAAAGTTCAAAAAAGAGCTATTTTATTTCTGGAAAATGTGTTAGTTTTCTGTTACCATTTGCAATGATGGATATCTGCGAGCCTTTATACCATGAGATAAGCCATGATCAACTATGTTGCTGTCTTTTCTTCTTCATAGTGTATGCCAATTAAAGGCCTAGGATTCGTTCTTGGAGCCTATGAGTGCATTTGCAAAGCAGGATTCTATCATCCTGGAGTCTTACCAGTGAACAACTTTCGGAGTAAGTGCCCTTTGTTTCTATGTATATATATGTATATACATCATATATACTATTATTACGAAGATTTTCTTTTATCCTTGTTGGAGTTATATGGTTGAATAATCATTGGTTTGGCATTCTTTCATCACTTAAGGAGTTTTAGTTTTAGTTTGTCATCTACAATGCTCTGGAGAACCACTAAAATATACCTAAAATATTCTTAGGTATATATTAGTTTTTAATACATTTTAAAAGTCTGAAAATATTGTAGCTATCTGGTAAGACCAATGGGGATTTAGTTATTGAAAGATGCTGCTACAGAAAGTTCCTAAAACTAATTTTGTCAGTTTATTTTATTTATCAAGGTGTTTATATGTTTTTAATGCTGCATAAAAAGTTACCATAAAGTGAGCAGCTTAAAGCAGCACAGATTCGTTATCATACGGTTCCCATTGGTTAGGTTCCTAGGTCTGGGTTAGCTGGGTCCTAAACTCAAGGTTTCACCACTCTAAAATCAAGATGTTGGCTGGGTATAGTGGCTCACGCTTGTAATCCTAGCAATTTGGGTGGCTGAGGTGGGAGGATCGCTTGAGCTCAGGAGTTCAAAACCAGCCTGGACAACATAGTGAGACCTTGTCTCAATAATAATAATAATACAATGCAGAGATCATCTTCAAAAAAATACAAGTCTACTTGCTGTTATTTGCATTATCTGACCTCTATAAACAATCATGACCAGAGCCATGTCTTCATAAAGTTAATAATAAAATATTACATGTAGAAATTTATAGTTTCAAAAAATAAAAATAAAAGCAAATAAAGGTCTCACTTGGGTGTGATCTTCTCAGAGGCTCAGGGTCCTCTTCAAAGCTCCTTAGGATTGTTGGAAGAATTCAGTTCCTTGCATTTGTAGGCCTGAGGCCCTTATTTTCTGGCTGGATGTCAGCCTGGGGTCACTCTTAGTTCCTAAAAGTTCCCTCAAGACCTAGCTACGTTACCCTTTCACAACATGGCTGATTCCTTTTTCAAGGCTACCAGGAGAATCTCCCTCACCTGCTAAGACAGAGTCTTAAATGACAGAGTATAATCATGGGAGTGCCTCTCCTATCACTTCAGCATATAACATAGCCCAACCAAAAGAGAGAATGTCCCATCATATTTACGGATCCACCCACATTCAAACAGAAGTGATTATACAGGGCTTCTATTCCAGAATTGAAACTTGGTCATCTGGTTATTTTATTCCTACTCCAGAAAATGTCAGTGTTACAATTCAAGTATTGAGTATTATTCTCTCTCCGGAGAATAAACTCTTGCCACATCACCTTATAGCTATTGGATATAATACCCAAGAAGAAAGACTGTAGTGGTAACAGGGGTGGTTTCATGGAAAGTTAGGGTTTGGGAGTTGCTAAAACTAGAGTACAGGTCTCTTTTAAATAGTTACCCATAAATCTTTGCCAGCCCTATTATCTGTGTAGGAATTTGGATTTCACTGAGGCATAGTTCAAAGGGTTCATTGAGATTGAGACCTGAATGTCTTCCTCTGGGAATTTTGGTAGACATTTATAGATTTTTATACAGTTCTTTTTCTCTCTCTTAGAAGGCACTATTCTTGGTCTTGAGACTGTTTACATTTAACTTGTAGGTTCTGGAGGTGAGAAACATTTTGCCGTCTCCTCCGCCGCATATTTCAGAGTTTAGTCCTTGTTCTGAGTGAGTTGTTGTAGGCAGAATTCTAAGGTGGCCTCCCAGGTTCTGCTTCCACATCCTCTTAAGTGTGGGTGTCATCTATGAATTTGCTGGGATAGTCACTCCCTTGCTTAGGTTCTGTTATTTAGCAACATAAGAGAGTGAGGATATAGTCACTTTTGTGATTATATTATTTTATCTAAGACTCCATCATAGCAGACTGGAAGGAGAGAGAGAATCTTCTACTGGCTTTGAAGAAGTAAGCTACTTTGTTGGGAGAGAGCCACGTGGTTGGGGCTTGAGAGCAGCCTCTAAGAACTGAGAGCAAACCCCACTAATAGCCCATGAGAAAACAGGGACTTCGACTACTACAATTGCAGGGAAGTAAATTCTTCCAACAGCCTGAATACTCTCAGAAGAGGACCGTGAGCTCCAGATGAGAATGCAGCCTAGCCAAAACCTTGATTTCAGCCTGGTGAGGCCCTAAACAGAGAACCCAGTTACACTGTGCCAAGACTTCTATTCAATAGAAACAGGGAAATAATAAACAGACATCTTAAGCCCCTAAACTTTTGATCATTTGTAATGCAGCAATTGCAAATATACAATAGCAATCCTGGTAATATATTTTAAGGATGATTATGCTTTTTGGTGTGTGTGTGCCAGACCATGGCGACACCGGAGCTACTCTGGCATTTTTCACGTTTATGGTCCAGACATAACATATGATTCAACACTGAAAGATTAAGGGAAAAGGTTTTAGCTTATGTTCTGTGAAGGTATTTTGTATCTGGTTTACCCACATTTGTTCTCAGCTCCCACTATGTGACTGAAATAAAACATCTAAATATTGTAGAATCAGAGAATGACTATGCCATTTGCTTATAACACTACCAGGAGAAACTGGTTAACCTTTAACAACTTATCTTTATTTAATTTGCACACTCCTACTTTCTTCCTTATTTTAAAAGCCAGTGTTTTCTTACTGGACCTACACTCTAAGAAAAGGCTGCTTCTCTGTGTAAGTCTAACTCCCATGTTATACCCATTGCAGCCATGAAAGAGAGGCCACTCTTTTCAGGAAGATGATGTATAATTGAGTTTAGCTTTGATTCAGCTTTGACCTCAGCACATACTTAGCCAAGACCAACCTTCCTCACTGACAGAGCAGAACAGTCGCTGCATGTTGTAATTTGAAGCCAGTAAAGCAGGGGTCCCCAACCCTCGAGCTGCAGACTGGTGCCAGTTCATGGCCTGTTAGGAACCAGGCCGCACAGCAGAAGATGAGCAGTGGGTGAGTGTATTAGCCCATTTTCATGCTGTTATGAAGAAATAGTCAAGACTGAATAATTTATAAAGAAAAGAGATTTAATTGACTCACAGTTTCACATGGCTAGAGAGGCTTCAGGAAACTTACAACTGTGGTGGAAGGCACCTCTTCACAGGGTGGCAGGAGAAAGAATGAGTGTCGAGCGAAGGGGGAAGGCCCTTATAAAACCATCAGATGTCATGAGAACTCACTCACTATCATGAGAATGGCATAGGGGAAACTGCTCTCATGATTTAATTATCTCCACCTGTTCCTGCCCTTAACACTTGGGGGATTATAATTCAAGGTGAGATTTGGGTGGGGACCCAGAGCCAAACCATATCAGTGAGACAGTATTAACGCCCAAACTCTGCCTCCTATCAGATCAGTGGTGGCATTAGATTCTCATAGAAGTGCAAACCCTAATGTGAACTGCATTTGTGAGGGATCTAGGTTGCATGCTCCTTATGAGAATCTAATGCCTGATGGTCTGAGGTGGAGCAGTTTCATCCCCAAACTGTCATCCTGCATGCCCTCCACCTCAGTCCATAGAAAAATTGTCTTCCGTGAAACCAGTCTCTGGTGCCAAAAAGGTTGGGGACCACTGCAGTAAAGTACTCTTTGACCAAAAATATCTTTCCTGATGGCCTTGTCAAGTTTCATGAAAATCCAACATTAATCACTTCTTGTCCTAAAGAAAGAGTTCAACAACCTGACTAGGAATATGAGCTCTGTAACTCACCGGGGTCATCATCGAAGAACTACTCAATATTTTTTTAATTTGAGGCTTATAAGAGAATATATTGCATGTTTCTGTGTTTTAATTTATTAGGCCTCTTCATCATAGTATCCAGGCAAGTTATAGGGAATGTTATTTTTATACTTTCTTGATGAGGTATCTGTGAGATAAGGAATGACCACATGTAGCCCTTGAACCAAAGGTAAGAAAGGCATTAGGGACCCAACATATGAGCTAACATGGAAAACTGCTAGCACAGTACATGGCATATAATAAGTGGTCAATACACAGTTAAATAATTGAATACACATACACACACATATAAAAACATAACATTAATCATGCATGTAAAGAGATAGCTCCTAAGCACCACTGGTCTTTAGCACCTTATCTCAAATATTTCATTATATTAGGTTAACCAGTGACTTTAGCTAGGACCTTTGGAGAATGAATTCTACAATAGGAGGAAATTAGTTGCCTAATAGGGAGAAACAGAAAGGATATAGAGCAAAGATAAAATTTACTTAATTTATAATTGTAAATATAGCAAAAGACCCCAAATTCCTAAATCTCTTGTAGTCTTGTGGCCCCTTTGGAGAGAGGAGCTAAGACGTGGTGCTGATCTCTTAGAGAAAATATAAATATGACTTAAAAATTCTGTTAAAATATGAAGTGATTTAAAAATCTTTATTTAGACCGAGGCCCACAGTAAACAAATGACTCGTGAAGACCAACAGAATGTATTCAAATAACATGATTTGAAATTGTGCTGGCAGCCCAGAGACCTTGTTCCTGGCATTGCTCTTGAAATTGGTAATCACATGTGAGTTAGCAGGATCTGACATCTGGATAGTAGCAGGATTTCAGAATAACCAAGTACTGATGTTTCACTGTCTCTTCAAATCCAGGTTGTTCCCTTCCAGGTTGATGAAACACAAGCTTGTGACTAGCTCATCTTCCTCACGTTCATCTATCTTAGTATGGATTCTGTCTTCAGTGAAACTGCTTTTATCTTTTGTGTGGATATAGTACCAGTCTTTCATTCTTATTTCTTTGGCCTTTTGGATTGACTTCAGCCTGTGTACATTTCCAAATCCAAATTTACAAGTGACCCATATCCAGAAATGACAATCTCTACTTACCTAACTCTAGTGCTATTGATATGAGAAGATGCGACGGGAGGAAAAAAGACAACAAAGTAATTAGAGACATAAAGAGTATGCAGTTCTGGAAGAAAAAGAAGGGAAGCTCATTGAAAGCAGTACAGTTTAGGGATTCTGGCTGAGCTCTACAGCAAATGTTAAGCAAGGCTGACTTGTCTCTGGGATGAGTCTTAGTTTTCTTGCTTTGCTTGAGTCTCACACTCTCTTCCTACTCTGTTTCATGGCTGGGGAGTCGGGACATTTGCTTTCTGTAGACTAAGCTCAGTATCAGTCTCTAGTATCTATTCCAAACTTAGACGGAATAGATTAAAAGAGCTTGAACACCACAGTCTCATAAATAGCATCGTCACTTTCACCACTGGTCTGACTTCAACCTTGTAGTCTCATTCTGAAGCTAGGCTTTTACTGTATTATAGGAACCTAGTCCTAATCGGTTTTACTCTAGTTGTAGAAGAAAGATTCTCCATCCAATTGCCGGTCTTATGTTTTTGCCTCAGTAATTTGCTCAATTTTCATATATTTTTCATTAGTCTTATTTGTAGGGACTAATGAAAAATGCGAATTGAACATATTTCCAGATCTCAGATTCTTTCATTTCACTTGTCCTAAAAATGGGCTGTGGACTGAGATATAACACTTCAGTCCTCCAAAAATCTTCCTTTTCCTCCACTAGCTGAAATACTAATTTATTAGACTTTTCCTCTTATTTAACATAATTTTATATATTTGCATTATTTTACTTTACTAGACTGCTAATTAGAGACTTATTTATATTAACAATCATCTTTCCCCAAATATTAAAGACCTCTGGCAGGGAAATTTGACTATTAATTAGCTCAGTGTGGTAGGAAGAATGTCTGAAACTTCACTTACCAACATAATAGTGACAATTTTCTTTGCATGGTAGAATTATTTGTAATTTTTGTTTTCTTTTTGCTTCCGTGTTTTCTTTTTTCCCTAAGTAAAAATACATTTCTTACACAAAATCATAATGTTTTAAAAATAAAATATAACATTCAGAACATATTCCTACCTGGCTTTTAGCAAATTTAGAAACTTTGATAAGATACAAGGTGTTTACATTGCCTCTAAGTATCTCTCCACAAATTACTATTTACAAAGAAAAAAGTAACCTGCAGTGAACAGACTGGTGGCACACCACCTTCCCAAGTAATTAATCAAAGTAGCATCATCAATTATTGGGACAAACTGACTCTTTGTGCCTCCTGGTATGTTACACTGAGGACACAGCATTATTTTTATCGTGTTCCTGCCAAAAGTTAATAATCTGAATCTAATCATGAGGAAATATCAGGCACATCAAAACTGAGGGACATTCTACAAAATAACAGGTCTGTGCTTTCCAAAAATCTCAAAGTCGAAAAGAACAAAGAAATGCTGAGAAACTGTTTCAAATCAGAGGCTAAGAAACATGGCAAGTAAATTCAATGCATGATCCTAGATTTCACCCTAGATGGAGAAAAGTAGCCGCAAAGGACATTATTCTGGCAATTGATGAAATTTGAATATGGGCTATGTATTAGATGATAATATTGTATCAGTATTAAATTTCCAACTTTGATAACTGTAATGTGGTTTTGTGCAAGGATGCCCTTTTCATAGGACATGCTAGCTGAAGTGTCTATGGGTAAAGGGATATAGAATCTCCATCCTATACTCACATGGTTCAGGAAGAATAGTATATGTTTAAATTTATAAACATCTATCAAGACAATATGAATGGTAAAGTAAATACAGCAGAATGTAAATAATTGATGAATCTGGGTAAAGAATATATTGGATTTATTTCTACTATTCTTGTAGATTTTCTGTAAAATTTAAATGATATCACAGTTATAAATTACAAAATCTAACTTTCAGAATATCTGTTTAAATTCAAAGGACTTAAATATTTCAATAATTGTAGCTTTGGTGGGTTAATTAGATATTTGTGATTTGGAGCTAAAATTCACTTACCAAAGTGAATTTATTGCTATCAAAAGAGACATGGCTTTAAATTATTTTAATATAAAAATATTATATACTCATTCAATAAACTTTGGAATGTATACAAAGTAGAATTTTAAAGACCATTCAAAGTCTATTTTTCATTTAATTCTCTTCAGTTTATAGTTTGTAGGCAAATGTCTGTATATATCATCTTTCTAAAAATTTGGAATTATATTTATTTAAAATATACATAGTTTTCTTGAACATAATTTTAATAGTTACATAGAATTCCATTGAATAAATGCACTGTGGTTTGCTTAACCATTCTAAGGTTTATACTTTTACTAGTTTCTATAAATATAAGACTATATTTATACAAAAATATCTAGAAGTTTTATGTTTTTTTCTTGTCAATGAAATAAAATTAAGGCAAGCAAATAAGTTAACATACTGTTCACAAATTGTCACAATTTATTTTGGCAGGCTTACAATTACAGGTGAACGTTTTAGATTCCTCAGATGGCCTGTAAATGCTACTGTAACCTTCTCCCAATGTCCTTCTTTATGTTTTTTCTCAAGGCAACACTCATATAGGAAACTAAACAGCTGCTACTGCCAAAGCTATATAGCTTTATACATTTTCCATTTGTCTTCAGGAAGTATTTGTTTTATCTGAAAGTTCTAAGTCTCATCTTCAAGGGTTTTTAGATTTCAGCAAGGCAGATTGGCATTCTGTGCATGGAGGATGTGTTTCTAGTTGCTCAGAACTGAGATTTCCAAATCAAATTTTGATGCAACATGGTTTCATCAAACAGATTTGCCCATAGGTGCCAAAGTCAGCTGTGCTAACTCATATTCTTAATGTGTTTTTCTAGTTTGTTTCCAGCACCTTGAAAAATACTACTTTAATTAAATTTCTTAAGCATACATGGTTTGAGAGCATGAACAATGAAGTGGTGAGTTGAATATTATTTTCAACTAAGCATCTGTATTATAGATCAGTTAATTTATTCTTTTGAGAGAGCACTTTCATCAGTAACAATTGTTTATTGAGTATCCAATATGTATAAACTGCTGAGGTGCTAAGTGTATAAAGAGATACATCTATAAATCATGGCCCCTATCTCAAAGAATGTAAACTTTTAAACAATCATAAGCTTAAGATACCATTAAATAGAGCTTCTTATTATGTAGTAGTAGTATGATTTCTACTAGCTGCATATGTTCTCTTTTCCTAGATAGAGAACTTCAGCATAAATCAGCAAACTATTTTTAGAACTAGAAGATTATTAAATTGTGCTTTGAGTACTAAAGGGAACACTCAATATCAAAAGCTCTGTGTTTAACTTTAGTTGCTTTTTGAGCTTTAGAAATCAGGTCTCTTGACTTTTGGTTTTGCTTTCTCTCTCTTTTACAACTTTGTGTTCCTTTTAGAACCTCATGAATTTTGATAGTCAAATGAAGTTAAATACATTGTTAAAGAGGCAGTTTTTCATGATAGCATGTTACTGTTTGCCATTTGTGAATTGATCTCATGGTATTTCTGAGCACAAAGAATAAAATGTGCTCATAATTTATTTTCCAACAAGTTGCCTTTTATACATGAATATTGAAATATTTAACCAACGATTTATTTCCCATAGAATCGTTTTGAGTTACATTCAGTTTTCAACCTTATGTCTAGTTGCTACTAATTCAGTAGATAGAATACCTGTTAACTATGATATCTCTCCTACTTGAGGAAGATAATAAAGTGTATAGGCTTTTTCTATGTCCTGCATTCATGATTGTATTTTATGGCCCAGTATTTTGAGTCTTTTGTAATTTTAATATAGGTGGGAAAATAAAGATATAAAACCATTGTCCTATTCTTAGAGGGCTCACAGTTTCTTTTCACATACCATATAGATTTGTGGAACTCTAGCAGTAAGCAGAATAGAATAAAACAGGCAAGTAAAGAAAATCACAATGGCATGTGGCTTTAGGAGAGAACTGAGCAGAGACAGAGTATATCAGTCATGGAAAGCTCTCCATGTTGATGTGGATCTCCAGACCATGATGGCACAAAGGAAGTACACTGAAGTCCACCTTTGGACAGCACATGTGGACTATTCAGCATACTGTCTGCAATTCATATGTTCCAAAATTCTACCCCCGATTCTCTATTTCGAAAGGTTGAATCTAGACAAGTAACTCAGTCTTCCCAGTGAATCAAAATTGGAGAACATTGCAATCGCTATGAAAGAACCTTAATTTATGTGAATAATAAATTACATCAATGTAGAAGAGACCATTATTAGGAAAGATAGATGAACGATAACATTGGATTAGTAAAAAGATATATATATTTCTATTATAATGCAGAAATGATATCTAAGTCCAATTTAGAAATAACATTTTCTAGTAAGAGAAGGGAGACTAATTTTTCATTAATTATATAAATTTAACCCACACAAAGACATTTCTAAAAGAATGTACTGCATTTTTAATTGCAAAAGATACTTTTTTTTAACTGTAGGATATATGTTATGAAAAAGAAATAAATGGCTGATCCTAAGCCCAACTGTTTAGAATGTTTCATAATGGCTTAGTTTGACAATATTCTGTAATTATTAGTTGAATTTGGCAAAATCTGACAAGAGAAACAATTTCCTTTTTTTTTTTTTTTTTTTTTTTTTTTTTTGCTAGCATGACATTAAGGTTGTTCTTTTGGTGATGATGTCAGCTTATTGGGCCTCCAGATGTTAAAAGCCCTGCTTGGGTAGTTTGATTAGCCCAGATCTTAGAGTATCCCACCATACAGCAGTTGAGTTATGATCAACAAAACAAAGAGTGACATAGAGAGGGTTCTACTCTTTAAGTGCAGTGGTTTAACTGGAAGAAATTTATTTCATTCTCTACTATATTTAACAAATTGATTTAGATGTAGTATTATAAAGGAGCAAAAATGACCACAGGCAAGAATAAACTACTTCTAGGAAGTAAATTGTTTTGTGAATGTAAAGGAAAGCCTTTAACATCATGATTAGAGTTATCTTAGTGACCTACAAGATCCCAAGTTAGTTCACTTTTCCATGTCCATCACATGATTACCATGTTGTTCAAATCTGGGTGCACCATTCAAATTCTATTCTATATGAATGCTGCCAGAGACAGCTCACTTTGGAACGTGGAAGCTATGATACAAGCTTTTCATGCCCTGCATCACATACTGTTGACTCACCTTAGATTATAGCTACAGTAGACAGTTACTATTACTGAACATGCTGCCAGTAGCCAACTTCAAGTGCCCACAGAATTTATTTTCTTTTCTGCCTCAGGGCTGTCTCTGAAGCCCTCTAAGCTTGCTCAGCCCTTGCCCAGAAGTGTGGTGAAATGGAAGTTTCCTGGGATAACTGTCAAACAAAAGGATTGGTAGTTGCTGCATAAATATTCCAGCCTTCCATCTTCTGGAAAGTCAGATCTGAAGGGCATTGTATACAGTTTTTAGAGGGATCCCAGCAGGATTGATCCCCCATTTGCCCACAGTAATATCCAACTCAGTAATCTACCTTTTATTACCTTTTCTTTCTTCCTTGTCTTACTATATCTGATCTCCTTCTATCACTCTACCTTTGGTCAACCTGAAATAGTTGAAAGGATCAGATTTCAGTTTAAAAGAGTTTATTCAAGCAAAAAGCTGGGAATAGCCAGCTGGGAAACACGGACGCCAGAGAACTGTGGTCAGTGCTATGAAGTTAAAAGTTAAATGTCTTTCTTATTGGAAGAAAACAAATAAATTTAATAGGATTGCAGTATTTTCTATAAAAAGTTGATTTATGAGTTACAACAATTTAATTAGTTATAATTTGTTTTCTTTTCCATCTGGCTTAATTTCCTTTCTTTACAGCTGGTTTTCATTTTCTTTCCAGTTTACAAAACTGTATTTAACATTCCATCTTATGACAATGTGATAGTCATGAAGTCTTTGTGTGAGAAAGATATTAGTAGGAGGGAAGTTAATCTATCATAAAGATCATTAAGATCAACAATGAAGAGGAAGGTGATCTTTTCTGGTGCCTTTTAGTCACTTGCAACATTTTACAAAACAATGTAGGTAAGGAATAAGACTAATCTATAATCAAAGATACAAAGGTTATAGCTGCCAGTTATGTGACTTGGACCCCATAATCACATTCCTTTAAGGTTCAAAATAATTTAGAGTTCCAACAGCTTAGATTTTGAATAACTTATTTTTATATTTTACACCTTCTTTTAGGAGTCGTCTCCCAAATCAGATATCTATGTCCAAGTTCTTATCTTAAGTTCTGCTTCCTGGGGACCAAGATGAAAATACCAGCTTTAGCTGTTTCGTAGTGGCAACTTGCATATAAATTCAGAAAAAAAATGTTATTTTATTTTCTGTTAAAGTTTTCTGCATGTGCAGTTACAGAAAGAAATAATGCATTGCCTCTTGTAAAATAGAAGGCAGAGTTTGGGGATAATTAAGAATTTTGTTTGGCATTAATATTGGGGGGCCCTAGGTATCTTTGCTATTTTTATTCATTCTTTAGGTAATATTATCTAGTCTTGTGGCTCTAAATACTACCTAAGTGCCCATTATTTTCAAATATTTATTTTCGGTGCAGGCCTTTTTCACATGTGTCAAGATGCCTTTTAGATGTCACCACTTGGATCTCAAGTAGACTTCCTTAACCTGACATGTCAAGATTGGACTTATGATCTCTTCCAAAGCCTTCTCCACATATGTTCTTTCCCTTCTTGGTTAATGGTAACTTTTTTCTTCCACTCATTCATACTAAACACCTTGGAGACAGTCTTGATGCTTTTCTTTCTGTCTCACATGATAACCAAGTCATCTAAAATTATGTCGACTCCACCTTCAAACTCTGCGTGCAGCCATTTTTACTGCTATACTGTGGTCCCAGCCACTATCAAGTCTCACCTGGATTATTACAGTAGCTTCTCACCACTATCCCTGCTCTTTCCCTTGTCCTCTATAGTATGTTCTCTATACAACCAAAGCAATCCTTTAATTACATAAAGCATATCATGTTACTCCTCTACCCAAAACCCTAACCCTAACCCTAATCCTGCAAAAACTAAGCTTAAATATATGAGCAGTTAACATACTGCAATATTTTTCAAGTTTGAGTGATTCGAGGTGCTAAATAGTCTCTGCTTATCCCATCTCAGAGAATTAAACCTTAGCTGATGTGGGTGAAGTTTCAAGTTTCATTTGTATTGAAAGTAAATAATGTATACTGTTTAGGTTAAATGTTGCCAATGTCTTCCTAAGCCAGTGAAAAAAGGTCAGCCTATTTAGTTGAAGCAAGAAAGCAAAGATTTGTGTGAGAAGGACTATTTTCTAAAACAAACAATACCTTCACAGATACTTTTTTGATTAATTTAACTTCTATTGTAGTTCTTCTTATGGTATTTTGGTTTGTGTGGGGAGTGCTTGCACCTGTTAGGATTCACTGTCCTTTGTTGCTAATGTCCAGTGCCTGGTAAAGCCATCATGTTTCAATTTGTCCATTGTTTTTGGTTGTTTCTGATGGGAAGGTAAATTTAATCCCTGTTCTTCCATCTTGTCCAGAAGGGGGAAATCCTAACCTCTGTGTCTCAAATCTGAATCTTACAGCCCATACTTTATCGTCTCCTATTCTACAGTGCTCTATGACTTTTGACACTGTAGTCACCATCCTCAGACCTTCTGAATCCTTGACACCTTTATCTTACTCAGTGAAATGACTCTGACTTCACTTATGTAATTATCCAGTTCATACTCGAGTGAACTCATTGTTTTCTCAGTATCCTAGCTTCTCATACTTCTTAGTTTTTGACTTGTGTGCCCTATGATTCTTCAAGTTTTCCTCTGCAATGGATACCTTTTTTTCATCATCTCAAATTGCTCTTGGCCTTATCTCTTTCTCTACCCATTGCGATCACCATGTCCTGAAGGTTTTGAATGGCTTTGTTTAAGTGCCGTTGAGGTGTGCCTTTCTTCATATCATGCTTCGCACTTCCTGTTCTGCTATGAGGTACCTCTGTGTTCATGGCACAAGATGTGAGAACCTGCTTTGGACTCAAGTGTGCATAATGCAGGCACGTGGAGGCGGTTGATGATTCTGGAAACCCTTTATTAATGAGTAAGGTTGACAATGGAGACACGTTTTCCCCTTTATCTCCATGATTGACTCAGATTCAAGAAGTCCCTGGAGGATAGAGCACAAACTGCTGCCAGGGAGTGAAGGCTGCAGCTCCATTATACAGCCTTGTGTTGGCTTTCCTCTTTCGCCTTTTTACCCCTCCTCTCACACTTGCTGTCTGGGAGCACATTTTGTAATCACATGAAAAGAAGCCTAAAACTGTCATTAGCACAATCCTTTCTTTATTCTCTGTCTGTGACTGTTCTATCCTCTGCATTTGTTTGTATGCTACCAATAATTGTACAAAATCACAAACTATCTTGACTATGTTTCTTAGTAATGCATACTGTCGTACTCTAACTGGATTATTTTTCTGCCAAGTGATCTGACAAATCATCTTGTATTATATTTCTGCCTCAACCTTCAGGTCTTTAGTCTCAAAAAAGGCCTTCTTCACTCTCAATATGTATTCTTATCTGCTTTGTTGAGAAGGATAAGACTACAAGATTGGCTGCCACATTTTTTCTACTTCAAAATGTATTTTTCTTTTCAACTGATTCCTTCTTTCTGCTAAAAAACAAAACACCTTTTAAAAAATCTTTGATTTACCTCTACTTTTTTCCAGTGTTAGAAAAAGAGATATCAAATATTCTTAGAGTTAATTTCTCCAACTATGCTCTTGATTACATCCAATCATGACTTCTCAAATACTTTCTTTACCAGTTTTCTCATATAATTCCTCAATTTCCAATGGCTCATTTTTCCTGGATGCAATTGTGTTATGATCTCACCTGTTTCAAAGAAAACAAAAAACAAAATCGCTTTTTAAAAATATCATAATTATTCCTATCAACCATGAGTTTTTCTTGCTTTTTTCATTCAATAGAGCATTTATTTAAATACTATTCTATCTTATTACTTATTTAGTACTTAAGCCTTGACAACTTAGGGACTAAAACTCCTACTCTTTGGAAATTATTACCTTATAGGTCAGTGAAGGATAAAATAATTATTAAATCTTGTAGCCTTTTCTCAGTCATCATATTGATCACATTATAGCATTTTTTAGTAAATTGCATTTCTTTTATGACACTGTAAATACTCCTCCCTGTATAGCATCTCCCTCTGTACATTTCCCAGTAATTATCCACTCCGAGAGATCTCTGCAGGTTCTCTCTGTAACACCCACTCTATATCTCAGTTCTGTCTTCTAACTTCTCTGTTTTGGAGGAATATCTTTAAGGCACCATGGATTCCTAATTAATCCTTGCATCTCCTATATTTGGAGAAGAGGAGAAAGAGCCAGTCACTATGATTTCTATAAATATTAACAATCTCAACCAGGTGCGGTGGCTCACACCTGTAATCCCAGCACTTTGGGAGGCTGAGGCAGGTGGATAACAAGGTGATAAGTTCGAGACCAGCCTGACCAACATGGTGAAACCCTGTCTCTACTAAAAACACAAAAATTAGCCAGGCGTGGTGGCGCGTGTCTGTAGTCCCAGCTACTCAGGAAGCCGAGGCAGGAGAATCACTTGAACCTAGGAGGCAGAGATTGCAGTGAGCCGAGATGATGCCACTGCACTCCAGCTTGGGTGACACAGTGAGACTCCATCACAAAAATAAATAAATAAATAAATAACCTCATTTAGTCCCACAGCAATTCATGTTTCATAAATAAGTAAACTAAGACCCCAAGTGTTCTAGTGAGTTGTCTCATGTCACAGAGTTATCTGGAGTAGGGAACCATGTCTGCTTGACAATAAAATCCATTTGCTTTTCATCATGTAACAGAATGATGACTCTTAAACAGCATTATATCCACAATTATCAGAGAAATATTCAATTATGCTTTTGCTATTGTCTTTACTGAGGAAACAAAGCAGACAAATACATTATAGAAAGATTGTGAATTCTTAATAAGAGTTGAAAGAAACTAAGACTTTCTGTTAAACTGAGTATTATTAAAATGCTGTTACCTAGAAGAACCTCTTTCCCAAATTCCTCAGTTAATCAAAGTTGTGTTATATACTGAAGTGAGTTCATATTCATTAATGTCTTTTATGTTGAATTCAGAGTTGGAAATAGTTGTTTCTGTTTTGTTTTTTTTTTCCTTAGTATTTGGCATTAATTGGATAGATG
Source organism: Homo sapiens (assembly GCF_000001405.40). Lineage (NCBI taxonomy): Eukaryota > Metazoa > Chordata > Mammalia > Primates > Hominidae > Homo > Homo sapiens. The sequence continues at coordinate 25,411,140 of NC_000010.11, forward strand.
TTGGTGCTAAACTCATCTTAACTATTAAAGATAATCTTTACCTGTAGGGCTTCAGAAGTAACTTAAGTTTGATAACTGAGACAGAAGAACCTAAAATTAAAAGGAGGATCGATAGCAGTAAGTGAATAGTGTGAAAATGTCCTAAGAGCTTGCAAAGTGGGAAATTACATGATAGCTTGTAAGTATAGACTGTACTCTGGGCAAAGGATGCACCATCATTAGGCAATTGCACACTGAACAACTGTCAATTAAATACCATTTTACCTAATTTAGACCTAATGAACTTGGTAGATGAGATCCCTGATGAATGAATTAAGGAGCAGTCAAAGTCTCATTTTGGATTCTGGGCTATCTAGGTCAAGAAGTTCCCAAAGGTATGCATGTATTTACTCGGCACATAAAAGCATCAACTTTCTTATTCCTACTTCTGGTTAATTCTCTAACAAATATTTGTGGAATGTGATTTTTGCTTTTCAGTTGGTGAGTGGTAGATAATGATATAAAAGACTTAGAAGGCCAGGTGCGGTGGCTCACACCTATAATCCCAGCACTTTGGGAGGCAGAGATGGGCGGATCACAAGGTCCGGAGATCGAGACCATTCTGGCTAACACAGTGAAACCCCATCTCTACTAAAAATACAAAAAATTAGCCGGGCGTGGTGGTGGGCACCTGTAGTCCAGCTACTCGGGAGGCTGAGGCAGGAGAATGGTGTGAACCCAGGAGGCGGAGCTTGCAGTGAGCAGAGATCGCGCCACTGCACTCCAGCCTGGGCGACAGAGCGAGACTCTATCACAAAAAAAAAAAAAAAAAAAAAAAAAAAAAAAAAAAAAGACTTAGAAAACTGTTCCCTGCCCTCATGAAGCTTTATTTCCATTTTTGCTAATTTTCCTCAACCACTTTCAATGATGATTTTTAAAATCAAAAAGATAAAAAGAATTTTGTTAAGAGTCTAAAGGAAAAGTAACTCCTTCCCCTAGCAAGAGGGTTGACAAAAGGTCTTTAATAAGTGAGAAAAGGAATGAGGAGTCACGGATGTCTTTTGACTCTATACTCAATCTTACCTACCTAAGAGGTGCAAATGACACTGTGGTTTTATTTGGAACTTTCAGGAAGGGGTCCGGATCAGCATATTTCAGGAAGTACAAAAGATGTGTCAGAAGAAGCCTATGTCTGCCTACCTTGCAGGGAGGGCTGCCCCTTCTGTGCTGATGACAGCCCATGCTTCGTCCAGGAAGATAAGTATTTACGACTTGCCATCATCTCCTTCCAAGCCCTGTGTATGCTGCTCGACTTCGTTAGCATGCTGGTGGTCTACCACTTTCGCAAAGCAAAGGTAAACCCAGGAACCCTGGTTATGATCCTGTATTACAGAGCAACCTCTTATCTTTTTAAGCAAACAGAATTTTCCAATTCAAGTTGCTTCCCTCCTAAGCAGCAGTCTTTCTACAATATGATTGGACTAGAACATGAAAGTTATATTCTTTAGCTGACCAGAAAAATAGAGATTAAAACATGATACTTTATTTTAACATTTACAGACTGTTTCCCCTTGTTTAGCCTGGATCTCCAGTGCTTCATTGACTTAAATGACTCTCCTTTACATCATGTCTTTGGCCTCTAGAGAAACTTATTCTACCAGCATCCAATGTATTATTAATTTTTTTGTATCCAAGAAGCTTTGTTATGTTTATTATATTTTTCTTTTCTTAGTTGTGTTTAAATATGGTAAATGACTCAACTATTTTTAGCGCATTATACTTTGAAGAATGAATTTATTTATGACCTTATATTTTGTCTTACATTAGTGTCCCAGAATAATAACAATCCCGGGAAGAACTTACACAGTTTTGGAGAGAACATGTCCTTTGGTTCTAGTCTAAGTAATCAAGAGTAGTACAATCCAGGAGCAGTGGCTCATGCCTGTAATCTCAGCACATTGGGAGGCCAAGGCTGGAGAATTGCTTGAGGCCAGGAGTTTGAGACCAGCCTGACCAACATAGCAAGACCCTGTCTCTACAAAAAAAAACACAAATTTTTAAAAAGCTAGCCAATGTGGTGGTGCATGCCTATAGTCCCAACTATTTAGGAGGCTGAGAAAGGAGTATCTCTTGAGTCTAGAGTTCAAGACTACAGTGAGCTATGATCACACCACTGTATTTCTGCCTGGCTGACAGAGTGAGACCCTGCCCTGTCTCAATAAAAAGAGGTGCGTAGAAGCATTTGTATGCCTTTCAGTCAGGGGTAGATGAAGTGTTAAAATATGCAGGACAAAGCTTTTGGGGGAGCTTTCTCCAGTTGGCCACCCAATTAGTTATATGTAGCCAGTGTTGTATTCGAATTTGTGATTCTGATGCTTGCAGAAATTTATCTGTGCCATTTGGAAAGAAAACAAAACCTAAAGTTTCCAACCTTTTCCAAATTCAAATGATCTCTTTATACTGGCAGAGTTGTACAGATTGGTTTAGATTACAGAGCTCATTGAAGGTATAAAGTGTTCCCATTAGAAATTAAAAAAAATACCCTCTGTGAATGGCATCTATTATGAAGCCTCAAGGTAAACAGTTTTATTATTATAAAGCCTCTGTTGAGATTCTAGGAGATTGTATTCATTATGTTAATGTTATAGACTTTGATAGTCATTTAAAATGGACAGTTTCATTAGCAGAAGAATCCAGCACAAATTAAAATCAAGCTTTAAGTCAGCAAGTAAGTGCAGACAGGCAGATAGCTCCTCATTTAACCAATACTTATCTTTCTTTTGCAACAAACTGTGTGTTATATAATAAAAATAGTAGCCAAGTAGAGTTGAGAAATATATAACCACTGTTACCTAGATAAAATTATAGGTTTTGTAAAAAGCCTGTCAGTGGCATAGCAGGTAGAATTGAAAGGTCTGTCTAACAAACTTCTCTGAAATCTCTCTGATATAATGTAATTAATTTATATGGTAGATAACACACAGTTCCCTATGAATTTTAATTGATTTTGATAATTAATGATTGCTCTGCTAAATGAGTTGGTAATACATGGTAGGTAAAATATTACATTGGATATTTAGAAACCTGAGATAGTTCTGACAAGACCAGTGTCTTAATGTTAATGTTACTTAGCATTGCCGGTTATTAAACCTTGCTAATTTCCCTGGACCTTCATGTGAAATGTCATTTTAATGACCAGAATCCTACTGTACAGGACTATAATGAGAATACATAGCTTTACATGTCACTTTAGTGAAATTTCTATAGATTAAAAACTATTAATAGTAGTAATTGCTAAATTAAACATTATCTAGTTTTAAGATGGTCACCTTTCGAAGAATCAGTTTTTACAGAATGTGACATAATATAAGGGGGATATAAGCTAATAAAGTGAATGAACATAGACCTTGTATGCTAATGAAAAGAAATGTTCAGTGCAATTTTCTGCTGTGATTTCAATTGCTAAAAGCAACTGTAAAAATGATAGAACATTCCAGTGTAGAGATTAGAGATTTATAGAATGTAGAATTTAGATTTGCTTTTTAAAGATTTCCTGTGTCTTTGCAACATTTCTTTGGATAAAGAAGAAACTTGATGATCTCTTTTGTAGCAATATTGACATTTCTTTCGGAGTTTCCTATTACATTCTCTACTTATTGATAATTAAGAGAACAAAGCTCACATAATTTATCAATTTACATGTATTTTGACCAAAAAATCCAATTGTAATACAGAGGTAGCATTACAGTTGTGGGTAAGTGTGCAGACTCATGAGCCAGATTGTTTAGATTTGAATACTGTCTCAGCTCCTTGCATACTGTGAGACTTTGTGAGAATTGCTTAGCCTTTTATTGTCTAGCTTTCTCCTCTGTAAAATGGCATTCACACACCATATACAAAAATTAAATTAAAATGGATCATAGATCGAAATGAGAGAGTAAAAACCCAAGAAACTTTTATTAGGAGAAAACATTGACATAAATCTTCATGACCTTCAGTTAAGCAGTGGGTTCTTAGATATGACAACAGAAGCATACATGACAAAAGTAGATAAATTGGACTTCATGAAAACTTTTTTGTATCAAAGACAGCATCAAGAAAGTAAAAAGAAAACACACAGAATGGCAGAAGATATTTGTAAATCCAACCTGTGATAAGGAATAGTATCCAGAATATATAAAGGACACATAACTAATCAATAAAAAGATAAGTAAAACCAATTTAAAAAGTGAGCCAAGGATCTAAATAGACATTTCTCCAAAGAAAATATATATATATAAGCCAAAATGTTTATGAAAAGATTACCAACACATAGTCATTAGGAAAACGCAACTCAAACCGACAGTACCCACTACCATAGCTAAAAATAGAAAAGATGGTAGCAAGTGTTGCGGATGTGGAGAATTGGACACTCTCATTCATTCCTGTTGGAAATGTAAATGGTACAGCCCTTTTGGAAAACAGTTTGGCAGTCCCTCAAAAAGTTAAAAATTGAAGTATGATATGATCCAGCAATTCCACTCCCAGTATATATCCAGAAGAACTGAAAACATATGTCTACAAAGAAATATGCATACAAATGTTCATAGGACATGGATGGACCTTGAAAACTGCTAAGTAAAACAGTTACAAAAGACCACATATTGTATCATTTCATTTAAATGAAATGCTCAGAATAGGCAAATTCATACAGACAAGTAGATTAGTGGTTACCAGGTACTACCAGGAAGGAAGAATGGGGAGTTACCACTAATGAGTTCAGGGTTTCTTTTTGGAAAGACAAAAATGTTACAAAATTAGATTATGGTAATAGTTGCACTACTCTGACAATATGCTAAAAACTACTGGATTATATACTTTAAAAAGGTGAATATTAAAGTATGTGTATTATATCTCAATAAATCTATTACAAATTTTTAAAGGAGTTTACATATTATTAATACTTACCTTCTGGGATTATTTAAAAGAGTTAATGAAATAATCCATGTAAAATACCTTACACTTAGTCTTCACTAGGTGTTTGTCTTTTGTAACATAATTTTGGACCGCTTTATAAAATTCACAATTCATGTATGCTTCCCACATTGGGGGCCAAGTATGACATTTAAAGTAGTTTGAAAGAATGAGAGGTTGGGAAACATAGCTGTGCCTCTTTGAAGTAGGTACCCAAGCTCCATTAAGTATTCATTCATAGGTACACATGCAATCGCAGATATTTCTGTGCTGATAATCTTCAAAAACCATTTACTGTGCATTTATTTATATGTGGCTTTTTGTCCTTTTCAGGAGTGATTACTTAGTGTGCAAACAAAACTCAGTTTATTTACCTACTTATTGATATTACTGGCTTTTCTAGGAAGTTTAAGCTTCCATCCCCATCCTCAAAATGAGAAAGTTATGGAAACCTCTCCTGGGTATTGATCATGAAGTCATTAGGGATGTTGAGAATTAGGACACATACTCCTTCTTGTGTTGTTATAATAGTTAGAAAAAAAAGTAACAAAATAAAAAGTTGTAATATAGGAATAAGTTTGTTACTATAATACTTTCCTGGTTTTAATTTAGCAAGTTGAAAAACAGTTCAGAACTAGAATGGAGAAACCTCTCATTTTATCGATAAGAAAATCCAGCCCCTGAGAGATTAAGTTTCCAAAGGTAACACAGCCAGGTTGAAAAGTTTATGCATGTATATTTAGCCTTATTCCAGCATATGAAATAAAAACACTTCTAGAAGATTAAAACTGTAAGTTAATAAATTAAGGCTAAGTGAAAATAAGTATAGAAAAATTAGTTGAAATCAAGGGTGAGGTTAAGATATCAAATGGATTCCATGAGGGCAGGGATACTGTTCTCACCCAGTGCCAGCAGGAAGGGCTTTCCTGGAGTTTTCTAGTAGCAGTGCAAATGGGAGGAAAAAAAAAATAAGTCATAGTAGCCATAAGATAAAAACCAACCAGTCAGTGAGATGAAATTCAAATATTCCTGGCACCAAGTCTTGGAAGAAATTTCTCCTGTGGATCTTTATGTAGACAATAGTGTAAAATGTAGTGAATGATGAGCATTCTTACATGGAATACAATAATTATTTTCATGGCTCTATTTCTGTTAATTTCCCCAAATGTGTGCTGATGTTTGAATACTTAAATACAGCACAGGCAAATCAATTCTGTGGGGGTGTCATAATTTGGTCCTGATACACTGTTCTTGGCTGATGTTAATGCAGGTACTTTTAGAGTGTCTAGATCACGGTTGGCCAGTGTGCAGCCCACATGTTACTGCTACATGACTGTGGTAGACACACATGGTTCTCTTTCCCATTTCATTCAGAATCATCCTCAGAACCATTCTTAGGACTCTAAGCAGGTTCTATGCATGAAATCTATTTTTTCTCCTGGATCTTGAAAAATAGGAGGGCTGCAAATCCTTCATATAAACTTTTATAAATACTGCTGGTCTTTACTGAGTTTTCAAAAGGTATTCACTGAGTGAAACCAAATTCGAGGTTCTATTACCTATCAAGAACAAGAAGACAGTTGATTGTGAAGCTATGTGCTATTATAGTAGGTGAACCTGGGGATAGAATGCCATGTGCTAATGATGGCTGAGGCATCTACCTAGACACTCCTGAAGAGAAGTACATGCTCTCAGATGCCAGAAGACACCCTGAGGGAGGGCCAGGAAACACCTGGTTAGGGATGGCACCTAAGCTAGAATCTGAGACTTTTTCTCTGCTTCCTCTTTTGCTGACATGTGAACCATGTTCTTTAATCCAGTTTCACCAGAATTCATAAAATCTTAGTTGACTTTCATATGTGCACCGTATGTCATTGAGGGCCTGCTAGAAATGGACCATTTTGGAACTGAGGCCCCTTTTATTTATATTAGAGTAGCTCTGTGAATTGACAAATCCAAGATAGGAAAACCAATAACAATGTCAAACCTAGCAGCTGAACCAGTCCTTTTGGGCAGGAAGCAAATATGTGTAGGGGTAATAGAGAGTTCTCTGTTCTCAAATGAAATATTAGGTGATCATGTTGAAGAGACATAACATAGTATAGATACGTATGTCTTTCAGTTGCATGGTTCTTCCAGGAAAGTCTAATTTTTAGTACATTTAATTGAAAGAGATTTGTCCAGGCCCAAAATATCAACTCAATAGTAATTAACTACTAGCCATCATTGATGAAATATTGGTTTAACATTTTATCATTTTAAATGACACAAATGAGATTCCATTATACTCCAGGGTGGGAGTTGTTGGATGACACCTCCAAGAGCAAATTAAAATTCACTCTGCAGAAACATTTAGGAAACTAATTACACACATTTGTCCCTATGCCTTTGGTTAAAGATGAAATCTGTCAGTAAACTGTGAATAATTTTGAGCCCAGTGTGTTCTTCTAAAACAACAAGAATTTTAAAACAGTATTTTAAAGAGCCTGAATATTAAATATTTTTTAATTTATTCTACATTTTTTACTAAATATTATGACAAGTAACATTTTTCTATTCGTGATCTCAAAGAGAGAGTATGGTTCCTTACAGCTTAATAATGTCAAGTGTTAGTATAATTTATTTTCAGATGGAAATTTCAGAGAAACAAGGTACACTGGAAGGAACAGCAGCATATACCATTTCTGAAAATAATCTTTTGTTTGACTTATTTTTAGTAAATTTTAGCATGTTTTGAGTTTAGTAATTTAGAAGAAAAGACTGATTTTTAAAAAACATGGACACACTGTAGTTGGTATTTTCTCCTCTATTGCTATAATCTTTCTTTTAAAAAAATTAGAAGTTGACAAGAGATTTAATAACAATGCTAATTTTTTGTTTGAAAAATGAGATGTTTTAATATAGTATGTGAAGTGATTTTTTAAGTGAAATTCTAATATGTTAATTATGATGTTCTAATGACTATTTTGGTAAAATAAAGTTAGGTATGTCATATTTTTATTTTAGTAAAATTTTTATTGTTCATTTTCAGAACTTTTTTTTATCATCACAAACCAAACTCTCTACCCATTATACAATAACATCCCATTTTTCTATCCCTTGGTAACCTCTCTTCTACTTTCTGTTGCTACAAATTTGCCTATGTTTATGCCTTCTATAAGTGGAATCGTATAATATTTATTCATTTGTATCTGACTTATTTTATTTAGCATAATGTTTTCAAGATTCATTGATATGGTACCATATATTATAACCTGATTTCTTCTTGATGATGAATAACATTTTATCATATCTATATACCACATTTTGTTTTTCCGTTCATCTGTTGATGGCCATTTGAGTTGTTTCTACTTTTTGGCTATTGTGAATGATGCTGCTGTGAACATTCATGTACAAGTGTCTATATGAATATTTGTTTTAAATTCTTTTGCTATATACCTAGTAATGGAATTGCTGGATCATATAATTCTATGTTTAGTGATTTGAGGAACCACCAAACCGTTTTTCACAGAGGCCCCACCATTTTCCACCAGTTTGGAAGGTTTACAGTTCCTCCATACCCTAACCTACATTTGTCATTTTCTGTTGTTTTGTTGTTGTTGTTGTTGTTGTTTTAGTATTAGCCATCTTAATGAGTGTGAAGTGGTATCTCATTGTGGGTTTGACTTCCATTTTCCTAATGATTAGTGACAGTTGAACATCTTTTCATGTGCCATGAGCCATTTATATATCTTCTTTGAAGTAATGTCTATTCAAGTCTTTTGCCCATTTTATTTTCACAAGTCTATGTTATGGTTCACTCTTGATGTTGTACATTCTGTGACTTTGGACAAATGTATAATGCATTTATCCATGATTATATTATCATGCAGACTAGTTTTACTACTCTAAAAATCCTCTATGTTCTGCCTTTGCCCATTTCTTAATCAGGTTATTTGGTTTTTCATTGTTGAGTTGTAGGAGTTCCTTATATATGCTGTATATTAATCTCTTACTAGATATATGGTTTGCAAATATTTTCTCCCATTCTGTGATTTTTCTTTTTACTTTCTTAATAGGGTCTTTTGAAGCCCCAAAGTTATTTATTTATTTACTTGAGACTAGGTTTTGCTCAGTTACTCAGGCTATAATGCAGTGGTATGATCATAGCTCACTGCAGCCTCAAACTCCGGGGCTCAAGCAACCCTCCCACCTCAGCTTTCTGAGGAGCTAGGACTACAGCTGCATGCCACCAACTCCAGCTATTTTTGAAACATTTTTTTGTAGAGATGGAGTCTTGCTATGTTGCCGAGACTGGCCTCGAACTCCTGTCCTCAAGCAATCCTCCTGCCCCAGCCTCCCAAAATGCTGGGATTACCAGCATGAGCCACCTTACTTGGCCCCCAGTGTCTTTAATTTTGATGAAGTGTATCTATTTTTTCTTTTGTCACTTGTGCTTTTGGTGTCATATGCAAGAAATGATAGCCCAATCTGAAGTCATAATGCTTTTCCTCTATGTTTTCTTCTGGGAGTTTTATAGTTTTAGGATTCACATTAGGTCTTTAATCCATTTTGAGTTAATTTTTATGTATAGTATAAGATCAGAATCCAACTTCATTCTTTTTTGCATATGAATTTCCAGTTTTCCCAACACCATTTGTTGAAGACATAGTCCTTTCCCTGTAGAGTTGTCCTGTCAGCCTTGCCAAAGATCATTTTATCATATATGTTAAGGTGTATTTCTGGGCTTTTTACTCTATTCCGTTGGTCTGTGTGCCCCTCTTTATGCCAGTACTACATTGTTTTGATTACTATATCTTTGTAGTAAATTTTGAAATCAGAAAGAGTGAGGCCTCCAACTTTATTCTTTTTAAAATTGTTTTGGCTATTTGAGCTGCCTTGAAATTTTATGTAGATTTTAGGATGTGTTTTTCTGTTTCTACAAAACTATTGCTGGGATTTTGATCAAGTTTGCATTTAATCTGTAGATTGCTTTGGGTAGTATTGACATCTTAACAGTATTAAGTGTTCTAATCAATAAACACAAAATATCTTTCTACTTATATGTGTCTTTCATTTTGCTTAGTAATGTTTTTAGTTTTCAGTATATGAGCCTTTTGCCTCCTTGGTTAAATTTATTCCTAAGTATTACGATATATCACTTTTTATAAATAGGTTTTATGATTTGTATTGTCCTTTAGTTAAATGGATTATCTCACATATTATCTTCCATAGTCCCAATGAATATCAAGTCTATGATTTTTCTTTTGTACTTAGCAATTGATGTTCCTCCTTCGTGCTTTCTATTTCCTGTGATTTATGGGAGGGAAGTATGGTATAATATGTGAAAATACATAATACATAAAAGCTGGTCTAATGGTTAGAAGCCAAGACCTGTAGCATTTCTTGTACCTTTAGTCCACCTATAGAGGTACTGTAGAAGTTCCTTACTGATTTATAAATTTTTTTTCTTAAACCTAATTCTAGTAGTGGCCAGCTGCTGTACCCAATATAGGATGATGTTATTTACTTCTAGAGGTTTATAATGGATGATACTTCCTTCAATTTTTGTTTTTCTAAGGTCTACAAAATTAATCTTAAATCTTATTCTATTGAACTAATAAATATAACATTACTTTAATTCTATTGAACTAATAAAATATCACATTATTAAAACAATATTATTTTTGCTCCCTTTAATGGAATATGAATAAAAAATTTGGTGCTTTTATTTTTTCCTTTTCTCCCCCTTCCCAGTTTATTAAAATTTAATCAAGAGTTACTTGCCATCAATTTTCAATAAGAGCAACCAATTTCAAAGGCAAAACAATTCTCTAATGTTTTTTGATTCTCACCACATTTAAGGAAATTGTGGGGACTTTCTATATGTTTATTTTGTATAATTGCTCACTATTGGACCTTTCTAACTGTAATTTCTTGCTTTTGAGTTCTGACTTTTGGCCAATATTTTCTCATTATGAATTGTCTGTATCCTCAAGTCGTTTGTTCAGTAAATGGTAGTTTTAGATGCCTGTCACACCTGACCATTCACCCACCACCGACTGTTGCTTCTATATGGCAACAACGTGGCTCTGGGCAGCATTTGGGGTTACTGTCTTTTTGTCCAAAAGCCCTGTTATTACCACTTTATTTATCATCTAGAATTGAACATGGCCCACTTTTTGTCCTTTATAGCAGGGGTCCGAAACCCCTGGGGCTGCACAGCAGGAAGTGAGTGGCGATGGGTGAGCCAGCATTACCACCTACGCTCCACCTGCTGTCAGATTAGCCTTGGTATTAGATTCTCATAGGGGCACAAACCCTATTGTGAACTGCACATGTGCACTCCTTATGAGAATCTAATGCCTGATGATCTGAGGTGGAAAAGTTTCCTCCTGAAACCATCACCCCCACACACACCCTCCACACCTCTGTCCATGGAAAAATTATCTTCCACGAACCCAGTTCCTGGTGCCAAAATGGTTGGAAACTGCTGCTTTATATAACAAAATTCCTCATCTGAATGCTTTTTGACTTTCTCTTACTATCATCTATTGTTCTCTTTTCATTGTATTTGCAAAAAAAAAAAAATGTGACATATACTCTCCAATTTCAGCTTGAATTTTTTCCTGAGATTGGAGAATTTCTTGTGTTATTATTTTTTATTTCAGTAGGTTTTTGGGAAACACGTGGTGTTGGGTTACACGAATAAGTTCTTTAGTGGTGATTTCTGAGATTTTGGTGCACCCATCACCTGAGCAGTGTACACTGTACCTAATGTACAGTCTTTTATTCCCTTACCCCCCCCACACTTTCCCCCAAGTCCCCAAAGTTCATTGTATCATTCTTATGCCTTTGCGTCCTCATAGCTCAGCTCCCAGTTATGAGTGAGAACATACAATGTTTGGTTTTCCATTCCTGAGTTACTTCACTTACAATAATAGTTTCCAGTTCCATCCAGGTTGCTGCGAATGCCATTGTTTTACATTTTATGGCTCAGTAGTATTCCACGGTATGTCTGTGTGTATATATATGTATGTGTGTGTGTGTATATGTCTACACATATATACATATATATGTATATACATATACATATATATGTATATGTATATATGTGTGTATATATGTATATACACACATATATACACACACACACCACATTTTCTTTATCCACTAGTTGATTGATGGACATTTGGGCTGATTCCATATTTTTGCAATTGTGAATTGTGCTGCTATAAACATGCATATGCAGATATCTTTTTAGTATAATGACTTCTTTTCTTCTGGGTAGATACCTGATAGTGGGATTGCTGGATCAAATGGTAAATCTACTTTTAGTTCTTTTTTTTTTTTATACTTTAAGTCCTAGGGTACATGTGCACAATGTGCAGGTTTGTTACATCTGTATACATGTGCCATGTTGGATTGCTGCACCCATTAATTCATCATTACATTAGGTATTTCTCTTAATGCTATCCGTCCCCCATGCCCCAACCTATGACAGGCCCCAGTGTGTGATGTTTGCTGCCCTGTGTCCAGGTGTTCTCATTGTTCAATTCCCACCTATGAGTAAGAACATGCAGTATTTGGTTCTCTGTCCTGAGATAGTTTGCCAAGAATGATGGTTTCCAGCTTCATCCATGTCCCTACAAAGGACATGAACTCATCCATTTTTATGGCTGCATAGTATTCCATGGTGTATATGTGCCACATTTTCTTAATCCAGTCTATCATTGATGGAAATTTGGGTTGGTTCCAAGTCTTTGCTATTGTGAACAGTGCCACAATAAACATACGTGTGCATGTGTCTTTATAGTAACATGATTTATAATCCTTTGGGTATATACCCAGTAATGGGATTGCTGGGTCAAATGGTATTTCTAGTTCTAGATCCTTGAGGAATTGTCACACTGTCTTCCACAGTGGTTGAACTAATTTACACTCCCAACAGTGTAAAAGCGTTCCTATTTCTCCACATCCTCTCCAGCACTTGTTGTTTCCTGACTTTTTGATGATTGCCATTCTAACTGGTGTGAGATGGTATCTCATTGTGATTTTGATTTGCATTTCTCTGATGGCCGGTGATGATGAGCATTTTTTCATGTGTCTGTTGGCTGCATAAATGTCTTCTTTTGAGAAGTGTCTGTTCATATCCTTTGCCCACTTTTTGATGGGGTTGTTTGATTTTTTCTTGTAAATTTAAGTTCTTTGTAGATTCAGGATATTAGCCCTTTGTCAGATGGGTAGACTGCAAAATTTTTCTCCCATTCTGTAGGTTGCCTGTTCACTCTGATGGCATGGCAGTTTCTTTTGCTGTGCAGAAGCTCTTTAGTTTAATTAGATCCCATTTGTCAATTTTGGCTTTTGTTGCCATTGCTTTTGGTGTTTTAGACATGAAGTCCTTGCCCATGCCTATGTCCTGAATGGTATTGCCTAGGTTTTCTTCTAGGGTTTTTATGGTTTTAGGTCTAACATTTAAGTCTTTAATCCATTTTGAATTAATTTTTGTATAAGGTGTAAGGAAGGGATCCAGTTTCAGCTTTCTACATATGGCTAGCCAGTTTTCCCAGCACCTTTTATTAAATAGGGAATCCTTTCCCCATTTCTTGTTTTTGTCAGGTTTGTCAAAGATCAGATGGTTGTAGATATGTGGTGTTATTTCTGAGGCCTCTGTTCTGTTCCATTGATCTATATCTCTGTTTTGGTACCAGTACCATGCTGTTTTGGTTACTGTAGCCTTGTAGAATACTTTGATGTCAGGTAGCATGATGCCTCCAGCTTTGTTCTTTTTGCTTAGGATTATCTTGGCAATGCGGGCTCTTTTTTGGTTCCACATGAAATTTAAAGTAGTTTTTTCCAATTCTGTGAAGAAAGTCTTTGGTAGCTTGATGGGGATGGCATTGAATCTATAATTTACCTTGGGCAGTATGGCCATTTTCACGACATTGATTCTTCCTACCCATGAGCATGGAATGTTCTTCCATTTGTTTGTCTCCTCTTTTATTTCATTGAGCAGTGGTTTGTAGTTCTCCTTGAAGTGGTCCTTCACATCCCTTGTAAGCTAGATTCGTAGGTATTTTATTCTCTTCAATTGTGAATGGGAGTTCACTCTTGATTTGGCTGTCTGTTTGTCTGTTATTGGTGTATAGGAATGCTTGTGATTTTTGAACATTGATTTTGTATCCTGAGTTCTTGAAGGATTCTCCACACTGTTTTCCATAGTAGTTTTACAAATTTACATTTCCACCAATAGTGTAAAAGTGTTCTCTTTTCAGCACATCCATGCCAATGTCTATTATTTTTTTATTATGGCCATTCTTGCAGGAGTGAAAGTGGTATCACACTGCAGTTTTAATTTGCATTTCCCTGATAATTAGTGATGTTGAACATTTTTTCATATGTTCATCGGCCATTTGTATATCTTCTTTTGAGAGTTGTCTATTCATGTCCTTAGCCCACCAAGAACCCAAAAGCAAAAGCAACAAAAATGAAGGTAAATATATGGTACTTAAACAAAAAAGCTCCTGTAGAGCAAAAGAAATAATTAGCAGAGTAAACGGCCCATGGAGTGGGAGAAAATCTTCACGACCTGTGCTTCTGACGAAAGACTAATACCCAGAATCTACAAGGAATTTAAACAAATCAGCAAGAACAAAACAAACAATCCCATTTTATGGGTTATTTCTTATATTGCCTCTTCTGCTTTAGCACTCCTGGGCTTCTCTCTTAGGACCTCCTATTGCATATAGGTTGGCTATCCAGCTTCCTTTTTCTATATTTTTATTGTGTTATATTTGTATGGTTTCCTTTGTGCTTTGAGAAGCAGATCAAGATTGTGCTCTATTTCACTCCTTCAGCTTTCAGCAGTTTCCAAGCTGCTGTTTCCTATCTACATGTTATTTTAATATTGAGCAACTGTTTTTAATCTGTGTGCAATTGTTCTTTATGTTTTCTCTCTTTATCTGTGAAGGTATGGGGGTTAAACAAACTAAGTTAAAATTCTGGTTCTTTAATTTTCTAGTTGTATGACGCTAAGGTTGCATAGTTTAGCAAGTCATGGAATCTCTCTAGATGAGTTTCATCATATGTAAAATATGGACCTCTCTCAGCCTTCATCGAATTGAAGGGAGTTATGGTCTTGCTCTGGATTAAGCTTTGCCTTAAAGGAATGTTGTGGCTGCATTAATCTGCTATCCAGACCACTCAAACTTTCTCCATGTTAGCAATAAGGCTATTTTGCTTTCTTAACATTCGTATGTTCACTGGAGTAGCACTTTTACTTTCCATCAGTAACTTTTCCTTTGCATATACTACTTAATTTACTATTTGGCACAAGAGGCCTAGTTTTTAGCTCATCTCAGCTTTCGATATGCCTCCCTAAGTGTAATCATTTCTAGCTTTTGATTTGAAGTAAGAAACATGTGACTTTTCCTTTTTTTGAATACTTAGAGACCATTGTATGGTTATTAATTGACCTAATTTGAAGATTGTTATGTCTCAGGGAATAGGGCCCAAGGATGGGGAGAGGTACAGGAGAACTGCCAGTCAGTGGAGCAGTCAGAATACACAAGATTTATGAAGTCTGCTGTCTTACATGGGTGAGGTTCATGGTGCCCCAGAACAATTACAAGAGTAACATGAAAGATGTGTGATCACCAATCACCATAACAGATATAATAATAATGAAAATGTTGTGAGAATTACCAAAATGTGACACAGAGACGAGAAGTGAGCACATGCTGTTGGAAGAACGTCAGTGAGAGATTTGCTTGATGCAAGGTTTTCACAAACCTTTAATTTATAAACAATGCAGTATCTGTGGAGTGCAATAAAGTGAAGCTCGATAAAATGATGTATGCTAGTATGAGTTTTACTTACCACAGTTTCAATGATGCAAAGTCCTCTAGATTATTGCCAATAATTCAAATTAGATAGTTTTAATATTTTTTTGCTATACATCTCTTTGAGAAACAGTTCTTCAAAAATTATGGAATTTTTTCAATTGCACTAACTTTGTCTTTTTGTCCTTATCTTTTCCTATATTAATCTATAGTCAAATGGTGGATAAGCAGAATTCTGTCAAGAGTAACTCCAAAGCTCAGAGAGAAGGTTAAAGAGAAATAGATGATTATCAATTAACGATATAGCAGTGGGTGTGAAGGGTGTTGGGAGAAGGTCGAACCACTGTATTAGTGACATGGGAGGCACTTACTCTTTGGGCTTCTGATAAGGAACAATCATTATGGAGGGAGACTCATATACTTCCTGCCACCCTCTTTTACTCCTACCTCTTGCTACACCATTTTCAAGTTTGACCTCTGCTGTGTGTGCTTATTTATACTGTTGCTAACCTTAAGCCTACTCAGTGATGAGGGAAATGCAGAGAATATGTTTTTTTCAGGAACTGGTCACTGGTTGGACCATAATAGTTTCTTTCAGTCAGTATTGTATCTACCTATAAAATTTCCCATTTACTGATATAGAAACACCACTGATGGCTGGTTGTTATTGCTAATATAGGTTTTTTAAATTTGTATAATTTACATAATTTCAATTTTGGAATGAGAGTGGACTGGCACTTGCATGCTTTGCTCACATCACCATACCACCTAGAAGTACTTGCATTCTTTAGTATTTTATATCAGTCAGAAAATCTTATACTTGATATGGATTCTTCCTTTCACATCAAGTTCTTACATATGAGCTTTGCGGACTTTGGATTGAATTTACATATTTGTTCCACCCCACAACAGATTTCATCATTACTGTTTTTCTTAAGTTAACATTTACTTTTATATATGTGTTTCCATTTAATATAATAACCAGTGTAGGGCTGATTAGGTAACCTTGTATTCATGGTTTTAATGAATTTAAACCTGTCTGACTATGTCCGTACAATAATTACTCAATCTTCCTCTTTATATATAAAATAACAAAATTAACATCATTCTTTTATAGTCATACCTCTTACTAAAAGATGAATGAGTTGGAATATATAAATTATGTTGGATTGCTTTATACATTTGTTTCACTGACAGGATGTATTTGATGAAGAAATGGATTTGTAGATAATATAGCAAAACAATGTTAAGGTAATATTATAAAAGAAACTTCATTTTTGTAAAATATTTACTTGTTTTTCTATTGAACAGTACTACTATTGCTTATATTAAAAATCATTTTGTTTAATATCTATTTTCTTGTCACTTGAGAGTTAAGAGACTAAAATTCTGCTGATATTCATTTTCTTTAAAATGACACATTTGACTAGGTAACTTCTTTAAAAATTCAAGCATTAATATTCTTTGACTCTTTGAATCTAGTAGATCCAAACTCTTCGTTAATTATATAAAAAGATTAGCTGGCACTGATGAGACTGTCATTTCAGTGGCTAACATATTTTGGACATAAGTGTAATCGGATCCAGAGAACTCTTCTAAGGGGTCCAAGAGTTTGAGATTAAAAAGCATATGTACTCCAAAGTCAAGCTTGATTAATGTCGTAAGCAGTTCAGGGGAATATGGAATCCACAAATAGGAATCATATTATACTAGCTAATGTGAGATGAATTTTTAATATCCTATGTGTATTTGAAGACAGATTGAAGGGATTTCCGGACCATTTCAAGAGTTACCAAAGGAGAATGTATCACTGCTTTCAGTTCCGTACCTTTGTCCTTATGGGGGTAAGAAGACAAGTAATAATTAATAATTAAAATTTATGTCATTTACAATGAAATATTTGATTATGTAACGCGACGCTTGATTTTATTTGCATAACAGTTTATTTTCATGCAGTAAATTCAGATGTATATATGAAGAAACCTGAAGTGCTAGGCTTGAAGTTTAGAGCAGTATAATCATGCTTTTTGAATTAATTTCCAAATTATCTTCTTCGGAGCCTGTGAAATATGCGTAGGGCCATCTTTAGCGTTACAGTTGGGTATAAGCAGAAAAATCAGCATGGCCAATGGAACTGTTCTGTTTAGGGATAGCCCACCTGAAGAATTATATTAACATTCAGGGTTTCTACAGAGGATGAAATACTATATCTGTCCAAGATATATTGAATTTACTGGGAGTTATCTCATTGCATAGCCTACTAGCCAATTCTCAGGAATTTTGAACTTGAGATAGTTTGAAAAGTATTGTCACAGGTGCCTTTCCCTAATTATTTAAACATAAGTGAATTTCAAATAAAATGTAGCACTTTCAATTCTTACCAATTTTTACTTTTCTTCGAACAAATATGCATGGTATATGTCACTAAAATGCTAGAAGAAGTTTTATCTGAAAAATATATGGCCTCCATGCAAGCACACAACACATACCTCCATGTATTTTGTCAAAAAGCAAATATTTTATGAGTTCCAAATGAAGCTTAGTCCCACAGCTCAAATTCAGAGTTTCAAATGTTTATTTTTTCTTGTTATTGTGAAAATTATTTAGCTCATTTGTAGATTACCTTTCCTTAAAACTTCTTTTGTTAGGGATCAGGAATGCCTACGTTCTCTGGTCACTGGGCTTTTGAAATGCAAGAACATTGATGCAAAAATCCTCAATAAAATACTGGCAAACTGAATCCAGCAGCACATCAAAAAGCTTATCCACCATGATCAAGTGGGCTTCATCCCTGGGATGCAAGGCTGGTTCAATATATGCAAATCAATAAATGTAATCCAGCATATAAACAGAACCAAAGACAAAAACCACATGACTATCTCAATAGATGAAGAAAAGGCCTTTGACAAAATTCAACAACCGTTCATGCTAAAAACTCTCAATAAATTAGGTATTGATGGGACGTATCTCAAAATAATAAGAGCTATCTATGACAAACCCACAGCCAATATCATACTGAATGGGCAAAAACTGGAAGCATTCCCTTTGAAAACTGGCACAAGACAGGGATGCCCTCTCTCACCACTCCTATTCAACATAGTGTTGGAAGTTCTGGCCAGGGCAATCAGGCAGGAGAAGGAAATAAAGGGTATTCAATTAGGAAAAGAGGAAGTCAAATTGTCCCTGTTTGCAGATGACATGATTGTATATCTAGAAAACCCCACTGTCTCAGCCCAAAATCTCCTTAAGCTGATAAGCAACTTCAGCAAAGTCTCAGGATACAAAATCAACATGCAAAAATCACAAGCATTCTTATACACCAATAACAGACAAACAGAGAGCCAAATCATGAGTGAACTCCCATTCACAATTGCTTCAAAGAGAATAAAATACTTAGGAATCCAACTTACAAGGGATGTGAAGGACCTCTTCAAGGAGAACTACAAACCACTGCTCAATGAAATAAAAGAGGATACAAACAAATGGAAGAACATTCCATGCTCATGGGTAGGAAGAATCAATATCGTGAAAATGGCCATACTTCCCAAGGTAATTTACAGATTCAATGCCATCCCCATCGAGCTACCAATGACTTTCTTGAGAGAATTGGAAAAAACTACTTTAAAGTTCATATGGAACCAAAAAAGAGCCTGCATCGCCAAGTCAATCCTAAGCCAAAAGAACAAAGCTGGAGGCATCATGCTACCTAACTTCAAACTATACTACAAGGCTACAGTAACCAAAACAGCATGGTACTGGTACCAAAACAGAGATATAGATCAATGGAACAGAACAGAGCCCTCAGAAATAATGCCGCATACCTACAACTATCTGATCTTTGACAAACCTGAGAAAAACAAGCAATGGGGAAAGGATTCCCTATTTAATAAATGGTGCTGGGAAAACTGGCTAGCCATATGTAGAAAGCTGAAACTGGATCCCTTCCTTACACCTTATACAAAAATTAATTCAACATCGATTAAAGACTTAACCGTTAGACCTAAAACCATAAAAACCCTAGAAGAAAACCTAGGCAATACCATTCAGGACATAGGCATGGGCAAGGACTTCACGTCTAAAACACCAAAAGCAATGGCAACAAAAGCCAAAATTGACAAATGGGATCTAATTAAATTAAAGAGCTTCTGCACAGCAAAAGAAACTACCATCAGAGTGAACAGGCAACCTACTAAATGGGAGAAAATTTTCGCAACCTACTCATCTGACAAAGGGCTAATATCCAGAATCTACAATGAACTCAAACAAATTTACAAGAAAAAAACAACCCCATCAAAAATTGGGCGAAGGACATGAACAGACAGTTCTCAAAAGAAGACATTTATGCAGCCAAAAAACACATGAAAAAATGCTCATCATCACTGGCCATCAGAGAAATGCAAATCAAAACCACAATGAGATACCATCTCACACCAGTTAGAATGGCAGTCATTAAAAAGTCAGGAAACAGCAGGTGCTGGAGAGGATGTGGAGAAATAGGAACACTTTTACACTGTTGGTGGGACTGTAAACTAGTTCACCCATTGTGGAAGTCAGTGTGGCGATTCCTCAGGGATCTAGAGCTAGAAATACCATTTGACCCAGCCATCCCATTACTGGGTATATACCCAAATGGCTATAAATCATGCTGCTATAAAGACACATGCACACGTATGTTTATTGTGGCACTATTCACAATAGCAAAGACTTGGAACCAACCCAAATGTCCAATAATGATAGACTGGATTAAGAAAATGTGGCACATATACACCATGGAATACTATGCAGCCATAAAAAATGATGAGTTCATGTCCTTTGTAGGAACATGGATGAAATTGGCAATCATCATTCTCAGTAAACTATCGCAAGAACAAAAAACCAAACACCGCATATTCTCACTCATATGTGGGAATTGAATGATGAGAACACATGGACACAGGAAGGGGAACATCACACTCTGGGGACTGTTGTGGGGTTGGGGGAGGGATAGCTTTAGGAGATATACCTAATGCTAAATGACGAGTTAATGGGTGCAGCACACCAGCATGGCACATGTATACATATGTAACTAACCTGCACATTGTGCACATGTACCCTAAAACTTAAAGTATAATAATAATAAAATAAAAAAAAATGCAAAGGGTGGGTTTTAGAACTAAATGTAACATTTAAACAATTAAAAGGTAAATGAAAAATACTAGTATATCTTTATATAGTAGCAAGGAATTAGCATCCTTAACCTAAAAACCAATCAAACAAACCTCTTAGGAATCACGCAGAAAAACACTCAATAGAAAAACGGGCTAAGAGTATTAATCAGAACTTAATAAAAATATATTCTCTATTTCCACGAGTATTAATAAATGCAAATTAAAGCAATGGCATGTACGTCCATAAAAATAATAATTCTCTCTGTTGGTGAAGGTGTTAGGAACTACCTACTCCCATCTATTGCTGATGACTATAAACTGATAGAATGTTTGGGTGAAGTTTGGTATAGATGTAATAGAATTAAAAGTGCATGGTCGTTTCAATTCTAGAAGTCTGTACTAAACATATATGTGCACAAAGATTTACAAATACCTGCATATATGTACATATACTTATAGCACTATATGTAGTGCAAGCTGGGAAAAATTATATGTTCAAAATTGGGTTAGGTCATCATGCATTGACATATGTAACCTATAAAATACTTGTAAAATACTAAATGATGGGTGAAATGTTTTTAATGTAGTATTTAACCATCACATTCCCTATTACATTTCCACCATTTATTGAAATTTTATTATGTCCTAAGCACCAGGCTTGAGCACTTCCCAATTTTTTCTTTTTCCTTTCTCTTATTCTTCTCCCTCACTCTCTGCTTGCCTTCCTCCATTCATTCTTTTGATTCATCATTCATCTGCTGAACATCTCCTCATTGCTTGGAATTATTATCCATACTGAGTGTCTGATAATGAACAGGACAAACAAGAACTGTACCCTTAAGGAGTTTCTGTTCCAGTGTGGGGTTGGTAGTGATAGATAATAAAGAAATAAAGAATGTATCAGACTGTGATCACAATGAAACAGTATAATGTATCATGTATAGTATCATCAAACAGTATCACGTATAGTGAATGACTTTGGGGCTATAGAATTCTTACAGTCACCATTTTAGTTGGATATTATCCTCATTTTACATTTGAATAAACCCAAAGCCTAAAGAATTTAAGAAACCAGCCTAATGTTACTTGGGGAAGCTGGGATTTATACTCAGGTCTGTTTGACTTTACAGCCCATCATACCTGTTAACTACTGTGCTGTCCTATCTCTCACACGTTTACAATGTAATTCGCTCTTAAACTTTGAAAGAATAGACCCAGTCAACTCTGGCCCCATTGTAGTAATCTAAGTTCTAGGCCTGCGTAAATTCTTTTTTTGTTATTTTCTCTGCCTCATTGAAACTTAACGTGCCAGATGCCTCATTCTTGCTGGATGCCTATAGCAAACTGAATAAATTAAGTTCTTCCATAGCACCAGTTTAATGGTTTTATATGTTCCTTGGCCCTGCTCTTTGGTGTTACTACACGCTTTTGAATTTAGCAGTATCATTTAATGCCTGAACTCAAGGAGCAAAAAGGAAATGGTTTAGTTAGGGGTGTGTGTGTGTGTGTTGTGTGTGTGTGTGTGTGTGTGTGCGCGCGCGCGTGCGCGTGCGCATATATGAATGTCAAGGTGGTGGTAAGGGTAAATAAGGAGAGAAGCAGGGGAGAAAATTAGTTTATCTGAAGGGCATTTTCCTTTCTTTCTTTCTTTCTTTCTTTTTTTTTTTTTTTTTGGTACAGGTGGGGTTCTTGCCATGTTGCCCAGTCTGGTCTCAAACTCCTGGCCTCAAGTGATCCTCTTGCCTTGGGCTCCTAATATGCTGGTTATTACAGACCTGAGCCACTGAACCTGACTGGGATCTCTTTCTCTGTGTTCTCCTTAAGAATATCATTTAAATTGGTCAGGCGCGGTGGCTCACGCCTGTAATCCCAGCACTTTGGGAGGCCGAGGTGGGTGGATCACGAGGTCAGGAGATTGAGACCGTCCTGGCTAACATGGTGAAACCCCATCTCTACTAAAAATAAAAAAAATTAGCCGTGCATGGTGAAGGGCACCTGTAGTCCCAGTTACTCAGGAGACTGAGGCAGGAGAATGGCGGCGTGAACCCTGGAGGTGGAGCTTGCAGTGAGCCGAGATGCGCCACTGCACTCCAGCCTGGGCGACACAGCAAGACTCTGTCTCAAAAAAACAAACAAACAAACAAAAAGAAATCATTTAAATAACCTGCTACTCCATCTGGTGGTAGCAATACTAATTATGAGTTATGAAGAATGAGTAAAGTGATTATAACATATTTGTATATGTCTTAAGACATATAAAATGCTTAATGATTACCAAGCTCTATTACCACATTCTCTTGAGGTACTTATATTTACTTATGTCTATTTGAGTAGTAAAGCCAGTTACTTATCAAATATGCTAAAAAAGAGCTTTATAAATATACCAAATTGCTTGCTATTTGAAAAATATTATGAGACATAAATCGTTGGTGGTTTTTCCAAATTTCTAGAATTTTCACTAAATCCCATCAAATGTTACATAAGCAAAGGACTTTGCACAGTTATAAATTAATGCCTTCATTAATCATTTGTTTAGGAATGTTTAGC
Organism: Homo sapiens; assembly: GCF_000001405.40. Taxonomy (NCBI): domain Eukaryota; kingdom Metazoa; phylum Chordata; class Mammalia; order Primates; family Hominidae; genus Homo; species Homo sapiens. Next base: position 25,434,586 of record NC_000010.11, read on the forward strand.
TAGGTTTATGAAAATGATGTTGATACTTGTTTGCCCACGAGAAGCTCACAATCTAATGGAGAAAGGAATATAAGGAAATATATATAAATATATGTAGCACAGTGTGTTGAGAATAGTGATTAAGGTCACAGACGTTAAAGTCCATCTATCTAGGGCTTTTTTCCTGGCCTCTCATGTGATAGCTTTTAAACCTTCTTTTATGTCAGTGTTCTCCTCTGTATAAGGGAGATAATAATAAACCTAGTCTCCTAGGGTTGTGGTGAAGCTTAAATGTGTGGAAGTGTCTTGAAAAAGGAATTTCATTCATCAGACTAATAGAAGATAAGAGGGACAGTCTAGGCAGAAAGATATATATGCATTAGATGTTAGAGAGCACACATACATTCTGAGAAATTTAAATACTTCAATATGAACCCTGGAAAACCTGGCTAAGCATTTGCACTTTATCCTGTGGGCAGCTGAGATAAATTGTTGAGCTATCTAAGGATGTTAGACATGTGGTCTGGCAGTACACAAATAGGTTTGTAAGTCATTCATTCATTCAGTGTGTTTTGAGGGTGCACTAAGTTCTCAGGCATTGTTTATAAATGATGAACAAAACAGGCATCCTCTGTGATCCTATGGGTAGAGTTCATAATCTTGTAGGGGTGTAAAGACAAGTGAGTATATAAATTAATATAAATAATGCTAAGTGACATGAAGGAAAGTAACAAAGTGAGAAAGGATAATAAGGTTGGAGAGATAATGGGTTGGGGAGAATCTATTTAAATGAGGTTGTTTCTGAAGATTTCTCTGAGGTCCTGGCATTTAACCTGTGCCCTCAAGGATAACCAGGAGGTGGGGATGGGGGGAAGAATAGGGGTAGAAAACGGGTATCCCAGAAAAAGAAAATTATGTCTATGAAGGCACCCAAGTGTGAAGCAGCTTGAAGTGTCCTAGAAACTGAAGGATGCCATCACAGATGGACAACAGTGGCAGAGTGGAGAGGTGAGTTTGGAGAGGTCGTCAGGACTCAGTCATCCAGAGGCCTACAGGACATGGTCAAGTTTTATTTTATTTGAAGTGCAGTCAGAAGCCACTCAAGGATTTGAAGCAAGGGAATAGAGGATCTGTTTATCGGGATCTCATTTATAGGTGGTCCTGTTGATTGATTATTAAACCAACTTTTCTAGCTGCACTGTAGAGAATAGATTAGTAAGGGACAAGTGTAAAAGTGGGGGAAATGACAAGAAGTCTCTTGAATTAGTCTGGGTAAGAGATAGTCGTGGTAGTGCAGATGGAGAAGAGTGGCTAACTGGAAGATACATTTTTGGAGATAGAATTGGCAGGACTTGCTAATAAATTTGATGTGAGGGGAATGGGAAAAAATAGAAATCCATATTGATTCCTGAAGCTTGGGGAACTGGGTGAAGAGTGGGACTACTTACTAAATTAAAAAAATGGAAAACACTGAGTAGAGGATAGTTTCCAGGATGAGGGAAGGAAAAATCAAAAGTTCCATCTTGAAACTAGATTTAAAAACTCAGCAAATAAAAATACAGAATCCCTAGTTAAACTTGATTTTCAGATAAACAATGAATAATGTTATAGCATAAGTGTGTGCCCGGTGTTACATGAGACATGTGTATACTAAAGCATTATTTGTTGTTTATCTGAAATTCAAACTTACCTGAGCATCTTGTATTTTATCTGACAATCCTAATGGTTAACCTGTCTATGAGAAATCCAAGTTGAAATGCCAAGTGGGCAGGTAGATATTTGAGCTGGAAACTTAGTAGAGAAATTGGGGCAAGAGCTATAAATGAGGGTCATGAGCATTAAAACATGAGAATTTAAGCTGCAAGAATGAATGAGACCATCTAGGTAGGAAGTATAGAAAGAAGAAAACAAGGAAAATGCCCAGAGCTGAACTCTTTAACATTTTGAATTAAAGTAGAATGCAAGTCCTTTGAATAATTCAAGAGTGGCCAGAGAGGGTGGAAGGAAGCCAGATCATTGTCATGCTACAGAATTTTTAAAAAGGAAAATCCAGCCAACTATCAGGGATACTACTGCGTGATGGAATAAAATGTGGAGTGAGAAGGATGCGGTGGATTTGGCAACATTATTGGGAAACTTAGCAGTACACATTTATATGATGGTTGAGGAAGTAGAGAAAGCACTTGTACCAAAACTTCCAAGAATCTTATTTGAGAAGGAGCAGAAAAAAATAGCATGTTGACTAGACAGTGACAGTTAAAAACACAAAAAATTCTGAGCTCTTTCAGGGAAGTGTTTAGAGTAAGGAAAGAAGACATTTGAAACAATCTTTGGAATAGATAGAAGAAAAGAAAGAGGCAAAAGCAATGGAGGGATGAGGTCTGAGCTACCCCTAAAGGAGGAGTTTCACAGAGACAAAAAGAGAGAGAGGGATTCAAAACAGAGGGAGTTGTTGACAGTAGCAGGAGATGCAGAACAATTAAGAAGGAGGAGGCCTAATATAAGCTTATCACGGTAACTTTGCCACTGTTTTAATTATTGTTTTACTGGGACAAACTGTTGGTAGCTGATAGTATTAATCTTCAAAATCTCTTGGATATTTTTAGTCTTTTCTTTATTACATTTAGGAAAACTTGTCTCAAACTTAGTGTGAAATCCTATTGGGATTTTTTCTTTTTTGAGGCAGGGTCTTGCTCTCTTGCCCAGGCTGGAGTACAGTGGTACAGTCTCAGCTCACTGCAACCTCCACCTCCTGGGTTCAAGAGATCCTCCCACCCCAACCTCCTGAGTAGCTAGGACTACAGGTGCACATCGCCAAGCCTGGCTCATTTTTGTATTTTTTGTAGAGACAGGGTTTCACCATGTTGCCCAGGCTGGTCTCGAACTCCTGGGCTCAAGCATTCTACCCTCCTAGACCTCCCAAATTGCTGGGATTACAGGCATGAGCCACTGGGCCCAGTCCCTATTGGGATTTTGATTGAGATTGCATTTAATAGTGCAGGAACAACTGTCTATTCATATGGAAAAATACAATATTAGATCATGCCCTAACACCATTTGCAGTAAATTCCAGATGGAAATGAGCCTATTAGATTGATTTGATGATTATGAAGTCGTTGAGAACTTTTGTCTGAGCAGTTTCTGAGCAGTGTCTTCTCAGAGGTACATAAGTTTAATTGCAGTGGGCTCAAGAAGGATTGGAGATGGAAAAGTAGAGAGTGTAAATATACAACATTCTTTCCAGAAGTGTGTCTCTGAGGTAAGCAAAAATAGGGTTGGACCAAATGGCCATAGAGGAGCCCGAGGATTGAAGGACATTTCATCTTTAATGATGGGAGCTTATTTATAAATTGTTAGCAAAAGGAGAGAATAACAGGTTGAAAATACAGAGAAACATGGAATAATCAATGCAGCAGGGAACCATGTGTAACAGACGGGAATAGGGTCCTGAGTGCAGGTGGAGCTATTCACTTTGGACAGCAGAAGATCTGAATTTTATCTGTGACTACAGCAACAGTGATGCTGATGAGGCAGATGCCAATGGCTTGGGGTTAAGACAAAACTAAAAAATTCTACCTTGAATTTTCTGGCTGGGATTTGGAATAACGTCACTTACTAAGTGTTCTTGGCTAGAGTTAGGTAGAGATTTGAGAAGACTATTGAAAGTTTGGTATTGTCACTGTGGGGAAAGGAGGATGAAGTTCAAGTGCACTTAGAAGGATTACTGAAAGCCCAGATCGGGTTGGTTTCTCTGAAGTTCTAATCAAAGGAAGAAGAGGCAAAAAACTGAAAGGTAGAAAATATTGGCATCGGTAGTTATGTTAACTGAATGGTTATCATCTGATGAACTGCAAATGTTTTGCAAATGGCACTTTGTTTTATGTCCATTTGTTTGTTCTTAAAGTGGATTTATGAATTCATTCTCCATTCTTCAGCGCATTTACAGCATTGATATGTGTGACCATTAATTAATTTTAGAGAAATCCCCAGGAGGGAGAGATATAACAGTAATTAGCATCTTCAGTTACAAATGGAAAAATTGATGGCTAAAGATACTCCTGAGGTCATACTGCAAACCACTGTTTACTCATAATTAAATGAACTTCCTCCAAATTTAATGAAAGGAGCGTATTTTATGACTTTAGTGGGAATAATATGGTTTCAAGGCATCTTGAGCCAGTCCTGTCGTAGGAACTCAGGATATTGTTATAACTAGGCCAATCCTAGTTAAAACTGAAGTCAGGGGTTTATTTCTTGAGTCTTATTTCCTAATATAGCAGAGATTAGCAAACTATGGCTTGCTGCCATTTAGAAAAAAAATCAAATGAGAAAAATATTTTATGACCTATGAAAATTATATGAAATTCAGATTTCAGTGTCCACAAATACAGTTTTATTGGGATACAGCCACATTTGTTTGTCTACATGTTGCCTCTGGCTGATTTCATGCTACAGTGGCAGAATTGAATAGTTAAAACAGAGAAGGTATGACCTGGAAGGCCTGAAATATTTGCTCTCTGGCACATTACAGAAAAAGTCTTGTATTAGTCCATTTTCATGCTGCTGATAAAGACATACCTGAGACTAGGCAATTTACAAAAGAAAGAGATTTAATAGACTCACAGTTCCACATGGTTGGGGAGGCCTCACAATCATGGTGGAAGGTGAAAGCCACGTCTCACATGGTGGCAGACAAGAGAAGGAATGAGAAAGAAGCGAAAGTGGAAACACCTTATAAAATTGTCAGATCTCATGAGACGTATTCACTACCATGAGAACAGTGTGGGGGAAGCCGCCCCCATGATTCAATTATCTCCCACTGGGTCCCTCCCACAATACGTGGGAATTATAGGAATACAATTCAAGATGAGATTTGGGAGAGGACACAGAGCCAAACCACATCAAGTCTCCTGTCTCTGAAAATATAGCAGTTGTCTGGTCTGGTTTCTGCCCCTATCCCCCCATCTCTCACTACCTTACCCATTGGTTCTATCCATTGGCTGGTGTTATATAGTGTATGTCCTCTATGCATTTTGAAGCTTCCTATTATTTTCCTAATATTCCTATAATTTTTTGTAGCAGTGTTCCTCAAACGAGAGGTTAGGAGCCATCCTTGAGGATGCAGAGCTAATTTATACCCTCCACTCCTTGGATATTTTTAGTCTTTACCTTGAAACATGTGGAAAGCTTGTCAAACTCAGTGCAAAATCCTATTGGAATTTTGATTGGTATTGCATTTAATAGTGCAAAGAACAATTGTCTACAATTGTGTCTACAAAATTTTTTGTTCTTTGGCATTCTCTCTTCACCCAGTTAAAATCACGGGTCTCTAAGGCTACAGGAAGGCAACCACAGCGAGGAGCTGCACGTTTTCTCTTTCCGTTGAATATTTTTAGAAATGAGCTTTCATGAAATCAGAGCTCCATCTTATCTTCCCCTTTCATGTCCATAAAAAAATCATGTTCTCCTCCACACACCTGTAATTATATAACCTGGCTTCCTGAAGGTAAAGGTGAACCTGTTGGTAGGTTTTATTGTTAGTAATGTTTAGAAGTGATAGATTTCCCCTGGGATTTCACTTTAATTTTAGATCTGAACTCTTCCTCCAGATTACCTCTCTCGTCTCTCTTACCATACACAGATCTTAGAAAAGGAATGGAATGAATAGTGGCTCAGTACAGGGGCCTGGGCCACTGACTTCAGACTGAGCCGAGCTCTACTTAGCCTTGAGGGGTGGATAGGGCTGTTTTGAAAAGACACTGTTGATCATGCCTTGAGCTGGGATCCTTTAGGGTAGCCAGTAAAAGAGAAAAAAGGCCACTCAACACCCCCATTGATTGCTGCTTAATGTTTGTAGAAACAAAACATTGGTTTCCATTTTCCCCTTCAATTTTCCATAATAGCACCCTTCTAATGGTGCCTAAGAAATACATCTGACAGGGAGATACTTGTTGCATTTGGAAAAAGGCGGAGTTAACATGAGAAAGTTTAAGTTCAACAGAAATAACGTTCTTACTGACTTTTAAAATCTTGCTTTGCAAAGTCTCTGAGACTAAATAATCTCTTTAATGCTAATTATTAATCGCAAAGTGAAATCTCTTATTTATAAAGGTACTAGATAAGTGCAGGATTTTTGAGAAATTAAAATGTATTTAAAGTTTGTCTGCTGATTCATTTAACTTTCCAGTTTATTTTATTTCTCCATAAAGCATTCCTAAATGTAAGTATAGTACTGTTTTATAATACTGCTGAGGGCTCTTAAGGGGTATATGTTATTTTCTCTTTCAGAATATAATATTCAGATAGGATCATCTTTGACATTTCAGTAATACAGTCAATTTTTAGCTCTAGGACCCAAATTTAAAATAGATTAGAGGTAGGACTCATAGTCTCATTTCTAAAATATTTGGCCTTGTATTCCTTATGAAAAATAAAAAGGATAGGGAAGCAACGTGCATAATAATAGCAGAGAAGTTTAAAACATAAAAAAGGCTATAACCCTTGTGGGCCTATGGCAGTAGAAATTTCATACATAATTACTATGGGGGTTATGAGCATCCATATTTATTGTTTATTTACCTTCTGTTTTTGAGCTTCAGGACTCTCTTTATCCATAGAATTTTCTCTTCCTATTAACTCTTCTTATTAACTCAGAATCACAGAAGTCATGGTTCTGGTGCTCTGTCTGGCTACCTGCTTCTATTTAAAGGTAGCTCTATACCCAAATTCAGTTAGCAATTAGCAAAACGTGTACTGGCCATGCCAAGATAACCAGTTTTCCTTTTCCTGGCTCTTGTCTTTTGGAGTTTGCCCTTTCTGCTTTGTAATTCATTCCATGTTCTTCACCCTTCAACTGCTAGACTCTGGCTGTCCTATTTAGTCACTATTATTAGACACTCACTGTTGGCAGGTGACTGCTCTTTCCAATGAAGTCTCATGTGCTTGGGTTGGGTGGCTGTCATTTAAATCTATTATGCAATCAATTTCAAAATCTCTTGTGCAGCCTTTTGAAATTAGGCTGAGCAGACTCCTTCTCAGACCTTAAGAAGAAGAGTTTCTTGCAATAGGGTCTCCAAGAATGTAACTTTAAAAAATCATCATAGCTGTTTGTGGTATACCTCCAAGATTGGGAATCATTGACTTATAACCTTGAAAATTATTTTTTATATCCTGAAACCTAATATCATTTTTGCTCAACTGAGTACCAGAAATGAGACTTTTCTTTGTTAATCTTGTGTTTGTCACAATCACATAGACACTACAACTTTAAAATATCATGGTTAATCTCTCTTTTTGGCTTTCCTTAGTCAGGGAGAAATGAAACCAAGTGAAGATGTGTTCCTTGAGGGCAGTGAATTTCAGAGACAATGGAACGTGAATGGAGAGTTTAAGGGCGTTTGAAACTATTCAGGATTCTCCCAGTGAAATTAAATTCCTTGAGCTGTTTGTCTCAGACCATGAAGGAGCTAGAAGGACATTTTATTTTAAAATGTCTGTGAATGTAGAGAGGGCACAACTGTGAAAGCTGATTCTAAAAGAAATCAAATGTGAAGGAAAGCCCTTGATTAAACTACTCTGGGTGTTTAGCAGCGTGAAGTGACTGAGAGATGATAAAAGCTACAAGAACAGAAAGGAGTTTTAAGGTTTTTTTATTTTTTTTCATTGACACAAATAAGCAAACTGAGACATGCTTGCCTGAAACTAAATGAGCAGTTAAACACAGCAACAAATAAACCAACATCGCAGAAAGCAAACACGAGTGGCTCACCAGTGAGATAAATATGGGAAATAAGCTAAAAGATATAACTACATAAGACAGATGTAACAAAGACAGCAGATGAGAATCACATATAAATAACAGGAGCAGCTGCAGTTCAGTTGAACCCAGAACCCTCTCTTCTCCCATTATCTCTGTCTGGGCAATCTCAGACATTTTCTCTCTCTCCAGACCTGGAGTCTCAACTGCCTAATTGACATCTCTGCTTGTATATTAATACTCCAGTATATTAATACGTCAGTATGTTTAAAACTTCCGGATCTTTCCCTACCAAACCTAAACCGCTTTCACTCTTCCCTGTCTCAGGGAATGCCACCACCATATATCAGAGAGCCAGTAAGAACCACATCTTTCTCATCCTTGACATAGCTCTATTCCTTTCTCCATAGCTAAGTCCATTTCAAAGTTCCATCAGTTTTACAGCGTCGAATCGATTCTCTTTTCTCCATCCCCACTGCTACCATTCCAGTCCAAGATACTGTCATTTCTTCCACTGATTGTTATAGTACCTTCCTGCACCCAACATCCTCCTTCAATTTATTCTTCACCCCACAGCCAGAAACATGTTTTCTAAATTCAGATTTTATCATTTTAATACCAGTGCCTTCTCTTCGAAAGCCTTTGATGACTTTTCACTGCTATAGGATACAGACCAAAATCCTAAACCACACTTAAAACTTCCAGTATGGTCATGGTTGACATGGACCCTTTCTATAACTTCCACACCGACTTCTCTCCCCACCCCACTATTTTTTTTTTAAGAGACAGGGTATTACTAGGTTACAGAGGCTGAAGTTCAGTGATGTGATCATAGTTCACTGCAGCTTCAAATTCCTGGGTTCAAGTGATCCCCCATGCTTCAGCCTCCTGAGTAGCTGAGACTATAGGCAGGTACTGCCATGCTTGGCTATTAAAAAAAATTTTTTTGTGAGGCTGGTTGTAGTGGCTCATGTCTGTAATCCCAGCACTTTGGGAGGCCGAGGCGGACGGATCACCTGAGGTCAGGATTTCAAGACCAGCCTGGCCAATTTGGTGAAACCCCACCTCTATTAAAAATATAAAAATTAGCCAGGCATGGTAGCACCAGCCTGTAATCCCAGTTACTTGGGAGGCAGAGGCAGGAGAATATCTTGAACCTGGGAGGCAGAAGTTACAGTGAGCCAAGTTCGGACCACTGCACTCCAGCCTGGGCGACAGAGCGAGAGACTGTTTCAAAAAAAAAAAAAAAAAAATTTTTTTTTTTTTTGTAGAGGTGTCATCTCCCTATATTACTAAGGTTGGTCTCAAACTCCTGACCTCAAGCGATCATTCCACTTCGTCCTCCCAAAGCTCTGGGATTACAGTTTTGAGACACTGCTCCCAGCCCCTCTTCTTTTCTTTGGTACTCTAGCAATGCCCTTCTTTTTTTTGGTGAGACATGCACCCCAGGGACTGAACACCTGCTGGTGTACTTTTCTCCCTCTGCCATCACCCCATGTAGTCAGCTCCTGTTTCTTCTACAGATCTTTCAGACCTCAACTCCTCCATCGCTCTCAATGAAGCCCCTTCTATGCTGTCAGTCATGGCCACATTTATTTTCTATGTCCTATTGCAGTTTTGGGTATGTTCCCTGTAGCGTGGGGCTTCTCAGCATGTATGCTGTGAGCTTGCTGGACTAGATGATTCGTTGGTGTGGAGAGGGCTCCTGTGCTTTGTAAATGGCATCCCTGGCCTCTGCCCACTAGTTGCAAGTTGTGACAATCAAAAATGTCTCCAAACATTGCCAGATATCCCCTGGGGGGAAAAATTACTCCTGGTGGTTGAAAACCACAGGTAGGCAGCTTCCTCTACTGCAGTCTGTGACGTGTGTTTTTCTCAAAAACCTGAATACTTCAGAGAGCAGGAATAATGGGGGGTGTGTGTGAGTGTGTGTTTGTGGGGGAGGGGCATGTGTATATATGTGAGTGGGGGTGAGGGTATGTGCATGACTGTATGTGTGGGTGTGGTGTGTGTTGGGTTGTATGTGTGGAAGTGTATGCGTGCGGTAGTTGTGTGTGGTAGGTGTGTATGGGGGTGTCGTGTATGTGGGTGAGTGTGAGTGTATGTGTGTGTATGTGGTGTTTGAGTGTGAGTGTATGTGGGTGTGTGTGGAGGTGCATGTATGTGTGGGGGAAATGTGGGCGCATGTATGCGTGTGGGTATGTGTGTGGAAGTGTGTGTGTGGTGTGTGTGGAGGTATGTGCATTTGTGTGGAGGAGTGTGTGGGAGTGTGCGGGTATGTGTGGGGTGTGTGGGTGTGGTATATGTGAAGATGTGTGTATTTGTTTGGAGGGGTGTGTGTGTGTGTATGCTGAATGAGAGAATGGTAAAAAAATACCCACCAGTGGGGAATAATGTCACTACTTGCTTCTAATCTTAAGTTCACTATTTTGTTTCCATCAAGAAGGAAATTTAAGAATCCCATTTATAATATCATTGAGTTTTAAAGCATCATAATTTTGATGTACAGTTCCTTAGAGAACAGTAGTCATGTGATGTATGCTTCTGATCCATGACTGAAAAGCTCCAGATCATGAGACTTCTTAAGGAGGGGACTCAACTTCTCTGATCTATACAGGTGGCCTAAAATCCATTAATATACTTCATGTAGTTATATGAGGACTTAGTATTAATTAGTTGGGGGTAAACTATACCTACACTATAACTAATATTTAAACTTGAAATGGAGATGGAATATAAAGTCTTTCTTAGATGTAACAGAAATGTACTGTATGATTTGATAAGGTATTTTCTAGCAGCTTCAAGTAACCAGTAAAAATGGTAGACATAAAGAAAGTAATAAATGAGAAAAAAGGAACAGGTATACAGAGGAAGTAACGCTTGATTCTAAATGGAAAAATTAGGAACGTCTTCCTAGAAAATATGATATTTGAACTGCTTTAAAAGATGCATAAGACTTTCCTAGATAAGAAAGAGCAGCATCTGCAAAAGTCTTGGAATTAAAAGGGGTACAGTATATTCAAAGAAAGTCACTGGCTGGAAGGAGCACAGCATGTAGGCTCTGGAATGTTTCAGATGAGGTGGAAAGATTGGTAGGGGCTAGAATATGAACAGCTTTAAATGTTGAGCTTATAAAATTTGGACTTATGTATAGCAGACCATTATAAAGATTTACAAAGAAAATGACATGGTTACATTTGTATTTCATAGAAATCTCTCTGGTTGAATGTGGAAGGTAGCCTAGAATGTGTGAGACTGGAAATATGAAGATTAATTAGGGATCTGTTATAATAGTTTCCAGGAGAAATGATGAAAAGCATGATTCACGGCAGCAACACTAGGGGTGGAAGAAAGGGGGTAATTTCCAAAGACCATAGGAAGTAGAAATGCCATGATATTGGTAGTGGCGGCGAGAGAGAGAGAGGAGAGAGGGGGAGAGAGAGAGAGGGAGACAGACACAGACAGACAGACTAGGAGGACTCTCAGAGTTCTAATTTGATTTTCCACATGAATTGCAAAGCCATTAACAAAGAGAGGATTTAGAAGGAACAGGTTTGAATGGACAAAGATGAGTTTGATTTTGGACATCCTGAGGTTAAGGTATTCAAGAACCTCTAGTTGGAGAAGTCAGAACTGGAACTCAGAAGAGAGATCAGAACCAGAGATAGATTTGAGTTACTATGAGGGAGTGGTAACTGATGTTACGGGAATGGAAGAGGTACCTCAGAGGAAGGATATGAAGAAGAGAGGCAGACTCCTATCATGTATCACCAGGGAAAATTTCAGCTAAGGGGTGTCTTGTTCTAAGTCTTTTATCCGAAACTTTAATCACCTGAAGGATTTGTATTTTAAGATTCAGAAAGAGAAAGTAATGGAATTACTTTCATGTCCACTTGCATTGATTTATTTATTCTATTGGTATCAGAGAACTAGTGCAGAGATGCCTTAAAATAAGTACTCAGTTCTATTTACAGCTCTCTGTGAGTCAGGAAGTCACAACATCTTTGTAAATTTTGCAAGTCTTTGAGAACAGCCTTCATGATATGTGCTTTCAGACCACAGGCATATGGTGAGAGAGTTCTTGCCTTCCAAAAGCAGTGATTGAAAAATAGGAGGGTTTGAAAATGGGTTAGATAGGTTTTTGTACTGATTTAACATTAACGAATCCATTCTATTTTAATGATTATCTTTATTTTATTCTCTTGAGAGTATACTTTGTCCATGGCTTTCCATGTGTATTCATTTCAGAACTTCTTGTATTTTATCTGGCATATGGTCCATTTGTGTTAACGGCTAGAAGTGCCATTATAGTCATTGTAATTGAGTAAACCAGAAACATTCTATTTAATTATTTCATGCTCAAATCAAGTTCTAACCTATTTGCTTATTGTGTTGGGTTACTATAAAAATGTGTCTGCCAAAACCAGTTGTAAGTAACTAGGTAATATGAATAGATTCTGATATGAATTGATCTGAATGTTTAACAGCAAATGATACAACAGTGTTTCTACATCAGCCGTAGGACAACTTTTTTGTATCTGTAGTAATATTTTAAATCGGCAGATAAGATAGGGAAGATTAATCCAACAAGATCTCCTGTCAGTTTTAATACAGCAAATGGAATTTTGTTGCTTTATTTGTTTTTTATGGTTCCCTTTCAGATAAAGGCGTTATCTGAGGCCAGGAAAAAGTGACTTACAAGTTAAAAGGTTATAAAACATGATACTTTGAATTTAAACACAATTAAAATATATTGGCAATAATTCACTCATATCAATTGAATTGAAGAATTCACTGAATGGCAAAATTGTTTATACCTAAGGAGGACAGAATTTAACAATAGATTTATAGATAATATTTTAAAAATAATTTTTATGTGCAGTGAGAAATGAGTACACATATATATTTTATTAGTTATGGTACATTTTACTGGATATAGCATGTTCTTGAAAGAATCAGGTTTAAATTGAATTTTTGATAGCTTTTAAAATAAACTAAATGAATATTAATATATTTTCCCAAAGACCCAGAACCAGTAAGTGGCAGAGCCAATATGGAAACTCAGGTCATAAAGACTGCAAAGCTTATACATTTAGTTACCACCTTATGTGTGGTGCTCTGTCTGAGTCTTTCATGGCATGTGGGTGGAGAATGCTGAGCTCGTTTCTGTTAGTTTCTCGTTCCTTTCCTTGCAGGGCTTTCTTTCATCTTTGCAAAGTGATCAGATAGGTGTAAATGAATAGGAAGCATGAAAATGTCATTGGCTTAAATGTGAGCTAATAAAATATGCAACTGAAGGAACAAATGGTAGAAATAGCAGAAAGTTGTGTAATGTGGGATTATTTGCTAGTTTATCCCTCTTTCATGATAAGTCTTGCAAATTGGTGGCACTGACTTCATATATGTGAAGGTAATAAAGATCTATTGACTTTTTATCTTTAATCACTTTAATGTGGATTTTCAAATCCTTTATTTTTTATGGAAGTATAATTTACACAGAGTGAAATGCTTTGAAGTGTACAATGCAGTCAGTTTAATAAATGCACACACCTACATAACCCACATGTCTATGAAGATGTGGAAGTCTCCATTAGCCTCAGAAGTTTCCTATATGCCCCTTGGCAGTCAGTCCCACACCTCTCTCCACCCCTAACCAGAGATAACCGCTGTTCAGATTTCTAGCAGCATAGATTAGCTCTGCTTGTCCTAGAACTTCAGATAAATGACATCATGCAGGGGATGTTGTCTTTTGTGTCTGACTTCTTTTTTTTTTTTTTTTTTTGAGACGGAGTCTCGTTCTGTCACCCAGGCTGGAGTGCAGTGGTGTGATCTAGGCTCACTGCAAGCTCTGCCTCCCAGGTTCACGCCATTCTCCTGCCTCAGCCTCCTGAGTAGCTGGGACTACAGGTGCCCGCCACCACGCCTGGCTAATTTTTTGTATTTTTTTTTTTAGTAGAGACGGGGTTTCACCGTGTTAGCCAGGATGGTCTCGATCTTCTGACCTCATGATCTGCCCACCTTGGCCTCCCAAAGTGCTGGGATTACAGGCGTGAGCCACCACGGCTGGCCGTATCTGACTTCTTTAGTAGATAGTTTTGAGATTAATCTCTGTCTGTTGTGTGCATCACTTTTTCCTTTCTATTTCCAAGGAGTATTTACTTTATGAATGTTATGTAATTTGTGCCTCTCTTTGCCTGTTGGATAGATATTTGTGTTGTTTCCATTTTTGGCTATTAAAAATAAAGTTGCTATAAACAGTCTTGTGCTAGTCTGTGTTCAAATGTTTTTCTTTCTTTTAGGTGAATACCTAGGAGTAGAGTTTCCTGGCCACAGGGCAGATGTGTGTTTAATTTTATAAAAAGCCACAAGACCATTTTCCAAAGTGGTTGTACCATTTTAAATTCCCATTATCAATGTATGGAAATTCCATTTGCTGTAAATCCTCTCTCATTTTGGTATTGTCAATCTTTTTAATTTTAACAATTCCAGAAGATTTTTCTTTGTGGCTTTATTCTGTCAAATACTTTTGTGAAATTAAATTATTCTATATTGTAAGGCAATACAAATGTATTTTATAGAGTTTGGAAAATATTGAAAATTTTAAGTAATAATGTAAAAAACACCTACAATTCTGAATTTTGGTGTTTAAAATATTTAATATGAAAATATTTTATAGTATGTAAGTTATAATCAGACACTGTTTAGTCATTAAATGCATCCAAAAACCTTGAATTTTATGACATCATATTATTACACCAGATTGTATGATAATTCATTTTACTATTTGTCTACTTTTTGGGATTTGGATTGTTTGTAATTTCCCTCCAATATGAATAATGCTGCGCATGAAGCTTTCCTATAATCAAATCTTATGTATGATTCTGATTATTTCCTTTCAACAACTTCCTGCCAGATCATGATAATGATGTCTCATTTTCAGTCTTGATAGCTCTTATTTTTTTCTTACATCATTGGATTTTATGGAAATTCCAGAATAATGTAAAATTGCAATGTTAATATTGGGATTTATTATCCTTGTCTTATGCCTGCCTCACTACTAAGTAAGACTTGGGTGTTTGTTTATGGTAGAAGTTCTTTCTGCTAAGGAAGTGATTCTTATCAATGTTGCTTTCAACATTAATTCTAGTTGTGATAAGTGTGACACTCATGAAGTACCGTGTGCAGTGAGCACAAAACATGGGGAACATCACCCAATGTGGTTAGTTCAGAAAAGACTTTCCTAGGAGAGAGTAGAACAGTGGTTACCAGGGGTAGGAGGTGGGTACTGGAAGATGTTGGTCAAAGGAAATAAAATAGGAGGAAAAAGTTCAGGAAAGCTGTTGTACCAAATAGTGACTATAGTTAATAACAATGTATTGTATACTTGAACATCCCTGAGAGGAGATTTTAAGTGTTCTCACCACAAAAAATGTATGTGAGGTAATGGATATGCTAATTAGCTTGATTTAGCCCTTCCTCAATGTATACAGATATCAAAACTTGTTGTACATCATGAATTTTCCAATTAAAATTTTTAAAAAATTTATCCCAATACACCCAGTTATAGAACGTGAATTTCTTATATATTGTATGTTTTTATAAAATAACGGTAAAATGTGACTTACTAAATGAAATAGAGCTAAGTAAACTGAGAAGCAAAACAAAATTTAATAAAAATGATCAGAAAAAAAAAACCTCCTCCCTGACACTGCCATGTCCACCACCTTGGCTAATACATGGGAGACATTCAGAAAAACAAAAAACTAAAACCACCTTCATTGTGTGAAAAGTCAATGAAACTTAGACCTGAGGACTAAGCTGAAGTTAGCCAGGCCAGAGAGAGCAGGGAGGTGGAAATAGGCCAGGGTGAGGAACAAGAGGATCTCTGCAGCCCTATGGTGGGGAGCAGCTGCATGCATAAAACATGACCAGGTTGACAGAAGCCTAGTGAGCCATGGGGGACCCAAGGCTGGAAGAGCTGAGGGGCAAGCCGGGGCTGTTCTGTGCTGAAGATGCTCTCCATCTTCAGGGATTCATGCCTTCTTTTTTCCTTTTTCACGTTTTTTTTTTTTTTTTTTTAAACCTTAAATTTCACTTTGACAGATATTGGCATTGTGAGTTTTTTTCTTTTACATGATAAATCTTTAATTCCCTTTTCTGTAGACTTTACTTTTTCCATCTTCCCTTTCTTTTTACCTTCACTTATCTTGCTTCCTTATTCCGTAAAAATTTTTAAATGCTTACAGTATGCCAGACCCTAGAGACAATTTAGAGATCTCTACTCTTGATTCTGGTAGTTAAATCATCTGTAAATAGACTCTACTTTGATTACATTTTGTTGGTTTTGACCTAAACTGAGATTGTCTGTCTCCTTGCACTCATTTCATTAATTCCTCTCTTCCTTCCTTCTTCCCCTTCTTTGACTGGTAATAGGGACTTTTAGTTAATTACTGTTGTACAAAATTAGCACATAAAGACAAATATGAAGCAGAAAGTAAAAGCTCCTCTGTTTCCTCCCATTTCTATTTATCTTTTCCAAATCTGCCATCAAGAGTTAGATACATGCATGCATACTCATATCATGCCTTCATCTAATAAAGATTTTTAAGAATTATTTCTAAAAAATCCTTGGAACTTTTTGCCTGTCTATATATGTGTTTTTTTTTTAATTTTTCAAATAGCTAAATATCACATCATATGGATGAACCATATGTTATACTGTTTCCTATTAATGGATATTCCAACTGTTTCAACTTTTTCAACAGGTACTGTACCAGTGGTGCTTTGGTAAACATTCTTGTGCATATATTTTTGTGCAGATATGCACACAAATCATGCTTAAATAGTGCTTTAAGATAAGCCCCCTAAATGTGAAGTTGCTGGTACAATTAAGTATACACTTAAAATTTTCATAGACCCTTCAAAGTTGCCTACCCAAAGGATTCATCAGTGTGTATTTCCATTAGCATGAAATTGCCCACTTCTTAGCATTTTAATCAGTGATTGACAGTATCAGTCTTTTTAACTTTTTTAATCAAATGGGTTTAAAATCAAATAGAATAATTTTAATTTGCATTTCCCAATTACTTGTGAGGAAGACAAGTTTTTCACACTTTTTACTTCTATTTGTATTTCTGCTTTGAATTCCCTGTTCACAGCAGGGCGTGGTTTCCTATTTCACACACATTTTTATATTTCAGTAGAAGGTTAGTAAAAGCTGCTTCAGGAGCCACTATCCAGATACTATTTTAAAATGACAGCTTTACAAAATGGGATGTTGAAAGTGCTAGGGCAAAGTTGAGTAATACCAGTGTGTAATGTCAGTTCCATCCGTTTCTTTGGCCATATATTTTTTTTAACCTCTCTAATCCTCAGGCTTTTTCAATTATAAAGCGCGTACCTACTATTTGTTGTGAGGGTTAAATGTGTTTTGTGGGGTTAATAAGTGTGAAGTGCTAGAATGATAGCTGGTACAAAAATGCAGCTGTTGTCATTATTGTTATCATTGTTGTTACTCATTACCACATTTATTACTAACATTTTGTTAGAGTGAGGAGGTCTCTTTCATGGAGAAAAATTCCCTTGAATGGATGAACTAGCAATGCTGGATATACTTCTAGGTCCCCGTTTTACCCAGTAGAGTTGTTCTAGATGGATGTATTTCCCCACATTCTCCAAAATTGGCTTTTTGTTTTGTTTTGGTTTGGTTTGGTTTGGTTTTTGTTTTTGTTTTTTGAGACATGACCTTGCTCTGTCACCCAGGTTGAAGTGCAGTGGTGTGGACATAGCTCACTGCAGACTCAACCTCCTGGGCTCAAGCGATCCTCCCACCTCAGCCTTCCTGGTAGCTGGGACAACAGATGCGTGCCACCATGCCCAGAAACCTTTTAAATATATATATATATGGTAGCAATGAGGTCCCATTGCATTGCCCAGGCTGGTCTCAAACTCCTGGGCTTAAATAATCCTCTCGCCCCTGCCTCGCAAAATGCTAGGATTATAGGCATGAGCCACGATACCTGGCCAAAATTGGCTTTTGTATTTTTGCAATTCATTCATTTATATCTCTTTTATAGTCTTAAAAATGTAGCCAAAAAAGAAACAGAAAAAACTACAGTAAATGGAGTATATTTGTGGCAGTGGAAGAGAGTTGCTGTTCTGGACCTTGAAGTGGCACCCACCCAGCATGTCATGGCACTTGTCACATCAGAAAAGCTGGACTTCCTTATTATACAAACTTTTGCTTCAATCAAAGAAATAGATAAAGGGAAGCAAATCTACTCATATATCTTGTCTTCAACAAGGCCTTAGGGGTCTTACTGAGGCACAGACGTGTGGTAATTGTGGTTGGATGGACTTACTATTTTAAATTTTGAAATATTTAATTGACAAAGATGGTATATATTCAAAGTGTACAACATAAGGATATGATATACATTGCTTATTAATTATCAAAACCAAATTAATTAACACATCCATCGCCACCCATTCTGTATATTAGATCCTCAGAACTTATTCATCTTATAACTGAAAGTTTTTACTCTTTGATCAGTATCTCCCCACTTCCCCTGCCCTCTAGCCCCTGCAGCCACCATTCTACTCTCTGTTGCCATGAGTTCAACTTTCTTAGATTTCACATCTGAGTGAGATCATGCAGTATTTGTCTTTCTCTGTCTGGCTTATTTCACTTAGCATGTCCTCCAGTTTTATCCATGTTGTCACAAATGACAGGATTTCCTGCTTTTTAAAGGCTGAATAGTATTCCATTGTGTACATACACCACATTTTCTATATCCATGTATCCGTGGATAGACTCTAAGGCTGATTTCATATCTTGGCTGTAGTAAATAATGCACAGTGAACATGGGAGTGCAGATACCGCTTCGACATACTGATTTCATTTCCTTTGAATATATATCTGTTAGTGGGATTACTGGATCATACGATTATTCTATTTTTAATTTTTTGAGGAAACATCATACTGTTTTCCATAATGGCTATACTAATTTACATTCATCCCACCAGTATGCAGGGATTCCCCTTCCTCCATATCTTTTCTAATACTTGTTATTTCTTGTCTTTTTGATAATAGCCATTCTAACAGGTGTGAGGTGACATCTTATGGTAGTTTTATTTCTTGTATCTTTGTTTTTCTTCATTTCTCTGATGATTAGTGATGTTGAGCACATTTTCATATACCAGTTGGCTATTTGTATGTTTTCTTTTAAAAAATTAATATTCTTATTAATTCCAATTAATGAGTGGATTTCTGTGTATGTGTATTATGTGATGTGAGATAAGGATCTGATTTCATTCTTCTGTTTGTGCATATCTCATTATCCCAATACAATTTACTGAAGAGACTGTTCATTTTCTATTTTGTGTTCTTGGCATCTTTATCAAAAATCAATTGACCATAAACATATAGATTTATTTCTGGGCTCTCAATTCTGTTCCATAGGTTTGCGTGTCTGGTTTTTATGCCAGTGCCATGCTGTTTTGATTACTATAGCTTTGTAGTATATTTTGAAGTCAAGTATTGTGATGCCTCCAACTTTGTTCTTTTGACTTGTAATTGCTTTAGCTGTTTTGGGGTCTTTTGTGGTTTACATGCATTTTTGGATTTTGTTTCTATTTCTGTGAACAATGTCATTGGAATTTTGATAGAGATTGCATTGAATCTGTAGATTACTTTGGGTAGTATGGATATTTTAACAGTATTAAATTTTTCAATTCATTAACATGGGATATCACATTAATTTGTGTTTTAATTTCTTTCATCAATATCTTATAGTTTTTAATATACAGCTCTTTCACCTCCTTGGTTAAATTTATTTCCATATTTTCTTTTTAGGCTATTGAAAATGAGATTGTTTTATTAATTTCTTTTTTAGATAGTTTGTTGTTGATGTATAGAGGCACAACTGATTTTTGTATGTTGATTTTGTATACATTTTGTATGTTGATTTCATATACATGTTGGCTATTTGGCTATTTTGTCTTCCAAGTCCGACCCGGAGGAGAAATGATTAAATTACTCTCAATTACTAACAGCCTAATTGAAATGTATTATATTCTTTTTCTTTATAAGACAGATTAAGGCGTGGAAGAAATTGAAAGTTATGGATTAGGAGGGATAAGGGAATTACTTTGAAATATGTGCCTTACTTGAAGAAGGCAAGCCTGGATGAGAGGACAGAAAAGGTGACACGAAGCTATTAGTTGTCTGAAATGGGAGGGCTAATGGCAGGAGAGTAACAGTAAAAACAGATGAAGGCATCTGTGAGAAAGGTAAAAGAACAGTGATTTCATTTACACCTGGGTCCTGTTCTGCCTCCACCCACCCTGTCTGCCTCGCCCATTTTTAATCCCTATGAAACCAAGATTAGTAGTATGTTAAACCAAATATAAACAGATAGTTTTTTCTACTTCTCCCATTTTCCTTCTCTTACTTTTTTATCCTCCTCCTTCTCCTTATAAGATTTGGACTGTTTAACTTATTCTCTAAATCATAGAAGAGACCATGTATTAAAAATGAAGAATTTCTTCTCCCCTTGAATATGCATCAACAGTATTGGATTTTTCCATTTCATCATTTATTTAGTCAGTCAGTCACTCATTCATTTATTTAGTAAGGCAGTTGGTCAACAAAATTTTGGGAGTTCTGAAAAATACCAAAAGTTAAACATGAATATTTCATAAAACCCACTTCTTTATTTCTAGCCTGTATATGTATTTTTCAGATATAGTTTGACTATGACATTGGTAAATTATTTATTATATTTCACCAGGATGGGGAACTTAAATAGAAAAGCAGGTTGGAAAAATTTAGTTTTTGACATCTTGAGTTTGAGGTGCCTCTGTATAGGTCATTCAGGTGGAAATATCTAATAAGCAAATGAAAAATGAGTCTAAAGGTTAGAAAGAGGTTTAGTCTGAAGACATCTGTTTGGAGTTATTAGTTTAGAAAGTTTCAAAAAGCTTGTTACTTCCAGGAGACTGATTTAGTAATAGTTCAGCTTTTGATAAGGTTAAACAGAATTGCTTTTAAAAAAATCTGTTATATTATAAAACTTTTTTTTCTAACGTTTGGTTTTATAACATTGCCTTAATTTTTCAGTAATTCTCTACTGTCAGATTTCTGTATGTATTTAATTATTTCTCTTCTGTCTTTCGTGTCTTTCTGAGTTGATAGTCTGATCCTAATGTGTAAAATAATCTATGTTAGAGCAAAGGATTCATCACAGATAAGAAAGAAGACTAATTAAAACATCCATCAGTTAATGTGACCTTTATGAATTCTGTACGGGTTAGTATTTATTATCTAGTTAAGACTTGTGAATTTATTATTTGAAAATCGTTACTTACTCATGTTCATGATAGAATATATGAGACTCTAAAATATCAAGATATGTAATTGCAACATATTAATAATTCGCTGATAAGCATAAAGACCAATGAAACAGCAGAATTTAGTGAAGCAAATGACTAAAACTGACAACAAAAATGTAAACAGGATGTTAGCTAATTAATATTTTCCCCTCTTTTTTTACACTTTGTCCTTTGGCAGACAACTTTAAGAATGATACATTCAATGTGGACTAAATTTTATGATACCCATTTGGCAGTTCTTAATGCCCCCAAGTTTGAGGCAAATCGGAATCCAACTTGATCTATAAATGTTTATACCATTTTAGAGACTGAATTTTAAATTCCTGTTTTCATCATCTTTGCATCTAAATAACAATCGCTACCCTACAACCCTTTATAGTCTACCTTTGTTGCTTGCCTGTCAAATACAATACTGCTATTTTAAATTTCTGAACTGCTTCCTCTTCTTGCAAATAGGGGGCATCTGTTACACCTTATTAAATCATGTTTTTGTTCGTTTTCTTGCTGAAACGCTTATCACACTCTTTTGTATCCTTGTAAATGTCTTGTCAGAATCAAAAATTGTTGTGTTACATGTAGAGTGTAGCATAAGGAACATAACAAGTCCTGGAATGTTTAGGCTATCTCCAAATGTCAAACAAAACAGGAAATGTTTCTTTGTTTTACACTTTTTCTGGGCATTTCATACACTTCCAAGCATACTACAGAGGATAGACAGTGTGTTAAAGATAAACTTAACAGTTCTGAGAAATTCTCTTCCTATTACGACATTTTTCTCCTTTTTTTAGAAGACTGAGGCATTACTGATGAGTTCTAGCAACCAGTTGATGGGCTGTTTTGCCTAGGTGTGAGCAGTAGAATTTTAAAGTAGTTACCTTGCAGAACACAGTTCTTGACATTTCAAATTTTTAAAAAACCAGAAACTTCTAAGATTAAAAAGGTTCAAATGTTAAAGAAAAATTATTTACATCTGTTTTTACTTAGCAGTCAGGTGAAACTGAGGAATGACTTGTGAAGTCTATTGAACTTCTCTAAATATAAAGTACATTTTATGTTTTTAAAAAAATGATGTCAAACTCACTAATATTTGAGTTTATCTCAGTGTAACAAAGAGTGATGCTTTGAAAGGGTAATCAAGTATTTTCTCTCAATAGTGTCACATTTTTAAATATCTAATAATCTTTAGAGTTTAATTATTAAGATTTTTCATGGGGGGTCTTTGTTCCTTTAATAGTCTAATTTTTGTTTGAAAAATAATGTTAATAGCTTTGTGTGTGTGTGTTGGAGTCTCGCCCTGTCACCTAGGCTGGAGTGCAGTGGCATGACCTCAGCTCACTGCAACCTCAGCTTCCCGGGTTCAAGCAATTCTCCTGCCTCAGCCTCCCTTGTAGCTGGGATTACAGGTGCCTGCCAGCCACCATGCCCACCTTTTTTTTTTTTTTTTTTTTTTTTTTGTATTTTTAGTAGAGATGGGATTTCACCATGTTTGCCAGGCTGGTCTTGAACTCCTGACCTCAGGTGATCCACCGGCCTTGGCCTCCCAAAGTGCGGGATTACAGATGTGAGCCACTGCGTCTGGCCTGTTAATAGCTTTTAATGAGTAGTAGAAGTCTAAGCAAATGCCATTGCTTGTTTCCATAATTTTATGTTACTTTATTTAAGAATGTACAATAACCCCTCAAGACAAGATCTCTTTATGTGATATTTTTGACTGTATGACTTCTGTATGCTTTTTTTTTCATTTAGAGAATTTACTTAAGTGAAATATGAGTTACTCTATGTAGTAGTATTGGAAGAAAAAGGAATTTGAAGGTCACAAATAGATTACAGAGAAGTAGCAGCTAATTTTGCATATTTTTACGGTGAAGCCATCGGAAAAATGAGGCCAAGTAAGGGCAAAGCCATCCATATGTTAGGAATGTATTTGAAAGGCTTCTTAGCCAGAAAAGGGGTCTGAAAGATGAGGAGAAGGCTGATAACAAGTGTTTGGGTGCTAAGTTGCTTTTGATCATGAGCATGAGGGATAAGCTAAGTGAAGGGTATCCAAAACATTCCCTCTCATGCATCTAAGTTATTCTGCATCTCTGCAACTGCAGTGAGTCAGCAATTTTGTGATAGAAAATCAGATGAGACTAGAGGGGAATACATTTAAGTGTGCACATTATTTGAAACAAAGCAAAATGAATTGACAAGCATCTCATGTAAATTTTGAAAACAAAACAACAACAAAAAATCACCATAGCCATGTAAAGTTTCTGCCCAGCAATATATGATAAATCATAATTAATAATGAATGACTTGTTATTTCTAATTTCACATGTATATAAAATCATTAATTTTTTATTTAGTGTGTCATACTGTTTTAAATAACATCAAATTATGTATAAATCAATGTGAACTTTATTTTTTGATAAACTTACTCTTCAAAAAGGTCTTATTAAACTGTTCACCTATAAATTATGCTGTATGAAAAAATGGGCTTTCTTATGAAGTCTTAGAAGTTAGAAAGAATACCTACTTAAGGCAATATGAAATTTCTTTTAGTGTTTTAGTTAAGACCGTCAAGAATTTAAAATTGATTAGTAAATTTTTTATAATACCTGTACCAAACCCTTACTTGAGATTTATTTTTAAGTAGTTTGGTAGTGTTACATGTTTTTGTTATTACATTATTACATATTCTGTTCTTGTTACTTTGGGTAAGAAAATCACTGAGGGTCAGATTGGATGCACAGAGGAAATCTCACTGATTTGGGAACCAGCAGCTATGGAAGACAGGACTGTTCTGGCACTGATCAGCCGAGTGAGCTTCACTTCTCTGCTGACTTCATTTCCTCTATCTGTACTTGAAAGATTCATGAAGAACTACTGTTGACTGAGCCCCTGCTCTGTGCCAGGCAGCATTATTGCCAATCTCTGCAACAATATACACCTGGGCATTATGACTCCCATCTTATAAATGAAGAAACTGAGGCTCAAAGGTTGAACAACTTGCCCAAGATCTCACAGCTAATAAATGGTTAATACCAAAGTTCCAGACCATGTAGTGATCAAATCTATGTGGTTTAATCCATCAGTTTGTAATTCTCTAACTTACATACATTTTACTTTGGGAGTCTCTGCCATGACCTTATCTCTTCATTTTTATGAAAATAGCTTTTTTATTGCTGAGAATTCTCCTAAAAACCTAAAATTGATTTTAACTAACCACATTTTATATAATTGTGCCTTGACAAATTTTACTAAATTTGATTGATTTTTAAATATTTTATCACAGATCTTCTTAACATAAGCTAACTACATGCAGTCTTTCAAACTGGATATAGTCTATTCTTTTCCATTTATGTAATTGTTAATAAAATTATTGAAAGATAGTGTCCTCATACCTCTCAATGTTAAGATTCTCTTTAGGATCACCTTTTACATCTTTTTTTCCAATCCATATTGTGTAATTATTTTATCAGGTGTTTGTCAGGTTTCATATGAAGTCCCTCTGTCCATGAATTTCTCATTGAAATAGCATAATTAAAAATAAAAAAGTACAGCTCATAAGTTTGTTATCCTGCTTGCATTGGTATATCTTTTTTAAAAGGATATAGATTTATACAGTCTTGGTTTGTCATTCAAACTTATGCTAGTTCATCTCTTTCAAAATATAGTTCTATTGCTCTCTCATATTTTCCTCATAGATGCTGGGTCCAACTATATAAAAGTATATTTATCTTCAGAGGTTTCTTTTGTAATAGAAGGTCTAAATGTTGTAAGTCTGAAGAAATCAGCAGTGACCAAAAAAATAGCTGCCTTGTTTTAGCAAGATGTACATTAATTTCCCCAGAGGCTAAAAATGCTTAAAAAATATAAATGAAGTACTTAGTCCCCATAGAATCAGGAAAATAATAATAAGCCATTTTAATTACTTCTAAAAATGCAGCCTTGAGCATTCTTCTCTTCTTATTACATCCAGTGACTTAGCTTCCTCTGGGTGCTTATATCCCAGGCAAATCTTCTATGGCAATTACAACTGTGCTTCATCTTATGCTTCTATACTTGGCATCCAAACATGGAATTTAGAAATTGACTTTGATGTAATTTGATAGAAATGAGTATAATATAATTTGACATATTTTTTTGTCTATGGGTTTGATATCTGGCTGTTATAAACCTCCATAAGTCAGTTCTGAAAGTTTACAAAGTGGGGAAGTTGGGATGGAAATGGAGTAAGGTAGAATATACTCACCTCTATTGTAAACTTGGGAGGTATATTGATTAGGGTTTATGGGTTCCAAACCAGAGAGTTAGGCTCAATGATAACTCCCCCAGCTTTATATTCATCTGCAAAAATTATAAGATACAGTTTTTGATGATTATATGCATCAGCTGGTGCCAAATAAAAACTCATTAAAGAATATTAGTTAAAGGAAGGGCTTTGTTTAGACTTATTGCATAATATTTGCATATTATAATACCAAATCAGAGATTTTCTTTT
Organism: Homo sapiens; assembly: GCF_000001405.40. Lineage (NCBI taxonomy): Eukaryota > Metazoa > Chordata > Mammalia > Primates > Hominidae > Homo > Homo sapiens. Next base: position 25,460,199 of record NC_000010.11, read on the forward strand.
TTTTTTTTTCCCTCTTCTTTTGAGATGGAGTCTTGCTCTGTTGCCAAGGCTGGAGTATAGTAGCTCGATCTGGGCTCACTGCAACCTCTGCCTCCCAAGTTCAAGCAATTCTCCTGCCTCAGCCTCCCAAGTAGCTGGGACTACAGGCACCTGCTACTATGCCCAGCAAATTTTTGTATTTTTAGTAGAGATGGGGTTTCGCCATATTGGCCAGGTGAACTCCTGACCTCAATTGATCCGCCCACCTCGGCCTCCCTAAGTGCTGGGATTACAGGCTTGAGCCACCATGCCCAGCCTAAAATCATAGATTTTCTAATAGTTGAGTTGACACGAAGGTTTTTAAAATTTATTTATTAAAGTATATTACATAGTAATAAATGACTACCTCTCCTTCAAAGATATTAACATATTTCCAGATAAGTTGATCTATCCCCAAATCTACCCTTTTCTCTGGAAACAAACAAACAAACATTGTTATCAACTTAGTATGTATCCTCCAGACATCTATTTAGTATGTATATGTACACAGACATACCTTGTTTTATTGTGCTTTGCTCTATTGTGCTTGACAGATACCATGTGTCTTACAAATTAAAGGTTTGTGGCAACTCTACATTGAGAAAATCTATCATAGCCATTTTTCCAACAGCATGTGCTCACTTTGTATCTCTGTGTCACATTTTGGTAATTCTTGCAATATTTCAGCAAATGCTTTTAGTATTATCATATCTGTGATCACTGATCTTTGATGTTACTATTGTAATTGTTTTGGAATGCCATGAACCGCACCCACATAAGACGGTGAACTTAAGTGATCAATGTTGAATGTGTTCTGTCTGCTCCACCAACTAGCAATTCCTCCATCTTTCTCCCTCTCCTCAGCCCTCCTTATTCCCTGAGACATAACAATGTTGAAATTAGGCCAATTAATAATCCTACAATGGCCTTTAGTGTTCAAGTGAAAGGAAGAGTCACATATCACTCACTTTAAATCAAAAGCTAGAATTGATTAAGCTTAATAAGAAAGACATAGTGGAGGCTGGGATAGGCTGAAAACTAGGCCTCTTGCACTAACTAGCCGATTTGTAAATGCAAAGGAAAAATTGATGGGAATTAAAAATGCTACTCCAGTGAACACATGTATGATAAGAAAGCAAAACAGGCTTATTGCTGATATGGAGAAAGTTTGAGTACTCTAGATAGAAGATTAAACCAGTCACAACACTGCCTTAAGCCAAAGCCTAATCCAAAGCAAGGGCCTAACTCTCTTCAATTCTGTGAAGGCTGAGAGAGTTGAGGAAACTACAGAAGAAAAGTTAGAAGCTAGCAGTGGTTGGTTCGTGAGGTACAAGGAAAGCAGCCATCTCTATAACATAAAAGTGTAAAGTGAAGCAGCAAGTGCTGATGGAGAAGCTGCAGCACGTCACTCAGAAGATCTAGCTAAGATCATCAATGAAGGTAGCTACATGAAACAACAGATTTTCAATATTGATGAAATAGCCCTCTACTGGAAGAAGATGCCATCTAGGACTTTCTTTTTTTTTTTTTTTTTGAGATGGAGTCTTGCTCTGTTGCCCAGGCTGGAGTGCAGTGGTGTGATCTTGGCTCTTGCAACCTCCATCTCCCGGGTTCACGCCATTCTCCTGCCTCAGCCTCCCGAGTAGCTAGGACTACAGGTGCCTGCCACCACGCCCGGCTGATTTTTTTGTATGTGTGTATTTTTAATAGAGACGGGGTTTCACCATGTTAGCCAGGATGGTCTCGATCTCCTGACCTTGTGATCCACCCACGTTGGCCTCCCAACGTGCTGGGATTACAGACATGAGCCACCACGCCAGGCCAGGACTTTCATAGCTAGCGAGGAGAAGTCAATGCCTGGCTTCAAAACTTCAAAGGAAAGATTGACCTTTTTGTTAGGGGCAAATGCAACTAGTGACTTTAAGTTAAAGCCAATGCTCATTGACTGTTCTGAAAATCCTGCGGGCCTTAAGAATCATGCTAAACCAACTCTGCCTGTGCTGTAGAAATGTAACAACAAAGCTTGGATGTGATAGCACATCTATTTATAGCATGATTTACTGGATATTTTAAGCCCACTGATGAGACTTCTCAGAAAAAGATTCCTTTCAAAATATTACTGCTCATTGACAATGCACATAGTCACCCAAGAGGTCTGATGGAGATATGCAAGGAGATTAATGTTGTTTTCATGCCCACTAACACAGCATTCATTCTGCTGCCCATGGATTAAGGAGTTAGACTTTCACATCTTCTTATTTAAGAAACACATTTTGTAAGGCGATCGTTGCCATAGTGATTCTTCTGATAGATCTGGGCAAAGTAAACTGAAAACCTCTGGAAAGGATTCACCATTCTAGATGCCATTGAGAACATTTATGATTCATGGGAGATCAAAATATCAACATTAACAAGAGTTTGGAAAACATTGATTCTAACCCTCATGGATGACTTTGAGGCGTTCAAGACTTCAGTGAAGAAACTAACTGCAGATATGGTGAAAATAGCAAGAGAATTAGAATTAGCAGTGTAGCCTGAACATGTGTCTGAGTTACCATAATCTCATGATAAAACTTGAATGAATGAGGAGTTGCTTCTTATGGATGAGCAAACAAGTAGTTTTTTCAGACGGAATCCACTCCTGGTGAAGATGCTATGGACATTGTTGAAATGACAACAAAGGATTTAGAATATTACATTATTATAGTTAAGAGGATTGACTCCAATTTTGAAAGAACTTCAACTGTAGGTAACATGCTATCAAACAGCATCACATGCTACAAAGAAATCTCTCATGAAAGGAAGAGTCGACTGGTACAGCAAACTTCATTGTTTTCTTATTTTAAGAAATTGCCACAACCATCTGAAGCTTCAGTAGCCACCACCCTTATCAGTCAGCAGCCATCAACATGGAGGCAAGACCCTCCACCAGCAAAAAGATTAGAACTTGATGAAGCCTCAGATGATTATTAGCATTTTTTAGCCATAAAGTATTTTTTTCCTTAAGGCAAGTACATTATTTTTTAGACATAATGCTATTGCATTCTTAATAGCCTATAGTGTAAATTTAACTTTTATATGCACTGGGAAACCACAAAATTTGTGTGATTCACTTTATTTTGATACTTGATTTATTGCTGTGGTCTGAAACCAAACCCAAAATATTTCTGAGGTTTGTCTGGATGGATGGATGGATGGATGGATGGATGGATGGATGGATGGACAGATATATAGATGAGGTATGCCTGGATACATAGAGAAAATGTGTAGTGTTGTTTTATGTATATGTGTTTTGTATAAATAGTGTCATACTGCGTATTACTGATCATCTTTCAATTAAGATTTTTTATAAGTTTCCCAGTTAACAACTCTGGTTATAGTTTCATATCACCATTTCTTTCTATCTCAGGCATAACTAGGAAGGAGATGACTTTTTTTCTTGGTCTCTGTTATTTTGCTCATTGTCTCTCTCATCCATCTTCAATTTTCAACCACCGCCCCCACCCCCATACACACTTAGTGTCTTTTCTGTCCTTCCTCACCCTACCAGTGAGACTCTAAACAAGATTCCTATATTTTGCTTTGAACTTGTCAATGTATTACTTACAAAATTGTATATTAATCCTTGGTACCAAGCATAAAATAAAAGGCTCTGTGCCAGTTAAAAGATTTTCTAGTACCAATAAGACAGTGGAGGAAATATGTTGGGGAGCATGGATCTCTTCTCTGTCCTAAAATCTCACCTATTAGGTTCCTTCTCATTCTGTGAGGCCACAAAGGCAGCTCTTCCAAATAATATTTTGAAAGAAAAAAAGTGCGCATTTTGAACAGGACTTACATTTTATTATGGAACCACTTGTCAGAGTTCCAATTTATAATCTGAAATTATGGGCTCCTCTGCTTAGCCAGGAGCAAGGCAGTGAACTCCTAAGAAGATTATTCAACAATTACAAATGAAAAGGAGACAGATTATCTGCTCTGAGAATATATAAAAGCACGTACTCCTGCTACTGTTATGTGGTGGTGATGGTTGTGACACTGCTACTGAGCCTACTGGACATAAAATCTTAGAAGATATTGCAGGATGGAAGAGGCCATCAAACCACAGCATGACCACAGCCCTGGGAAGGTCCCCCACTCGAGGCATTCATCTCCTCTTGGGTCATTTTGGATCCCAAGCATTAAACAAAATTTGACTGTTAGCGATATATTCTTTCTAGTTTTCAAATTCATCATCCTGGTGCTGTTCTCTACCTTGAAGAATACGTATCTACTTATTAAGCACCAGGTACAATGCCAGCCATTTTGCATACTTCATATTTAATAAATCTGTCAGATTTAATAAGGTAAAGATTAAAATACCCGTTTTATGGGTGAGACCATTGAAGTTCCAGGTGGCCCAACACAAAGTGGTTATTTCATAATTCAAATTGAGATGGAGTTAACTCCAAAGTCTGTCTTCTTCATCGTACCTTGCAGCAGCTTTTCATGTCCTCTTGTTCAGCCAACCAATAGCATACAAATTATTTTACAGACAGTCATGTATAATATTTTGGATTTTCATTTTTTGTGTCTTTTTTGGAATGTTTAAAAAATAAGCTTCATAATTAGGCATACTATGCAAATGTACCTTGCCACTTTGGAAATTCTGCCAGCCAAAACCCATTTAAATGCTTGCTGATAGAAATTTTCTTTTCACCAAAAGCGTCTTCTATCTAACATAATGACCAATAGCAAGAAGCCACTCAAATAATCAAGGCTGTTCACTGACTAAACTTGTTTCTCTATTCCCAAATTCTTAAATTAATGCAAGCCCTGAGTTTTTTTTTGAGGGTTACACAAAGTATTTCTATATCTTTAACAATACCCCACAGGGATTTTTGGAAGGGGAATTAGAATTTTTTCTCCCTGGCTATCCAGTTGTCTGATAGTGCTTTTATATAATGCAGTATTGTGGTTTGGCCTTTCAGAATTTTTTTATTGTTACAAAATTAATTGTTACTACTGCAAATTATTTTCCTGTTAAGATATTTACACCACGTGTAATTTCTGTATACATTTTGTATTATATTTAGTGAAAACACAGCATGCCTAAAATGACCTGTTTTTGTGTTTGCAGTATTAATTGATATATTTGCTCTATATTGATACTTGAATTCATTAAAGCAAAATTTATTGTAGAAAATAAGATTGATTTTACTGGTCTTTTATTTCTTGCTTCAATTCTAAGAATTTTGCTTGGAGAAGATAATGCTATTTTAAGTCTAACAAAATATCTTAAGGTTATTAGATATATTCATGCTTAGCAAACTATTCAGAAATTTATTTGAAAATCAAATCAACTAATTCTTTTGAATTTTGAGTAAAGAATAACATGTATGCATGTTCACAAGGTGAGATACCCTTGTTATTTAATGTGATTTATATTGTGCACATAGCGAAGCTGTGTTTGTGAGTTTTAGGGGTTATATTTTAGCATGGTGGGAGATACGCAGACTTCAAGACCTTGTGCATGTGCTTTTTTTACCCACCAACACTATCCCACAGGTATTTGTGAAATAGTTTAGGAATGGCATTCAGTATGCACTGGTGGCTCATATTTTAGAAATACAGGCAAGATCTCGTTTGTAAATTTCGTGGATTGAAAGTGAGGGACTAAGTGGCTAAGTTGGCTGTTCTTCCTGGGTCAATAGGGACTTCCTTAAAGGGACTTTCCCCTAAGCCAAAATAGCTGCAAGCTGAGGGCTTGAAACTTCAACCAATCAAAGGGGAGTTTAAGCTCTAGCTGCAGCCTGATGTTTTTAACCCATCAGGCCCACCAACTCACAGGCGGATAGAAAATAAGCTAATTCTACAGGACAGAAAAAGGAAAAGGGGAGGGGTCATAAGGGGATATAAGCATAAGACACCCAAGCCGGAAACAGCAACCCTTCCGGGTCCCTTTTCGCCGTGCGGAAGCTTCACTTTCACTTTCATTTTAATAAATCTTGCCACCGCACACTCTTTGGGTCTGTGTATTTGTCTAATCAAGCTGTAACCCTCGCCGCTGTGGTCCACGGTTTCATTCCCTGAAGCCCGTGAGACCACGAACCCTTCGATCGAGAAAAGACCTTCAATCGGGAGAAGACTTCTCGTCTCAAAAGTATCTTCAAGATAGTGTTCTTAGCTGCTCAGGCTTTTTAATGATACAAATTTTAGAGAACAAAATCTCATGCAGCCACTGGCGATATTATTAAGCCTATCAACACCTTTATAATCAGTCTTTTTGCATGTTCTAGTTTTTTACCCACCTGAATACTAACCAATTTTCATTAATTTATTTAATTTCCCCCAAAGAATGCTGTCCTACTGCATTGTGGCATTTTCACAATAGCGTGAATTCTCCAGGCTTAGAAATGTAAGTTAGTAATGACGTTTTTATTTTGTTTTTTCAGAGCATCCGGGCATCGGGCCTTATCCTGTTGGAAACGATCCTTTTTGGATCTCTGCTCCTATACTTTCCAGTAAGTAACAGAATTTTGTTTTTAAAGTAGAAATTTATTTTATGTTGCATACTATAAAGTTACTGTTTACACACACACACACACACATACACACACCCTGGTGTTACTAGGAAGTGTGGAGGTTTTGGCTCTTGTCTTACTTGAAAGAAAGACTTTGGCCAAGAGACAATTAGTAAAGTAAGCAAAGGTTTATTGAAGGAAGTTGTTGATTAAAAGAGTCAAACTCTAAAATATTTGAAGAGATTTAATCTGAGCCAAATATGAGTGACCATGGCCCCTGACACAGCCCTCAGGAGGTCCTGAGAGCATGTGCCCAGGGTGGTTGGGGTGCAGCGTGGTTTTATACATTTTAGGGAGGCATGAGACTTCAATCAGATTCGAGCAATACGTTGGTTTGGTCCAGAAAGGCAGGACAATTTGAAGTGTGGGGGACTTCCAGACTATAGGTAAATTTAAACATTTTCTGGTTGACAATTGGTTGAATCTGTCTAAAGACCTGGGATCAATAGAAAGGAAATGTTCAAGTTAAGATAAAAGACTGTGGAGACCAAGGTTCTTTTGAAGTCTCATAGTGGCTGCCCTTAGAGACAATAGATGACAGATGTCTCCTATTCGGACTATTAAAAGGTGCTAGCCACTCAGTATCTTCAGGATTGGGAGGGCCTGGAAGAAAAACATCTAGCTATGTTAATAGAGACTCTTACAGATGAAAATTTGCCCCCACAAAGGACGACTTTGCAGGACCATTTCAAAATATGGCACAGAAACATGTTCTAGGGTAAAAATATTATGATTTTCTTCTTTGTCACATACTGTTACGCCAGAGTCAGATTGGAAAGTAACTCATGAGATAGAGGGTTAAATAAAACCTATCTAATGAGAATTTATGGTTTGTAGGGCATGACTCCCCAGACCCCTTAGATAGGAATTTGGGCAAGATAAAAATCGGAGCTTGGTCCTCAAAGTACACGTCAAGAGAAGAGTGGGCTGGTCTGGGTGGAAAGTAGTAGCAGAGAACAGTACACTTGGAAAGATGGGGCAAAGCGGGCTGCTTGAAAGAGGATGAGCCAGCAGCTCTAACAGTTCTGCATTGCTGATTTTATTATGTCAGACCCTTTAAGTTCCTGTCTGTGTCTCAAGTCTCTGCCTTTGTCTCTGACTAGTTTCCCGCTTCTGCCTCAAGTCCCCACCCAGTTCCCGCCCCAGGTTTGTAGAATTCTCCCTTGCTGTCTGTTGATGTACATGTGCTGCCTAGCATTAGATATGAATTCTGCCTAATGGCAGCATTGCTCCGTACCACCATCCCAGGAAGGTCGTATCGTGGTTAAATCTGTACTTATTGCACCTGCGTATCTCTTAGGAATTTCTCCTTTGCCCTCTTTCCCTCTTCTCAGCATGTAGCTAGCTACATTCTGACAGGTTAACTGCAGAATGAGTGATCATTGGGCATCTTAAGGAGTGTTTGGGGGCGTTCCTTTCTGCATAGGTATTTCCCCTCTCTCTGCTCATATCTATCATGCAACTTCTGGGGTGCGAAATTTTTTGGACTTCCCTTTTTCAGGGGCTCCCCACTCCTGCTCATGTCTGGCTATCTGCCTACTCTAACGCAAATTCTTTACAGGTATTTAAATCCTGGTTTTTACCATTTGAATGACCTTAGACAAGTTACCTAACATTCCTAAACCTTGTTTTTTCTTATAAAATGGAGCTAATTATACTTTTCTTCCCAAATTTGTGAGGAAGGTTAAATGCTTAAGTGTGACTGCATATGAAAGGCAAAGTTGGTATGTATGCGTAATATATACAAGTAAGTATCGCTTTCCTTCTTCCTTCTCCTCTACCTGAATCAGAACCATGAGACACACCAATTAATGTTGGAAAAATTGAAATTGTTACATAGTAAAATAAGCATGATGAAATAAATGTATGTATGGTGCTAGTGGCTTAGGTAATCATAGTGGACGCTAGCATACCAGTAACATGTCTGAAACCAGAAGATAAGTACTGACTTTACAAGTTCAACTCAGCCAACTTACGTTCAGTGGTTATTGTGTGCCAAGCACTGTGCTAATTTCTGGGAATACTCTATCAGCAAGACAAACTTGATTTCTCCTTTCAAGAAGCTTACAGTGTAGAGGAAGAGATGAGTTAATGCAAACAATGATAATACAATGTGACAAACACTAAGAAAGCAGTAAAGACAGGATGCTGTGGAGGCACTTAGGAGAGATACCTAATCAAGTTTAGGGAATAAAATATCCCTTGGCAGAGACCTGAAAGGTGAGTAGGTGTAAGAGAAGGAAAGGTACGGCTGCCGGGACATCAGATTCTTTTTGGTTTTTGTCTTACTTCACTCCCTGCTCCATCTCAGCCTGCTTTGTTGATTCTTCATTTTAACTCCCACTTCTTCATACTTGAATGCCTCAGGACTGAGTTCTTGTAGCTTTTCTTAATGTACACTCTCTCTTGGTGATCTCATCTAGCCTCAAAGTTTAAGTACTATTTATATGCCAATGACTGCTGAATTTATATCTCCAGCCCAAACCTTTCTCCTGAGCTCCCAACTCATATTCAGCTGCTTAGGCAACCACTCCATTTGCATGTCCAGCAAAATTCCCTATCATATTTTCAACAGAGGCACTGATCTCTCCCTCAGATTCAGCCTTCCAGTGTCCACTGATGGCAGCTCTATCCTTCTAGTTACTCAGGCCAAAAGCCTAGGACTCATTATTGATACCACTCTTTCTCTCATATTAGAAAACCTTTTAAAATACAGCAAGAATCGGCCGGGCCTGGTGGCTCACACCTGTAATCCCAGCACTTTGGGAGGCCAAGTGGGTGGATCATGAGGTCAGGAGATCGAGACCATCCTGTCTAACACGGTGAAACCCCATCTCTACTGAAAATACAAAAAATTAGCCAGGCGCAGTGGCAGGCACCTGTAGTCCCAGCTACTTGGGAGGCTGAGGTAGGAGAATGGTGTGAACCTGGGAGGTGGAGGTTGCAGTGAGCCGAGATTGTGCCACTGCATTCCAGCCTGGGCAACAGAGCGAGACTCCATCTCAAAAAAAAAAAAAAAAAAAAAAAAAAGATGCAGCAAGAATCTAATGAGCCCCCCCCAACATTCACTGCTACCACCTGGTCTAAACTGTGATCCACCCCTCCTGGATTGTTGCCATGTTCTCTTACTAGCCTTTCTTCTTCCATGCTAGCCGCCTAGAATCTATTTTGAAAATGTCAGCCAGTTTTAACATGAAAATTAGACTGACTATGTCACTCCTCTTCCCAAAACTCCCCAAAGATTCCCCAATTTACTTAGAGTAAAAGCCAACATCCTTCCTGTGGCCACTAAGGCTTAATGTAATTTGGACACTGCCCCTGTATAACATCATTTTCTAATCCTTTTCCTGCACTCAATATGTAGATCGAGTGTTCTTTATTCAGGTCTCGAATTAATTTTTCTATTTATTCTTAAAATAGAGATATATTTACATATAATCAGTGCTGTGATCTGACCATGTACTCCAAAATGTATGTGTTAGAAACTTAATCTCCAATGCAATGTTGTTGAGAAGTGGGGTATTTTCGGAGGTGTTTAGAGCCCTCATGTATGGGTGAATGCCCTTAACATGTAAAAGAGCTCGGTGGAGGGAGTTTGGCCCTTTTTGTTCTTCTCCCTTCCACCCAGCAAGAAGGCCTTCACCAGAAACCGGATGCTGACACTTTGATCTTGCATTTTTCAGCCTCCAACACTGTGAGAAATAAATTTGTATTCTTTGTAAATTACCCAGTCTCAGGTATTTTGTTGTTATAGCAGCACAAACAGACTAAGACAATCAGTATTAATTTTTTCATAAAGTCATCCATATTAAGTTTTCTAATTTTCTAGCATAGAGTTATGCATAATAATTAGTAACAGAAGCAATGCAGCAGTATAAAGACTGAGTGTTTATTGTTGGTACACTTCCTGTATAAATGGAGTGTCATGCATCTTAACATTTAATCTTTCCCACAGAACCCTAGGGCAGATATTTAACCAAAGTCATCAGATCACCTAATAAAGAATGAAATATCTGAAATGACCTCAGTAACCTGATGAAAATTTTTAATTATCTGAATATCTGTTGCTACTATAATCTTTTTTTTGAACCTCTGCTATTTTAAAATCAATTTTCCACCCAGTAGCCAGAGGGATTTAAAAATGTCAAATCTAGGCTGTCACCTCTTTGATGTCTTCTTTTTTTTAATTATTATTATACTTTAAGTTCTAGGGTACATATGCACAATGTGCAGGATTGTTACATATGTATACATGTGCCATGTTGGTGTGCTGCACCCATTAACTTGTCATTTATATTAGGTATATCTCCTAATGCTATCCCTTGCCCCTCCCCCCACCCCATGACAGGCCCCGGTGTGTGATGTTCCCTCCCCTGTGTCCAACTGTTCTCATTGTTCAATTCCCACCTGTGAGTGAGAACATGTGGTGTTTGGTTTTTTGTCCTTGTGATAGTTTGCTGAGAATGATGGTTTCCAGCTTCATCCATGCCCCTGTGAAGGACATGAACTCATCCTTTTTTATGGCTGCATAGTATTCCATGGTGTATATGTGCCACATTTTCTTAATCCCAGTCTATCATTGATAGATATTTGGGTCGGTTCCAAGTCTTTGCTATTGTGAATAGTGCCACAATAAATATACGTGTGCATGTGTCTTTATAGCTGCATGATTTATATTCCTTTGGGTATATACCCAGTAATATGGGATTGCTGGGTCAAATGGTATTTCTAGTTCTAGATCCTTGAGGAATCGCCACACTGTCTTCCACAATGGTTGAACTAGTTTACAGTCCCACCAATAGTATAAAAGTGTTCCTATTTCTCCATATCCTTTCCAGCACCTGTTGTTTCCTGACTTTTTAATGATCACCATTCTAACTGGTGTGAGATGGTATCTCATTGTGGTTTTGATTTGCATTTCTCTGATGGCCAGTGATGGTGAGCATTTTTTCATGTGTCTGTTGGCTGCATAAATATCTTCTTTTGAGAAGTGTCTGTTCATATCCTTCGCCCACTTTTTGATGGGGTTGTTTGTTTTTTTCTTGTACATTTGTTCGTATTCTTTGTAGATTCTGGATATTAGCCCTTTGTCAGATGAGTAGGTTGCGAAAATTTTCTCCCATTTTGTAGGTTGCCTGTTCACTCTGATGGTAGTTTCTTTTGCTGTGCAGAAGCCCTTTAGTTTAATTAGATCCCATTTGTCAATTTTGGCTTTTGTTGCCATTGCTTTTGGTGTTGTAGACATGAAGTCCTTGCCCATGCCTATGTCCTGAATGGTATTGCCTAGGTTTTCTTCTAGGGTTTTTATGGTTTTAGGTCTAACATTTAAGTCTTTAATCCATTTTGAATTAATTTTTGTATAAGGTGTAAGGAAGGGATCCAGTTTCAGCTTTCTACATATGGCTAGCCAGTTTTCCCAGCACCATTTATTAAATAGGGAATCCTTTCCCCATTTCTTGTTTTTGTCAGGTTTGTCAAAGATCAGATGGTTGTAGATGTGTGGTATTATTTCTGAGGGCTCTGTTCTGTTCCATTGGTCTATATCTCTGTTTTGGTACCAGTACCATGCTGTTTTGGTTACTGTAGCCTTGTAGTATAGTTTGAAGTCAGGTAGTGTGATGCCTCCAGCTTTGTTCTTTCAGCTTAGGATGGACTTGGCAATGTGGGCTCTTTTTTGGTTCCATATGAACTTTAAAATAGTTTTTTCCATTTCTGTGAAGAAAGTCATTGGTAGCTGGATGGGGATGGCATTGAATCTATAATTTGCCTTGGGCAGTATGGCCATTTTCACGATATTGACTCTTCCTACCCATGAGCATGGAATGTTCTTCCATTTGTTTGTGTCCTCTTTTATTTCCTTGAGCAGCGGTTTGTAGTTCTCCTTGAAGAGGTCCTTCACATCCCTTGTAAGTTGGATTCCTAGGTATTTTATTCTATTTGAAGCATTGTGAATGGGAGTTCACTCATGATTTGGCTGTTTGTTATTGGTGTACAAGAATGCTTGTGATTTTTGCACATTGATTTTGTATCCTGAGACTTTGCTGAAGTTGCTTATCAGCTTACGGAGATTTTGGGCTGAGACACTGGAGTTTTCTAAATATACAATCATGTCATCTGGAAACAGGGACAATTTGACTTCCTCTTTTCCTAATTGAATACCCTTTATTTCCTTCTCCTGCCTGATTGCCCTGGCCAGAACTTCCAACACTATGTTGAATAGGAGTGGTGAGAGAGGGCATCCCTGTCTTGTGCCAATTTTCAAAGGGAATGCTTCCAGTTTTTGCCCATTCAGTATGACATTGGCTGTGGGTTTGTCATAGATAGCTCTTATTATTTTGAGATACGTCCCATCAATACCTAATTTATTGAGAGTTTTTAGCATGAACGGTTGTTGAATTTTGTCAAAGGCCTTTTCTGCATCTATTGAGATAATCATGTGGTTTTTGTCTTTAGTTCTGTTTATATGCTGGATTACATTTATTGATTTGCGTATATTGAACCAGCCTTGCATCCCAGGGATGAAGCCCACTTGATCATGGTGGATAAGCTTTTTGATGTGCTGCTGGATTCGGTTCGCCAGTATTTTATTGAGGATTTTTGCATTGATGTTCATCAGGGATATTGGTCTAAAATTCTCTTTTTTTGTTGTGTCTCTGCCCAGCTTTGGTATCAGGATGATGCTGGCCTCATAAAATGAGTTAGGGAGGATTCCCTCTTTTTCTGTTGATTGGAATAGTGTCAGAAGGAATGGTCCCAGCTCCTCCTTGTACCTCTGGTAGAATTCGGCTGTGAATCCATCTGGTGCTGGACTTTTTTTGGTTGGTAGGCTATTAATATTGCCTCAATTTCAGAGCCTGTTATTAGTCTATTCTGGGATTCAACTTCTTTCTGGTTTAGTCTCAGTAGAGTGTATGTGTCGAGGAATTTATCCATTTCTTCTAGGTTTTCTAGTTTATTTGCATAGAGGTGTTTATAGTCTTTGCCCATCTCCCCAGCCTCATCTTATATTACCTTTCTTCTCACTTTCTACTCTCCAACCACCCTGACCTTATTTCAGTTCTCAGATAAAACATGATCTCTTTCATGATAGACATAATAATGGTCTCCAACAATGTCCACAATCCTAATCTCTGGAACCTGTTTGAATATGTTACCTTACATGGAAAAATGGACTTTGCTGATATGATTATGTTAAAAACTTTGAGATGGGGAGATTATCCTGGATTATCTGGGTGTGACCATGGATCCTAAGTGAAAAGAGGGAAGCAGAAGAGAGACAACCAAATAGATGGCATGATGAAAAAGATTGGCTGGCATTGCCAACTTTGAAGATAAATGAGGGAGGTTGCAAGCCCAAGAATGCAGGCAGCCTCTAGAGGCTGGAAAAGTCTAGTAAATAAGTTCTTCCCTTGACCCTCTACAAGGAAGGCAGCTCTGCAACACCTTGATTTTAGTTCCTTAAGACTCATTTTGGGCATAGGATCTCCGGAACTGTAAAATAATAAGTCAATGTTGTTTAAAGCCACTAAGTTTACGACACTATTTATAGTGGCTATAGGAAACTAAGATACCCCTTGTGATAGGACCTCTTCACCTACATTATTTTGGTTTTGAAGATTCTTCCTCTTTTCCTTTTCCTCACCCCTACCCTACCATCCTTTAGGCTAATTAGCATATAGTCATCTTCTAGATTTCTAGATAAGTATCAGTTTTTTAGAAATGCTTTCCTCGACCCCTAATCTGAGTCAGATTCCTTGCAATAACTTCTCATGGAATCCTGCTCTTTCTTGACAACACTTGTTTCAATTTGTAATTACGCATTCAAAAGTCTGATTATTTGATAATGTCATTCTCTTGCACAGATATTAAATTCTGTGAGAGTAGGGCATGTTTCTGTCTTGCTCGGCACTGCATCTGCAGCAATTAGCCCAGTGCCTGTCACCGTAGTAGAAGCACAGTAAATAGGCACGGAATGAGTGAACAAGTTATACTTAGATGAACTTAGAAATGTACCCTAAACTAGTGCCTACTGTCCTGTTGAAGCACCCTCCAAAGACTCTGCTTGATTGTGGAAGACTAAGAATGAGGGCCCTTATTTATATTTATTTAGCATCTGCAGTTAGGCAATAAAAACACTTTCTCATGTTATTTTTGGGACTTAGCAGAAGTTCAGTTCATTTTGACTTCTAATATTCATACTTATTCAAAACAAATGGTTGTATTAATGAGCATAGTCCTATAATCTGTAGAAGAATTGTAAAGCTTCTGAAATAGAAGTACTCTAGAAAAGTATGACATTTGAAAGAATTGCAAGTGTCAGGTTACTAAATGTTAAAAGCAGTTACAAGGGAATCTTTCCTTGACTGAGATTCAATTTTAAAAGATATCTGATTGACCTGTACTTATGGTGATAACAGATACAGAGAACTGACGCATTAAAAGAAAAAGACTGTGTACTTCATGATAATTCTAATATGCTTGTAAGGAAAAAAACAAAAACGGAGGCTTACCAAAAAAATTCCACCCAACAGAAACATTAGGATACCTCATCCTATTGACTTCATGCTTAACTAGCTATTTTATCTTTCAGAACGTAAATTCTTTTTGTAATGGCTCGAGATAATAACTCTGTACCTTGGTTTTTAATTTAGGGCTTATGCTTTGAAGATAGAAAGGACCATGTTATTTAATAAAGATTTGGATGCAGCATAAAATACCAGGGGAAAAGGAGATTAAAGGCGAAGAATAACCTGGTTGTTGGACTGGACTCACTGGCTTCATTTGGTTTTATGGAAACAAGTTTATAAGTTTTGCCTAGAATTTTGCTATAAGGAAGACCTGTATTAAGTGATTAAGGTGACTTAGTATCCACATATAGCCAAAAAATCTAATAATTTGTTGGTATAAATGTGACTAATATCTTTCTTGTTTGTTAAATACCTTACCTACTTTCTGTGTTCCTGGTGTGGGCTATACTAGAATTGTTCATGAAAGTTCTACTGGGAGGTTACAATTTTTTTAAAAGCATACTTGAATAAAATAGAATTGTTTTTAGGGCTAGCTAACTCCATGGAAGTAGGCTTTGTGGATATTCACTGTTCTTCTGAGTTATGCAATGAGCCTTTTCTTCTTTATATGCTGCATATTGTTGTTCAGATTTGCAAGAATTAAGGTTATTTTTGCCTTTTCTAAGCAATCTTAGACTACAGACGATTTCATAACAATGCTTATATTGGAAAGTCCAAATTAGAGATTATCATCATTGTGCAGATGAGGACAAACCAAAATCTGACTAAATTTAGCATTGTTATATTGGGTAGCAGAGAGCTGAAGCATTCAAACGTTTTCTTACAGATTCTCAAAAGAGACGCATGATTTGAAGTCTGTACATTTGTGAACGAGTGATCACTATTCATAATCACCTAGCAACTTTGTATAATTTATAAAAGAAAGAAAAGAGAATTTTAAGAAAAAACTAAAGTGTATTTTTTTGCTAAATTACATTTAAAAAGACATTTTATGGATTAGTAAAGCACATTCTTTGTAATTTAAAATCTAGAAGTTTGTTCTGCCTTGACTAAACCGTCAGTTTCATTTAATAAGGGTTTTTTTTTTTTTTCTTTCCCCTCTAACCTTAGTT
The DNA here is from genome assembly GCF_000001405.40 of Homo sapiens. Lineage (NCBI taxonomy): Eukaryota > Metazoa > Chordata > Mammalia > Primates > Hominidae > Homo > Homo sapiens. Next base: position 25,476,420 of record NC_000010.11, read on the forward strand.
ACTTTATTTGGTTGGTAGATATGTCTTCCTGTAAAGGACTCCAATGCATATGTAAGTAATACTTACGTTCAGGTTGTTCCTCCCTACCCCGGTCTTATAAGAAGAATTGCAAAAGTATTAGAACTAGAAGGGACACCATATACAACTCAGTCTTTCTCCAGCCTCTTTATTTTGTAAATGCAAGAAGAGAGGCTGAGAGCGATTATGATTCAGATTCATCCACCTTTTTTTTCAGCTGGATAATGAGAAAGCCAAGAATTAAATCCATTCTCTTATCTTCTGGTCTGCTGTTCTTTTCCTTGCATGGCAGTACTTCTCACAGAGGATATGAATGTGATACTCAAATGACATCAAACGGGAGGCTGGGAAGGCCCATGTTGTACCCCTTCACCAGTCATCCTTCTTCATTAGGAAACAAAAGGCACAGAGGATGACTGAAACCAGGAATCAATTCATAATGGCTCAGGGTTTGGTTCTAAGACTAAATGTGTAAGTTCCCGAGGAGCTTGGATGGACCATGTTATTGAGCCATCTGAAGTTTCTGATATTCAATCATCTTAACTATAAAAAAGGCAATTTTATGTTCCAACCTAACATCAGGTTGGTTTTAGTGGTGTAGAACCTATGTCAGTTAAGAGATTGTTTTCTTCAATGATCACCCCAAAACCTTAAACTAAAACTTAAGACTTTTTTTTAACTCCATTTTTTTGCGATGTAGAAAAAACCCATCCAGAGCATAGGTATTGCCCTGAAGCAGAAGAAAAACAAGAGAATTTGATCCCATGATTACAGCTTAAAGGAAGGGATATAAAGGAGGGAGTTGAAAGTGGAGAGGGAGAATGAGACAATGAGAATATAGCGAAAGCAGCCAAGTTTTAATCCATTACTATTATTGTTTATTTTCATTGCTAAAATTACTTTAGATTTGACAGCAAGAACCCCTTTAGGCTGGCTCCTGTATCCTTTTGATATGACCCCATCATTCTTTGAGCACTTTCCTATGTTCTAATGCAACAGAATGTTCCAAACTCATTTTATACTTCATTCCCTCAACCCTGCAATCTGCGTTTTCTCCAAAGAGCCCTGGTTCTTTTTAGGGCAGAATGGTAGCAGTTCACTTCTGTGACAGATTGACTTCCATGACAGACAACAGAAAGTTCCCCCAACTTTACAAGTAGACTATGATTTTTAAGCTGATCCGTAGAATCCATCTCACTTGGTGCCCTTTAGAGCCATTTGGATTGATACAAGAGAAAAAAAAACGAAATTGGAAATAAAGTTAAATACTTATGAACATAACATTACTATTGGGAACACAATAGTATGGGGATAGCCGTTTTATGTTAACATAGCTCAGAAGGTATGGGAATATTAGACTTTTAATCCCCAAACTGTTGGAGGATTTCAGAAATACTGGCTCATATAGAGAGCAAAAGACATCAGAGATCTGGACTTTTCAGGAAGCTTGAAGAATGGGATGCCAAGACACTTTTTTCTCTTCTATAGTGTAGGTTAGAGAAATAAAAGAAATAGCCATAGATGCCCAGAAGTTCTGTGTAGTTCCATTTATCCACTTGGCTTGTCTCCTCTTCTGTACTCAACCCATCAGAGAGAAGTCTGATCATTGGTGGGAGTGGCTGTCATCATGTAAAGGCATGGAAGCTGCCCAGTGTGCATATTCTAGGATGTATGGTTAAGAGCCTTACTCCAATCAGTGATGTATGAGGAACTAACCAATAATCTTCCTTTAGTTGAAAGAGTTTTAATAAACTTAGAGAGCCTTAAAAAATTGAGAGTTGGAATCTTGGCTTTAGTTTGTCAGTGAAAAGCAACAGGTTATCATCTTTGCTACAGTAAACACCTATTAGAAAATGCCTCTTGAAAATACCTTATTGCTTTAGTGAAATATAATAATCTCTCGTTATTTACAAAGTAGAACAAAATTAAAGAACACAATGAAAAAGGTAAAAGATCAAAGTCATTATCATCCAGAAATAGTCATTGTGTACATTTAATTATATGAGACAGATGTGTAGATACATATAGAAATAGAAATAGATGAAATATATAATGCGTGTGTGTGTGTGTGTGTGTGTGTGTGTGTGTGTAGAGAGAAGAGAAAGAAATGGATGGATGGTGGATTAAGCTATGAGATTTTATAAAAGATACTAACTGTGATCTTTATCAGTTTAACAAAACCCAGATATTACTAATTTTGTCACTTTTTAATTTTTTTTTATTATACTTTAAGTTCTAGGGTACATGTGCACAGTGTGCAGGTTTGTTACGTATATATACATGTGCCATGTTGGTGTGCTGCACCCATTAACTCGTCATTTACATTAGGTATATCTCCTAATGCTATCCCTCCTCCCTCCCCCCACCCCACGACAGGCCCCCGGTGTGTGATGTTCCCCTTCCTGTGTCCAAGTGTTCTCATTGTCCAGTTCCCACCTATGAGTGAGAACATGCAGTGTTTGGTTTTTTTGTCATTGCGATAGTTTGCTGAGAATGATGATTTCCAGCTTCATCCATGTCCCTACAAAGGACATGAATTCATCATTTTTTATGGCTGCATAGTTTTCCATGGTGTATATGTGCCACTTTTCTTAATCCAATCTATCATTGATGGACATTTGGGTTGGTTCCAAGTCTTTGCTATTGTGAGTAGTGCTGCAATAAACATACATGTGCATGTGTCTTTATAGCAGCATGATTTATAATCGATGATTTTTAGATTAATGTATTTTACGATAAGCATTATTGGTTCTAAAAGATCTTTCTAAAGTTAAAAAAAATTGTAATACATTTAAAAGATTGGGCTAATTATTTTTTATTTAGCTATATGTTTCAACTTTAGATAGTATCACTTGACTCCAGCTATGACAGCTAAGAAATTGAACTCAAATACAGTTCCTTTCATCCTTTCTTTGTATCTAGTGGCTGAATATTATTGGATCTTGAAGATAGCTTGATTTCTGTCTCCTGTAGGTGACCTGATACTTCTTTCCAGATGCCAGTAAAAGTCATTTTTTAGTCAGGCTGGAGTGCAGTGGTGCGATCTTGCTCACTGCAACCTGTGCCTCCCGGGTTCCAACAATTCTCCTGCCTCAGCCTCCCAAGTAGCTGGGATTACAGGCACCTGTCACCTCACCTGGCTAGTTTTTGTATTTTTAATAGAGATGAGGTTTCACCATGTTGGCCAGGCTGGTCTCGAACACCTGACCTCAATTGATCCACCCACCTTGGCCTCTCATAGTGCTGGGATTACAGGTATGAGCCACCACGCCCGGCCTGAATTTATTGTTCTTTATCATTTTATTTCAATTATGATATTCCCTTTCAATATATAGATTTAAGACCCCTTTTATTTCTAGATTTTAAAAAAATTATCTTTATTTTTTTCTGTTATATTTCTCCTCTTCTTCGTGATACATAAGTTATGGATACATCACATTTATATATCTTTGTCCTTTCCCATTTTATTTTGTGTGGTTTCCTCAAGTCTTTATTCTATGACCTTTACAGCAATTTCAGTTATGTTTATCCTGCATGAGTCAATTCTGATATTTCTGTGACCTCTCCAATGTTTTTGTTTTATTTTCATTTTTCTCCTCTACATCCCTGCTTTCTTGGAGCCATTTTATCTCTTTCTTTGTTTTTCTTATCTCTTCTTTACTCTCTAGTATCTTTTTCTTTGAGTTTATTTGTCAGAAGGAACATGTTTTGTATAATTTCTTTGAGGCCATGAGAATTACCTACTTGAATCTTTATCTGTTTTATTTGATAATGTCCCTTTTGTTAACATTCCTTATCTGCCCCCTTCCCACCAATATTTAAACAAAGAGTCTGCCATGGTGGTTCTCTGATTTTTATTCATCTTTATTATAACCATTCTTTTTCATTATGGTAAAATATACATAACATAAAACTTACCAGTGTAACTATTTTAAATGCAAAATTCAGTGGCTTTAAACACATTCACAGTGTTGTGCAGCCATGGCTATTATCGATTTCCAAAACTTTTTCATCATCCCAAGCTAAAACTCTGTATTCATTAAACGATAACTTCCCATTCCCTCTTCCCCCAGCCTTTGAACATCTGTTATACTTTGTTTCTATGATATTGCCTTTTCCAGGGCCTTCACATGAGCAGAATCACACAACATTTATTCTTTTGTCCATGGCTTATTTCATTTGCCATAGTGTTTTCAAGCTTTATCTATCTTGTAGCATGTATCTGAAGTTCATTCCTTTATATGGCTTAATAATATTTTATTGTAGATATATACCACATTTTGTTGATTCATCCGTCACTGGACACTTAGGTTGTTTTCACCTTTGGGCTGTTGTGAATAATGCTTGTTGTATTTCTCTGTATTGGGATTGTCATGGATGTTTACCGTGTGCCTTTCAGGAGATACTCTTTTATCCTGGTGGACAGCCTGCTGCCTGAGTGTCCAGCCTGTGACCGGGTATCCCTTTCATCAGGTATTAGTACTGGAAGACACCTTCGTGGCTCTTGTCTGAGTTTATTTCTGCCAAGATAGCCACTCTCCAGAAGAACCTCAATCGGGAGAAAAATTGGGCTTATGTGTGTCAGTCAGTCAGACACATAGGAGGCAACACAGCAAAATAAATAACACAGAAGCGGTTTATTACTTACAGGTTCATGAGTGATTAGGGGTACAAGAAGAGCTGAGGGAAAGGTCACAGGGATGATGAGCTCAACCAGCAGGTGGGGAGCCAGACAGAGACAGACCTATGGACTGAGACCTTTACTGGGGCACAGAGTGTCACCCAAGCAGATTTCCTGCTGGGAGTTCCAGTTGGTGGGTTTAAAGCAAGCAGGCATGCATTCCGCAGTGTCATGGTGTGGCCGCTGCACGCCAAGCTGCAGTTTCTGCATTTATGCAGATTATGGGGGTCAGTGAGATGAGTCAAATAGAGTCGAGTATATGTCCCAAGAAGATGATCATCAGGAGGTGATGTATAAACCAGATATCTGGATTGACCACCTTAAGGAACTAGGAGAGGTCAGGGAGCTAGAAATTCTGTCAAGGATAACTGGGACCTGTTCGGTGTATGAGAAAGTTAAACCTATATTCAAAATGCATGCTGAGGCAACATCAAATTATAGGAATTTACTGCATGCTGCTGTGAACATTAGTGTACAAGTATCTGTTTGAATCCCTGATTTCGATTTTTTGGGTCTATGCCTAGAAGTGGAATTGCTGCATCATATGGTAAATCTATGTTTAACTTTTTGAGAAATCGCCAAACTCTTTTCCAAAGTGGCTGCACCATTTTCCTTCCCACCAGCAATGCAGAGTGTTTCAACTTCTCCATATCCACACCAAGACTTGTTATTTTCCATTTTATATTTTTATAGTAGCCATCCATATGAGTGTGAATTGGTAGCTTATTGTGGTTTTGATTTTCTATTTTTGATTTTTGAATGAGGCAGGTTTTTAGGGTGTCTGTTTTATACATAGTCATGTAGAGGACTGGGCGGAGGGGAACAGACTGAGGCTACGCCATCATTTTGAAATCACATGGAGCCTCAGATTTTCAGGCTGTGTTATAATCTGGTGCTTTGCCTTCCTGCTTGACCATACCTTAGCTCTGGCTATCTTTTTTAGCTAGTGTGCCACACAGGTACATCAACAAAGATGACATGTCTCTAAATCTCCCACCAATCTGGGATGATGCTGTTTCTACCAGAAAATTCCCTAGTTCTGCTTTGGCCTTCCATGCCCTAAAATTCTATTCTTTTTTTTAAGAGACAGGGTCTCACTCTATTGCCCAGGCTGGAGGGCAGTGGCATGATCATAGCTCCCTGCACCCTCAGACTTCTGGGCTTATGCGATCCTCCCACCTCAGACTATTAAGTAGCTGGAACAATAGGTGTATGCCACCACACCTGGCTACTTTTTAAATTTTCTTAGAGATGAAGTCTTGCTGTATTGGCCAGGCTGGTCTTGAACCCCTGGCCTTATGTAATCCTCTCACCTCATCCTCCCAAAAAACTGAGATTACAGGCATGAACCACTGTGCTTGGCTTAAAATTCAATTATCTAATGAACAGATTGCGGTTTCAGGACTGGAACAAGGCTTCCTGCTGAACTCTGAAGTAGGCATGTAAGAATTCTCTGTCTCCCTTCCTTTTGGTACAGCTATAACTCAGTTCTTGGGTCTTTTCTCTTTTCCCTTATGATCTCATCCATTCTCATAGCTTAATATACTCTGCGTGCCAACACCACCCAAATTTATATCTCCAGCTCAAATCTCTGTTTTGAATTCCAGACTTGTATGTGCGTGTATCTATTCAAAATCTCTACATGGAGTCTGATAGACATTGCAGTTAATTCGTCTGAAACTTAACTTCTAATCCCACCACCACCACCAAACCTGCTCTTCCAGCAAGTTCCCCAATTCCAGCTTCTAACAATTCAATTTTTTTCTGTTTCTCAGGACAAAATCTTGGAGTCATCTTGACTTCCTTCTGTCTCTCATGTCACATATCCAACTCATCAAGAAGTCCTCTTAGTTCAACCTTCAAAACATATCAATAACCTAACCATTTCATATTACTTTCACTGTTATCACTCCTGCCTGAGTCACCACCATTGAGTATTAGGTTATTAAAACAACCCGTTAACTAGTATGCCTGTTCTCCACTCTTGGCCTATTATAGTCTATTTTCAACACAGTAGCAAGAAATCCTTTTCTAAACTTAAGTCAGGTAGTGCTACCCCTGCTCAAAACCCTGCATTAGCTCCCTATTTCATTCAGAATGAAACCTAGAGACCGAAAAGACCTTCATGATCTGCTCCTGTAACACTATCTCTTCACCCTGCTCATCTTTTCCAGTAACACTGGGCTCTTCATTGTTCTCAAACCGACCAGGCACAATCCCACCTCAAAGCGCTTGCACTGACTATTGCTTTTTCCTCCCCCCTTTCATGTCTTTGCTAAAATATATTCTTCTTGATGAAGCTCACCCCGACTACCCGACTTTAAATTGCAGCCTGCCCCACTCCTCACAGTACTTCTGATCTCTCTCATCCTGCTCTTTTTGCATAGAATTGATCGTTTTTTACATGCTGTGTTACTTTATTATCTTTATTTCTTACACGTACTTATTTATTTATTTATTTGCTGTTCTCCTCACCTCACCCGAGAATTTAAATTCTCAAGACAAAAATTTGAATCCGCTGCTGTTTTTCGGCACCTGGAACAGTGCCTAATACATACTGGATGCTTAAAAAATATTTGTTAAATAATGAACATTTTTCAGAAATTTCTTCATAGATTAACATGTGGAGTATGGCTCTTCTTCCCTTGTATTATTAATAACAAATTCTTGTACCTTTTAAAATTTCTTTTTGATGTTTTAAGTTATAATCAGATTTTTTTAATTGTAAATCTTTCAAGACCAAGACCACGTCTGCTGCATCTATTTCCATCACAGCACTTAAAAAGTTTGTTGAATTTCAATATAATTTTAACTAAAGCAATTATACACATGCAGCACACAGAATATAAATGTATAGCTTGGCATCTCTGTTTTTATCTTTGTGTCTCTCTAAATCTTTATCTCTAATTTCCCTATGGGCTTATAGAAAAGACCGATAATAAAGAGACCGGAATTCTAACCTATAACATTCTATGTAATCTGGCTGTTCTTAACTTCTCCCACCTAAAGCCCTACCCCACTGTTATCTGTTCCCTCTGCCACGGCAATTCTGTTCTGTTTGCTCTTCCTTGAACATGCCTGGCACACACACCCTGCAGCCTTGGCATTGTCTGCTTCCTCTTCCTAGAGCACTCTTAGCCCACGTATCTCCATGGCTCACATTCTCATCTTCTTTAAATCTTTGCTCAAATGTCACTTCTCAGTGAAAGGAAGTTAAGGAACTCATTATTTTAGAATAAGCAAGGAAAGGTTAACTCAAAAATTGTAACATTAAAATGAGAATAAACCACCATCATTGCAGAGAATTTCCAGTCAGATCAAATGGAAACAGATTCAGTGGTGATGTGAAGGCAGAAATGACACAATTTGGCAGTAGACTAAGAACATCATCAGTGATCCTGAGATTACCTTCATGGGAATAAATGAGAAGATGCTGGCTCTAGCATGATAGAAAACTTGACAGTGAGACAGTTTGAGTCGAAAGATAAGAAATGTTGTCTCTGCAGCAATGTCATAGCTGGAGTGTTTTTGCTATGTAGAAAGAAAATTCTGAAAAGGGTGAAGTATCAGTTCATTTCTAATTCTCTTTCTATAGTTAATGTCTTTGCTCATGGGCAAAACATGGCAGGGGCTCTTTCTGTCTCTTCCAGTAGTTACTGTTTCTTCCTTGAATACAAAAATGCTTCTCAAATTTTCCCATGCAGGTCCAGGACACATAAGTAATTATTCATTTCTAGAGCCTGATTAGCAATTTTTCAGTTAATTAAAAGGCTAACAATCTATACTTTAGATATTATGTATTATATGTAAATGCAATTTTAAAGAATTTTAACAGTCTCTGGGAAACGTGCTCAGAATTGTCAGACATCTCTATTAGCAGACGACTAATACTGTGATGTCTACGTTTATCTCTGTGGTCTTATAGGTGAACAATCTGACCTAAGAATATGCGAAATACCTAGAGATGTTTGAAATATAATTAAGAAAATAGCTATAGACAGAAAAAAAATAGTTGTTAGAGTTCAGCAATGTGTCCTGAGAAATAATTTATCTTCAAAGATATTGGAAAAAATTGTAAAAGGCTTAAAAGTACACTGAAAATGGTTGCAAGTATTTTTTTTTAATGAGAAGTAGATGACATTTTGACAAGGTGTAAATCATACTTTAAGTGTCAAGGGCTACATAATGTCTCTAAAGAGTCACAGTTCAATAAAGTAGATATTTAAAGAAAATAGCAAAAGAAGAGAAATATAAAGACATCATATTTAAATAGAATCATATAAATAAAAGCCCACCCTAAAAAGATCCAGAGCCATGTAAACGTGAGATTGAATGGAGCATTTGGATCTATAGCTAAAATCAGAAGGGGCAATGTGAACTTTTAGGAGAAAAAACAAGATGCTTTTCCAGAATTTATCAGAAAAGTGTCTCAATTTATGTGTTTAGTTTGTTATACATTTATCTAAAACTGTCATTATTTTATATGAATAGCTTCATGTTACAGTTGCTGAAATATGAAGAAAATACATGGTATTTTGTGAAAATATCACTATTGACAAATCTTTAAAAATACTTTATATAAATTATCTAAAGTAAATGTTATTTGTGATTAGATATGTATAGTCTGTATGATTTGTCTATCCTTGAGTATTCCCAACTGAGATTTATTTTCAGTGCTATCACTAGGCTTTGGGGTTTGTTATGGTCTGAATATTTCTGTCCTCCCAAAATTCATGTTGAAAACCTAACCCCCAAGATCATGCTACTACAAGGTAAGCCTTTGGAGGTGATTAAGGCATGATGGTGGGGCCCTTATGAATGGGATTAGTGCCCTTTTAAAAGAGGCCTGAAAGAGACTCTTCACTTTTTCCACCATGGTTAGAGTGAGAAGAAAGCTATCTCTGAGGAAGTGAGCCCTTGTCAGACACCAAATCTATGGATCCCTTGATCTTCCCAGCCTCCAGGACTCGGAGAAATAAATTTCTGTTGTTTTTAAGCTACCCAATTTGTGGCATTTTGTTAGAGCAGTCCAAATGGGCTAAGGCAGGGATCATATAAACATGATTAATTCAAAAATAGACATATTCAGATGACATCCTAATTCAAACCCTACTTTCAACTTTGACCTTCTTCATTCTTTTGTCTGTACCCAGTATCTACTTTAAGTCATGCTTACTTATCTGAACAATCTTGAGCTTTACAGTATAGCAGTTAGGAGCATAGACTGTGGAGCCAGATTATAACTGGCCCTCACTAGCTGTGTCGTTGGGTTAGTTAGCCTCTTTAGACCTCTATTTCTTCATCTGTAAAATGAAAGTAATAACGTCATCATGGGAGACTACATGATTTTATGAATGCAGAATGCTTAAGGATATGCCCCTTTATCAACTAACCCTTATCCAACCCCGAATACGTTAGTCGATGAAGTGCATATCCTCAGCAGGTGTAAGCATCACCCAGGATTGCTAAAACGTGGTTTTTTGGACCTCACCCTCAAGTTTCTGATCCAGTCAGTCTAAGACAAAGTTGGAGAATTTGCATTCTTACAAAATTCCGGAAGGATGCTGATGCTGTTGGTCCATGGTCCTTGAACCACTCTCTGCAAACCATTTGCCGTAGCTTTTCAAACTATATGTGGTAAAGGAATGGTTGCTCTCTACCTGTTTGCTTTGTTTGTTCTAACTATGATAGACCATTTTTTTTTGGTAAAATACAGTAAATATGAATTACCAGGAAAGTGAAATAAAAAAAATAGATAAATGGGAATTTTCTATTCTTTGAGCTTTCCAGTTGTTTTATTTCTAGATAAATGGGAATTTTCTGTTAATACCTTGGAAAAGGGGGAGAATTCATATAGCAAATAAAGTGAATGTCTGCACTTTCATGTTAGGCTAGTCCCTCTTGGTATGTTAGCAACCCTTTCTTTTATCCCCCTTTTAAATGGGAATCACGATATAACAGATTCACAGGTTCCTGGGATTAAGAGGTGGATATCTGTGGGTGCTGTTATTCTGCTTGCCACACCAGTCATAACATTCAAATTCAACATGCTCATCAGGTGATCTTGATTTAATCAGAGCCACCACAAGTCTCTGAGACATTCTAATATCCAAAGCCATATTTTCAATATAAGCAGCCTACAAGACAAAAAAACCCTCCTGTTTTATAGCTTATACCGGGAATCTGTGCTTTGGAGAAATTTGCACTTCTATACGAGGACTAATTTATTTTTCTGTAAATTGTTGGCAATATCATTTAAAAATTAGGAAAATTCACATAAAAAGGCCATTTTCCTCCTTGGCCGTAAATACCAGGCCCTCATTCCCACGATGCCAGCCATCTGTTGCAGTGGCATAGTGGCTGTCCCAGCTAGGAATGTGCCTTTGTATTCTAGTGTTCACAGTCACAGTATAGAGGTTAAGGATGTGGATAGTGGAGCCAGACTGTAACTGCCTCTTACGAGCTTTGTGACCTTGGGTTACTCATTTCACCTCTTTGGACCTCCACTTCCTTATCTGTAAGTTGAAAATAATGAAAGTATCCTGGGAGAGTAAATGACTTTATGCATGCAGACCCATTTTATTCATATAGGGTAAGTTAAGGCCTGGGCTTTCAGTATATTGTTTGATTTTGCTTCCCCAGAAATTGAAAGTTTTGACAAGAAAAAGGAAAAGCATTTTTCTTCTGACACCTATGTACTGCAGTTCAGATGAATAAAATTGCGTTTAGATTAAGGAAGCTGTATACTCCATGAGTTTTCAGTGTAAATTAAATAAACTAACCAATTAACCTAAAAATAAAAATTAAAGAGATAGCACATAATTGTGAGCATTTAAAAGCTCAAAAGCTAGGTAATAAAAATAATTATTAAATGGAAGTATTAGAATACCTTAGCATTAGGATTGGCTGCGAGTACCAAGGAACATAGGAAGAGAAGCTTTAAAAGGCTAAATTTTTTTCTTTCTTTCTCCCATAAGAGAAGTATGGAAGTGGATAGTCCAAAGCTAATGGTATTTCAAAGTGCTAGGGATCCTGGGTGACTACCATTCCCTCTACCGTGTCCAACCATTGCATCTTTATCCATTGAAGAGGCAGCAGGAAAGGGGACATGGGGAAGGAATATTACACTTCTCTGCCATTTAACCTCATTTGTCAGAATTTAATCACAAGGTCATGCTTAGCTTCAAGGGAGGCCAGGAAATAGTCATTTACATAGGGGAGCCCTGTGCCCAACTGAAAAACTGGGATTCTTTTCATAAGGGAGAAGAGAATTACGTGTATTGTGAAAACTCTATCTCTGCTATACATGTGGCTTTTGTTTTCTTCAAGTTGCTTATTTGTATTTCTACATTTTCACAATGCATATATGTTATCTTTGTGAAACAAAAAAAAGATAAAGAAGTCTCATCTCTGATTCTTCCTAGCCCTTACTTTTGAGAAGAAAACTGAGGTTGCTGAGGTACTGATTATGTAACTCACAATACAGGCTTCGTTTTGTGGAAAACTGCCTATCAGTTATTAATTATAATCTTTATATAGCTCTTCCTTCTTGTTCTTTCTTTCACTTGCTTGGAAGGAAAGTAATTATGTAATAGATGTGATTCAGACATGAAAGAAAGTGCTTATTTAATCTATGAGGCTATTAGATGACTACTAAAGAGGGATTCACCTAAGATAGATTTTCATATATTGTTTTTTTCTGATAACAGCTCTATTCTTTTTTAGGGTGCACTAATTTCAGTGGCTCAAAAACCTTTGAAAGTTATTTTAAGCTATAGTGTAGGCACACTAAGTATAGTGTGCTAAAGTTCATGAAAAAAAGGGAAAAAAACTATGATTTTACTCTAGGATGCATTACCCTTGCCATGGGCTTTTTGTAAAAGGAAGATAATATTTATACAAATTGCTAATTTTAATGTATAACAAAATGCCTAGAATTTCTTTGAAGTCAGGGGAGAAAAGTAGACAAAAACTTGTTGGCCTGAAATCCTAGTTAAAAGGGAAAATAATGAAATAAAACATTTTCCTCCAAATGATTTTTCCAAAGTGGAACAAGATAAACACCTACTGAAATTTCTGCCTATCTATAAATTAGAGACATCTCAAACAGCAAGAGTTGCTAAAGAAGTTTAAGGAAACTTCACATTTAAAACTGTATAAATTTTATTGGGACTGGGCTAGGACTCTTGGCAAGTGGTATTTCTTATATATATTCAGTTTTTACCTCTATTTTTATTTCCATCCCATACTTCTAAGTTTTCTTCAATCCACGAAGCAGTGATGAGGTTTCATATTGTATGAATGGCTGATGTGAATTTGAAAAGTGTTAAGAAAACATGTATTCTGAGAAACCATTTGTAAATCATGTTAATAGATACTGTAGAACAGTGAATGAGGCACTAAGTTTTCAAAGAATACAAAGGTTTCACACTAGAATGCCTCTTCAAATAATTATTCATTTTTGGTCTCCTCAACTCTCTACCCCTAGCTGTACTCTCCCTTCTTCAGGTATTTAGCTTCTCAATGTCCTCCAGGTCTACCAGAGGAGATTTCCTTAGACTGCTGCCTTCCCTTCAGTCGCCTCCTTCATGTGTTCCCACTGCAAATCTGTATGGGATATTGATATATGCACAAAGTGATATAAATACAGTGGGGGAATGAGTGCTACTGAGACAAGGACTTCTCTATGGAAAAACTAAAATCAGATTCTTACCTCATACCATACACACAGAGAAGTCATACAAATTAGAAATATAAATGTGAAAATTAAAAAGTTGAACTGTTAGAAAATATAGAAGACTATCTTTGTGACCTTGAAAGATTTACTGACTAGTACACAGACAGCAAGAAAAAAAGCAGATTTATATTTTCAACATTCAAAACTTTTTGTATGATGAAATGCATATATACTAGCTAAAATATATCAGAAGAAAATTTACAGAAGAGGAAACCCAGCTGGGCAATATTCACATAAAGAACTGTACAACCTCAAGAGCAGTTAAGGAAATGCAAAGTTAAACTGCGATTCCATTTCACATCCATTGGTTGTGGAGATATTTGGAAACATAAACCTAAACTGGAACTCTTCCTTGTGTTTGTATGCAGAGACACTTTGGAATGCAAATTATCAATATTTATACAAATTAAAGATACATACACTTTTTTTTTGGATTTGTCTTTTTTTTAATTATACTTTAAGTTTTAGGGTACATGTGCACATTGTGCAGGTTAGTTACATATGTATACATGTGCCATGCTGGTGCGCTGCACCCACTAACTCGTCATCTAGTATGAGGTATATCTCCCAATGCTATCCCTCCCCCCTCCCCCCACCCCACCACAGTCCCCAGAGTGTGATATTCCCCTTCCTGTGTCCATGTGATCTCATTGTTCAATTCCCACCTATGAGTGAGAATATGCGGTGTTTGGTTTTTTGTTCTTGCGATAGGTTACTGAGAATGATGATTTCCAATTTCATCCATGTCCCTACAAAGGACATGAACTCATCCTTTTTTATGGCTGCATAGTATTCCGTGGTGTATATGTGCCACATTTTCTTAATCCAGTCTATCATTGTTGGACATTTGGGTTGCTTCCAAGTCTTTGCTATTGTGAATAATGCCGCAATAAACATATGTGTGCATGTGTCTTTATAGCAGCATGATTTATAGTCCTTTGGGTATATACCCAGTAATGGGATGGCTGGGTCAAATGGTATTTCCAGTTCTAGATACACATTTTTATATACAGTGTGTATACACAAAATAATACGCAACCCAACAGTACTACTTCTAAACATATACTTTAGAGAAAGACTCATACTAGTTTGTAAGTAGATATGTTTAAGGATGTTTATAGTGAAAATTTGTGTTGGGGGGGTCCTAATATTCATTAATAAGGAAAATAAAATAAATACATTCATTTTAGAAACCTTGGAAACCAAATAAAAGCATGAAGAATTGAGCTTTGTGATGTTCAAGGTAGATTTTTAATATGGCCATATATGGCGTGTATGTGTGTGTGTATCAAAAATTATCACATCAAAGCTTTTCTATAGATCTTTGTAAAAGAGTCAATTATTGCTCACCCAGTATTACTCTGTTTCTTTACATTTCCCAGCCTCACAACCTTCCCAGCAGTTAAAGAGCCATATGTCTAGGTCTGGCAATGAAATATGAACAATGATTTGTAAAAAGCAATTACACCCTAGTGTGTCTCCTTTATATTTCTCCTCCTCTGCTATGGTAATTTTGGAGGACATATTTTCTACATGAATGGCTGCAAGATAGAGAAGGACTGCCTGAGCCACAATGGACTTAAAAAAGAATGAAGTATAAGCCTTTGTTTAAGTCACTAGGATTTCAGAGTTCATTTGTTTCTGCAGCTTAGCTTAGTTGAATGTTGACTAATAACTATCTTCAAATATACATTTCTTAAAATTATTGAGATAAATTATCATTTATCACCCTAAAAGTCCTAAAATTTATTCTCTAATTTTAAACATGTAATTCTTGATGGGTTTTGTATTATAAAAATACTTATTTTAGAAAAATTAGGAATTGAAATTAATTATGAGCATGGTAAAAAATACCCATAGTTCTATTTCTTATAATTGTTAACAATTTAGCAATTATCTTGTTTACTTAAATGTATATCTGTTCTTTATATCACTGAAGAACATTTTACTTAGCTATTTAGCTTATCATTATATGGATAGGTCAAAAATGCATTTGTCACATTCTCAATTGATAGACATGTGGTTTCCTATATTTGTCATTATAGTTATTGCTATGAAGAACATCCTTGTCTTGGTCTGTTTGTGTTGCCATAAAGGAATACCTGAGGCTGGGTAATTTATAAAGAAAAGAGGTGTATTTGGCTCATGGTTCTGCAGGCTGTACAAGGAGCTTGGTGCCATCATCTGTTTCTGGTGGAGGTTTCAGGCTGCTTCCACTCATGGTGGAAGGCGAAGGGGAGCCAGCTTGTGTAGATCACATGGTGAGAGAGGAAGAAAGAGAGAGCAAGAAGATGCCAGATTCTTTTCAACAACCAGCTCTTGGGGAACTAAGAGTGAGAACTCACTCCTGCAAGAATAGGATCAAGCAATTCATTAAGGATCCACCTGCATAACCCAAACACCTCCCACCAGGCCCTGCCTCTGCCAACCCTTGAGTCAGAAACACTATTCAAATAGAAAACAGGCTGGTGAATTTCTTCCATGAGAAACAATCCCTTGCTTACAGACTTTCCCCCACCATCTCTAGCTTCTTCAGTGGCACTTTTTTTTTCTTTTTCTTTTTTTTTGTCACAAGCTGCTTGGGACTTTTCCATGTTAAGATGCACTGATTGTCCACTGTATGTTCCAATTAGTGAAAGAGCTGTTCTTCCTACTGCATTCATTTTCATCCCTTAGTCTTCAACACTACCTTGAAAAGAAAAATGTTTTCATGTTTGTACTCTAAGCTCTTTATGCTCTGGATCAAAACATTACAGAATTTTTGACTGTTATATCTGCATGTGGAGAAGGCTTATGGAACATTTAATGTGAACGTGGTCCATGCACAAAAAAAGACTAGAGCAATGAATAAACCAAGACAATTTGCATGAAGGGATAAAAATGAAAACACATAGTGAACTCATTTCACTGGTCTTACAACAAGTGATAAACAATTCAAGCTATCCAATCAATAAAAAATGATCTTTTTCTATTTTGATACTAATTATATGTATTTTAATATTTTAATATTAATATATAATTGATATATAAACAAATATTAATATATTAATATATAATATATTTCAATATCCAATTTTTGGATAAGAGACTGCCTAAATTTCCCTTTTCAATATTTGAAAATGATTTATCAAGTTTGAATAAAAATTAGCATTTACAAAGAGTAAAACCAACAATGACTGCAAAAACCCTCACATACAGAATTGCAATTTAAGAGAAAACCACATTTTCTAGTAGGTTTTTTAAAAGTTACTGACATATAGGCCTTTCACGAGAAGAGAGTTTTGGGGGTGTGTTTATAGTTGAGTCATGAGTGCCTTTGTTCAGGCAGCACTGAAGAGCTAGACTTTGAGAGGTTCCCTAGCATGGGGCCTGCTTCAACACAATTGCAGCAAATGCCCTGTGTTCTGCCTTTGTCCTCTCTGGTCTGACTTCAGCATTACTCACGCAATTCCTCTCCCTTTCGCATAACCCAGTGTCATTCTATTCCAGCCAAGTTTATCTCTGCACCACTCAGATAAGCCCCATGCTGCTCTTTGTAAATGTCACTCTTAGAAGAAGATAGGATGTTTTCTGAAAGAGTTCTTTTTTAAAGCGTTCACTGACTGAATCCATTCTGAAGGATAGTTTGGGTAGAGGGCTTTCTAAAAAAAAATGTTTCATTTTTTAGCCTTTTAGGAGAGCATCTGGAGACAGGTACCCCATTACTCAGGAAACTCCCTAGACTTTTTAGATGGATAAACAGAGCAGAAATAAAATATGTCTAAATTATGTTCTTACACTATCTGATTCAGGCAGTCAAGTTTCTTAGTGACTCATCTGTTACAAATTTTTAGTATCTGTGTTGAGAAATTAAGCAAACAAAGTTAACCATATAGATTAGTAAATTAAGTGTCTATAGTAAAATATCATTTGAATCTCAAGGCTGTGAAAGTGTATATTTTGTGACAGCTTAGTCAGATCCAGATTGTTTAATTAGACTTAACAAAACAGATGACCTTTCTGCTTTATTTACAAAAAGTAGTTGAGGTGATTTTGTAGTTATTTGCTTATTGCGCTAAAGCTTTTCCTTATGGCTGCTTAGGGTGTTTAAATCAATAATAAATGACTCCCTGTAAGATTTAAGTCATTTCAAAAATGTAACACAAAAGCAAGTATCATCTGATTTCTACAGTATATTAGAGCTGAAACAATTTCATCCATAATAAAGTCACAAAAGTGTTGCATACTAGAGAGGAGGGTTGACTTCTGCATTTCTCAATAGTCCTGGTACTAATTTGAGGAAAAAAGAGAGGGAGAGGAAAGCCAAGAATAAAATCTAACATGATACCTGAGGTTGGGGGGAAAGAATCTTTGGTATGTGTAATAGTATTGCTAAATAATATTGTTTTGGATAGCATAAATCAATATGCAAAGAGAATTTACCAATCTATATTATGAGTTAAACACTTGTTCACTAGTATCTTAATGGATATTAATTTTTCATGTTTTTATCATAAAATTTTATTATGTTTTATTAAGAAGTTTATTCAGTGTAAAGCTATATGAAGAAAAAAGTAAAGCCCTCCCATATTCCATCACTCAGAGATAACTGTCATTAGTATAATCATGTATTTTGTTTGGTACTGCTTTTTTCTATGTATAAAAATTGGATTGCTACTGTAGATAATATTATTCCTTTATCATTTACCTGTAGGCGTAAGTATTCAGCAACATTACAGCTTATAACAATCGTGTAGTAGTCAACTATCTGGATGTACCATAGTACCAAAATTTATTTAAGTGTGCTCAGACTTTTTGTTTAACTATTCCTGGACTTTATTTTTTTTTAATGTTTCAGGCGATTTTAAACCACTCCACAGCAAAGTTCTTTGGATGTGACTATCTGAATTTCTAATTGTGCCTATAAAGTGCATTGCTGTATTAGGGGGTTTAAATACATGGACTCTTTTAAGTTTAAACTCTAAATATTTTCAAACTAGTTTGCTATTTTAAAATACATTTTATTTTTTAAGAGTAAGTTTTATTTGTCATTTATTCATCATAGCCTCAAACTGGAAACAACCCAAATGTTCACCAACAGAGGAGCATGTTGCCTCTCCAGAGCACACGTCCCATATTCCATTTATATGAAACCCTGGGAAAGACAAATTTAATATGTAGTAATGGAAAGCAGTAGTTTTCTGAAGCTGCAGGTCAATGGTGGGGATTGATTCACCGTAGAAAATTTAGAAAGCATAGATAAGCAGAGAGGAGGAAGTTATCTCACCATTTAGAGATAGGTATAATCCACTAACTTTTTTTTTTTTTTTAGATATATAAGTACATGAGGAACAAATTCAGTTTACCGAAGTTTATTTATTGACTTAACAGGTAAAAATTCGTGGATAACTCCATACTTTTGCTATTTTTGAAATTATTTTAAGCTATCATTCTTTTCTGCTTTTTTTTTTTTTTTTTTTTGAGACGGAGTCTTGCCATGTCCATCAGGCTGGAGTGGCACGATCTTGGCTCACTGCAAGCTCCGCCTCCCAGGTTCACACCATTCTCCTGCCTCAGCCTCCTGAGTAGCTGGGACTACAGGTGCCTGCCATCACGCCCGGCCAATTTTTTGTATTTTTAGTAGAGACAGGGTTTCACCATGTTAGCCAGGAAAATCTTGATCTCCTGACCTCGTGATCCACCCACTTCAGCCTCCCAAAGTGCTGGGATTACAGGTGTGAGCCACTGTGCCCAGGCCTGACTTTTTTTTAATGTTGTATGCTACCATGTCATTCAACAGTAAAGAGAAATGACCAAATGATGATGAGTGGTATGTTGTCGGCGCATTTCCTCTTAAGTGTTTCTATGGGTTTTATCTCCATCTATTACAGAGATTAGTGGAGATTCCCTAAAATTATTAGCAACCTGCATCATAAAATTACTAGTACCCATTTAAATTAAACAATAACCTCTTTTCTTCTTTCCTTCAGCTGTAAAATAAGAAATTTTGCCTCCACCTTAGCTTATATCATTTCCTTTAGAGCAGGATTTTTCAACCTCAGCACATTCTGGGCTGAACAACTGTTTGTTGTAGGGGGCTGTTCATGCCTGAGAACAGGGATGTCTCCTAACATCCCTGTTCTCAACCCCCTAAATGCAGACAGCACCCCAGCTCCAGTTATGACAACCAAAAATATCTTCAGATATTGCCAAATGTGTCCTGGGGTTAGGGGGCAAAAATTACTCCTGGTTAAGAAGCAAGGATTTAAGGCTAATTCAGTACTTTATTACTTTATTAATGTCCTCTATTACACTTGTCCCCGCTCCCCCAACCATGTGAACATCCTTTTGATTACTGGGCTCTGACCTTTCTATCCTGCTGTGATTTCAGATTAGTGAAGGTAGACATGAGAGGCCTTGGCTGTGACATGTCCATATATGCCCCAGTTACTTCTGCACGTCGACTATACTACGGGATCCTTTGGAATGCTGCTGTCTTTTAACATGAGAAATGGAGAGACACTGTGCAGATATGACCATGGCTCACCTTACAGCTTTACGCCAGGCATTTAACTCCACATGCCTGTCTTTTGGATCTCATTCTAAACAAATGAAGCAGACTTAATTTTACTTTTTCTGTAGATAAGCAGGTGTTTAACAAGGTGAAAAGTAAAAGACTCTGGGGAGTTTTAAAGTTAGTAGAAATCCTTGGTGCTTTTCCAATTAGCTGGTAAAGGATGCTTGGAAGAATTAGGAGGCATTTGAGAGGAAAGAAGGAACTTTAACTGCTGAAATAGCTGTCTAATTCTCATTTTGCATTAGATAAGGATTATCCTACAAGAGCAGCATGTGGGTACACCTTAGAACCACTGTTAACTCGTATTCAGTAATCACTGTGCCAAAAACACCGAGCCAGGCCATTTGAGGGAGAAACAGAAAAGAGCAGAGTCCTGTGCATCATGAGCTTACAGTCTACGGGAAATTATACACAAACCTTGTTGCAGTTGGGTAACATTACTAGCAGTGAGGAACAGTTGTTTGATCAACGAGGAAGTATCTCAGTTGCCAAATGGATAGTACAGACAGTAGCAGTGGGAACTTAGGAGAAAGAGAGAATCCTGTGGACTGCAGAGGTCAAAGAAGTGGGCTTGCAAGAGCTGGGATCTGAGCTTGGACAGGTGACGGGCCAAGGAGGTGAGGAAAAGTATCCCAGTGAAGTAAAATGGTGTGCATTAAGAGGCTGAGATAGGAGCTCCAAGCATATTTGGTGTGTAAGAACTGAGTGAGAAAGCCAGAAGGGGAGTCAGATCTTGAGGTCCTTGAATAGCAGGCTGAGGAATTTTGATTGTATAACGGAAGCTAATGTTTCCCAAATTGGACTCCATGAAACAATAATCCCAGGAGATGCTCTTTGAATAAAGTGTCCTAGGGTTAAGTAAACTTGAGAAGTGATACATGCCCTCCTGTGGACTTAACATGTATACTGGTATTTAAAGGCTTAACTTTGCTTAATACAGCACTTCCCAATGTATTTCCCATGAGGTGGATGTGAGGGAGAGTTATGAGAAATAAGAACATAAAGCGCCTATTAACAGTCAGTGGAACAACTTAGAAGTTGAATTTGACAATAGGGAAGCATTAACCATTTTTGTAAAGCAGGAGGTGATGTAATTAAAGAGATATTTTAGTCTAGTACTAGCGTGTAGACAGATTGGAACAAGTATGTGTAAAATATTCAAAAGATAGGACTCTTCAGGAGAGAGTCTCTATTCTCGGTATTTAGTTTGTTGGATTTTTTTTCATTTATCCATTCATGAGCTATTAAGCAAATACTATATGCTGTGTGCTTAGCAAGGTGAATAAAATGGTGAAGAAGGGATAAATAATCTCTGCCTTCATGGAGTTTAAGATCTAAAGGGAGATGACAAATGTAGAATTAAATTTTTATGTGTACTGTAAAAAGGGAACAAAGAAGAGTACCCTTCTACTTTTTTGTTGAACAGTATTATGGAGACCTTTTTATTTCCTCTTAAATATGTCATCAAGACACATCCATTTTAATATTATCAGTATCACTAAACCTTGTAAAAATAATTTAACGTTGCTGGGTTTTAATGTTTAAATGTGGCTTCACTTGATCTTGGACCAGTTTAGCATTTTGGAAATAAATTTTAAAATGTTAATTTGGTGAAAGGAAAGAAAGTATGAGGAGCAGAAAGAGAAAGAGGAAGGTTTTGTTTTGACCTTTGCTTAATGTATATTGTACGCAGAAAAGTGCACATATGAGAAGTGTGCAGCTTAATTTTCCACAAATGAACACACTTGTGTAACCAAACTACAGTATTACCAGGCTTCCAAACACATGCCTTACTCAGTTCCCTTTCAGTTACAGTCTGCCAGAGTAACCACTATCCCGACTTCTTTCGGAATAGATGCAGTTTGCCTATGTGTGTGCGTGTTGTGTAAAAATGCAGTCATTCATTATGTTGAGAATTTTAAGGGAAGCCCAGAAGGCACACTTAGCTCTAAATACAGACCTCTTTGTAATGTAGTGGTTCTCAAATTTGGTCACACATTGGAAGCATCTAAGACCTTTACAAATTACTGACATTTGAGTCCTACATCAAGGGATACTTACTGTGATTGGTCTGAGGCAGGGCCCGGGAACCAGCATTCTCAAGGCTCTCCAGATGATTCTAATGCGCACCCAAGTTTGAGAATCACTTCTGTAATGTGTTGAAGGTAAAGCCATAGATGTTTGCACAATATCGGAGCTAGTTTTGTGCCCAGCTGTCTAATATTTGTAAACCTGGGCTTTCTGTGTCTAGATTTTGGGTTGTAGCTTGGCAAGAGAAGTAGATATTACATATGACTAATAATCCTCCCACTGTCTGTCACCTGGGCAGCAAACCATTTTTGAATGTAGGGCTGTGTGGGAGGTGAATAGGGTTGCTCGCATTAGAACAGCCTTTGCCTAGAAGATGTTGGAATGCCATCAGTAGGTGCTGGATGGCACAGCTGTCGGATTTGTGTCAAAAGGCAATATATCCCCTGCATTGAGACTGGAGCGCAATGACTCATTTGCTTGAGGACTTTCGGAACCCTACAAGCCTGCAGGGCCTCTTCTCGTGGCCTAAGGATGCCTTCAGGTGTGACTAAGATATTTCAGACTTGGAAGAATACAGAATTGAATTCTCAGGAATCTGGTTAAGTGGGAAGGGCAGAAACATCTCAGTTCTGTGAAATTATTTATATTTTAGCCAGAAGATTGTCATAGCAGCAAGCTGATAAAAGTCGATATATTTCATTTATTTTCTTTATATTTTTCTAAAAGTTTTCTGATTTCAGTAAAACTGTAACAGAATTATAATTCACAAAAAACCAATAACATCGCAATTTCCAGAGTCTGGAAGAATTTCATTATGATTCAGTGAGAGGACAATTTACCTTTCCTGAAATACAGTGCGCTCACAAGCTCCATACCCAGGGCTCCAAACCCTTTTGCAAAGTCTCCTGATGAGTGGTTAACCCACCATTCAGAAGAGCGGGTGCTGGGATGCCTTGGTACCAAGGTGGTATGTGGAATCTCAGCCAAGAGCCTAGGAGGCTTCTTCCTGCTCTGTGAAGATCACATGTTTGTTCCTTGCCTTTGTGTATTTCCTTTGAACTAATCACCTGTTTGCTTTTGGAGGATATAGCAGTTAACAAGAGACAAGACTCTTGCTCTCATGAAGCTGATATTCTAGCAGAGAAGACAGAAAATGACATTAACTAATAAACATTTCAGATAATGATAGATGCTATAAAGAATACAAAATGGGAGAGGGGTGTTGGGTTGAGGCATTAGAAGGCCACTCTGCAGAAGTGACATGTGACAAAAGAAATAAATGAAGACAAGGGACCACTCTTGTGCACACACCCACAACAACAGCACTCCAGGCAACATGCATAGCAAGTGGAAAGCCTCGAGGCAGGATAGGCTTTGACATGGAGGATGGAAAAGGGGCCCAGTGTGCCTGCGTCACTGTGGGAAGGGAGAAGAACAGTAGGAGGTGAGCTCAGAGAGGCAGACGGGCTAACTTACCTAGGGCCTTGGTGACCATAGGGAGCTGGATTTTATTCCAAGTTCAATGAGAAGCCTTTGAGCCCAACAGGTTGATTGCCTTCACTTGATGTGATTTTAGCATATGATTAACCAGATTTTTAAAAGAGACTAAATCCATTTGTCTCGTAAGATCAGACATTTGTGAATTTTCTTTTCACTTACATATGAACTTTTCACTTACATGTGAACTTTTCACTTACATGTGAACTTTGATGGTAACAGAGGAAGATACGACAGATGTGTGTTTGAATTCCTATCCTTTAACCTGGTAGTAATTTGAGCTTGTAGTTTCTGGCAGTCATTACTTTAATTGAATTTGGTTTGTTGGGAGCTGGAGACTTCTTTAAAAACCTGGATTTTATACAAAAGAATTCATGTACTGCAGATAAATATGGAAAAAGGTGCCTGTGTGAGGCCTTCATTGGATTTTAGAATGATACTTGCTTTTAAATTGACGGTCTACTTGGATTTTTTCAAAATTCCTGGGGATTACTACGTGCCTTTTGGCAGAACAAAAAGGAAGAAATGAAAGCACAGATTGAATTGCTATCACTTCTAAATCCTGAAAGAAGTCAGACAGGACCCTTATTAAGTTACTCTAGAATGTGACATATATAACCTTTACACAGTAATTTATTTGAGATGATCAATCTTCACTAAATGATCAAGTGTTTGTTCGCTTGGAATTAAACCATAAATGCTGTTAGATTTTTCTCTGTTTTCTTTGCTGACCTGTGGAACTGGCTGGGCTTAACATTTAGGCACATGCATGCATTTAAATCTTGGAGAGGTATAGACAGCGTGAAGTAACTGATAAATGAACAGCATTTACAGTCACAAAGTTATTGCACATGGCAGCTTATTGGCATATAAATTAAACTGCTGCAAGGTAGAAGAATGGAAGCAAAAATAGGTTGCTGTGTTAGATCAAATTAATTTGAGAATCATTTCAACATTTTATTTCTCTGAAAAGTTTGCTTGGAGGTCTCCAGCTATGTTTGGCATCAAGTCACATTCATACTGAAGGAAAATGTGCTTTAAGAGTCAAAGTTATACAACATGCATTGGTATCAGCCTATCGTACGCGTAAATGGAGGTTGCTTTATGGAGATAATTTCTGGTAGGAGATAGAAGCCAGGAAGAGGCACAGGGAAGATCAGGGACTCCGACCTGTTGAGCAAGCTGGGTAGGAGAAATCCCCCGGGTCATGGCACAGAATAGAAAAAGTCAAAGGCGGCTTTGAGAAGAGAGTTGCCGGGAGTGGGATAGGTTAGCACCAGACAGCGTGGGGACCCCTCACAGAGATGCTGCACTGCGCAGTCTCACTCGGGGCATGGCGTCCTTCTACTCGCTCATCCTTCAAGTCTCAGCTTAAATGCCACTTTCTTCAGAGGAACCTTTCCTGACCGTCTTTATCAAAGGTCTCTCCTCCCATGATTTTCTATGATTGAATCTACTTTTCCTTCATGATAAATTGAAATTATATCTTTATATGTTTACTCATGTATTGTCTTTCTCTTACTAACTTACAATTTGCACTAAGGCAGGCTCATGTTTTCTTTGTGTCTCTTCAGCATTTAGCTCTGCCTGGCAGATAGTAGGCACGTATGAAATACTTGCTGAATGAACATAGAACCTGCAGGAAAACAGTCTGAAAACTGCTGTGGACTGGGGCTGCACCCCACATGAAACAGACTTGGGAATGCGGCTCTGGCCAGTGTGCGCTCAGAGAGACGTGTGTATATTCCCGACTCAAGTAGCCGGAGCAGACTTGTACCTGCAAACTGGGTTGATGAGGGTGCTGGACAATATCTCATAAATTATCCTAATAACCTGTGAAATAGACTGAGGGAAATCATAGTTTCCATTCTAGTGTTTAGAAGACAGAACAAACACCAGAAAAGAAACTACCCAACTTACGTGGCTAATTTGAACTTCAACACCAGTCCCTCGTCTCCCTTTCTCATCTCCTCACACTGCTGTCCGTATGCTTGGTACCCCCAGCACTTGCAAACTGTTTGTCTCTCCCTACATACACCATACCAGGGAACTGTTTCTGAGCTCTATAACGCTTCTGCCTCCAAAGCAAATCTGCTACTCTCCTCCTGGGTGCTGCTAGAAAACACGCCCAGTGCCCTGGAAGATTACAGGCTCTAATTCCTGCTTCTTGAGATGAAACAATTCAGCCCAGGGCTAGTTCCAAAGCAGGAATGCCTGAGTCTGAGACTATTTTAAGCTTCCCCTGAGACAGAGATGGGCTTATATAACCTCAGACCAGTCATGATTTCCACAGCTCACTGCAGAGCTGATTAAAGTAGATATAGCCAGGGTATTTCCACCATCAACCACCCTCCCTAGGACCCGTGACAGGGGAGAAAACTTTCATGTACTGAGCATCTCCCATGTGTCAAGCATTTTACATTTATCATCCTGTACACGGTGAACTGAGGTAACTGTGGGGTACAACCAAAACCCTGCGTGAGGCTGTCATTTAGAACCACATTCACAGAGCTGCCCTGGAAACAGCAATGTGAGTAAGGGGCAAGGTGGGACCACTTTGCAGCCCAGTAGTCCTCCAAACACTGAAAATAATCTGGCTTAGTTTCCATGTTCCTGCTGGGTAATGAAGCACCAAACAGTCGGTAGGTTTTTCAGTATGGGGGACTAACTTGCAAAAAGTACAATGAGCAAACTAAGAGGCAGTGAGTTGCTAATTCCCAAGGACACCATCTATAGGCAGGACCATGTCTGCTGTCAAACAGACTGTGAATAAATTTCAAGCAAGGAAAGGCTCTGAGGTACATTTGCAGCTTCTCTTCCCTGCATGTGTACCTTTCACATATAAAGGTGCTGGGAATTTATCACATTCCTTTCTATAGGCACTGGAATGGCAAAAATGATAAAGGTGGGTAGTAAATTGGCTGGTTCCTTTACAAAAAAAGGGCACCAAACACAGGATTACTCAGCAATTCCATAGAAAGTTCCCAAGCCACCTTTTTAAAATTGTTATATAGTGCTATCAAAAAGGCAAAGCTTCTCTTTTGGTAACATGTTTTAGGGAAGATCATTTTAAAATCCTTGCTCTGAAATCATGAGTGTAACTTTATAGTTGTAGGAAAATCTAGGAATATATATGAAATTAAAATTTAATTGAGGTCCACGTGCAGTGGCTCATGCCTGTAATCCCAGCACTATGGGAGGATCTAAGGGGACCAGGAATTCAGGAGCTCGTGACCAGAAGGGGCAACATAGCAAGACCTCATTGCAAAAAAAAAAAAAAAATTATAATCAACCGGACATGGTTGCACATGCCTCTAGTCCTAGCTACTTAGGAGGCTGAGCTGGGAAGATTGCTTGAGTCCAGGAATTTGAGGTCGTAGTGAGCTATGATCATGCCACTGCACTCCTATCTGGGACAAAAAAATAATTTAATTCAGTTCCAGTTTAGTTTAAAAAAAAATCCCAACCTTTGTCATGGATATCTAAGTATCTGTGGACATATTGCCCTTTGCCTTGTAACAGATTCTGCATTATTAAGAGTGGAGAAAAATAGAAATGGGAGGAAAGTGCAGTCAGCATAGGCAAGGAATTTAGCTCTCTTACTAAAGCAGAATTCAAAATCTCTACTGTGTCAGTATTACAGGGAGAATCTCTGGGTATATTATTCCTTACCAGTTCCCTGGAATGTATTAAACTCTGCACAAATAGGCATGCTGTGATCTCAGGTTGCAGTTTTTGTTTACTGCATGTCACATGATTGAAAACCAAGTTCTTGTCCTGGCTATGATGTTGCTTCCTCAGAAAGCCTTCTGGTCTACCCACAGCTCCCACTCTCACTGTTGTGTTCTCTCTTTGCATGCTATTTCTTTCTTTAGTCACATAATATTTCATAATATCAATTTGTTTACTTATTTATAGTGTCCCCCCTTCATTTGGTTTCAACTCTATTTTCACTTTTTTTTTTTTTTTGAGACAGAGCCTCGCTCTGTCACCCCAGCTGGAGTGCGATGGGGTGACCTTGGCTCACTGCAATCTCTACCTCCCAGGTTCAAGCGATTCTCGTGCCTCAGCCTCCCAAGTAGCTGGGATTACAGGTGCCTGCCACCATGCCCAGCTAATTTTTGTATTATTAATAGACATAGGGTTTCGCCATATCAGCCAGGCTAGTCTCAAACTCCTGATCTCAAGTGATCCACTTGCCTCAGCCTCCCAAAGTACTGGGATTACAGGCATGAGCCACCACACCTGGCCCTATTTTACTACATTTTTAATTTACTGATTTATTCTCCTTTGCCTAGCATAGTGCCTGTTATATGAATTCAAATATTTGTTGAATAAATGAGTGAGTGAATGGCAGAATAAGTGAATTAGTGGGGCTGCCCAAGTACCCCTGCCTTTTTCTAAATATATTGAGCCCCCCATTCCTTAACTTGCTTTTATCTTTATTTGCTCCAAGGGGTTGACTGCCTGAGCCCTGTCTCACAAGAATTGACTCTAATCTCTTAGCCTTGTTTGGTTCTTTACTTCCTAGCCTTTGGCTAGCTTCCAACATGGTGGATAGCATCTTCACATCCATCATCTGAAGGTATGTTAAACAGTCACCTTCACAGTCAGGACCAACAAAGGCACATCTCAACTCTGCTGCCCGCTGGAGCCCTCCCACTGGGTCTACTTTCCCGGAGAGAAGTTTTCTTCCCCGAGTGCCTGACTTCATTGAGAATCTTGTTCTTTAGGTGACATCTCACCTCCTACCTGCAGGAGTGTGGCTTTTTCCTACTGACCTAACCGTTTTATCACAGCTGAATACTCTTAAGTTTATATAAATTTTTTTTATCCTTTCATGGGAAAGTTTTCATTCTATCATGTTATCATGTGCACTGGATTAGGAACTTGAGTATTCGTTCTGGGTCAGCTATTACCTGTGTGGCTTAGATGCAGTAAGTATTGAATTGAGAGCAGTTGCAGTTCAGTGCGGAGTTGAGAGCATGAGCTCTAAAGTAATACTGCCTGGAATTCAACTGCAGCACCTACTAGCTGTGCAGTCTTAGGAAAATTATGTAATCTTTATATTCCTCACTTTTCTCATCTGTAAAATGGGGGCAGTAATAGTGCCTGCCTCATAGAATTGTTATGAGGATTAAATTAGATGATACGTGTAAAACTTAGAACTGTGCCTAACACATAATAGACATTGTATAAACATTAGCTCTTATTTTGATAATGATGTTGACAATGAAAGCCTTTTTGTGTATTTTCTGTTCTCTGTTGATTTTGAAAGTAAAGGAGATGTGTGAGGTATGTTCTCATGTCCCTTCTGGATTCAAATAAATCCAAGAGTCTATGCTGCTCTGTTTCTGAGCACAGAATTCTAAGACTGTAGAATAACTCCTTAACATAAAGGCAGACAAATTCAGAACAACCTCATTCTGGTAAACAAATCCTTTTTACTCTTGCCTCATGCTTTAAGATGATTCCTCTGGGTCCACCTCGGTGTCTGCATCTTCTAGATCTCCAAGTCCCTATGGTTTCTCTCATCTCTGGATTTCTTTTGCACCTTTTACTTCAGTTCCATCTATCTTCCACATAATTGACAGGATAAATTTTCAAAAACATGAGTTTGACTAGGTTACTCTACTGCTTACAACCTCTCAGTGGCATCTTATCAACCGTATGATGAAATCTCAGCTCCTTGGTATGGTATAGTATGCAAGGCACTCAGAGACAATGCTGTCCTCAGATCCAGCCTCCCTGTTAGCACCCTCTACTCCAGGAAATCTGATAGTGCTTGTGCTTCTTCACAATCACAAAACTACCCCACGCCTTCATGCTCTTGTATGTGCCTCATGCAAACACTCCTTCGTTTTTTTTCAACTGGGTAGTTCCTACTTGTCCTGTAAGGCTCAACTCAGGCTTTTTGTCATCAAGAAAGTTTTCTGACCCAAGCTTTCCTCCCTGTGCATGTCCTTCTACCAGTACACGTTTGTCATTGAGTTGAAATGATGTAGGCACAGCTTTGTCTCCATCTGTAGACTCTGAATTCCTCCATAGCAAATGCAGGTCTTAGCTTTCTTTGTGGTCCAACACGGTATCTGACACATTTTAAGCAATCAATCAATGTTGAGCTATTTTGGATCTCTTGAACAACTCGACACTAGGTTCTGGCTGTAGCACACAAGTGTGATTTGCCTTTAAGTGCTATAATCCCACCATAGCCAGTTATGGATCATTTTTGTTACATGACTTCTATGCTTCTAAAAGTAACCATCAAGGAGGAATTTCAGGAAATGTTTATGGTGATAGTAGCATTAAGATAATAAGATATGCTGTCCATACATATTACTCAAAGGATGACATTCTGTTAAGTCTCATAAAGTTATAGTCATGAAGAGATTATTGAAAAACTATCCTCCAGAAAGTGGACCCCAACTTAGGCAGATCTCTCAGGCTTAAAGGGATAGGTATCCATTGGTATAGTCCTAATCTAACCCAACAGCAGGATAGCTAAATAAGCATATGAAAATATAAGTAAAGAAGAAAGTCATCTTTGAAGCATTCTATTATATTTTGTTGAAACAATAGGCACTGTTAACCACAAACCCCTTTTATCACAGGCGTTCTTCATACCAAAGTTCAAAGACTCACATAAAGAGACAACTCTGCTGTGTGTTCACGTTCCTCTGACAAGTGCAGTAATGAGTTTCTTAGGGATACATCTTGAACTAATCATCAGTGAGGGCTGATAGCATGATACAAAAATACAATTCAGGAAAATCCATACAGGCCCAGCCAATGTAGCATGAGTATGCAGTACTCTGATGATAGTATGCCTTAATTCAGATAATGAAGAGTAGCTGGGAGAGTATATTTTTCTTATTTCTTGCAACTTAGCTTTTGCTACATATTGCTTAACATAGAATTATGTATCTGATATGCAAAGTACAGACATTATGTGTTATTATTTGAGGGTCAACCTCACAAAGGAGTTTTGACTGTAATGTCCTATTCATCAAAGTCTATGACACATACCACTAGGCTATGCTGTGATAATGAACAATCTCAAACTCTTAATAGTTTAGAACAAGAAGGTTTGCTTCGGGTTCATGACATAAATCTATCATGCATCAGCCAGGGCCTCTGGTCAGCATGCTGGTTGTCCTCATTCCAGGATCCAGACAGCTACATGGAGCATTGCTAGCCATAGGACAGATGGAAAGGAGAATGTGGCAAAGTACACACTGGCTCATGCAGCTCCCAAGAAAAATCATATGGCTGTTCCTAATTTTAAGAGGAAGAAGTGGAATGGCAGTCTAATCATTTATTGCCTGCATGGAAAGAGAAGAATATTTTTGAACAGCACTAAAGATGACTACACAGAGCTGAGGAGCCTCGTTAAAAAGTCACCACCCTTCAGAAAGAAGATAGAACCAGGAAGCACACACATTCAGAGATGTTTCTGTCTGTAAACAGTTTGGGGGTAGATAGAAAACACTATCTATAAAACATAGGTGATTGGGAGCCCAAATGTATATGCAACAAAGCAGTAATTTTCATGTTGTGTTTGTACAATTCGAGAAATCTATGCCATGCTGCACAGATTCTACCAGCAAAAGGAAACATAAATCTGACTATAGAAATATGTTTATAGCATTCTTAAAAGCCAAGCTATATATCACAAAGGAAGAAAAGATAATACTGTATCAGGGAAAATCTTTTAAAAAATTTAATGACATTGCAACAATGATCTGACATGACAATCACTCTGGTATGTTATTTTAAAATAAAATTATCAGAGTCATCAGTTAATTTCTCTTTATGGCAAAGGGGAAAAGGAAAATTCAAAGCTCCTTTGACACACAAAAGAAGTCAAAGATTTATACTTCCGGAAATCTAGGATTCCAGCTTGACTGTTACCCAAGGCAATCAATTTGAATGCTTACTAAGGAAGAACCTACAATACTAAAGTTATATTCCATAAAATGTAGCCATAATTTCTGATGTGCAGGTTTTTTTTAAGTTAGTCATTTTCATGACAGAAATTTTATAAGGACGGTTTTTTAAGGTAACAAAAAAGGCGGGATGATTACGAATGGAAATTTCCACCTGAATTCCCATATCAGTCAAGGGACGGTAGTTGGTGTTTTTGTGTGTGTTTGGTTTCCAACTTCATCATAATTTTTAGAATTAGATGCTAGAATTTAATCTTTTTATTTATTTATTTATTTTTTTTGTAACTGCTGTTAACAAGTGACCATGAGATCTGTGGAGGAAGGAAAAGGAGAACACTTTTATCTTCAGAGAGGCAATCTGCAAATCAGGGAAAGTCACCTCCAGGAAAACTGAAACCACATGCTCAGAAGAGGGAGAGGGAGAGGGAAAGCTGGCATTCCTGTCTTTCAGGTCTGCCTTCCATGCATTTTTAGCAGGTTTGGGGAAAATTACGGGTACTTATAAGGGAAGTCAAGCACATATGCAGTAGGCAAACCTATATGTCACATATATTCTATGTTCATTTTAGGGTGGAGTTTTAACATTAAAATGAAGCGGAATTTGGCTTTTTACAACAAAAGGTGAACTAGAGGGTATAAAGGCATTTTGTGCACAGTCTCTGTATGCTGGCGGACGCTAGCTTGAGGCCTGTAGCTGTTTATCAGGAAAGAATGTTTGCAAGGTCAGTCTCCTGTCCAATCAGAGTTGCTGATGGGACCACAAGTCGGGGGTAGGGGAAGTCAGGTCAGCTGGCATCTGGCAGGTCACCAGGGTCAATTGGGAAACTCCTGGTTCAAGCTGTTTTGATAATGTTTTTTAAGTACTAGTTTCTGCTTACTTACAGGAAAGAAGACCTTATTGCAATTAGTAATATAAGGGTATTTGACCAGCCCCTCTCCCTGCTATGGCTGCTTGGTTCTGTTTCTGGTATGCTTTATTTTAGCCACAGGGAGTCCATTTAGTCTGTCAGCTGCAGGTATGTTTTAACACGCCTTAGCATCTTTTTTTCTCCCACTTACCTGTTAAGAATTTCCTTCACAAGTAGCTACTAGTTGGTAAAGTCTATGTGCTCAAAGCTATTGGCCTCGTTCAAGGATTCTTAGCTTTGGCACTATTGCCATTTTGGCCTAGATAATTCTTTGTTGGTGGAGGGGGTAGGCTGTCCTGTGCATGGTAGGATGTTTAGCAGCATCTCTGGCAACCACCCACTAAACACCAGAAGCACCGCCTCCCTCACTGTGATGATCAAAAATGTCTCTGGACATTTTCACATGTCACCTGGGAGCACAATCGCTTCTGATTGATTGAGAACTACATGCTTAATTTAATCAGAATCCACCTCTGGGGCAATATATAGAGTAAGTGTCCCCTGAATATCATGGACTTCGTGCGCAGGGTTGTTTCAGTTACTATGGCTGCATAACAAATTACCTCAAAGCTTAGGCATAAAACAGCTACTTATTATGCCCGTGGAATCTGTGGGTCAATAATTCTGACAAGCTACTGCAGAAATGGCTTCTCTCTGCTCCCGGATGTCTGAGCCTCTTCTGGAAGACTTAAAGGCTTAGGATGACATTTTTCTGAAGGTTTCTCACTAAGACATTTACTGTTGGTGCTTGTTCTTGGCTGGGATGACTATAATAGCTACAGCTGTAACTGAAACATATACACCTATGTGTATTTTCTGTGTGGATGTTTGACTTCCTTACAAAACATGCCCATGTTCAAAGGGCAGGCAATCCAAGGAGAACACAACCAGGTGTAAGCTGTATTGCCTTTTATTTTATGATTTTTATTTTTTTATTTTTCGACGCAGAATCTCGCTCTGTCACCCAGGCTGGAGTGCAGTGGTGCGATCTCCGCTCACCACAACCTCTACCTGGGTTCAAAAAATTCTCCTGCCTCAGCCTCCTGAGTAGCTGGGACTATAAGTGTGTGCCACTGCACCTGGCTAATTTTTGTATTTTTAGTTGAGACGGGGTTTCACCATGTTGGCCAGGCTGGTCTTGAACTCCTGACCTCAGGTGATCCACCTGCCCTGGCCTCCCAAAGTGCTGGGATTACAGGCATGAGCCACCGTGCCCAGCCTATATTGCCTTTTATGGCTTAACTTCCAAAGTCCCAATAACATCACTTCCAGTATACTCTACTGGACGAGGCAGTTACAAGGTGCAAGGAGGTAAGTAAGCATCACATAGTAAGAAGAGCATGTGGGATGAGACATAGATCAGTGTGCTCATCTTTGGAAAATAGAGTCTTCCACAGAGTTGGACGCTTGAATAACATCTGAATTCTGTTGGTAATGAAGAAGAATAATTTTGTTCAGATAGACAACCAAGAGTGTTTCCGAATGTACCTTTATTTGATAAAATAGTTCAAAGAAAAATAAAAAAGTATATACTATATAGCTAATAAATTAATTCCAAAGATGATATTGTATAGGAGCTTCACATTTTAATAGAATAGCCATGTTGTAAACCCCTTAGTTTTACTTATTTTAGCATGATACGTAAATGAGTACAAAGGTGATAGTAATATTATTTGGCAGCTTAGCCCAGTACAATCTAATTGTTTAGATGAATTGTGGAGAATTCATCAAAGGACTTTGTTTTATTTATTTATTTATTTATTATGTTTTATTTCAATAGTTTTTTGGGGAACAGGTGGTGTTTGTTTACATGAATAAGTTTTTTAGTGGTGATTTCTGAGATTTTGGTGCACCCATCACCTGAGCAGTGTACACTGTACCCAATGTGTAGTCTTTTATCCCTCAACCCTGCTGCCACCCTTTCTGGGAATCTCCCATTATATCATTCTTACGCCTTTGCATCCTCCTAGCTGAGCTCCCACTTATGTGTAAGAACATACAATGGTTGGTTTCCCATTACTGAGTTACTTCACTTAGAATAATGGTCTCCAATTCCATCCGGGTTGCTGTGAATGCTATTATTTTGTTCCTTGTTATGGCTCAGTAGTATTCACAGTATGTATAAACCACAATTTCTTTATCCGCTCATTGCTTGATGGGCATATGGGCAGGTTCCATATTTTTGCAATTGCAAATTATGCTGCTATAACCATGCATGTGCAAGTATCTTTCTCATAGAATGACTTCTTTTTTTCTGGGTAGATACCTGGTAGTGGGATTGCTAGATCAAATGGTAGTTCTACTTTTGTTCTTTAAGGACTTTCCACGCTGTTTACAATAGTGGTTGTACTAGTTTATATTCCCACCAGCAGTGTAGAAGTGTTCCCTTTTTGCCACATCCCTGCCAACATCTATTATTTTTTGAATTTTTGGTTATGGCCATTCTTGCAGAAGTAAAGTGGTATCGCATTGTGGTTTTGATTTTTATTTCCCTGATCATTAGTGATGTTGAACATTTTTCATATGTTTGTTGGCCATTTGTATATCTTCTTCTGAGAATTGTCTACTCATGTCCTTAGCCCACATTTTGATGGGATTATTTGTTTTACTCTTGCTGATTTGAGTTTGTTGTAGATTCCGGATATTAGTCCTTTGTCAGATGTATAGATTGCAAAAATTTTCTTCCACTCTCTGGGTTGTCTGTTTACTCTGCTGATTGTTTCTTTTGCTATGCAGAAGCACTTTAGTTTAAGTCCCCTCTATTTATCTTTGTTTTTGTTGCATTTGCTTTCGGGTTCTTGGTCATTAAGTCTTTGTCTGAGCCAATGTCTAGAAGGGCTTTTCCAGTGTTATATTCTAGAATTTTTATGGTTTCAGGTCTTAGACTTAAGTCTTTGATCCATCTTGAGTTTTGTATAAGGTGAGAGATGAGGATCCAGTTTCATTTTTCTACACGTGGCTTGCCAATTATCCCAGCACCCTTTGTTGAAAAGGGTGTCCTTTCCCCACTTTATGTTTTTGTTTGATTTGTCGAAGATCAGTTGGCTGTAAGTATTTGGCTTTATTTCTGGGTTCTCTATTCTGTTTCATTGGTCTATGTGCCTATTTTTATGCCAGTACCATGTTGTTTTGGGGATTATGGCCTTACAGTATAGGTTGAAGTCGGGTAATGTGATGCCTCCATATTTGTTCTCTTTGCTTAGTCTTGCTTTGGTTATGCGGGCTCTTTTTTTGGTTCCATATGAATTTTAGGATTGTTTTTCCTAGTTCTGTGAAGAATGATGGTGGTATTTTGATGAGAATTGTATTGAATTTGTAGATCACTTTTGGCAGGATGGTCATTTTCACAATATTGATTCCACCAATCCATGAGCATGAATGTGTTTCCATTTGTTTGTGTTGAGTATAATTTTTTTCATCAGTGTTTTGTGGTTTTCCTTGTAGAGGTCTTTTACCTTCTTGGTTAGGTATATTCCTAGGTATTTTACTTTTTTGCAGCTATCATAAAGGCAGTCGAATTCTTGATTTAATTATCTGCTTGGTCACTGTTGGAATATAGCAGAGCCACTGCTTTGTGTACATTAATTTTATAACCTGAAACTTTGCTGAATTAATTTAACAGTTCGAGGAGCTTTTTGGATGAGTCTTAAGGGTTTTCTTTGTATACTGTCATATCATCAGCAAACAGCAACAATTTGACTTCCTCTTTACCAATTTTGATGCCCTTTATTTCTTTCTCTTCTCTGCTCTGGCTAGGACTTCCAGTACTATGTTGAATTGAAGTGGTAAAAGTGGTCAGCCTTGTCTTGTGTTCCAGTTCTCAGGGGGAATGCTCTCAACTTTTCCCTGTTCGGTATAATGTTGGCTGTGGATTTGTCATAGATAGCTTTTATTACCTTAAGGTATGTCCGTCCTGTACTGACTTTGCTGAGAGTTTTAATCATAAAAGAATGCTGGATTTTGTCAAATGCTTTTTCTATGTCTATTGACATGATCATGTGATTTTTGCTTTTAATAACGTTTATGTGCTATATCACATTTATTGACTTGTGGATATTAAACCATTTCTGCATCCCTGGTATGAAATCCACTTGATCATGGTGGATTGTCTTTTTGATATACTGTTGGATTCAGTTAGCTAGTATTTTATTAAGAATTTTTGCATCTGTGTTCATCAGGGATATTTGTCTGTAGTTTTCTTTTTTTGTTATGCTATTTCCTGGTTTTGGAATTAGGTTGATATTGGCTTCATAGAATGATTCAGGGAGGATTCCCTCTTTCTCTATCTTTTGGGATAGTGTCAATAGGATCAATTGGTACCAATTCTTCTTTGAATGTCTGATAGAATTCAGCTGTGAATTCATCTGGTCCTGGATTTTTTTTTTTTGTTGGCAATTTTTTAATTATAATTTCAGTCTCGCTGTTTGCCATTGGTCTGTTCAGAGTTTCTATTTCTTCCTGGATTAATGTAGGAGAATTATATATTTCCAGGAATTTGTCCATCTCCTCTAGGTTTTCTAGTTTTTGTGCATTCATAGTAGCCTTGAATGATCTTTTGTATTTCTGTGTTATCAGTTGTAATATCTTTCATTTCTAATTGAGCTTATTTGGATCTTCTCTCTTGTTTTCTTGGTTAATCTCACTAACAGTCTGTCAATTTTATTATCTTTTCAAAGAACTAGTTTTTTGTTTCATTTATCTTTTTTTTTTTGGTTCAATTTTATTTAGCACTGCTCTGATATTCGTTGTTTCTTTTCTTCTGCTGAGTTTGGGTTTGGATTGTTCCTTTTTCTTCAGTTCTGTGAGGTGTGACCTAAAATTGCCTATTTGTGCTCCTTCAGACTTTTGATGTAGGCATTTAATGCTATGAACTTTTCTCTTAACATTGCTTTTGCTGTATCCCAGAGGATTTGATATGTTGTGTCACTATTATCCTTCAGTTCAAAGAATTTTAAAATTTTCATTTTGATTTCATTTTTGACCCAATGATCATTCAGTAGCAGGTTATTTAATTTCTATGTATTTGCATGGCTTTGGGGGTTCATTTTGGAGTTGATTTCCAATATTATTCCACTGTGGTCAGAGAGAGTACTTGATATAATATCAATTGTTTTAAATTTATTGGGACTTGTCTTGTGTCCTATCATATGGTCTGTCTTGGAGAATGTTCCATGTGCTGATGAATAGAATGTACATTCTGCAGTTGTCAGGTACAATGTTCTAAACATATCTGTTAAGTCCATTTGTTCTAAGGTACGTTTAAATCCATTGTTTCTTTGTTGACTATCTCGATGATCTAAGAGCTGTCAGTGGAGTATTCAAGTCTCCCACTATTGTGTTGCAGTCTGTCTCATTTCTTAGGTCTAGTATTGTTTTATAAATTTGGGAGCTCCAGCATTAGGTGCATACATATTTAAGATTGTGATATTTTCCCGTTGGACACTTTTTAAATCATTATATAATGTCCCTCTGTCTTTTTTTAACTGCTGTTGTTTTAAAGTTTGTTTTGTCAGAAATAAGAGTAGTTACTCCTGCTCACTTTTGGTGTCCCTTTGCATGGAGTATCTTTTATCCTTGCCCTTTACCTTAAGTTTATGTGAGTCCTTATATGTTAGGTGAGTCTCGTGAGTCTCTTGAAGACAGCAGTTACTTGGTTGGTGAATTCTTTTCCATTCTGCCATTCTTCTTAGTGGAGCATTTATGCCATTTACATTCAATGTTAGTATTGAGATATTGAGATGTGAAGTACTATTCTATTCCTCATGCTGTTTGTTGCCCGAATACCTTCTTTTTCATTGTGTTATTGTTATATAGGCCCTGTGAGATTTATGCTTTAAGGAGGTTTTATTTTGGTGTATTTCAAGGATTTATTTCAAGATTTAGAGCTCCTTTTAGCAGTTCTTGTAGTGCTGGCTTGGTTGTGAATTCTCTTAGCATTTGTTTGTCTGTAAAACACTGTTTCTTTCCTTCATTTATGAAGCTTTGTTTTGCTGGATACAAAATTCTTGGCTGATAACTGTTTTTGTTTAAGGAGGCTAAAAATGGGACCCCAATCTTTTCTAGCTTGTAGGGTTTCTGCTGATAATTCTGCTGTTAACTTGATAGATTTTCCTTTATAGGTTACCTGGTGCTTTTGCTTCATAGCTCTTAAGATTTTTTCCTTCATCTTGACTTTAAATAACCTAATGACTATGTGCCTAGGTGATGATCTTTTTGTGATAAATTTCCCAGGTGTTCTTTGAGCTTCTTATATTTGGATGTCTAGATCTCTAACAAGGCTGGGGAAGTTTTCCTCAATTATTCCCTCAAATGTTTTCCAAACTTTTCTTCCTTAGGAACACCAATTATTCTTAGCTTTGGTCATTTAACATAATCCCAAACTTCTTGGAGGCTTTGTTCATTTTTTAAAAAATTTTTTGTCTTTGTTGATTAATACAAAAGCCTTGTCTTTGAGCTCTCAAGTTCTTTCTTCTACTTGTTTGATTCTATAGCTGAGACTTTCCAGTGCATTTTGCATTTCGCTAAGTATGTCCTTCATTTTTAGAAATTGTGATTGTTTTTAATTTATGTTATCTATTTCTTTTTTTTTTTATACTTTAAGTTTTAGGGTACATGTGCACATTGTGCAGGTTAGTTACATATGTATACATGTGCCATGCTGGTGCGCTGCACCCACTAACTCGTCATCTAGCATTAGGTATATCTCCCAGTGCTATCCCTCCCCCCTCCCCCCACCCCACCACAGTCCCCAGAGTGTGATATTCCCCTTCCTGTGTCCATGTGATCTCATTGTTCAATTCCCACCTATGAGTGAGAATATGCGGTGTTTGGTTTTTTGTTCTTGTGATAGTTTACTGAGAATGATGATTTCCAATTTCATCCATGTCCCTACAAAGGACATGAACTCATCCTTTTTTATGGCTGCATAGTATTCCATGGTGTATATGTGCCACATTTTCTTAATCCAGTCTATCATTGTTGGACATTTGGGTTGGTTCCAAGTCTTTGCTATTGTGAATAATGCCACAATAAACATACGTGTGCATGTGTCTTTATAGCAGCATGATTTATAGTCATTTGGGTATATACCCAGTAATGGGATGGCTGGGTTAAATGGTATTTCTAGTTCTAGATCCCTGAGGAATCACCACACTGACTTCCACAATGGTTGAACTAGTTTACAGTCCCACCAACAGTGTAAAAGTGTTCCTATTTCTCCACATCCTCTCCAGCACCTGTTGTTTCCTGACTTTTTAATGATCACCATTCTAACTGGTGTGAGATGATATCTCATAGTGGTTTTGATTTGCATTTCTCTGATGGCCAGTGATGATGAGCATTTTTTCATGTGTTTTTTGGCTGCATAAATGTCTTCTTTTGAGAAGTGTCTGCTCATGTCCTTTGCCCACTTTTTGATGGGGTTGTTTGTTTTTTTCTTGTAAATTTGTTTGAGTTCATTGTAGATTCTGGATATTAGCCCTTTGTCAGATGAGTAGGTTGCGAAAATTTTCTCCCATGTTGTAGGTTGCCTGTTCACTCTGATGGTAGTTTCTTTGGCTGTGCAGAAGCTCTTTAGTTTAATTAGATCCCATTTGTCAATTTTGGCTTTTGCTGCCATTGCTTTTGGTGTTTTGGACGTGAAGTCCTTGCCCATGCCTATGTCCTGAATGGTAATGCCTAGGTTTTCTTCTAGGGTTTTTATGGTTTTAGGTCTAACGTTTAAATCTTTAATCCATCTTGAATTGATTTTTGTATAAGGTGTAAGGAAGGGATCCAGTTTCAGCTTTCTCCATATGGCTAGCCAGTTTTCCCAGCACCATTTATTAAATAGGGAATCCTTTCCCCATTGCTTGTTTTTCTCAGGTTTGTCAAAGATCAGATAGTTGTAGGTATGCGGCGTTATTTCTGAGGGCTCTGTTCTGTTCCATTGATCTATATCTCTGTTTTGGTACCAGTACCATGCTGTTTTGGTTACTGTAGCCTTGTAGTATAGTTTGAAGTCAGGTAGTGTGATGCCTCCAGCTTTGTTCTTTTGGCTTAGGATTGACTTGGCGATGTGGGCTCTTTTTTGGTTCCATATGAACTTTAAAGTAGTTTTTTCCAATTCTGTGAAGAAAGTCATTGGTAGCTTGATGGGGATGGCATTGAATCTGCAAATTACCTTGGGCAGTATGGCCATTTTCACGATATTGATTCTTCCTACCCATGAGCATGGAATGCTCTTCCATTTGTTTGTATCCTCTTTTGTTTCATTGAGCAGTGGCTTGTAGTTCTCCTTGAAGAGGTCCTTCACATCCCTTGTAAGTTGGATTCCTAGGTATTTTATTCTCTTTGAAGCAATTGTGAATGGGAGTTCACTCATGATTTGGCTCTCTGTTTGTCTGTTGTTGGTGTATAAGAATGCTTGTGATTTTTGTACATTGATTTTGTATCCTGAGACTTTGCTGAAGTTGCTTATCAGCTTAAGGAGATTTTGGGCTGAGACAATGGGGTTTTCTAGATAAACAATCATGTCGTCTGCAAACAGGGACAATTTGACTTCCTCTTTTCCTAACTGAATACCCTTTATTTCCTTCTTCTGCCTGATTGCCCTGGCCAGAACTTCCAACACTATGTTGAATAGGAGTGGTGAGAGAGGGCATCCCTGTCTTGTGCCAGTTTTCAAAGGGAATGCTTCCAGTTTTTGCCCATTCAGTATGATATAGGCTGTGGGTTTGTCATAGACAGCTCTTATTATTTTGAAATACGTCCCATCAATACCTAATTTATTGAGAGTTTTTAGCATGAAGGGTTGTTGAATTTTGTCAAAGGCCTTTTCTGCATCTATTGAGATAATCATGTGGTTTTTGTCTTTAGTTCTGTTTATATGCTGGATTACATTTATTGATTTGCGTATATTGAACCAGCCTTGCATCCCAGGGATGAAGCCCACTTGATCATGGTGGATAAGCTTTTTGATGTGCTGCTGGATTCAGTTTGCCAGTATTTTGTTGAGGATTTTTGCATCAATGTTCATCAAGGATATTGGTCTAAAATTCTCTTTTTTGGTTGTGTCTCTGCCTGGCTTTGGTATCAGAATGATGCTGGCCTCATAAAATGAGTTAGGGAGGATTCCCTCTTTTTCTATTGATTGGAATAGTTTCAGAAGGAATGGTACCAGTTCCTCCTTGTACCTCTGGTAGAATTCGGCTGTGAATCCATCTGGTCCTGGACTCTTTTTGGTTGGTAAACTATTGATTATTGCCACAATTTCAGCTCCTGTTATTGGTCTATTCAGAGATTCAACTTCTTCCTGGTTTAGTCTTGGGAGAGTGTATGTGTCGAGGAATGT
Organism: Homo sapiens; assembly: GCF_000001405.40. Classification (NCBI taxonomy): domain Eukaryota; kingdom Metazoa; phylum Chordata; class Mammalia; order Primates; family Hominidae; genus Homo; species Homo sapiens. The sequence continues at coordinate 25,518,125 of NC_000010.11, forward strand.
ATCCATTTCTTCTAGATATTCTAGTTTATTTGTGTAGAGGTGTTTGTAGTATTCTCTGATGGTAGTTTGTATTTCTGTGGGATTGGTGGTGATATCCCCTTTATCATTTTTTATTGTGTCTATTTGATTCTTCTCTCTTTTTTTCTTTATTAGTCTTGCTAGCGGCCTATCAATTTTGTTGATCCTTTCAAAAAACCAGCTCCTGGATTCATTGATTTTTTGAAGGGTTTTTTGTGTCTCTATTTCCTTCAGTTCTGCTCTGATTTTAGTTATTTCTTGCCTTCTGCTAGCTTTTGAATGTGTTTGCTCTTGCTTTTCTAGTTCTTTTAATTGTGTTGTTCGGGTGTCAATTTTAGATCTTTCCTGCTTTCTCTTGTGGGCATTTAGTGCTATAAATTTCCCTCTACACACTGCTTTGAATGCGTCCCAGAGATTCTGGTATGTGGTGTCTTTGTTCTCATTGGTTTCAAAGAACATCTTTATTTCTGCCTTCATTTCGTTATGTACCCAGTAGTCATTCAGGAGCAGGTTGTTCAGTTTCCATGTAGTTGAGTGGCTTTGAGTGAGATTCTTAATCCTGAGTTCTAGTTTGATTGCACTGTGGTCTGAGAGATAGTTTGTTATAATTTCTGTTCTTTTACATTTGCTGAGGAGAGCTTTACTTCCAAGTATGTGGTCAATTTTGGAATAGGTGTGGTGTGGTGCTGAAAAAAATGTATATTCTGTTGATTTGGGGTGGAGAGTTCTGTAGATGTCTATTAGGTCCGCTTGGTGCAGAGCTGAGTTCAATTCCTGGGTATCCTTGTTGACTTTCTGTCTCGTTGATCTGTCTAATGTTGACAGTGGGGTGTTAAAGTCTCCCATTATTAATGTGTGGGAGTCTAAGTCTCTTTGTAGGTCACTCAGGACTTGCTTTATGAATCTGGGTGCTCCTGTATTGGGTGCATAAATATTTAGGATAGTTAGCTCCTCTTGTTGAATTGATCCCTTTACCATTATGTAATGGCCTTCTTTGTCTCTTTTGATCTTTGTTGGTTTAAAGTCTGTTTTATCAGAGAGTAGGATTGCAACCCCTGCCTTTTTTTGTTTTCCATTTGCTTGGTAGATCTTCCTCCATCCTTTTATTTTGAGCCTATGTGTGTCTCTGCACGTGAGATGGGTTTCCTGAATACAGCACACTGGTGGGTCTTGACTCTTTATCCAATTTGCCAGTCTGTGTCTTTTAATTGGAGAATTTAGTCCATTTACATTTAAAGTTAATATTGTTATGTGTGAATTTGATCCTGTCATTATGATGTTAGCTGGTGATTTTGCTCGTTAGTTGATGCAGTTTCTTCCTAGTCTCGATGGTCTTTACATTTTGGCATGATTTTGCAGCAGCTGGTACCGGTTGTTCCTTTCCATGTTTAGCGCTTCCTTCAGGAGCTCTTTTAGGGCAGGCCTGGTGGTGACAAAATCTCTCAGCATTTGCTTGTCTGTAAAGTATTTTATTTCTCCTTCACTTACGAAGCTTAGCTTGGCTGGATATGAAATTCTGGGTTGAAAATTCTTTTCTTTAAGAATGTTGAATATTGGCCCCCACTCTCTTCTGGCTTGTAGGGTTTCTGCTGAGAGATCCGCTGTTAGTCTGATGGGCTTCCCTTTGAGGGTAACCCGACCTTTCTCTCTGGCTGCCCTTAACATTTTTTCCTTCATTTCAACTTTGGTGAATCTGACAATTATGTGTCTTGGAGTTGCTCCTCTCGAGGAGTATCTTTGTGGCGTTCTCTGTATTTCCTGAATCTGAACGTTGGCCTGCCTTGCTAGATTGGGGAAGTTCTCCTGGATAATATCCTGCAGAGTGTTTTCCAACTTGGTTCCATTCTCCGCATCACTTTCAGGTACACCAATCAGACGTAGATTTGGTCTTTTCACATAGTCCCATATTTCTTGGAGGCTTTGCTCATTTCTTTTTATTCTTTTTTCTCTAAACTTCCCTTCTCGCTTCATTTCATTCATTTCATCTTCCATTGCTGATACCCTTTCTTCCAGTTGATCGCATCGGCTCCTGAGGCTTCTGCATTCTTCACGTAGTTCTCGAGCCTTGGTTTTCAGCTCCATCAGCTCCTTTAAGCACTTCTCTGTATTGGTTATTCTAGTTATACATTCTTCTAAATTTTTTTCAAAGTTTTCAACTTCTTTGCCTTTGGTTTGAATGTCCTCCCGTAGCTCAGAGTAATTTGATCATCTGAAGCCTTCTTCTCTCAGCTCGTCAAAGTCATTCTCCATCCAGCTTTGTTCTGTTGCTGGTGAGGAACTGCGTTCCTTTGGAGGAGGAGAGGCGTTCTGCGTTTTAGAGTTTCCAGTTTTTCTGTTCTGTTTTTTCCCCATCTTTGTGGTTTTATCTACTTTTGGTCTTTGATGATGGTGATGTACAGATGGGTTTTCAGTGTGGATGTCCTTTCTGTTTGTTAGTTTTCCTTCTAACAGACAGGACCCTCAGCTGCAGGTCTGTTGGAATACCCTGCCGTGTGAGGTGTCAGTGTGCCCCTGCTGGGGGGTGCCTCCCAGTTAGGCTGCTCGGGGGTCAGGGGTCAGGGACCCGCTTGAGGAGGCAGTCTGCCCGTTCTCAGATCTGCAGCTGCGTGCTGGGAGAACCACTGCTCTCTTCAAAGCTGTCAGACAGGGACAGCAGAGGTTACTGCTGTCTTTTTGTTTGTCTGTGCCCTGCCCCCAGAGGTGGAGCCTACAGAGGCAGGCAGGCCTCCTTGAGCTGTGGTGGGCTCCGCCCAGTTGGAGCTTCCCGGCTTCTTTGTTTACCTAAGCAAGCCTGGGCAATGGCGGGCGCCCCTCCCCCAGCCTCGCTGGCGCCTTGCAGTTTGATCTCAGACTGCTGTGCTAGCAATCAGCGAGACTCTGTGGGCGTAGGACCCTCCGAGCCAGGTGTGGGATATAGTCTCGTGGTGCGCCATTTCCTAAGCCCGTCGGAAAAGCGCAGTATTCGGGCGGGAGTGACCCGATTTTCCAGGTGCATCCGTCACCCCTTTCTTTGACTCGGAAAGGAAACTCCCTGACCCCTTGCGCTTCCCAGGTGAGGCAATGCCTCGCCCTGCTTCGGCTCGCGCACGGTGCACGCACCCACTGGCCTGCGCCCACTGTCTGGCACTCCCTAGTGAGATGAACCCGGTACCTCAGATGGAAATGCAGAAATCACCCGTCTTCTGCGTCGCTCACGCTGGGAGCTGTAGGCCGGAGCTGTTCCTATTCGGCCATCTTGGCTCCTCCCTCCTCTATTGTTATCTATTTCACTGAAGATTTTTTTCCTTCCTAACTTGCATCATATTATTGATTTAAGTTTGACTTCACCTTTGTCTGGTGCCTCCTTGATTAGCTTAATAGTTGACCTCCTGAATTCTTTTTCTGGCAACTTAGAGATTTCTTCTTGGTTTGGATCCATTGCTGGTGAGCCAGTGTGATCTTTTGGGGGCATTAAAGAACCTTGTATTGTCATATTACCAGAATTGTTTTTCTAGTTTCTTCTCATTTGGTAGACTATGTCAGAGGGAAGATCTGGGGTGAAAGAGCTGCTGGTCAGTAAAACATGGAACGCTTCATGAATTTGTGTGTCATCCTTGCACATGGGCCATGCTAATGCAGCACACATCAAATGACTTTAGTAGACTGTTATCTTGCTGATGGTATGAAAGCAATGGCAGAAAAAAATCCTACAGATATTAGTTTATATGAAAACTGCTGCCAAAAGGTATTGAAGGAGTAGTCATTGAATCCTACATAGACAATAAGAAGATGATAATTTTTCAGAGTTGAGGCACTGTGGGTGAAAGGAGATAAGGGCCCAGAAACTCACTTGCTTGATCTTCTCTTTTGACTGTCATAAATAACCTCTGAGATGTCTCCACAGAGGCCAGTTTAATAACCAGTAATTAGGGTAAAAAGCAGAGAACAAGGGATCAGAACTGAGTTATAATTCTGGTGTAGCCAGTTGTGTGACCTAGCACAAGTCACTTAGTCTTTTGGGGTCTCAGCTTCTTACTATGTAAGTTAAGAGTATTGACATAGGTATTCTCAACAGCACTTCTCACTTCTGTCATTTCTTGGCAGTTTTAGAGAAATTCCCCAAAATATTTAGATCCACGTTTTCAGCTAGTTCCTGTTAACCCCGTTACCCTCCCAGTGCTTGGCATGGTCAGGGAATGTAATAAATCGCCTGCTTTTAAAAAGCTCTGGACATCCATCTGAGTCCTGTTTTCAAGGAAATTGTAGGCTTACTTTTTTATAAAGAGAGATATTCCAGCAGAGTCATGGCCTCCTTTTCCCTTGTAACCCTGTTGATGGCAATGCCAACTTCCATCAAATTCTCTTTGGCTTTGGTAATGAGATATAGATGTTGGGGGGAAATGACTAATGAGAAAAGGGATCTGGATTTGACTTTGCCTTGGAGGAAATTGCATTTATGTAATTGAATTCACTATAAAGACAGACCTGTGAGTTGCAGAAGGCTGAAACACAATTGACTACTTACATACAAGTTTGAAAACTCACAAAATACGCTTATATATTATTTATGGATACATATAAATGGAACAAACATAGAAAACATGTACTGGATGGCTTTATGTCAGACTTTTTAGTGCTTGCCTCTAGAGAAAGTAGAAGACATGGGACTGTGAAGGGGAATTAGGAAGCTTCTCCTTAATATGGGTAAAGTTTTCAGTTTTTTAAAGACCCATAGTGATTGTAACAAAATTTATACACGTATTAATTTGTGTGGTGTGCAGATGTCAAGGTTATATTAATCTCAATTTCTATTTTTTTTAAACTTAAAAAAAGTAAAATTGTATTTAAAAGTACTTTCAAGAGCTGAGCTGAACTGGAGAAGCTGAGCTGCTAGATGTCAGAGTAACTGGTTAAGGCAACAAGCCGAAATGGAAGAAACAGTCAAGCCCTTCATCACTTAGTATAAGCAAGAGGCTGAACTGAAGAAAGTGCTGTCTTCCCTGCTGTTCCATTTTTCCCCATGGGATGGCACCATGCACAAGGGTCAGATGGGTCAACACAGGCATGGGGAATGTCTCACTGCAGTGGGAGCCCTGAACAAAAGGCTCCTGAAGTCCTGTGGATCCAGGGGTTGGGAGAAGGGCTAGAAATGGAAGAGTACTGAGTCAGAGTGAAGAAAACATCTTTAAGGTCCTCTGTGTGGAAGAACTCTTGGATGGCTTGGATGGAGACAGCTCTGCTAGGAATGCGACATGAGTAAGAGCATGGCTAGCCAGGGAGCCTGAGTCCTTGACTGCAGCCCCCTCTAGCAACTGCAGTACATCAAGACTGTGCACCAGGTGGGGAGGACAGAGTTCCCGTAAAAGGTTTGCCAGGTAAAGTTTTTATAATTGCCTGTGGTTGGGCCTGAAAAATCAGACATAGGTTTTGGTCAGTAGCTGGACTCCTCGAATTCTAATGTTTTTCTGCTACAGAAAGCTGTGTAGCTGAGAAATAGACAATTTAATCAAAATATTTGGAGACTTCGGTACCCTACTTTTTGTAATGAATAGAACACCTAAACAGAAGATCAACAAGGAAACAGTATAAACCAACTAGACCTAGCAGACATCTGTAGAATACTCCTCTAAGATCAGGAATCACACAATGATTTATACTGTTACAACTTCTATTCAACATTGTGCTGGAGATTCTAGCCACAGCAATTAGGCAAGAAAATGAAGAAGAAGAAAAAAAAGGCTTTTACTTTAGAAAGGAAGAAGTAAAACTGTCTCTATTTGCAGATGAAACGATCTTATAGAGAGAAAACTCTAAGGAATGCACAAAAAAAAGATCTTTAGAACTAATAAGTTCAGCAAAGTTGCAGAATACGAGATCAGAATATAAAAGCAATTTAATTTTCTTATACCAGCAATGAACAATCCTAAAATGAAATTAATGAAACAATTCCATTAGAAAAAGAATAAAATATTTACAAATCTAATAAAAGAAGTGCAAGACTATACAATGAAAACTACAAAACATCATTAAAAGGCGTTCAAGAACTACATAAATGGAACTCATGGATTAGAAAACTGAATAGGTTAGCAGTACTCCCCAGATTGATCCACAGATCCAGTGCAAGCCTATGAAAACCCAGCTATCTTTTTGTTAAAATTTCCAAGCTCGTTCTAAAATGTATATGGACACGCAAGGGGCCCAGAATATCTAAAATAATTTCAAAAAGCAGAACAAAATTGGAAGACTCATACTCCCTTACTTCCACCAAACTTACTACAAAGCTGTGCTGATCAAGATAATGTGGTACTGAGATAAGACAGACATGAAGATCAATGGAATAAAATTTAGAGAGTTCCAAAATACATCTTTCCATTTGTGGTCAATTGATAAGCATGTGAAGAATGTTCAATGGGGAAAGAATAGTCTTTTGAATAAATGATGCTAGAAGAACTGGATATCCATAAGCAGAATAATGAGTTGGATCCCTAGTTCATACCACATATAAAATTTAACTCAAAACAGCTCAGAGTCCTAAATGGAAGAGCCAAAACTGTAGAACTTTTAGAAGGAAACATAGATATAAATTTTTATGACCTTGGGGTAAGCAATGGTTTCTTAGATATGACACCAAAATCACAAGTGACAAAAGATGAAATACATAGTTGATCTTTATCAAAGTCAAAAACTATGTTGCAAGTTATACTACCAAGAAAGTTAAAAGAAAGCACACAGAATAAGAGACAATATTTGTATGTCATATGTCTGATAAGGGACTTATATCCAGAATATTACAACTCAATAATAAAAAGACAATTCACCCAACTAAATAGACAAAGGATCTGAATAGACAGTTCTCTGGAGAATATATACAGATAGCCAATAAGCATATGAAAAGATGATCAGCATCATTTCTCATTAGGGAAATGCAAATCAAAACCACAATGTGATAACACTTCACACCCACAAGGATGGCTGTAATAAAAAAGATAGATAAAAAAGATAGGCAATGAGTGTTGGCGAGGAGGTAGAGAAATTGGAAACATCATCCATTGCTGGTAGGAATGTAAAATGGTGCAGTCACTCTCTAAAACAGTTGAAAATTTTCTCAAAATGTTAAGCAGAGTTACCATATGACTCAGCAATGCCATTCCTAAGTATATAACCAAGGGAAATGAAAGCATATGTCCACAAAAACACTTACACATGAATCTTCGTAGCTACATAATTCATAATAGCTCAAAAGTGGAAGCAATTCGCATGTTCATTAACTGATGAATGGATAAACACAATGTATTATATCTATACAGTGGAATATTATTAATAAAAAGGAAAGAAGTAGTGATACATGCTACAGTATATCAGTAGCATACATTGTATGGTACTCTACATTGTATGGATGAACTTTGAAAACATTGTGCTAAATCAAAAAAAGCAATCAAAAAAGACCATGGATTGCATGATTCCATTACTTGAATTGTCCAGAATTAGCACATTTATAAAGACAGAAAGTAGACTAGTCAGTGGCTGCCTGTGGCAGGGGAAGAATGGGGGAATGACTGCTAATCATTATGGGGTTCATTTTTGAGGTGGGGAAATGTTCAAAAATTGATTGTGGTAATTGTACAACTCTGTGACTATACTTCAAATGAATGAATGATATATGAATTACACTGCAATAAAGCTATTTATAAAAGTCATAGTAGGGCCAGGCACGGTGGCTCTCTTCTGTAATCCCAGCACTTTGGGAGGCTGAAGTGGGTGGATCACCTGAGGTCAGGAGTTCGAGACCAGCCTGGCCAACATGATGAAACCCCATCTCTACTAAAATACAAAAATTAGCCAGATGTGGTGGCATGTGCTTGTAAACCTAGCTACTTGGGAGGCTGAGGCAGGAGAGTTGCTTGAACCTGGGAGGCAGAGGTTGTAGTGAGCCAAGATCGTTGCCACTGCACTCCAGCCTGGGCGACAGTCCAATTTTGTCTAAAAAAAAAAAAAAAAAAAAAAAAAAAAGTCATAGCAATTCTGGTTCTAATAACTGAGCAGTTATGTTGAATTGACCTTCCAGCAGATACAACTCTGGAAAATATATAAAAACACAATTATTTGAAAAAACTGAAAAACTATCAAAAGCAGGCAGAAACTAGAAGGGATTTAATCCTTTAATAAAGGAACTGCACTAGGTAGGGGGCTACATTACCTACTCTTTTGCAGAGGGCGCTCCCAGTTTATGTAGTGTGTGAAGACTAGCACTTAAGCAAAAAGCTGCAATCTGTTTGTCTTAAGATGTCAGAGGATAGAGTTTGATCCTGCTAGAGAAGCTGGAAATTGAGGGGGTAAATTATGAAAAGGAGGGGGCCACAGGAGGCGGATGTACTCATCTGGATCCAATCAAGAGACAGAAACTGTACAGTAATTTGGATAGTGGGTTTATGTAAGGAGTTGTTAAACTATGATAGGGCAATAACTGTAAAGATATAAAGAGAACTCAATAATATAAGGCTGAAGGAGCATGCTCAAGAAAGGATAAACTTGGAAAGAGGCTTCCTCTGTAAAGCTGGGGTTCAGACCTTGTTGCAGAAGGTATGTTTGCAGCCCACTGGATGGCAGAGGAATTTGCTGAGTTACATAGGCAGAGCTGGTCCACAGATGCCAGACAATCAAGAAACAACCCCAGTGAAGTAAGATTGATGGACTGGCTTGCAGAGAGACTCAGGGCTTTGGAAGCCCACTCACAGGCTGGGAAGCAATTGGGCAAAGATTACCAGACTGGCAAAAAAGCAAGCCCCAGCTATATGCTGTACAATGTATAGATAAGATAAAAGTAACATGATTGCAAAAGATACAGTCATAAGAAAATTGGAATGGTTATATTAATATCAGACAAAATAGACTTCAAGAAAGGAGATATTCACAGAAAAAAAGAGGGACATGTTATCATGATGATAAAACTCAATTCATCAGGAAGCCATGACAATTCTAAACATATATGCACATAATAATAGAGCTTCAAAATGCATAAAGGAAAAGATAAGACAGAGCTAAAAGGATAGATGAATTCACAGTCAAGTCAGAGATTTTTACACCTTTGTGCAAAATAATGATGATAAATAACAAAACTGTACAAGTGGTATAGACTTAAAAAGATGAACTAATTGATATACACAAAACTACACATTTTTTTAAAGTACGTATGAAATGTTCACCAAGATAACCATATGGTATACCATAAAATGAATCCCTATAAACTTTTTAAAATGGAGATAAAAAAAGAATATCCTATGACTTCAATTTGAATTAAATTAGTAATCAATGATATGTTAACTTAAAAGCCCCAAATATTTGGAAATTAAACAATTTTTAAACAATTAGCGTGTAAAACAAGAAAATGGAAATTAGAAATATTTCAAATGGAATGATAGTGAAAATGTGAGATATCAAAATTAGTAGGATGCAGCCAAAGCAGTGTTTATAGGGAACTTTACAGAATTAAATGCTAACATTAGAAAAAATATGAACTATGATTCTACCCTATGCATCTAGAGAAAGAACAAATCAAACCCCAAACAAGTAGAATAAGGGAAAAAATAAAGTAAGAATCTACTTGAAATCAGACATATAATAGAGAAACCCAAAAGCTGTTATTTTTTAAGTTATAAAGTTGATAAACCTCTGGCAAGACTGATCAAGAAAAAAATGGAATACACAAATTACCAGTATCAGGAATGAAAAAGAAAATATTGCTAGAGATCCTGCAGAGATTAAAAGGATAATAAGCTGGTATTACAATAAAACTTGATGCCAACAAAGTCCACAACTTGGATGAAATGGACAATCTTTTTGAAAAATACAACTTACTAAAATTGACAGAAGAGATAGGAAATTTGAATACACATTTTCATATAAATAAATTTATAATGAAAAGACTTCTCAGAAATAAAGCTATAGACAAAGATATCTTTAGCTATTTCTATTACACATTTAAGAATGGAATAGTGTCAATCTTAACTCTTTCAGAAAATAGAGGAAAAGGAAATACGCCCCAATTCATATTGTTCCAATATCCTGATATCAGCTCATACTACCATACTGACCCTAAAACCTGACCAAGATATAATTAGAAAAGAACATGACAAACAATACCCCTTATGAACATAGAATTAAAATTATCAAAATTCCTTAACAAAGTATTAGAAAATTGGATCTATATATATATAGATATATAGAGAGAGATCCAAGCATTAGATGGGAAGCACTAAAATATTTTTAAAATATACATACAACATAATTGGGTACATTAAAAAACCTGAAGAAATCTTCAGTGTTAGAATTAATAAGTGAATTTGTCAGGGTTCTAGGATATTCCTATATACAGTAGCAAACAACTGGAGAATGAATATTTTAAAATTACATTTACAATAGTACCTAAAAGCACTAAATACATACAAGTAGATTTATTAAAAAATGTGCAAGAAATCTACACTGACAACTAGAATATAGTGTTAAGAGAATATAAAGGAAACCTAAATAGAGAAACACATGATGTTCATGAATTAAGTGGTGTCAGTTCTCTTCAAATTGTTCTGTAGAATCATTGTAATTGTAATCAAAACCCCAGCGGGCTTTTCTTTTAGTAATTTACAAGTTTAGTCTAAAATTTATATAGAAAATAAATGATGCAAACTAGCTAAGTCAGTGTTTTAAAAGAACAAAGCTAGAGGATTTATACTATGGAATTTCAAAAATTACTCTAAAGTTACAGGACTTAATACAGTGTTAATTGGCCTAAGGAGAGAGAAATAGATCAATGGGACAAAATAAAGCAACCAGAAATATATCTACACATATACTGTCAATTGACTTGTTATGGAAGTTTCAAGGTAATTCAACAGGGAAAGTAAAGTCTTTTCAACGAACGGTGCTGAAACAACTGGATAAATATATGGGAGGAAGTAACAACCAGGTTAGGCAACAATTTGAGAGCATACGGCCAGGCATGGTGGCTCACGCGTGTAATCCCAGCACTTTAGGAGGCTGAGGCAGGCGGATCACGAGGTCAGGAGATCCAGACCGTCCTGCTAACACGGTGAAACCCTGTCTGTACTAAAAATACAAAAAATTAGCCGGGCGTGGTGGCGGGCACCTGTAATCCCAGCTACTCAGGAGGCTGAGGCAGGAGAATCACTTGAACTCGGGAGGCGGAGGTAGCAGTAAGCCGAGATTGCACCATTGCACTCCAGCCTCGGTGACAGAGCGAGACTCCTCAAAAAAAAAATCAATTTGAGAGTATATACAAATCAATGGACATAAAAGATAAAGTGAATAATTTGGAATTCATAGAAAGACTTCTTATCAAAAAGCATCTTTTGGAAGCCTCTCATTGCAGGGATCGGGGAGTGGCAAGTTGGATTGGAGGTTGCCCCCGTTACTCAGATATTGCCTTTACTTGTGCTTCATTATTTTACTCTCAGATACAAGTACAAGATAAAAGCGCAATATAAAGGTTACTAATAAAAAACAATGCCAAGAAATTGTGGTGAGACACATGAACACCCAAATCACTTAGATGTGAAGATTGAGATGGGGTTAAAGGAAACAGGAATACTATGCCTTGGCCTGAGAAAAGTCACTCTCACGACAGCCTTTTTCATTCCTGGCCACTGGGACCATGGCCTGATCTTTCACTTTCAAGTTTCCCTCTGTTTTGAGTAGCAGGCCTTGGTTCCAGTGCCTAGACCTGCCCCGTTCTGCCCATATTTTTCTCTTGCTCCCCTAACAACTGCCAAGCAACCAACAATTGTTTTCATATATTTTTGTCTCACTTTTCCATCCGTTTGATTAGGAAAATTAAAACCTACTGGCCTTTCGTATCTTACTGCTTTAGTTTGTCACCACTGAAAATGTCTAGACTCATCCTCTCCCCCTTTTGCCTCCTCAGCCCTTCTGCTTCTTATAGGTTGTAGGTGGGGAGGCGGGAGATGGGTGGCAGCTGAAGATCTTTGTCGTCCTTATACTTCTGAGATGGTCTCCTCATGAGCTGAAGTGGAACAGTAACTGTGTGGCTTCTTCAATAAGATAATACATGAGAAAAGTGAAAAGTGTTATTAAAAAAACAAACACAGAACTCCAAGGGCTTTCCCAATATGTGGGCATATTTTAATGCCAGCGTGAATCTGGTTACGGCACCAAGAAGGCGGTAGTCACTCAGTCTCACAAAGGAACACACACTCTTTGATTCTGTTTCTGTGAAGTGTAAGAGCAGCTCAAAATGACCTGTAGCGATAAAATATTATTACGGATGTAGAATCCACAGGACCTCACACCTGACTGGACACTGGAAAGGCAGGAGGCCCATCTGACAGCCTTTTGAAGTATCTGCAGCTAAGCGTCCTTGCCCCACCTCCCCGCAGAAGGTGTGCTGCAGCAGGAGTGCTCTGTTGCTAGTGAGTCCGCAACAGGCAGGAGAGTTTAAAGACATGTAAAACAAACAAAGCTGATCCATTATCCAGAAAAATAAGCACGTATGCAGAGACAAATTCTGCTTCAGGTCTTGCTTACATTAAGCAATCTTGATGTGATAACACTTAACCAATTTTGATGCAATAAGACATCTTTAGAGGAAGTGACAGGAAACAGGTCAAGGATCGTTTAACTCCTTCTCAGTCACTCTCTGCCTCTCCTTGAACAATTCTTTCTTCATCAGTACTAAGCCCTTTTCCAGCCTTGTGTCAGCTCTCTGGTCTGCTGGAGATGGCCTCACTGGGATCTCTCCATCCGAGCAGTAGACCATGTCCTGAATATTTTCTTCCCTTCTACTTTGCATCAAAACTTACCCATTCTGTGCCTCTTCCTTCAGGAGCTTATTCTGTCCTAAGTGGCTTTCAGAGTCATCACTCTAATCCTTTCAGATACATGTCTAGGGATCTTTTGAAGATTAAAAAATAATGCTAATGGTAGGTATTTTAGACATTCCAATGATTAGTAAGAAAAATATTCTTGAACAATTCTTTTTTTGGAACCTTTAAGATAACATATATTTTTATATGAAAACAAATTTTTTATAGAGAACGGCACCTTGTGTGGAGATTGAAAATGTTGACAATTTAGGGTAATTCCACCTTTGACACATTCAGTTATGTTGTCCTGGGCAAGTTACTTATCGTCCTAAGTATCTCAAGTCAGGAAAAGAGAAACATCAAGTAGGTAACAAAAAGTAAAAACCCCGCGTCCATGCTGGTTTTGATTATTGATAATGACCATGTGTTAAGCAGAGCCTTCTAGAAAAGTGAATAGGAGGAAGACTAAAAATATGTGGAGAACATCCATTTGTTACTGTTTACTGACAAATCTGAAAAAGTTTTATGGCAACCTATAGTTACACCTAGATATTTATTTTCAGCCCTTTTTATTTGGGGCTGAGTAATAAGAAAGTGTCCTCTCGAAAGAGATGAGGCAGTGAGTCAGACTGAAACAGGCTGGCAAAGTGGCTCCCTCGTCATAGGATTTGGTATTATTTATGTTAATTTGCCATTGAGGGAATTTATAAGGATCTGGTAGGATCACCTCATGCTCGCTTTAGACAGGAATAAAAAAGGTTTTGCATCAATCTTTAAGGAATAAATATAGGAGAAATAATTATACCACTTTAGTTGTCAGTGCTTTCACATAATTCTTCCTATCTTGTGAGGGAGGGAGGATTATTACTCAGCTTTCCACATGAGGGAGGAGATGGTCAGAGTGGGCTGCTCAAGGTCATGCCGTTAGGAAGTGGCAGAGCAGTCCCTTGGGCCTCCAGAGCTTATCATCTTTCCATGATACCACTCTGCTCCTCTAGAAATAGATGCTTATTTCTGCCTGGAGCATGGGGAGATCATACCGGAAATGGTGACTTCTTCACAGAGGGAGACATAGGACTATCAGGACAATTCTGATTCTAGGTTGTAACTGCAATTTGCATAATTATGACTTTAGATTTCTAGTGTAATTTGTGGTTTTTGGAACCTGTTGTACTATATGTTTTGCACATTTTCTTTAACCAAGTTGAGAAGGAGGACTACTGACATGAATCTTTGGACCCTAAAGAGAAAGAGGTGGGTTTCGTTGTTTGTTTTTCACCAGAGAATGGTCTATGCAAGACTATCTGTTAAACGGATGAGGCACCATACTAAGCTAAAGAGGTGGGCCACTCCCAGGGACAGGGTATGCCTAAGAGTGATGCATTTTTTATGTGTATTCTGTTCTTGGCTGTAAAAAAGCTTTTGCCTCTATCATTTAATTCTATATTGTGTCTCATCATCATTTTTTCATGTTTCTTCTCAAAATACCATACCTCAACTCTTTTCCTGTGAATTCTTCTGCATTTTTGTTTCTTTGTTGAGGTCTGGAGTTCTTAAGATTCTCTTGCTTCTCCTTGGGTCGTTTTCTGTATCTTTCCACCTCCACATAAAGTCACCATATAGATATTACATATGATACTTTCTCCACTTTGCTCTCTGATCCCCAGTGTGTAGAAAACACCCTCCATTCCCCATTTTAAGAGCCAGGCATTTATGCAATGACCTAACCAGAAATCCTTTTATGCATTGTTTCGTTCCTTTATTACAAAAGTGACACATTTGTTGTAAAAAAAAAAAAATACCAAAGCATATAACTTAAAGAGTAAAATCTCCTTTTGCCCCTTGCGTTCTCATTCCCAGCCAACCTATTCAGAGATAGTCTTCATGGTCTATTGAATGTGCATCTACATATTCCTTTTGATGTAGATACAAACAGAAGCATATGCTATTACTGTTCTGCAGCTTTCTTTTTATTTAACAATTTATCTTAAAGGTGTTTTCATAGCAACAGAATCAGATCCGCTTAATTCCCTTAATGCATGGTTTTCCACTGAATGGCTGTAACTTTAATTACCATAGTGAACCTGTCCCCTACTAGTGGAGAATGTTTTCAGTGTTTTTTGTCTTGCAAAAAATGCTTTAGTGAATATTCTTGCATATATATTTCTGCTATTTCTTATGGATGTTTATGTAGGGCAGTTTTCTAGAAATAGAATTCTCGCTGCACTGTAGTAGTTCTTAGACATTTTCCATCCCCAGCCTTAATCTGAGCTTTAGCTATCCCAATTCCACACGTGGCTTGCTTCTGGGCTGTGGACTAGTATTAGCAGCCCTTAGTCCTTGTCAAATTAAAACCACCTGTTAACCTTAAGAAAAAAATCATTCAGTCTCTGCCCTCAATTTACTGAATCAGTTTCTACAAGAAAAACCTGGACTTATATATATTTTAAACCATTATAGTTGGTTCTGGTGTTCAATCAGGGTGGAAGACCAATACACTGGTTCCTGGCTTCCACTCTTTCTCATGACTATGGCTGTATCTTCTCTCTCAGTAGTTTAATCTCTGTGATGTCCCTCTGCTTTCACAATTTTTCTACATGAATTATTCGGTTTAAAACATTCATTTTACCATTTGTTAACTTCATTCTTTATATATTTCATTTATTTTCCTTGGAAGTTATTTTTACCTTGTCGGCAGTGTTCAGTTCAACCCTGCCTTGTTCACTTCATTGAACAAATTGGTCAACATTTTATAGCACCAGGCATTCTAAAACATCCAGCCTCCATCAAAGATCACTAATTTTAATCTTTCTACTCTGTCCTTCCTTTGTAAAGGTAAGGTGTATTGCATAGCAATAATGAGCTCAGACTCCAGACCCCAGCTGAGTTTAAACCCAGCTCTGCCACTTACCAGCTATGTGACCTGGGGCAAATTCCTTAACTTTGCCTCAGCTTCCCCATATGTAAAGTGGGAGTAATAATAATGCCTACATCACAGTATTGTTGTAAGAAATAAACAAGTTATTTTATGTAGGGCACTTAAAAAGTAACTGGAATATAACATGAATTCATTAGATGTTGTTATTACCCCTCACCAAAAAGATAATGAGATAGACTCTGAGTTGCTTCCTTCTCTCCTGGGCCAGCTTTCAGCTTTCTTTGACATCTTCATCTGGTTATGCTTTGGCACATGCTTTTCTTCTCTATAATTATGTTGATATCTATCATCTGTTGTCATTCTTACTGAGATTCTTTTTTGGCCTTGAGTGTTTTTACAGTCATTTAGGGTTTCCAAAAGTAGCAGACATAAACATGTTCAATCTGCCAGGTTTTACCTGACATCTTCATTCTTCCTTAGTTACAATTTAAACATAGACATATGTACTTTTAAAGATCTGAATTAGGCCAGGCGCGGTATCTCATGCCTGTAATCCCAGCACTTTGGGAGGCTGAGGCAGGCAGATTACTTGAGGTCAGTTCGAGACCACCCTGGCTAACGTGATAAAACCCCGTCTGTACTAAAAATGCAAAAAACAAAACAAAACAAAACAAAACAAAAACAGATTACTTGAGATCAGGAGTTTGAGACCATCCTGGCTAACATGGTACAACCCCGTCTCTACTAAAAATGCAAAAAAAAAAAAAAAAAATTAGCTGGGTGTGGTGGCACGTATCTGTAATCTCAACTATTTGGGAAGCTAACACAGGAGAATCGCTTGAACCCAAGAGGTGGAGGTTGCAGCGAGCCAACATTGTGCCACTGCACTTCAGCCTGCGTGACAGAGCAAGAAGTGACAGAGCAAGACTCCATCTCAAAAAGTTAGATAGACAGATAGACAGACAGACAGGGATCCGAATTACATCTCCCACCTCAACATGACCATACCATTTTTCTTACTGTTTAAAACATTACAATAAAAAAGTCACTTCTCAGCAGTTCTTAGTCATGAGCTATGTGTAGTCATTTCTCAGCAGTTCTTAGTCAAGAATCATGATCCTGAAGATGGGTTAGACTCTGTTGGAGAAGGCAGCCTTACTGGATTTCTTTTCTTGCTTTCAAAAATTTCTCCTTTAAAGTAGTTTTTCACATTATTCTTTCTCTAAATGCATACTCTGGGGATCTCATAGCTTTGTAGTCTATATTCCTCTTACATCATTTGCTTTGAACCCAGGTAGATAACAGCATTTCTGATGATATAAAAGTAGTCTCTTTTTGTGGTAAATAACTAATAGCTCCAATGTTCCCTACCTCCTGGTAATCATGGCCTATGTAATTCTCACCCCTTGACTAATTAGTTTCTAATCAATCAAACAGATTAACATTGAAAGAATGTGACTTCCACAATGAGGTTAAAAAAATTACAACTTTCATCTTGCTAGAAGACTCTCTCTTGCTGGCTTTGATGAAGCATGCGCCATATTGGAGTGGCCCACATGGCAAGGAACTGAGAATGGCCTCCAACCCACAGCCAGCAAGGACAAAGGGCCTCAGTTCCTCTAGCCCTCAGGGAGGCAAATGCTGACAACAGCAGCATGGGCTTGGAAGTGTATCCTTCTCCAGTTTAGCCTTCAGATGGAACCCCAGACCTGAGTAATGGCTTGATTACAGATGTGTGAGTAACCCTAAGGCTGGCAGTGCCTGGATGAATGACCCACTGAAACTGTGAGATAAGAAATGAGTATTGTTTTAAGCCAGCCACTAAGTTTGTGGTATTTGTTATATACAAGTAGATAATGAATGCACCTTGATTGTCCTGGTTTTATCCATCATATTAATAGTTCTGACTCTGCTTCGACAAAGCTCAGTTTGCCTAGTCTGCTTCTTTCCTCTTCTCTCTATACCCCATTCTCAACTCCACACTATTCAGAAGCTTCTTTTCTGTCCTTATTTGAAGATACATTTAGAATAAGACTAAATAGATTGTTGATTCAAATGTGACAAATATCAAAAGTAATCCTCATATGTTAGTAATAAAACTGGCATTTCTCCATTGTTTTGTACTGTTTTAAGTGCATCCACACTGTGTCCCCACTAAACTGTTGAGGAAAGTGAGGCCCAGAGAAATTAAGGAATTTGTCCCAGGTTATATTTCTCATTGGTGGTAAAGCCTAGCCTGGCATTTAGGGCAATTAACACCAAATTCCTTGTTTTACCCACTGCATTAGGCTGCAGCTCCTTTCCACCTGACTAGTAGGTAGCTCATATATTTGTATTATTTTACAAATAAAAGTCTTCAATTTTTATTGAAGAATATTTAATTCTTTAATATTAAAGATATTAATTTCTTTATTAAAGAAAATTCATTTGTAAAATAATGCAAATATATTTTACATTATTTGTTATATTAAATCTCCAGCCTCCTTTACATATAGTGGTTTTACTGAAGCTAATTAAGTATTTCCAAGTGTGTGTATTTTATTTTGCTCTAAACCAGGCATATTATTTGGCCAGTAATGAAAACAAATCTTTCTGAGATGTGTGCTACAAGTATTTTGTATTCTGAATGAAGAAGTGTAAAGTCTCCAGTTTCTAATGGCCTTCGTTAACATCCCATTTACCAACTCTTGTACTGTTTTTGTCCTTTATAAAAGAAAATTCCTGAATCAGTAAATCATTGATCATATTCAGAGTTCATTTGTTTCTGCATTTGTCCATTTCTTGAGAAATATATTTTTAACCTCTCTGCCAAATATCTTAGCTGATAAACTGCATCTTTTTTTTAGTCATATTTTAGGAGATGATTCAAAAGATTTAACTTTATCTTTCCATTATATGCACAGATTAAACTGAAAGATTCAGTTATCTTGGGCTGGCAGGCTTCACTTTCTGGGTTTTGCCCAGTTCAGCCAACCCATGCTACTCTAACTGTGGTCCTAGGAGCAGCAGGATTAGCATCCCGAGGGGCTTGTCAGAAATGCATCATCTTGGGCCTCACCACAAACCTACTGAAGCACACTTTGCATTTTGGCAAGCTCTCCAGATGATCGTATGCACGTGAAGATGTGAGAAACACTGTTCTAAGCCCCTTTTATGGCAGAGTCCTAAGTGGTCCAGCTCACCCAGTGGCACCACTTCCAGGCTAAACTCCACCTGTGTCTCAAGTCACTTTATTGTCATCTGCCAGAAAATGATTGTAATCAATCTAAAGTAGACAATGCATTCAAGATGTTCTTGCTAGTTGTGTAATGCACAGACTGCATACTCATGCAGAGGCCCTCCCTTACTGTATAGTCTTTCCAACCAAAACAAAGTAATTCCCAGGAATTATTCTATTGAACTATCCATTTTTCCATTATTTCTGAGGACTCTTAATTCATTTAGCTCTTTCAGCCTTAATATAGTAATATGATACCTAATAAGATTATCTTATTTCTAAAGCATAAGACCATATACTTCTTTGACTGTATCATGACATAAATATGTTATTTACCATTTACTAAGCACCTGTAACAGATATTGGAGTAGTTTCTTATTTTAAATTAACTTTTTTCTGATTACAGAACATGTGTAAGATACTGAGACTTGAAAGCATGTCTAATACTAAAACCAGAGAATCTCTGTCAACATTGTTTACTTTGTGTGTTATGTATATACACACATACAATTTTATATATATTTATATTATTGAAAATTAACCTTTTCTCAATACACATTTACAGTAAGGATTTGAACTGGAGCTTAACTGCCTGATATGGCCTGGATTTGTGTCCCCGCCCAAATCTCATGTGGAATTGTAATCCCCAGTGTTGGAGGAGGGGCCTGGTGGGAGGTGACTGGATATGGGGGTGGATTTCCCCCTTGCCATTCTCATGATAGTGAGTTCTCATAAGATCAGGTTGTTTAAAAGTGTGTAGCACCTCCTCTTTCACTCCCTTCCTCCTCTGCCATGTAAGATGTGCCTGCTTCCCCTTCACCTTCTATGGTGATTGTAAGTTTCCTGAAGCCTCCCCAGCCATGCTTCCTGTAGAGCCTGCGGAACTGTGAGCCAATTAAACCTCTCTTCTTTTTAAATTACCCAATTTCAGGTATTTCTTTATAGTGGTGCAAGAACAGACTAATACACTGTCCATTTTAGAAAAGATCAATCTTTTCAAAACAATACAAAATGAAAAAAATTTTTACCATAATACTTTGATCACAGTACTCAACATTCTGCTCACTAGTGTGTGTTTTTCTCTCAGAGGCACATGCAGTTTGCTCATAAGGATATCAGGAGAGAAAACAAGAAGCCAAATCAGAGCCAAAGCTTCAGATTTGCCGTTGTTGTTGTTGTTGTTGTTTTGCTTTTTTGGCAATTATAGAGAACAGATATTTTAGATGAATATCTTTTTTTTAAATTATACTTTAAGTTCTAGGGAACAGACATTCCAGGATATTTTCCCCATTAGCTTTTATGCATAGCTCCTTATGCCTTGTTTTATAGAATAAATTAAGGATGTTCAATTCAGGGTAATAAACAGGGGACAAGTGTGCTTTCATTTCTCTGTGTATGTTTCTATGTATGTACATATATATACACACAAATGTTTTGTTGTTGTTGTTAAGAGATGGGTTTTCACTATACTGCCCAGACTGGAGTGCGATGGTTATTCATAGGTGTGATTATCACACATTATAGCCTCGAACTCCTGGCCGTAAGTGATCCTTCTGCCTCATGTGATCTTCCTGCCCAGCTTCCCAAGCAGCTGGGACTGCAGGCATGTGTCACGGTGCCTGGCTACACATAAATGTTGAGCATAACTGCTATCACACTGTATATTTTATATACATTTTAGGTGCTGCTTATTTTTTCACTAAACATAAATCCTGAGAGCTTTCCCATATTTTTTATTTTTGAGGACATGATTATTAAGGATGGTATAAACTTCTGTCTTAAGTCACGCATCGTAATTTATTCTTGGCCAAAACGGTATCTATTTTGAACACATACACGGAGAAGTTGTGAAAGTTTAGAGCAAAAATAGTCATATGTTTCTTTGTTTATTATGTGTATTAGAATGGGCTGTTTCCATGAAGCGCCTCTTCTCATAGAGAGATGGGAAAACCGAGACCAGGGAGGGCACCTGGACTTTCCATTGTGTGCCCTCCCAGCACGCTGGTTTTCTGCATCTTGCTGTGCTTTTCCTTGAGCCGCTAAATGTCACATTTATGAATGTAGTGCTGCATCCTGGGTGTTCTAACCTATGCATGGATGGAGATGAGAGGTGCTGCTAGGGGAGGAGCAGTATTGGACTGGGAGGCTCCAAGACTGGCTTATGTGTAATAAAGCTGCTGCCTAGTTGGGGCATGACCAAGGATTTTTTAAATTTGATCTTCTGTTTAGCAAAAAGCTATGGGTCTCAGAGTTAGAAGACCCCAATGAGGAGGAGTATGAATGAAAATCTTTCCTTGTTATGTGTGGGGGGTTTAGATCTTATTCTGGTTCAGAGAATGAGGCCTGTGGTGTTTTATTTAAAAGGTACTTCTTTATTGGATAAGATCTACCAAGCTGTGAGTAGAATCACCACTAAGACTTTGGGAACTTGTCCTCTTTGCCCTTGGTTTTTAGACCTGTAACCCCTTTTAATTTTTTTTTTTTTTTGGACATTTTCAGGTGTATTCTATGGGAATTTTGGAGAGGATGTATTGGGGTACAGCATAGCATCTGCTGCCACATTAACCCCCAAATCTTGTATATTTTATAATTTTTAAAATGTTACTTCTGTATTACTATGGAAGCTATTCAATTTTTGTTGTTTTGGGGTAATAGGAGCCAAATATTAAGTTCTAGACCATGGTTGTATAAAGACACATAATCACAATTATAGCCATTCTCATGTATGTGGTAATTGTATAAATGTAAAGCTGCATTAGGTACTTTTGTTATTTTGAATCCAAAATTACTATGGAATCAAAAATGAACCTATAGTAAGATTTGAAGGACATGCATTTTTATCACTAAATAAGTCCCACGTATGGAAGCACATCTCTTGCCAAATATAGAAAAATATAAGAATTTTAGTTTAATTAGATCCTCTGCACAGCAAAAGAAACTACCATCAGAGTGAACAGGCAACCTACAGAATGGGAGAAAATTTTCGCAACCTACTCATCTGACAAAGGGCTAATATCCAGAATCTACAAAGAACTCAAACAAATTTACAAGAAAGAAACAACCCCATCAATAAGTGGGCGAAGGATATGAACAGACACTTCTCAAAAGAAGACATTTATGCAGCCAAAAGACACATGAAAAAATGCTCATCATCACTGGCCATCAGAGAAATGCAAATCAAAACCACAATGAGATACCATCTCATACCAGTTAGAATGGTGATCATTAAAAAGTCAGGAAACAACAGGTGCTGGAGAGGACATGGAGAAATAGGAACACTTTTACACTGTTGGTGGGACTATAAACTAGTTCAACCATTGTGGAAGACAGTGTGGTGATTCCTCAGGGATCTAAACTAGAAATACCATTTGACCCAGCCATCCCATTACTGGGTATACACCCAAAGGATTATAAATCACGCTGCTGTAAAGACACATGCATACGTATGTTTATTGTGGCACTATTCACAATAGCAAAGACTTGGAACCAACCCAAATGTCCAACAATGATAGACTGGATTAAGAAAATGTGGCACATATACACCATGGAATACTATGCAGCCATAAAAAAGGATGAGTTCATGTCCTTTGTAGGGACATGGATGAAGCTGGAAACCATCATTCTCAGCAAACTATCACAAGGACAAAAAACCAAACACCACATGTTCTCACTCATAGGTGGGAATTGAACAATGAGAACACTTGGACACAGGAAGGGGAACATCACACACCGGGGCCTGTCGTGGGGTGGGGGGAGTGGGGAGGGATAGCATTAAGAGATATACCTAATATAAATGACGAGTTAATGGGTGCAGCACACCAACATGGCACATGTATACATATGTAACAAACCTGCACATTGTGTACATGTACCCTAGAACTTAAAGTATAATAAAAATATATATATATATATATATATATATATATATAAAGTTTATCTAAAACCTACACCTACATGAAATAGCTAGGTATAGACCATGTGTACAATTTGAATTTAAAAGTTTTTTCCACAAGGAATGTACCACTTTACTTTCCCACTAGCTATATATAAAAGTTCCTGTTCCTCCATATACATATCAAGATTTTTGATTGCCAGACTTAATTTTACCAAACTAATGAGTGTAAAATAATATCTTATTATAATAAATCATCTATTACTAGTGAGGACTTGCCAATCATAATTCCACTAAAATGCTCACTGTGTATTTTTGCAAATTGCTTATTTGTTCTTATGGAATTATAAAAATTCTTTACATATTCTGGATAACAGCACTGTACCAATTCTGTGTCTTGTGAATATCTTCTCCCAGCATATGATTTTTTTTCATTTTCTTTCCATGTTCTTGATTTTAATGAAATCAAATTTCTTGATCTTTTACTTTTTGTGTGGTTAAAAATTTTTAGTTATGTTTAAGAAATTATCTCCTACACCAAAATCATGAAGAGATTGTGTTCTATTTTATAAGTCTTAATGTTGTGCCTTTCACATTTATGTCTTTTGTGCACCTGTAACTGATTTTTATGTATGGTGTAAAGTAGAAATTCAGTTTCAAAAAAAAAAAAAATTTTAGAACACACCACAGGACATTGAATAAAGGCCCATAAAAGATGATCCTGAATAAATGTGCTTCAATGAACGTGGCTCTGGCTAATGACTCATTTCCAGCCTCCTACTTCAAACAAAGCAAACCTGGAGAGGTTACACACAAGGTTTAGTTTAGTACTAGTATGACCTTTGTGGAGTGTCCTCCATCAAGGAAAATTATCGGCTTAATTCTTCCCATGTTGTTAGGATTGTTGGCAGCATAGCAAACCTGGGGATGAGCAACTCTGGAAAATATTTGACTAGGAAGCAGGGGGAAATTATAAATTATATTATATATTATATTTTATATAATTATATAAATTATATATTATATATTATAATTATAAATTATATATTATAAATTATAAATTATAAAGTCGTTAAAGCCTCAGATGTTCTTCAAATCCTTATCAAAGGACAACTTCATCAACAAAAATCTTGCCACTTGAGTCTGTTACCATGCCTCCTAGTACACAGTAATCTTTTTTCTTTTATTTCTTTTTGTAAGTAAAACTGTTCTCACACTCTCTACTAACAGAAACCCCAAAGCACATAACACCTCACTTACCTGTCAAAGTGGTTAAATTCACAACCAGTTTCACTGAACTGAAGCAAATAACACTTGGAGAGTCAACTAGGAAAGGGGAACTGCTGTGTTCAACACTATTGCTCAGATTCTAAAGAGATCAGGCCTAAACCAAGAGCTTCACACCTTTGACTCTCAGAGCTTTGGGAACAGCTTTGGACCATGCTGGCTTCTTCTCATCATTGTACCTTGTCAGCATCCCTCTTTTAAAAGCACTGGGCATTGTATCTACTGAGCAGAAATGGTGGAGATTAATTTTCTGTCTCTATCAATGTGTCTATACTTGCAAATAAGTTATTCTGTTAAAAATGTTCTTCTATGGGCCAGGCGCAGTGGCTCATGCCTGTAATCCCAACACTTTGAGAGGTCAAGGAGGGTGGATCACCTGAGGTCAGGAGTTGGAGACCAGCCTGGCCAACATGGTGAAACCCCGTCTCTACTAAAAATACAACAAATTAGCTGGGCGTGGTGGTGGGCACCTATAATCCTGGCTACTTGGGAGGCTGAGGCAGGAGAATCGCTTGAACCCTGGAGGTGGAGGTTACAGTGAGCCGAGATCACACCATTGCACTCCAGCCTGGCAACAAGAGTGAAACTCCATCTCAAAAAAAAAAAAAAAAAAAGTTCTATTTCTAAGTTGAGCATATTTGAGAAGTCTAATAGTCTCCTTTATATTTCTCTATTTCTCCCCTCTTAGCTGTGTTCAGTAGCCTAAGAGTCCAGGCAATCAAGCAGACTTCAAAACATGCTAACAAAATCACATTCAATTAAATGGGAGAATAACTTCTTTGTTATTGAAATTGAAATCTTTGAAATGGGAGAATAATTTCAAAGATTTCTTTGTACCTGAGAGGAAAGCCTGGAGGGCTGTTTCTACCACAGCAATACTTTTTATTTTTTATTTTTATTTTTATTTTTTGAGATGGAATCTCACTCTGTCACCCAGGCTGGAGTGCAGTGGCGCAATCTCTGCTCACTGCAACCTCTGCCTCCCAGGTTCGAGAAATTCTCATGCCTCAGTCCCCCAAGTAGCTGGGATTACAAGTGTTCACCACCCTGCCCAGCTAATTTTTGTATTTTTAGTAGAGGTAGGGTTTCACCATGTTGGCCAGGCTAGTCTCAAACCCCTGACCTCAAGTGATCCACCCACCTCAGCCTCCCAAAGTGCTGGGATTACAGGCGTGAGCCACTGCACCCAGCCAGCAATACTTTTTAAAAACTCGATGCCTTGAGTATCCTACCACTAAGATCATTTGATTGAATTTTTTGTATAAATTTAAGGGGTACAAGTGCAATTTTGTTACATGGCTGTAGTGTGTAATGATGACTGGGCTTTTAATGTATCCATCACTTAAATAACGTTTGTTACATGCACTGAGTAATTTCACATCAGCCACCTCCTTTCACTTCTCCACTTTTCCAAATCCCCTTTGTCTATCATTCCATACTCTATGTCCCTGGGTACTGATTATTAGTTTCCACTTATTAGTGAGAACATGCAGGAATTTTCTTTCTGCTTCTGAGTTGTTTCACTTAAGATAATGGCCTGCAGTTCCATCTACCTTGCTACAAAAGATAAAATTTTATTTTTTATGGCTCAATGGTATTCCATGGTATATGAATTGTGAGAGCATTTGAAAAAACTTCCCATGGTTATGAACCAAGTCCTTCAAACACACACCGAGGTACATCTACCTTAGGTCTTCACACTGAAGCCTTGCTCTCAAAGACTGTGGGAGAAACAAACCTCTAGGCAAATTATAGTGAGTTCCCAAGAGGCATTCTTAAAGGTAAAGGGAAGTTGGTAGTTTGGGTGTGACATCTGCTGCTGCTGATCCTGGATGTCTTTTCCACTCAGCTCATCCTCTTTAACCTAGGATGTCTCATTTTACAACGCCTATACTTTATATGCTGTGATCATTCATCCAGCAATTATGCAAGCTCTTCAGTCCCTAGGTTACTTAATAAATAGAGTGGTATGCTTTACTCCTGTGGCCAACAAATTCAATGCAACGTCTTTATAACTATCACTGGCCCCTAGTATCAGAAAGAGAATCAGCATAGTGTTTTATTTTTTTTTTGTGATACATATTTTGGAATTATGCCTTAGGCAGTTCTTCCAGTAAAGGAACTTCTTATGGGTTCTTGTTTAAAAATTATTTTGATAACCATGGGCAAATTAGTTAATCCCATTACAACTCAGTCTGTTTTTCTTTAAAATAGAGATAATAAAGTATATTTTGGACCCTAAATATAGGTAATATGTCTAGCATGGTTATCAGTGCGTATGTGTTGGGAGGCATGTGTAGCTATTATTGTTATTGGTACATAAAAATGATAGCTATCAGTATATCACTATTATCATAATTCATAAATTCTTCAGCTTAGTGGCTTGATTTTCTCAATTTCTTCACTGTTAGTCTGTTATGAAATTTGTCACTGAGATTTCAAAAGGAATGTTTTATAATTTGTTAAAATATATGTTTATATATAATATTTTTTGTTATACTTTAAGTTTTGGGATACATGTGAAGAACGTGCAGGTTTGTTACATAGGTATACACGTGCCATGGTGGTTTGCTGCACCCATCAACTCATCATCTACATTATGTATTTCTCCTAATGCTATCCCTCTGCTACCCCCCAACCCCTGACAGGCCCTGGTGTATGATACTCCCCTCTCTGTGTCCATGTGTTCTCACTGTTCAACTCTCACTTATATGTGAGAACATGCAGTGTTTGGTTTTCTGTTCCTGTGTTAGTTTGCTGAGAATGATGGTTTCCAGCTTCATCCATCTCCCTGCAAAGGACATGAACTCATCCTTTTTATGGCTGCATAGTATTCCGTGGCGTATATGTGCCACATTTTCTTTATCCAGTCTATCATTGATGAGCATTTGGGTTGGTTGCAAGTCTCTGCTGTTGTGAACAGTGCTGCAGTAAACATATGTGTGCATGTGTCTTTATAGTAGAATGTTTTATAATCCTTTGAGTATATACCCAGTAATGGGATTGCTGGGTCAAATGTTATTTCTGGTTCTAGATCCTTGAGGAATCGCCACACTGTCTTCCACAATGGCTGAACTAATTTACACTCCAACCAACAGTGTAAAAGCATCCCTGTTTCTCCACATCCTCTCCAGGATCTGTTGTTTCCTGACTTTCTAATGATTGTCATTCTAACTGGCATGAGATGGTATCTCATTGTGGTTTTGATTTGCATTTATCTAATGACCAGTGATGATGAGCGTTGTTTCATGTGTTTGTTGGCCACATAAATGTTTTCTTTGGAAAAGTGTCTGTTCGTATCCTTTGCCCACTTTTTGATGGGGTTGTTTATAGATAATATTTTTAATGATAAAAAGTTAAATTTGGGGGATTTGAAAATATTGAACTTTCTAATCTCATTTTTGATTTTGGTTTTCAGCTTGTTACAGATTATATTAACTGTTACAAACCTAGATCCGAATTCGATGTCCCATAGGCACTTTTACTCAGCATTTCCAAAAATGAACATATTATTCTCCTTCCTTGCTCACTTCCTCTCTTCTTCCCATCCTTCCTTCCTTTTTTAATCTCATCCCTTCCACATCATGTACTGATTATCTCCTATTGCCAGGTACTATCTTAGGGAATGGACGTGCAATCAAGAATTAGTTACAATCGTTGCCCTCGTGCGCCTTTATAAACTAGGTAGCTACATTAAACAAATGAATTACAGAAAGAATTATTTCCAAGGAGAGCTGATGAGTGCAACAAAGGAAAGCTCAGCATTCATTGAGAGTAAATAACGTGCAAATAAGATGGAAACCTAACTCAGTCTGAGGGATGCTGGAGAGAGTCATGAATGCCCGCCCTGAGCTGAGACATGCAGGATGAGGCAGGGAATGACCACTGTGTCTTGTTAGCATTTCTCTTTTAAAAGCAGTAGGCATTGTGTCTGCTCAGCAGACACAGTGGAGATTAATTTTATGAGTCTCTAGTGGTGTGTCTATACTTGCAAAAAAGTTATTCTATTGTAAAGCATTCTTTTATTTTGTGCATATTTGAGAAGCCTAATAGTCTTCTCCTTTGTGGTTCTCTTGTTCACCCCCATTAGCTGTGTTCAGTATCCAAAGAGTCAAGGCAATCAAGCAGACTTCTAGATGTCTTCTGCAGACTTATGCATCCTTTTCTTTTTGCTGTTTCATTTCAAGTACAATCATCCTCCAGGTCACCCAGGCTTAAAATATTACATTATGTTTGACACTATATTCCCTTTTGCCTCAACAAATAACAGGTTGCCCAGTTTTCTTCATTTGGCATCTTCTTTCCTGTATCTCCATGAATGAATGAATTCTCCCTCTCACCATATTAGTTACATCCTTCTTTGCCTTTGCCCTATAGCTTTATTTTTCCTTTCATCCAAGAAATATTTACTGAGCACTTTCTGTGTGCCAGGACGCTGCTAGTGCCAATGTCACAGAAGTGAATGAGAAAACCCATGGTTGTCACGGAGCCTGCAGCCTACTGGAGGGAAGACATGATTAACAAGTAGGGCCAGTGTGCTAAGCCACAGGGGAGGCATGTTCTTTCTAGAGGAAGGGATATTTGGGCTGAGGCTTGAAGGGGTGAACAGGAGAAAGCCAGGTACAAGTGAGCCGGGGGTTGTGCAAGGAATATCTAGTCAGAAGATTCAGCAAATGCAAGGACCGCAGGGATCAGATTAGTGGAAGTAGTGATGTTGTAGAGATCAGCTAGCTCCAAGTGTGAAGACTCTTGCTAACCATCTTAAATAATTTTGACTTTTTCCTAAGAGTATTGAGAGCCACTGAAAGGTTCTAAGCAGGGAAGTGAGGTGATGAGAAAGATCCCATCAGTTGCCATTTGGGAACTGCAATGACAGACAGTGGAATAAGAAATAGGAAAATGTTTGGTGGGGAAGATGAACTTGGTTTTTCTTTTTTCCTTCCAACTGGTCCTCTCGCCTTCAGTCTCTCCCCTTTCCATAGCCCAACCTATGCTCTTCCGTGCTGTAGCCGGATGGATTCCCTGGTGCACACACTGCTGACCTCAACTCAGAGAGCTTTAATGCCATGTATACTGCTCCTGGAATAAAATCTGAATTCTCCACCCTATTATTCAAAGCTTACAATGATCTGGCTCCATCTGTTTTAAAGCTTTCTTTACATGATTCCTCTTGTCTTACTGGCTGTAACTATACGCTCCACACTCCGGAACTTTCCCACAATATGCTTTTGTCCTGGGCTCCCTCCCTCTTTCATCTTTGCCTGAATGAACACTTAAGCCTGTTCCTCCTTTCGTTCTCGCTCACTTGTCAGCCCTTCCAGGATAATTTCACTTGTTTCCACTGCCAGTAATTTCCCTTTCCTCTGAAATCCTCATTATAATGCATTTCACAGGGTGATGGCATTCATCACCTCCCCCACACAGCAGAGCCAGTTAGGAGGCAGGATGACATCATTGTTCTTATGAGCATGAACTCTGGAACCAAACTTCCTGGATTCAGATCCTGGCTCTGACAGTTCTAGCTGTGTAGCCCTGAGCACATCACTTAAATTATCTTTGCCCTATTTCCCTTCAGTAAAATCAAAGTCTCGTCTTTCTAAGGTATTGTGAGGATTAAATGAGTAAATGTATGCAAAGATGCTTAATTTAGTGTCTAGCATATAGTAAGTGTTGCCTAAATATTTAGTGAATCATATTTATCACTTACCTGTAACATTCACTCTATGAAAGTATAACTTTTTTGAAGACCTAATCCACATCTGATGTTTTTTATGGCTTCCAAATCCCTTACTGCCTCACAAAGAGTAAATAAATATTGAATATGTCAATTAGGATACTAATGATTAGGAAGCCCTAATCAGTTTTCAAATCATTTATTTTGAAGGTAACATTTTCCTTTTAAAATTGGCTAAAATAGATCATTGAGCAAATATTTAATATGTATAAACTTTTAGTTTGTAAGCACACAGAATATACTGAGGAACAGGCCCTTCTTCAATTTTACATTTAATTTAGAGAGGCAACCATACAGATAACTACAATGCAAGATGCAGTAGAAGAAGCATATAGTCTAAAAGTCATAGTAGGAATTCAAAAGAAGGGGTGGCTGGGTTGATCAGAAAAGAATTTGTTGAGATGATGAGATATAATTGTGCTGCAGTGAGAATGGTAACTTTTAGAACAAAGCATAAATAAATCAACTCTCCTAATAATATTAGCCAATACTTATTGAATACTCATTGTACCAGGCACTGTGTTTGACTGCTTACCACACACTATTACATTTAAGCTTCAATATATTTCCAAGATGAAGTATTTTGTTGCTGTGCCCATTTTACAAATGGGACAACTGAAGTATGGCAACGCAATATTAAATAAACTGTGGAAGCCCCACAACTAAGAAAGAGTAGACCCAGAATTGGAACCGAGGGAGACTGGATTCAAAGCCTGTACTCTCTCCTACCACCAGCTTTGCCTGAGGCACATGCAGACTAAGAGTTACAGTCCACTATTTGCTGAACTATTTTTAATAACACATTTTATTTAGTTTACTAGAATTTCATTTCTTATTATTTTAAAACTTATACCTCCACCATGGATGCTGAAAAATATTGTTATTTCATGTATTTCTGGCCAACCCAATCTTTCACTTATATTAACAAGTCCTGAACTTCTTTATCTGTGAAATAAAAAGTTTGAAGGTATATCAGTAGTTCCCGGACAGCTCAAAAATGAGTATTTTTAAGTAAAAATTATGCAGACTTCTATATTACAGTTGTTCACCTTTGCTCATTCATTACCTAGAGAAAGCGTGGTGGATAATGAAAAGCTTTACTGATAGGATTTTGCAGCTCCCAAGAATCCACTGTTTCAGAAGAATTTCTATGGCCATTTCTAGTGGAAATATTTGAGATTTTACATATTCCAGACTTCAGACCCCCGTATGTGTAGTCTCTCATCTATTATTCTCTCTTCCATGAGAAGGAGCACATATGCTCCCCACATACCTCAATCTTCTGTCAAGGTTTCTCCATTTGTCTTCCCCCTCCTAAGTTTTTCCTCCCCCTTTTAGCTTCAAGTCCTTAGTAAACAATAAAACTTGCTTTGCAGAACTCTTTATTCCTATTGAACTACTATGCAAAGAAATATGTCTGAAATACCCGAGCTCAAACTTGGAATACAAATTTGTACAATTTTAACTTGTTTTGTGAAAACAGTAAAAACAGGTTTTTACTTTTTTTTTTCCTGAATCTAGACATTTTTCTGGTAGATTAAATCCTGAAGGAAAATATTTATCTGTATCTTCACGCAGACCTAGTAAATTGGAAGACTAAGGACAAATTCTGTGTATGTGAAGTAATAAAGTTGAATATTTTTGCTTGACTTCAGGAGCACGCAAAACAACATTGTCTCCTGTTCACACCTATTTTTACCTTTCTTTAATTTCTCCTTAACACTTTTGTCCGTATTTTCTCCATTCCTTGAGAACTTAATGTCTTTGTGTAGTAGAAATACTTGAGAAATGCCAGGGGAGTTTAGGTAATTCATTCTTGGCACTGCTAGAGAGAGGGGCTATATTTGTAAAATATCAGCAAGAAAATGTCAGTACCTACCCCATGGCCCCCAGCAATATGCACAACTCTGGCAGGGAAAAACAAAATCATACTCAGGGTTTTGGCAGTGGGCATATTTTCTGTTACGACCTTGCTTTTAGCAGAAACAGTTCAGGCCAGCTGCTCCAGCAAAGATTGAGAGTCTGTGCTCTTCACTAGTATTAATCCTTTAGCACTGCAAGGTTCTTAGGCAGGGTCAAACCAATTCTTATTCTACAAGGACTCACTCAAAACTGCACAGTAGCATATGAAGAGTAGTGGAGTGTCTTGCACGTTATCTGTTCACTCTCCCCTGGAATTGGCCGCTCGTTTCTTTGTGGTCCCACTGAAATTGTAGAAATATTTATCACAGTACCTATGTTACTTGAATGCAATTTCCTATTTCCATGTCTCTTTTCCCCCTCTTCCTGGCCTTTGTATCTTGTATCAGCAGCACCTAGCACAGTGCCTGGCTCAGGGTAAATGCTTAATATTTGTTGAATGAAAACTCTGGAGTGAGAAAGTTTGGAATTAGTGAGGTAATTGAGCCAAGTAGTAAATATGGAGTGGTAGACTGTTTGCAAGATGCAGTATACGGCAATCTCAGGGCTGTTTCAGACGGGGGAAAGGGATTGCCAGAAGTGTGGAGGTGGGAACAATCGGCTCTGGGGGGAGAATGGCAGTGGGACTATCCTCACTTGTTCGTTTTGGACAATAAGGAGAGGTAAGTTTGGACATACACCAAAGACTTAGAGACAGTTTATAGAAACTTCTAAAAGTTAGATTTTTTAAAATTATACTTTAAGTTTTAGGGTACATGTGTATAACATGCAGGTTTGTTACATATGTATACATGTGCCATGTTGGTGTGCTGCACCCATTAACTCGTCATTTAACATTAGGTATATCTGCTAATGCTATCCCTCCCCCCAAAGTTAGAAAATTTTAAGAATTTAGATTTTATTTAATAAGCAGTAGGGAGACTGTGTATTTCTTTGGTCTGGACAATAAATGGTCAAAATAGTATTTTAAAGAAGTATTCAGATGAGTGTATATCAAAATTCATATGTATGAAACATCAGGTTATGAGATATTGACTTGGGTCTGTGGGTCATCAGTTGATCCTGAAGGTCTCTTTCTGTTTTCATCCCACAGGTTGTTATTTTGTACTTTGAGCCAAGCACATTTCGCTGTATTCTCCTAAGATGGGCTCGTCTTCTCGGTTTTGCTACTGTTTACGGAACTGTCACTCTCAAACTTCACAGGTATATACATTTTATTCATCGTCATTCTCATGGAAAGATCAAACTAATCAGCTTGGCACATAATTGTTAGCTGGGCTGACCACTTAAATGGCTCAGTTTCAAGAATTTACATAGCAAGATACTATATATTTTTCACTTTCAAGGTGTGACATCTTTTGGATTCTTCAGGGAAATATTTAATACAACTGAATTGTTTGAACAAGATGCTTCAATAAAATGTGTCATTGGTTATGGAAAGGGTTAGTTCCTAATAAAGTTTAAAATATGAAACAGTATTTACTAGTTCAGAGCAGGAAGGAATACAAAGGTAATACAGCTGAAATAAGGATACATATCCAGAGTGACCATAGAATCCCATACAGAAACACACTTATTTGACAAAAACTACCATCCGCCATTCCCAAGTTCCATACCCCAAGGTAATCCTGCTGATATTCGATGGGTAAAGTTCAGAAAATAGTGCTTTTGGCTTTTCTCCTAAACCAGTGTGCTTCAGTGATTATCAGCCTTGGAAAATGGAGAATGCTCTAAGTTCCCTAATACTTAGTTCTAAACCACCTAAATATTGGGGTGGGGCAGGGGAAGCAACAAAATGAACTACCTATCTACAAAGGCTAGGAATGGCTGGAAATTATTCCGGGGCGCTCTCTTGCCTCCTTTTTCCAGGTTTAAAGAAAGTCTCAATTAAGTGGAATTAAGTGGTGCCAAAGAGCATAGGAGATAAACAATAAACTTTCCCTGCAGGGTAGAACTGTATCCCTATAAAGAAAACCCTTTGTACTGATCAGCTTTAAAGCTGTTTCGACAACCATGGTAAGCCATTCATATGTTCATGCTAGTCTGGCCATACATGTTTCTGAATAAAAATCTCCTAATATGGGTCATGCAGTGGTTTAATTACACTGTCTACCACGTAAGAAACTTTATTTTCATTTTTTCTCTTTTGGTACTTAATTGCTGAGAATGCTCTAGATTATCCTTTTATCTTTTTGGGAAAAAAAAGTGAATGTGTTTGACTCTCAAGATTCCCTTCTTATATATGCGGTAAAGTACAAAGGATATTGGATTAGGTTTCAGGAGATCCTATTTAAATCCCAATTTAGCCTCTAACTCTAATAAATCATAGGCTTCTGTTTCCTACAAAAGGAGAGATTAGACCAGTCTCTAATGTTCTCCCTGACTCTCACTGTATTCTATCCACATCACAGCACACTTCCCTCCGGCATCCTTCTTCAACTACCTTCCAGGTTTCCATTTCTTATATGATAGCTGTTTTCCAGCTGGTGCTCACCAAAGAAAAGGAGAAATCAATGACAGCCCATGTGGACAATAAGCCTTCTAGAAACCCTGAAAGAGTAGACACCCCGTTGAGACTTGAAGATAAACTCTGTCCCTGTTAGTCTAGCATTTAGTGTCTAGTGGGTCCTCTATTATAATACTTATGGTGCCTTATAGTTTTCTTATTTGTCTTCACTTTCATTTACTTTCTCCTTGTAGTGAGAATTATACCATTATTGAATCCCCAGCACTCAGCACAAATGACTGACCCATGGGACATGTTTAATACATATGAGTAGATGAGTGAATGAATGAAAAATGTCAGATGAAGCCCTGGAAGCTGCTTCCCGTCATTCTCTCCACACATAACCCATTCATATTCCCCTGACTCACTGTGCTGTACCTCAGCCTGTCTCCAAGTGTCTGGAACACCTAACACTGTGGTCTGCGAGAGTATGTTTAGGGGGATGTGAAACCCGATGTTCAGTAGCACTGAATCATTTAATGAGAAAATTACTTCCATGCAGGTTCTCCTTCAATCCTTCTGATTATTTTCAGCAGAAAGATTAGTTGGGAACTAGTAGGTCTTTAACACTTGCTGAATAGTTGCCAATCTTCCTTTGCAATGAAGAGCAGATCAGGCTTCAGTTTCAGAGCTTTTCACTGCAATGCTGTCTCCATAAGATTCATCATCTTTCTTTCATTGCATTTATTTTTTTAGTTATTTTCTATTTATGGAAAGTGTGACTATCACTAGATAGTGATAAGGTAGTGATATAAAGCTTCCTTTAAATATTTTAAAACAATAAATATAAATTGACTTAAAGAAATTATTAGCTGATGCACAGATACAGCAGAAATCTTGACACTAGTATGCAAATGATTGCAATTTGGGAAACTGTGTTATAACATTATCTCTTTTATTTTAAAAAATGAAATTAAAACTATTCGAAATTAAAACTATTTTCCCTCTGACTTTGTATCTCTAGAAGTCATTGCAGTGAAGAGTTTCTCCACCAAAGGCTTAAATTGAAACTATTGCTAATGTAATGAGCTGAATCATTCTTATCCTCTGTGAACCATATGGCTTTACTATTATATTCTGTTTTTTTCTCTATATTGCTTAAATTTAACTGATCCCAACATTGTTTACATCTATAAACTGAACAATCAGCATCCCATAGAAATGTGAACAACCTGAAGGAAGGACCAGCTGAACCAGCTTTGTGCTCCCCAGATTTAGTGCTATATTTTTCCCATATTATGTATTGAGATACTTGTTGAATGAACGAATGGGTGGACGGTCCTAGTGAATGGAGCTGCAAAGGGTGGGTTTGGCTGGTGTCTCCTAGAGTCAAGAAACATATGGCCCTGAAGGAGGGACGTCTAAGCTTTTGTGATGACATGATAGAGAGGAAAGATGTAAATCCTGACAAATCCAAATTGGAACTTCAATTCTGCCATTACTTATTTATACAACAAAGAATAAATTAACATCTGAGAATTAGTTTTCTCATCCGTAAGATGGTTTAAAGTTTAATAACTTTAAGATGGTAAAGTTGTAGGGACTAAGTATAATTTGAATGTAGGTAAATATGTCAAGTAGGGTTTTTTGGTTGCAAACAAAATGGGTTATGGCTGCACAGAACCAATGGATTTCGCTGAACAGAAATGGATTATGGCTAAATTAAGCAAAAACAGGATTCATTGGAAGGATAGGGGGAATGTCACCCATTGAAGGGAAAGCTAAAGAACAAGACTTTGGAAGGAGCTGATCCAGGATAGCTTGAGGGATCAAAGTAACCCAAGCTAAGGGATAATGCCTTTTGAATACCATGTCTTCATTTTTATAGGAATTCCACTTTTCATTTCAAGGTTTTAAAAAATTAAAAGTAAACCATACCTCTCTAGGCAGAAAATTCTCAGGAAATTATGAATACTGATTTATGAAATGACTGTTATAGTCCCTTGAGGATAGGACACGCAATAAAGATCTGAGTTTTTGTTTTATTTCAGCCATTTCCCTTCTGGCTTAGTGGAATTATTAGATACTTCTTTCTCTTATCACCTGGGTCTCTCACTAATTGATTGTAGTATTTATAGAATTCCTGTAGCACTGAAAACTTGAAACAAACATGAAAGAGGAACAAGATCACATTCTGTCACCAGAGATGAAAATAAATGCTATTTTCATTTGATAAATACTATTAGTCTGGGATGAGAACGTAAAGGTTTTGTTCACTTTTACCAAATCTCCCACTTTTTTCTATGATGGTCTCTCCCCACATTTCAGAGTCATATGGCCAAAGACTACTATAATAATCTGAAGGAAAATTATAAAAGGGTCCCTTGTTTATTAACAAATACAGTTGCACCAAGTTGGGGTTCGGGGTGAAGTGGCCTGTCCCTTTAGAAAGGTGTATTCTGTTTTTTGTCACTGCCATTGTTTAGAATCACCAGTATATGGTGATTATAAAAAGACCAGCTTTTAGTTGGCTTTATTATTGCCTTAAATTCTCACAGACATTTGGAAGAATGTCCTCTTTTTGCCTACACCCCAGGCAGACCACTCACATAGCCCCACCTCACTGGCAAGCCACTGATGTGGTGTAATTTATTCAAAGCTGAAACTATTTGAGAGAGAGGAAAGAAAGAAAAGAAAAGAAGAGAAAAGAAGGAAGGAAAAGGAAAGAAGGGGAGGGAGGGAGGAAGGAAGGAAAGAAGGAAGGAGAAAGAAAGAAAAAGAAAGAGGTTATTGTAGCCTTGTAGTATAGTTTGAAGTCAGGTAGTGTGATGCCTCCAGCTTTGTTCTTTTGGCTTAGGATTGACTTGGCGATGTGGGCTCTTTTTTGGTTCCATATGAACTTTAAAGCAGTTTTTCTCAATTCTGTGAAGAAAGTCATTGGTAGCTTGATGGGGATGGCATTGAATCTATAAGTTAAGAGGAAGAATGGGAAAGGAAAGAAAGGAAAGAGTACAGCTTTTAGCTAGGTCAGTGTGGATCATAAAGGAAAAGGAGCTGAAGTAGGCACAAACGATGTTTATTTACAAAAAGGAACTTCCTTCAGGAACCTTGGATGTGTTTGACTTAGTATATACTGATGTGGGGCAGATCTAAAAGAACACCTAGCATTCCCATGATATGTGGGTTCACAGAACCCCCCTGCTAAGCAATTTTCTTTTACAGAAACTTGAGAAGGCAGTATCTCTACGCTCAGAATAGCCAGATATATTTTCAGGAGGCAGAGTGAGCAAATGTTTGAAATGAAAGGGGGTGAAAAAAGATTTAAAAACTTAATGCTGAAAGAACATTTTCCTATTTCCTATAATATGGTTTCTGAAGACTCTTGGGCTTTTCCTTTTTCTAAGGCTAATCAAGAAAAAAAAAACAAAATACTTTTTTTTTGTACTATGTTTCAAATGAATTTTTAAGCAAGCCTGTGAAAAGCTATCTTCTGGCTCTGGCCTGGGATTTGTCATTTCATGCATTATTCAGTACTCTTTGCTCTGGGTACAACCCTTAGCTGTTTTCTTCACTGTCCTCATTAGCACCAAATATTTACAGTTTGGGGGAAGGTTTCTATTTTAAATGTTTTAGTTTGTTTCCTAGTAAAGTTTGAAAAGTGACTGGAAGACATTTACATTTATTTATTTTATGTATTCTTATAAGGATACGTAAATGCAGCTTAGCTTGTGACAACCACTAGGTGACAACAGAGAGTTTAAGATGGCGTCTTAAACTGAAGTGCCTGAAGTGCAGTTATTCGACTTGGTTGATTGCGTGTAGACTCATCTGCCTCAACAGACCACAGAACAGTGTTGCTTAGCCCTCGTTTATGAAGGCCAAAATATAAATGCCTCTGGAATCCAGAAGATTCCTCTAATAAAAGTGTTCTTCCATTGACCCCACCCAGCACACAGGTGGATGCTGTTTAAGATCCTAAGTCATGACCCCAAGGGTTTTAACGTGAAGCAGTTTCAAAACGGTTTTAGCCAGTTTCCCACCTCAGCCAAAATAATACACCAATAAAGCATCTTTTGAACATGTAGCTGTGAACATTGCATTCTGACTAGAAAATGGAAAGACCTTGCCATGTGAATCCTGGTAATGATATGGATTTCAGGCCCTCCTTTCTGCTGAACTCATGGAGGTTTCTGTCTTTACTGGCTGCCTACTCTGGGGTGCAGAGTATCTTTAAGTGGAGAATTACTCATAGCGACATT
Source organism: Homo sapiens (assembly GCF_000001405.40). Lineage (NCBI taxonomy): Eukaryota > Metazoa > Chordata > Mammalia > Primates > Hominidae > Homo > Homo sapiens. Next base: position 25,556,588 of record NC_000010.11, read on the forward strand.
TCTTAAGAACCACGGGATTCACCAGAAAAACAGGACTCATTCTTAAGCTTCTGAGGAAGGTCTCTTTCCCAGTCAATGAGTGTACTATTTGGACAGGAAGCTGAGCAAGTTCGAAAGCCAAGGAAAGTCTGCTAGCCGCAGAGGTGATTTGGAAAATATCCAAGCCTTACCTCATACACCCACGCTTCAGATATACCAGTAGAACAGCCAAACATCTTAAAGAAAATTAACATGCTCCAGATGAATGCTTAGAGGATTAAGGATTGAAGTGACCTTTCAGAACTAACTCTCATACTAGCATTTAAAAACGTTGAAAAAAAGTTTTGTAAGTGGCTTGACTTGACTTTCTCTTTTCCTGTTTATTAAAGTGCCACCCTAGGCTTTTTGAGATGAAGATTTAAGGTTTCCCTAAGGACATTTTTATCATTTTAAATTGTACTTAACAGGAAAGATCAAAAGTCCTTTGGCTCTTAACAAATATAAATTTTCTTCATGATTTTATTAATCGAGGAAGCACTAGTGTGGAATGCACCACAAAGACCCATGCTGGTGCCCAGACCGTTTTGTGTGCTATCTCTACTCTAGCTAAATCTCAGAAACTCTGTGTAGTTATGGGTCTTAGTTTTACAAACCCTACCTATTTGTCATTTTCATCATTCATATGCTTGGAAGCACAGAAGGGAGGCCCTTGAAACCTGAGGAATAAGTAGGCTGTGACCTCTCACTTCCTGCATTCGTCTTCTCTTCCTTGGCATACTTGCAGTCTGTCTGGAGCTTCCTGGAGCTCCCTCGGAATCTTGCACACAGCTTATCATTAGGAATGGCTCCCCCAGAAACCATGAAAACAAGCATGAAACTTTCTAAGCTCCAAAGAGTCACTCTTTAATTGTAAAATCTCTAACTGGCTAGAAGATGAGATAGTTCCCTCTGCTCATTCCTCCCCACCCTGCCGCCTCCAGTGACTTCTGATCCTACTGTCCTGTCCGGCATGCAGAGGCCCCCAGCTAAATGGCCTAATGCTTTTTAACTGGGTTGGTATATACATTTAACTTTCAGAAACGAATCAGGGATTTCTGCCATGAGTAGCTCCATTTATAGATTAGTATGTTTAGTCTACTCATAGAAGTAAGAGATTTGGGAAATATAAGCATACTGACAAGACATGTTTTATTAACTAGAGGTCTGTATTCATATAAAATCTGTAACATCAATGAGTACCTTTTGAATAAAAATAGAAATAAAAGCAAAATCATTTTAATGGTCCTTCCTTTCAGAACACATTAACTATTGGATATGAATAAAATCAGAATGTAGTTCACTCAGAACTAAGGAGACTTAAAGCTTTACTTATTTTGTCCCATCTGCAGATGTCCTACTTGCTTTGTTGTATGACACATGACTTTGAAATACACTTTATTTAACATCTACGTTCAAAGCTTTTCAATCTGGAGCTTCTCTTTTTAAAAAATATTTATATACATGTTCTAATTTCTAATTACAGCATTACTATTTTATGTCTAGATTTCTGAAAAGAGGCTTGGTTAAAATATGTAGTTTAAGAGCTATGTGCCATATCTGAAACCCAAGATTTTTTGTTGCCTGAGTTGTTTTGGTTTCAACTTGTTATATGTGCGTGCGCACGTGAGTGTGTGTTCCAACCAACTTTAAACTTATAAAAACCCATCTGGTAATGCAGAATTAGTACTTAGCAGACTATAGCTGATAAACACTTTATTATCCTAATATTCTTCGTTAGCAACTCTCTGTTCAAATCTTGTATACCCTCAAGTGGAAATATTTCTTTTCTTTATGTGAAGTCGGTAAGAGAATGAGTGTGAAATGAGATTACTTCAGGCAGCAAAACGGGGAGGGGCAGGTTTCTTTAAAGGTCAAGGTGAGGCTCTGCTCCTGCAAGCTGTTCACTGGCATCACCTGCCTGCTGTTGCACCTCCCTGCTGTCGCCTGGGCCCAGAGTCAGGGTCTTGGCTTGTTTTTGGACGGCTGCACCCATGATTTCTGTGATGTGCCAGAGGCCCACCTGGCTGCCGCTTACTCTGGTGCCCCTCACCCAGCATTTGTACATGCTCAGTCCAAAACAACTGAGTTGTGTTTTTATTTCCATTCAGTTCAAAATAATTTCAAACTTGATTTATCTTTGACCCATAAGGTAGTTAGAAGTGTGATTTTTTATTTTCCAAATATTAGGGGGATTTCCATGAACTTTTTGTTATTGATTTACAATTTCATTCCATTGTCGTGAGAGCACGTACCTTGTGTGACTTCAATCCGCTTACATTTATTGAGACTTGTTTGAAGCCCAGAATATGGTCTATCTTGGTAAATGTTCCATGGGCACTTGAGAAGAACGTGTTTTCTTCTATTTGGGAGTTGTTTGGTAATGCTGTTCAAATCTTCGATATCCCTACTCATTAGCTCTCTATTTGTTCCATCAGTTATTGAGAGAGGGGTTGGAAATTTCTGATTTGTCTATTTTCTTCACTGTTCTTTCAGTTTTTGCCTCAGGTATTTTGAAGTTTCATTCTGAGATGCATAAACATTTAGAGTTGTTATGTCCTTTTCATGAATCAAACCTTTTATTATTATGAAATGACCTTCATCATCCCTTGCCATATTCTCTGCTCTGAAATCTATTTTGTCTGGTGCTAATATAGCCACTCCAGTTTCCTTTTGATTGGTGTTAGCATGGTATTTTTTTCCATTATTTTACTTTTGGCCTATTTTTGTCTTTATAGTAAGTATTCAGTGGGGTAAGACACTCTCATATTATGCTGGAGAGAGAGTAAATTGATACAGCTCATCTGAAATATGTAGCAATGTGTATCAAGAGCTTTTTAAAAGCTGGGTTATTTTACTTTTTGAAATCTAAAGAAAAAAATATTAGGTGTGAACAGAGATTTACCTGCAAGAATATTCATTAGAGTGTGGCTTATAATAAAGAAATAATGATTTAAGTAAATGGTATGTGCTATCAAAGATCATGTTGTTTACAAAGATAGAATGTTATGAGAATGCTCAGAAAGCCATATTATGAGAAAAGCATTACATAAATGATATATTATAATCCTAATGTTATAAAATATTTTATGTACAGAAAAAATACTAGAGAGTAAAAACCATCCAAGAGCTAATAGTGTTTATAACTAGTGCTATTTAGATGGTTTTAATTTCTTTACATTTGTTTATAGTTTTATACTTTGACCATGTATTACAGTTTTAATGGAGGAATCAGTCTGCACTAAAAAGTAGATGAGGCCTTTTGTCACAATATGTAACTCTTCTGATCTGTAACAGGTAAGGTGGTGTGGAAGACACTTTGGGACCTGCAAGGAAATTTAAGTCAAGAGTTTTTAATATAGTGGTGTGCGAAGGGAAAACAAACAGCACAACCACCAAAGAGTAATCACAATAGCACTTTATAATTAGTTTCCAAAAGTTTCATTGACAGTGTGACTGTAAGTTATTCTACTTCAATATTAATAATACTATCTAACCAGCTATAAATATGAGCAGTCAAACTCAGCAACTGTTACGTACTCACACAGTGAACCTCCTAAATTACTTTTGTGGTTGCATCACGTATTTGTGTATTTTACTGTGGGTTAAGGTTAAGGTAAATGCAATGGTAAGTAGGATTTTTTAAAATATTTTTATTTTTCATTTTATTTTTATTTTTTTGAGACGGAGTCTCGCTCTGTCACCCAGGCTGGAGTGTAGTGGCGTGATCTCGGCTCACTGCAAGCTCCGCCTCCCGGGTTCACACCATTCTCCTGCCTCAGCCTCCTGAGTAGCTGGGACTACAGGTGCCCGCCACCATGCCCACCTAATTTTTTGTATTTTTAGTAGAGACGGGGTTTCACCATGTTAGCCAGGATGGTCTCAATCTCCTGACCTTGTGATCCGCCTGCCTTGGCCTCCCAAAGTGCTGGGATTACAGGTGTGAGCCATTGCGCCCATCCTAAAATATTGTTTTTAAAACTTCTTTTATATTGGACTAACACCTAAAGTACATAAAGATATTAATGTGCAACTACGCTTTGAGAATTAAATATTTGTCTTTTTGTAAATGATCACACCAGTTAAATGGGAAGTTCATATTTACAAAGAATTTTGTCATCTTTTTGTGGTTCCCTGTGGTCTAATACCATTCTTAATCTATAATAGTATGCTAAAGAGGCTGCAAAAGTAGAGCAATTAGGTCTTATAAAATTAGATGGAAACTTTCCTTGGAAATGGAAACATTTTCGCTATTAGTCATTTCTACCACATTTCAATCTGGACAATCTTGATTACAGAGAAAACAGATTCAAAAAGCTTTCCCTTGTGATATCTCTAGGAAATACTTAATGTGTGTTTTTTTTTAAGAGAAAAGGCTTTTTTAGACCACAAAAACTAAATCTTGAATTAAGAGTAAGAGCAGATCAAGATTATTTAAATATTAACATTAAGATGGTGTCATTTTAGGTATTTTCTATCTACAAAACCATGCAATTTTGTGATGCAATTAGTGATGTTTCCCTTTTGAGACTGTAGTAAAATTGCTCATTTAAGTAATGATGCTATTATGCAACCATCTGTAATAAATTTGTTTTTATAGTCTATCTGAATTCATGTTCTTGAATACCAAAATGTTATATTAAATAGTAAAACATTACATTTAAAAAAATAATCCTGGAATAAAATTTAAAATTATTTCTGCTGATTAATCAGTGCTAGATAATTGAGATTTAAGGACAGAATTTATTCTAATAGGTACTTGGCAGACCATGGTCCTAGAATTCATATTTACTCTGGATATAAGGAAATAAACAAGCATGTAATTCCCAAACTGAATAATCTGGCTTCTTCTTGATCTTCAGAATAATTGACCATCTGCTTATTGTTTGAAATATCTTTCTGTAGTAAGCTGGGAGTAGGGGAAGCAGTGGGGAGGGACCAATAGTATCTATATTTAAATCTGTTTCTCTGTAAGCTTTTATGCCAAACTTTTCAAAACTAAACATTTTTGGAGCACAAACACCCAATGGCCATCAAATGTCCTTTATTTGCAATATTATTACAACTGAAAAGGCTTCAAAGGAGTGGTTTAGGGAACAGGTGTTTATGCTTAGTTAATATTAAGGTCTGATTTGAGTTCATTCAGCATTGTTGGCCTATATTTGAGGGAATCAACCATGATATGTTATCACATTTCCTCAGTCTTTTCTTACAGATCTACGATTACACAATGAACTCTGATGAATAAGGAAGGGTGCATATAAGTTTAAAATAGTCATACCGCAGGTAAGAAATTAGTGCAGAACCCAGGTTTTAAGCCTGCTGAATCTCACATATGGGAGGAGAACAACCACCAGATGGCTGAAGATACCCTGGGGCTATAAGAGACTGGGTCTGCAATGTTCAGGAGGATGCAGAAGAATTTTTTTTTTTTTTTTTTGCAAGAAAGAGAACCATTGTATATTTTGTATTGAGGTAAAATTTACATAACAAAATTCACCATTCATAGTATTCTCTTATAATTCTTTTTATTTACATAAAGTCAGTAGAAATATCCCCACTTTCATTCCTGACTCTAATGAGTCTTTTTTCTTGCTCAGTCTAACTAAAGGTTTGTTAATTTTGTTTATCTTCTGGAAGAACCAACTTAGATTGTTTTTAATTGTGTCTGCTGTTTTTCGACTCTATATTTCAATTATTTTCACTCTAATATTTATTATTTTCTCCCTTCAGCTTGTTTTGGATTAAATTTTCTCTTCGATTTTTAGTTCCTTAAAGTAAAAGATAAGGTTATTGACTTTTTTCATATAAACATTTGCAGTTATAAATTTACCTCAATCACTGCATTTACTGCAATCCATAAATTCTGATATGTTTTTATTTCCATTTATGTCAGCTTATCTTCTGTTTTCTCTTTGGTACTTCCTTAACCCATTCGTTAAGAGTATTTTGTTTAATGTTTACTTATCTGTGAATTTCCCAGTGTTCCTTCTGTTATTGATTTCTAATTCAGTTCACTGTGGTCAGAGAAGATACTTTGTATGATTTCAATTTTCTGAAATTTATTGAGACTGGTTTTGTGGTCTAACATATGGTCTGTCCTGGGGAATGTTCCACGTGCACTTGACAAGAACGTGTACTCTGCTGCTGTGGAGATGAATACCCCGTGTTTGTCTGTAAGGTCTAGTTGGCTTATGATGCTGTTCGAGTCCTTTGTCTCCTTATTGTTTGTATGTGCAGATATCCAATCCATTACTGAGAGCAGGACCTTGAAGTCTCCAACTTAGATTATTATTGAACTATCTTTTTCTCTCATCAGTTCTGTTCCTGTTTGCTTCATATATTATGGGGATCTGATGTTTAGTACAGATATGTTCATAACTGTTCATCTTCTTGAGGGATTGACCCTTTTATAATTATATAATGTCATTTTTTGTCTCCAACAAATGTTACCTTATAGTATATCTTATCTGATATTAATATAGCTACTTTGGTTATTATTTACGTAAAATATCATTTGCTGCCTTTTTATTTACAACCTATTATTTCATTAGATCTAAGGTAACTCTTATAGAAAACATATAGTTGGATCATCTTTTTAAAAATCTCTTCTACCATTTCTACCTTTTAGTTTACATTTAATGTTATTACTCTTAAGGAAGGACTTGTTCCATTTTGGTTATTATTTACATAGAATATCATTTGCTACCTTTTTATTTACAAACTATTATTTCATTAGATCTACGGTAACTCTCTTATAGAAAACATATAGTTGGATCATCTTTTAAAAAATCTCTTCTACCATTTCTACCTTTTAGTTTCCATTTAATATAATTACTCATAAGGAAGGACTTGTTCCATTTTGTGATTTGTTTTTATATATTTTACATCCATTTTGTTTCTCAGTTCCACCATTACTGCCTGCTTGGTAAATCGATAGTTTCTAATATATCATTTTGATTCCCTTCTTGTTTATTTTACTACACGGTTTGGTTATTTTCTGAGTTGTTGCCCTGGAGATTACAGTTAATGCCCTAAATTTATAACAGTTTAGTTCAAATTAATACCAACTTTGTTTCAGACGTATACAAAAACTTTGCTCCTATTAACTTTTATGCTCCTCTTTTATGTTTTTATTGTTGCAAATTATATCTTTAAGCATTATGAACTCATTAACACAGATTTATACTTATTGTTTTATGCATCTGTATTTTATCAGAAGTTGCAAAAAAATTTTTAATAAACTTTATCTAATAAGGTTAATGTCTGGATGTCTTCAGGTATCGTTTCTATTAGTGTCTTTTCTTTTTTCGTGCTTATGGACCCTATAATCTTGTTTCTTTGCGTGCCTCATTTTTTTTTTAGAGGCTGAACATTTTGAATATTATATTATGGTAAATCCAAAAATCAGATTCTCCATCCTTTCCAGGCTGGTTTGTTAAGTGACTTTTATAGTCTGTATTCTTTGTTTTGTGTGGCCATTGAAGTCTCTTTTCTGTTGGGTTAGTAGTCAGCTGGTAATTCAACAGAGATTTTCATAAAGCTTGGACCAAAAAATACTTTTTAAAATCTGAATTCTTTGCAGATGAACTGCATGTTTGTGTGTTGGGTATGTCATCAACACACATGAGCCTCTATTTCCTGCATGTGCAGAGCCTGAGGTCGGCAGGAGATGAGAGCTTTGGGCCCTTCTCAGGCCTTTTGTGAGAATGTTCCAGGCTTCTAGATTCCCAGAAATATATTGGTACTTTTCAATGCTCTTATTCCCCAGATCATCTCATTTCCCATTCTTTCTTCCCAATCTTTTTGTTTAGTCGATTGTTTGTCTTAACCATTATTCATTGTCCCGGGTAGCATTGACTAATCCACTTGCCTTTAAACTTTTAGATAAATGACACCCGTTAGCTTTGTCAGCCCTAGGAAAATTAGCAGTTGGGTAAAACAAAAGCAAGCCCTTTGAGTCAGTCTTTCAGGGATCCACCAACCAGGCCAAAATAAACAGCAGTTCTTTGAAAATAAGGTCCATTGTGCTCCTCTAGTACTAGGTACGTGTCCTGAGCATGCAGATGTCTTGAAGGCCGCCATTGAGCTCAGGAGCATGAGACGGAATCAAAGAAAGTTGAAATGCTGCATAGCTTTTTTACTCAGATTCAGCTGTTTTTGTTTTTTCTCTCTTAAGTATCCCCTTCATTTCTATAAGCTCCTAAGTAGTTTCTAGAATTCCAAAAAAGTTGACTCTAACAGTTCTTGCTAGTGTGTTGATTGCTTTTATGGACTGATAGACTTTTGAAGTTCCCTATTCCATCATTTTTGAGATTGTATTTAAATTGCCTATTCATTTGTATTTACTGAGTTATAATGAACATGAAAACAGGTAGATAACTGCCATTTTCAGCACTGAACCTCTGATTTAGGAAAATACTGACACATAACAGGAGCTAATGTTTACTCTCACATCCTATATTGTTATCAAAATTCTTCCAAATTCCATTTTACCCTGCTTCTTCGAGTTTCTGGGATGCTGTATCAACCATAAAACTTTTTCTTGTTGGTCATAACCGTCAGAAGGACATGTTTAACTAATTGGTCAATTAAATCTTCTTGCCTTCATGTGCTAGATTCTGTAGGGGCTTAGAAAATAAACATCTCCCAACTTCAGGAAGATTTATAAGGGTACAGGAAATACCAACTGAATAATAGTGATAATTGGAGAAAATTTTGTGGCCTGGGACTATCAGACAAAGATGTAAATTGGATGAGGTTCCTGAGATGAATGTACAAGGATAAATGGGATTTGAATCAGTTTAGACAGACGGCATGGCATTCAAAGGTACGAGCATCCAGATTAGAGAGAAAAGAGCATATAGGAAAGTAGAGGGATTGTGGCATGTTTGAAAGGCAGATTCCTGTTGTGCTTTTAAAAGATGATATGGCCCTGAACCAGCTGCTAGATAGTTCTATTTTAGTAAAATACTGTAACTGAAAAAAGTACTCACATGAGAGTAAGAAGATAGGAGTTTTGAGATGATTTTGCTACTGACTGTTTTGCTTTAGATAAATGACTCCCCTCACTGGGCCTCAGAATTGTCTTTTACACATTAGGGGGATTAGAACAGATCATGCCGAGAGGCATTTCAGCTCTAACTGTTAACGCTTAAGGTTCTTGCCTAGCCACGCCAAAGAACTGGTGTGGCGGCTGACCGTGGTGAGTGATAGAGACAGGGGACCGAGGGCAAGAAAAAGCTGTAGGCTTTATTGAGCCAAGTGAAAGTACAAAGCTTCCACAGTGTGGAAGGGGTCTCGAATGGGTAGCCAGAGTTAGATTATACAATTGCCTTTTAAACTCCTTAAGGCCAGAAATATGTGTGGCGGGAAGATGTTACTAGAGCGAGAAACAAAGGCAGTAAATTATTTTGTGACATGTCTTAGATTTTGAGGAAAACCGGAATTGCAACTTAGGTTTTATCTACTTTATAACCCTGCAGTGGCATGGCAAAGGAGACAGGATCTTACAGGACTTTATAAAGTATGTTTACAAGGAATTGGAATTGGGAGCATAGATAAGTTCTGCTGGTCACAGAAAAATGGGCAGTTAACATTCCTTTTAGTTTTGGGGGAAGGTAAGGGAGAGAGGACACAGGGAAGCTTACAGCAAAATTTTCTCTGTTTATAGCTTTCTTGGGGAAGAAAACCACATACACAGATCCTGGTGTTAGGAATATTTTAAGCATATATCTTCAATATTATTCATCCCGGACCGAAGTAAGTCCTGATGCAGGAAATGAGTGAGTTTCACAGCTTTCTGAGCCCCTACTCAACCCAGGAAGCCCAGCTGGCCCCTCCTCTCATAACCATCTAAGATTCTACTTTAATAGTCTTGCAGCCCTTCTTTCCTTCCTTCCTTTTTTCATTATTCTTCCTTATTCCGTCTACCTTCAATTAGAGAAAAAAGGAAGGTGAGAAAAAAGGAAAAACAATGTGAGATATGAGAACTCATGCAGCTCACAGAAACTGACAAAAATTAGTCAATATATTTAGAACCCAGTTGTGAATTTTCTTTCTTGAAATAGCAATAACTTAATATACTCACAATAAACTTGTAGAACTTCATGTCTGATAAGTGTCTAAAACCTATTTCTATGCCAGTGATGCCAGTCTTTTTAGGTGTTTATCTAAAATTCATCCACTGACCAAGAAGTAACTTTACTTTACTTCTGAAAATGAAACTTTGAGAAATTGATGAAAAGTTTAATGAACATGGGATTTGTCACCATTAATAGCAGAATGACAGAAACCTCCAGCACTTTTTGAATTGTTAGCTCTCAGGACTCTTTTGTCAATAATTGATTGGCTTTACTCTTACGAGAAGTGTCACCTCATACCTTTTATCACAAACATTTATTCTCTGGAATTTCTACGAACATGGTAAGATTAATAGAAATTAGACTCTAAAGAAGAAGCTCAGGACATTAGGATTATTCCAATTAAGGTAATAGGACAGAAGACTGGATGGCTTGAGGATATATATTTTCATTCCTTTTTTTATAAATAGAAGAGATACTGCAAAATCACATACAAATGCAAATGTTCTGAAAATGGAAAGCTATTATTAGAAGCCTTGCATTCTGTCATCGGCATAATAAAAACGGAAAAATCTACCTGGCAGGCTAAAGCGGTCAGCCTATTGGAAAGGCACCTGCACCAATCTTAGATCTGCTAGGAAAAACTGTTTAGAGCAGCGGTTCTCAAACTTTACCCTTCATCAAAATTACCTGAAAAGTTTGTTAAAATAGATTGTTGGACCATCCCTCCAGAGTTTCAGAGTCAGTAGGTCTGGGTGGGATCTAAGAGTTCTCATTCATAACAAGTTTCTGGGTAAAATTGATGCTACTTGTTTGGTAAGTGCTGGTGTCGATGGCAAGTAACATCTAAACGGAGACATGAAGGAGATGTAGGATTTAGCAAAACACTGTGTTTGTATAGGTGGGAGGAGGGATGGTGAGGAAAGCTGAGGGCAAAGGCTTAGATAGAGGATAACTGCATGTCATCCAGAGGGACCTGCAGAACTATAGGATGTAGAGAGTGCAGAGAGATGCACCTGCAGAGGTGAGGAGGAACCAATTATTAGAAGTGTTTTACCATACTAAATTTTGGTGGAGAGCCAGTGATTGTAAACAGGGAAGCAATACGATCAGATGCACAATAGTGAAAGACCATGTTGTCCATCGTAGGGTGTGGATTGAAGGTGGGCAAGACCAGTAAGGTGACTAGCTAGGAAGCTACTATAGGAATGAGTTGGTGGCCAGGAGCTGTATAGTGGCAGTGAGGATGGAGAAAAATAGAAGAATTTGAAAGATATTTAAGAGGTAGACATTAAATTCTTAATGATTCATTTGATTGCTGGAATGTGGATAAGGGAGAAAAATCAAAGTTTATTCCTAAGCTTCTGCTTTGTACAGTTAGATAGGGCTGTAACACAACAGCAAAGGTAGGTTGGAGAACAGCAAAGTGGGTTGGAGAAGGAAGGAATGGAGAGGGGGTGATTTTGTTTCAGGCCCTGCTGATGTCCAGTAAGACACTGAGTATACAGGGACTGAACTCAGGAGAGTGATCTGAACTGGAGATATAGAGGTGGGACTTGCTGGCATATAGATAACTGAGATGGGGAGCCGTTGGAGTTTCTTGGGTGCAATATGTAGTGATAATATAACATGGCCACATTTAGGAGATCCTTGTAAACACTGCCATTCAAGGGACAGACTGAGGTAGAGAAGTCTGCAATAGAGACTGAAAAGGAGCTAGCCAAGAAGTAGGAAGAAAGTAGGAAGAGAGAAGTAGGAAGGAAGTAGGAAGAGAGAACTAGGAAGAAAACCAAGAGAATGTGACATCATGGAAGCTGAAGGTTCCAGCCACACCAAAAGCTGGGGAGAGACCATGTAAAATAAGAAGTGAACAATATCAATTAGCTCTTGGAGGAAGGTCATGGATAACCCAAGTACAAGTTCTTATGGTGAGCTATATAGCTTGAACCAGAAATGTACAGAAAATTAGAAAACAGAGGCAGATGAATATAATGACAATTTCTGGGTTGTCCTTTTTCTTTGTCATTTCAGAATGATTTCCATGAATTTATCTGCTATTAATGAAAATTGAATGTACACTTTATATATGCCTTTTCATATGAAATTTTGGAAGTTTCTTGCAGTCTTCCCATATATGTTGGGCTTTCCTTCAGAAATAGTGAAACATTCTGAACTCATGGTCTCCTGAAGACTTATCTATGAAAAAATAGTGGAAAAGTCATCCATATAGGAAGTCCAATGATTTGAATTTTTTTCTACAGTTGTATTTCATACAAATGCATGTCTACATATTCTTTTTTATAGTCTGACCTCTAGGCTTCTTTTAAGACAATCCTAGAAAAATACATCTTATTCCATTTTACAAAAACCAATATCCTGAAATGCTTAGATTGAAGTGTAGAGTTGTGTTTATTATGTTTTCTATTATTTGAAAGCCAGTAAAATCAATAATGGAAGACTCATGAGGGATTTTGCTTTGGTTTTGCTCTCTTGAAATGAGATTATAGGGATCTGACAATCTTGAATTCTCAAGCTATACAATAAATACCCAAAGGGCCATCTAGAAAACATGAACATTTTTGATAATTTGGAAATGGGATTTCTTGAGTAAAAGGTTACTGTAACTGGAATCGTAGATTTCCTTTGCAAAAGAAAAAACTTAACTGGTTAAGAAGTATTTTAAAGGAGACAGTTAACAAATCCACTATTAGCTCTCTATGAGATTTAAAGTTTCAATGGGAATTGTGAAACTCAAGTATCAAAAAAAATATTTATCACATTTTAACCATGGAAAGAATATATAGTTCATAACTATTTTTTCTCTGAAGCACTGTTTCTCAACCTGATGAAAACTCCTTGCCTTAACTTGAAAACTCCCTAGGAGTTGCTGGGTATTGAGAACCAAACTTTGCTTCCTGCCAACCAGTTCCCCCTACTGTCCCTACCTAAAGACACCTTGCATTTCCCTGCTTTTGATTCCCATCAATTAGAATATCCCCTTATATCTTTTCCACTTTCCTTCATTTCTACCTATTGATATCCCCCAAAGCCCAGATCAAATACTACCTGTTCTATTGGGTTAGTAGATTTGCTAGCCACATACAATATATAATGTTAGCTACTGCATATGGTAGCTATTTGCAAACTTACTTCTAGTTAAATTGTAAGTTTCTAGAGAAAAAAATTATATCTTATACCTTCCACATTGCCTAGCATGATGCCTAACATATGGCTGTCACTATATAAATGTTTGTTCGTTATATTTAAAATGTTTACATTAAGAGTAAAGCTAGAATTTGGAACCATTTTATGTTTTTCTGCCCTTGCCAAACTATGGAAGAAAAGTGGGTCAGGTTCTCTCTGGAGAATGTAGTCATTCAAAATTTAGAATTCATCCAGGTTCAACCAGAAACAAATATGTGTACATTATGATTACAACTTTCTGCTACAGAAAATAAGATTGGAACTGGCAAAAATATTAATTTTCCAAGAAATTTCTCTTATTTCTAAGGTAGAATTCTTGAATCTTTTAATCTGCTAATTACAATGGAAACCTTCTTATCCAATATAACTGGACTTCATATTATATTTGGTCAATTTGTTGAAGTTTTTTAAAGTAGAAAAGCATTTAAAAAGTATATAGATACTGTAATTTAAAACACAAATAATTACTCACCAGTCTTTTTGAAATAAGGCCTCTTTTTGACTATGGGTTTGATAGTTAGAGTTCATTGTTCTCTCTATAGCATAAATCACCAAAATGTATTATCTACTGCATTGTGTTAAATGTTTTTGAAGTAATCTGAGTGTCGAATTTTTCTAGGTTTTTGTTTATTGACCACTCTCTATTTTAAAATTTCTTCACTTCCACTAAGTTAGCTTTTTATTTTAATGTTTTATCTTTCCAAAGCATTCAAGAGAGGTTTCATAGAAATAAGTCTCCTTGCGTGGGCACGGTGGCTCTCGCCTGTAATAATCCCAGCACTTTGGGAGGCCGAGGCGGGCAGATCACCTGAGGTCAGGAGTTCAAGACCAGCCTGGCCAACATGGTGAAACCCCGTTTCTACTAAAAAAATATAAAAATTAGCCAGGCATGGTGGCACATGCCTGTAGTCCCACCTACTTGGGAGGCTGAGGCAGGAGAATAATCGCTTGAACCCAGGAGGTGGAGGTTGCAGTTAGCTGAGATCACGCCACTGCATTCCAGCCTGGGTGACAAAGTGAGACTCCATCTTAAAAAAAATAAAATAGAGTAGTCTCCTTTTGTTTCATAATCATGTATAATTATTTTATTTAATATTTAGTTATAACAGTGGGCATAATTTGGGAACAAATACACCTGATTCATAACAAATAGTAATTAAACTGGTTGGAGCAGAAGTGATTAGGCATAGTGAAGATATTACCTGCCAGTGTTAGCGTTCGCCAGTGTTAGCGTTCACTATGACATGGATGGCACTTAATATATTGCATATACAGAATGGAGAGTAACTGTTAATCTGGGGAACTGATGAGATGGAGCGTGGTTAAGAGATCTTCTGTTTTACTTGTATCTGTTACTATATTTCTGACGTTCCACAGAAAAATTGAGAAGTATTTTGTTAATAATTAAATAACTTTTCCCTCTGTCCTGAAGGACAGTGGGGTTAATTTAATGGATGTGTTGTGTTAATTCAGGGAGAATTGCCAAAGGTCTATATATGGAGGAAAAATATAGCATAGTACATCTAGGCTATTTCAGGTGTATTGGCTTCATTTCTGGATTTAGAATAATCTTTATAAAAAATTCATATGACTTAAAATTATTCAAAGAATGAAGTGAAGGAGAGAATAGAACATTGAGAAAATGTGTTTATTTTTATGCTTTATGGAAATTGATTACAGATACTCTCACAGTATCATAAACCACTCATGGTGGCTTATGTCAAATCATAATTTTGTGACATCAAATATCAGAATGGGATAGGGAGTTAAAATCAGCCGAGAATATTCTAGAAATGAAATTGAAGAATGGGTAGAGAATTCCTATAGTAAGGGTGCATTTTGTCTTCAGAAAATATTTAGAGATAGAACAGTGCTTAGATATCATCTAATCTAGTAGTTCTCAACTCTGGCTATTCATCTGAGATATATACAGAAAAAACTCTTAGTTTTTAAAAATCACATTTCCTATAGGTCATCCCAATTTTCTTCCTTAATGCAATGGCCTTAGTCTACCAAATGTTTAAATATTTCTTTCATTTTTATTATTACTTCATATTATTTTTGGTAATATGATAAAATGACCATGAAAGTAGGTAATATGAAATGATTTTCAGAAAATATCTTTAATAACATTCTACTATAAAAACAACTGGTTCAAGGAAGTTATTTGAGTTAGTATAATATTGTAAAATACAACCACTTACTTTCAGGACTATTTTTTGATCCCCCAGAAACCTTGTTTGAGCAATGTTTGCCTACGGATCTTTCTAAAGTCCTGAGAATTTTCCTTGAAATATTAAGACACGCTCAAAGACATCCCATTGTATATGAACCTATTGACTCAATGGACTCTAATGTAAGATATGTGTTTTACTACTGGAAGATAAACTAAGATAAAATTAAATAAAAATATGAGCAATACTGTTTCTGAATTTTCTCATGTTAAAACTCTGCATAAGCCAGGCACAGTGGCACGTGCCTGGAGTCTCAGCTACTTGGAAGGCTGAGGCGAGAGGAATGCTTGAGCCAGGAGTTCAAGGATGCAGTACACTATGATTGTGCTTGTGAATAGCCACTGCACTCCAGCATGGGCAACATAGCGAGACCCTGTCTCTACAACAAAAACAAATACAAAACAAAGCAAACTCTGATTAGCTGGATTTTGGTGGGTTTACATTTTACCTAGAAAAATAAGTTATTTTAGAGTTATACTTTCTGAATGTTAGGTTTGCTTTCACATTTGAACTTTTGCTTTTCTAGGGTTTTGAAGGTGTTTCTTTCACGAACGGCTCAACGAATTCCATATATGACTGGCGGACGGGTCATGAGGATGCTGGCAGTAATACTCTTGGTAGTGTTTTGGTTTCTCATTGGCTGGACTTCATCTGTGTGCCAGAATTTGGAGAAACAGATTTCACTTATTGGCCAGGGGAAAACATCCGATCACCTCATCTTCAATATGTGCCTCATTGACCGCTGGGACTACATGACAGCAGTTGGTATGTGGTCACTTGTTTCGTATGATGGTCTTACCATTTTTCAGTAGCATTACAACTGACTTCTTTAAAAGTCTTGCCAGACTCTTTAGTAAAGCCTAAACTAATCTCACCTAATGTGATTCTGGTAAGATAACATGGAAATGGCAGTAATGGCATGTGAGATGCAAACTTTTTCTGGAAGTTTCTATTGTTTTTCAAAGGTATATAGCTTTGTTGATAAAATGTAATCAAATAAATCAGAAAGGAGAAACGAACAATGGCAACTTCTGTGTATAAAGAGCTTACTTTTCTCATTCTTATCAATTGCTCCCCATTTGATTAATATTGGCTATTCTCTTGATTTATTTCCTTACTTGGGAGAAAAAAGGAAGCACGCTGGTTTTTTAAATAAAATGTTGGCCCTATAATGTATCAGACTTGATATGTAGGGCAGTCTTTGTAAAAATATTGTCTCTGCAAAATTTCTGATTAATCTATCTTTCCTTTGCTGACCTCAAAAGACAACTTATTTATAATTCTCTGGAGGTTTAGAATTACACAAAGACTAAGCCATGCTCCATGAGTGTAGTAAGTGCTACGTGGCTGAGAACCTGGAGAACTTTGAAGAGCTGCATCATGGCTTGGGCCCAAAACACGGATTATTTTTCTGGCAGCCCAGTGTTTTGAAAAAAGGAGGAAAACACATAGGAATTTTTCTGTTGCTCATATTAGTCTATTTTAAACTACGTCCCTAAACATACAACAAAAGGGATATTTTATTGTTCCCCTCAGTAAGCCACAGGACAAACCTTAATTGTATTTGGCAGATATAAAAGATAGAAACATGAGTTTGATTCCCATTTTTTGTCTCCCTCATATTTTGCAGTTGTTGGCTAAATAGTCTTTTGCTGGAAGCTAATAAAATGTGTATTTAGTTTAGAGTTCAAATGGAGGAATATTTTTCTGGGCAGGATATTTCAGGAGTCTTATAAACCTGATATCTGTAATAGTGAAGCATATGGGTATGTAAAGGGAATGATTATAATATAAAGCTTATTATATTTTGGGTAATATAACAGAAGATAAATCACAGCACTAAGGTAGGAAGCGACTCTGATCTTGACTTTAGTCTGGATATGAAAATTAAATTGTATAGATAAAAAATTTCTACTCACCCTGACATTATTTTATGCTCTCAGTGCAGGTTAACCAGATAGGAAAAATCATTTCCTTGTATTCTTATGAAGCAAAGGCCACTAGTTTTTATTTTTCTGTTTTACAAAAAAAAAAAAAAAAAAAAAAAAAACCTCAAAATACATGATGACACAAACAAGCAGATAGCATGGCCTATTCACCAAGAAAGTTTTTATGCATTGGAATTGAGATGCATTTGAGACCTTTAAAAAATTTATTTTGCATTCCAAAGAGGATCATATTTGTGATTTCTATGTAGAAATATATAGAATTATATAATCGATAGTAACCTGTATAAAGTCATTATTCCTTTCATTAGATAGCTTATTATTGATTCACATAGATGCATGAGAATTATTAAAAGTTATTAAAAAGCAAAGTTAGGTGGTGAAGATTCTTGGTGCAGTAGTAGTTTAGTAAAAGGATAAGCAGTTTGGACCAGAACTCAGGAACCTTTTATAAAGGACAAGTTCTTTAACCATGGGTAATGTTTATATTACTGTAAAGAGGTGTAAAGAACATTCATTTTATAAGAACAGTGAAGGTCTGGGCGTGGTGACTCACGCCTGTAATCCCAGCACTTTGGGAGGCCGAGGTGGGTGAATCACAAGGTCAGAAGTTTGAGACCAGCCTGACCAACATGGTGAAACACCGTCTCTACTAAAAATACAAAAATTAGCCAGACATGGTGGTACACTCCTATAATCCCAGCTACTTGGGAGGCTGAGGCAGAAGAATCGCTTGAACCCAAGAGGCGGAGGTCGCAGTAAGCCGAGATCATGCCACTGCACTCCAGCCTGGGAGACAGAGTGAGACTTTGTCTCAAAGAAATAAAAAACAAAAAAAATAGTGAAGGATGGGCCAGGGGCAGTGGCTCACACCTGTAATTCCAGCTACTCTAGAGGCTGAGGTGTGAGAATTGCTTGAACCTGGAAGGTGGAGATTGCAGTGAGCTGAGATCACACCACTACACTACAGTCTGGGCAACAGAGCGAGACTCCATCTCAAAAAAAAAAAAAAATAGTGAAGGATGGAAGTGGGTGGAAATTGTATGAAACATGGAGGAAATGCCTACCTAGAAAATAAGATAATGATGGAATACATTGTGAGTAATGCTAGGTGGTTGAGTATATTGTGAGTTTATTAAGTATACTGTTAATAATACTGTATGGTTAAGTTTATTGAAAAAGTCTTAGAGGAATTTAGAGAAGCAGAAAAGTGATATAATGAATCGGTAAATTCAATCAAGATGACTATAAGGATGTATTTTGGTTTTTTTGTTTTTTTAAGTGAAATGCACCAAACTCACCAAATTCAGGGGTTTGGGAGTTGGAATCATTAGAAGGGAGAAAGAGCGGCTCTCAAAGTGTGGTCCCAGAACCCGCAGCAGCGGCATCACCTGGGGACTTGTTAGAAATGCAGATTCTCAGAGCTCACTCTGACTTCCTCAATCAGACACTCCCGGATAGTGGAGCTCAGCAATCTGTGTTTCGTAAGTGTTCCAGGTGATTCTCATATTACTCTAAAGTACAGAACTGCTGACTCCACGGAGGGAGTCAGATGAACTTATGAGAACATAAAAATAACTAATCTCAATAGTGCCCTGGCCATTCCATTCATTCTTACTGTTCCCCGATCAAACACTAGAACATTGTTTTCAATTATTATTTCAAATCCTCTTTTCATACCTCCAAACTCTCCATGTTTCCCTTTTCTCTTAGATGACTTCTACTTGAAAAAAAATAAACAGGAGCCATAACGTAGAAATGTCTTCAAATTCCTGCCTTCATATCTATAAATCTTCCCATATCCACATTTATTCTTATCTTTTCTCCTTCATATTATCTAAGGTAACACCACAACCTGTGCCAGACTCATCTAACATTTTGGGCCCCTCATCTCCAGTGGCCACTCTCACTTTATATGAACTTTCTGTTATCTAAAACTCCCCTACCTCCAAAGTCATTCATTGAAGACATTGAAGAATTCTGTTGTTGTTTTTTTTTTCCAGTAGCTTTTGGGGTACAGGTGGTTTTGGTCACGTGGATGAATTGTATACTGGTGAAATCTGAAGTTTTATTGCACCTGTCACCCAAGGGAGTGTACATTGTACCCAGTCTGTAGTATTTTATCCCTTATCCCCTAACCCCTTCTGAGTCTCCAGTGTCCATTATACCACTCTGTATGCCTTTGTGTGCCCATAGCTCACCTCCCACTTATAAATGACGATGTACGGGATTCGGTTTTTCATTCCTGAATTATGAAGAACTCCTTTCTGATCACAACCCATTCCTAGCTCATTTACTCCCTCTACAATAGCTCTTTAGTAACATAGACTGTTTTCATTGTACTTTACTCCTCCTAAATTCTGCTCTCCTCCAGAGAGAAAACTTACTTACCAGGCAGCACATTTTTCCACTTGCAGTAATGGAACTATGAAAAGAAAATGGGCATTTTTAAAAGACATTAATTTTGAATAATACTGGGAAAGAGGACATAGAGAGTAATGACGACCCTGAGATAGATAGTGCAAAAGAAAATGAAGATTCATAGCGTGAGATGGCTGCAGGGCATGCGGTTCCTTAGGCAATAACCAGGTCTCAGTTAAAGAGGTACAGAGAAGCTAAGAGAAGAGATTGATTATAGTGGTAGGATCTAGGTCATGGCTTCAGGAATGAGAAGTATCAAAACTTAAGAAGCAGAAATTAAACTAATACCCCTAAAGGTGTTAGGCAATAACATTAGGGTCTCTTAGAAAATCAAGACTCGTGATGAGAGTGCAGGGACCAAGAAGAGGAAGTTAAATTTTTGATGGTGTTTTTGTCATCTCACAGTCATTGCTTTTGTCCTATAAACTACTGTAACACCTTAATTCCCAAAGTGTGCTCATCCCATAGTGACAGTGTTCTCAAAAAAAAAAAAAAAAAGTCAGGGCACATAATTTTAAAAAATAATATTTGGAATTAGGACTGTCTTAAGACATCTGAGACATGTGGCTGTTGTAATTATTTTTCACACTATCCTAATAAAAGTTTTCATTTATTTCTCTTTCAGCATGCAGCATCAATATTTAACCTCTTAATTTAATGGTTTCTAACGTGTAGTGTGTGCCTTTTTACAGTCTCTTTATAGAGCTCTATAAGTAACATGTTTTTGATACTCAGACTGTTAATCAAAAATAAATCCACATATCTTCAGTCAGCTAGAAAACCTGTACTGAACACTAAATTATTTCCTGGATCCTAAGAGGTAATGTTCCCATATAGGAAGGGACTGTAGAGAGGGAGGCAATAGGCTTAACCGTGAGGGTGGTGGGAAGACTTTCTCAAGAAGCTGTGTGCACTTACATTAGTGTCAAGAGTTCGTTCAGAAAAAAAGAAAAAGTGATGGTTAAATATGTTAGTACATTTGCATTCTGGGATCAGCTTTACCCGTCAAAAACAATCCCTTTTTCAAAATAAATCATTTGAGAGAGTGAAATACTAGTTTTTCCACTGAAGTAGAGCTCTGGCTAGAAATATGGGTCATACATTGAAAGACCGGGCTCATTCTATTTTTGCTCATTGCACAGGGCTGCTCCAAAACTGCTCAGATAGATGATTTTCCTAACACAAGTGTTTCAAAAGAGAAAACACGTATAGAAAATAGGTTGGAAAAATCTCAGAACCTAAAAGAGCCACAGTTTCTTCTTTGAAGAAATGATTTTAAAACATAGAAGGGGGAAAATGGTTTTCAGAATCACATTGTCATTTATGTCCGTTTATAATTTTCAATCATTTTGTTAGTCCTGTGTATAAAAAAATAAGGTAAGATTTAATGGAAAAAATAAGGATAAAGACATTGCTACATGGACACTGGACAATGTGAGAAGTGCTTTTCAGGCAGAGTAGTCAGTTTTTCTTAACAAATGACTTTTTCATCTGGTGGAAAGAGTTTTAAAATGTGGATGTTCCAAGACATTTTTAGATCAGATTATAATTCCTATAAACATTTAAACTGCCATACCTTTTTGAGAATCATCTACATCTATAATAACAATACATACTATGGTACTTACACTACTCATCATTATATGACTCAGTACCCTGAACTTTTCTGAGTACGTTTAAATATATTTTCTGTAGCTCACTGAAGACAAAAGAATCTTTCCATCTGCTCCTCCCTCTTGTAGCTACGTGCTCCTCAGCAACATGGCCTACGTTGTTCAGACTTATCCCTGACACCGACAGAGAACCTGCCAGGTGTAGGATCTTGAAAAATATTTGTTGAAAGAACAAAGCAGTCAGCTGTCTTTATCTTGTGATATTTTCTGTTGTCAGACTTAGACCAGTATGAGGAAACAGGTTAAAGCTAAAGACTGTGGAAGTCATACACTTGTCCCCAGCTTCATTTTCATGGTAAATGTACAAGTTCAAATTTGGGGGAAGGTATTTTGGAGCAAGTTATAGAAACTAATGGATAATTGCTGGCCATTTTATGAAACTCTACCTTTGACTTCTCCAACAGTCATAATAGATTGGTACAAATTTGCATGGCAAAGGAAAACTATAACTTAAAAAAGATTACATAGTGTAATTACAAATATTGAAACAGAATAAAATAGATTTAATGAACATTTTGATTATTTCACTATTGTCCTAGAGCTATCTAAAGAATAAAGGGGTTGGCCTGGCACGGTGGCTCACACCTGTAATCCCAGCACTTTGGGAGGCCGAGGCTGGCAGATCACGAGGTCAGGAGATCGAGACCATCCTGGCTAACACAGTGAAACCCCATCTCTACTAAAAATACAAAAAAAATTAGCTGGGCATGGTGGCGGGCGCCTGTAATCCCAGCTACTCAGGAGGCTGAGGTAGGAGAATGGCGTGAACCTGGGAGGCAGAGTTTGCAGTGAGCCAAGATCACGCCACTGCACTCCAGCCTGGGTAAACAGAGCAAGACTCCGTCTCAAAAAAAATAAAATAAAAATAAAAAAATAAAGATTAAAGGGGTTGAGACTGGGAAACATTCTCCTAAATTAATGAAGAAAACAAAGTATCATGTCATACTCATTTTGGAAACTGTTGGTAGTACAACTGTACGACTGTCAGATTTTTTTTTTTTTTCTAAATCCTCCTACCCTGGTTGGTAAATTGGCAGTCAATTGTCCATGTTCAGGATTTTTTGCAATCACATTAAACTTGTCATATTAAAAAGTCAAAACTTTATTCCCCTATGAGTTTTCTAATTGGATAATACAAACTGACAAGTAAGTAGAATTGACTTCTCATGCCTGAATTAACTGTTATAATTTCACCCCTAGAGTCAAATAGACCAGATCTTGACACCTAGATTTAGATATCCCAGGCAGGCAGGTCCTCCAGTATGGGGGACCCAAATTTAAAATACATTTATTTTATAACAGAGGTAGTGATGTAATGGAGTTCATCCGTTGACATATGTAGTTGGATAGCACTCAATTTGTGCTTACACATTTAGAACATACATTGAAGATACTGAAGCGGAACCAGTGACCAAGATAAGCTAGAACAAGTGGGCAGATTCTTACCTTACCTGCAAGAAACAACAAGACCGCAAAAAAGTAGCTAATAAATGATAGCATCGAGGACATTTAGAACTTCCCTTCCATGGTTAAATCTGTGCATCAAACTTTAATATTGACCCAGGCAAGCGCTGAGCTGTTTCCACAGTTTCTTCCAGAAGTTAGGTGATGATAGAATGTTATAAAAAGTTATGTAATTGAGAATAAATCTATTTTACTGCCCTCCTGGCACAATATATCCAAAAAGCCCTATCTAGGCTTCTATTCATCCTCTATCATCTCCTGTAATTCTTTCTTTCTGTATCACTGATATAGCCTAACTCTTCTTAACAGCATTTATATGATCTAATAACTATTCCCTGATAGGAATCCTGTTATAAATTAAGTTCTCTCCCCCTACCCTCCACCTCTCTTCATGGTTGTGAAAGTCCACTGATACATGAGGAGTCTCATGGTTCTGGAAACTCAGAGCTTGACATCACTTGTTATATATTTTATTCACCACATTGAAAAGAAAGACGTAAATGAAGATACAAGCAATAATTAAACAGGTATGATAGGCTTCAGTCTAATTCCATTTGGAAATTTTTAAATATTTGTGCTTTTAGTGAATTCCAGCATTGATTACTCCACTGTTCAAAAGTATTAGTTTCCATGGATTTCACATAATATAAAATATTGCCACTATAGAAAATACACAGTCTTTATTCTTCTTTATTGACATGCTTTTCTCCTTTGTTCTTGTCTTTCCTGGTACAATATTTTTAACACACACACAAAAAACAGGCAGTGTGTTCAGTAATTTAATTAGTCATATGCCAATGTTTAGAAAGAACCGAGAAAAATACAGCATCTCTCTCGCTGAGTTATATAAGGAAATTCTAAAATAGCAATTGTTTTTAAGGATTTAAATACTTAATTACCCTAGAAGATTAGGCTTTATTATGACAGGTGAAATGTGATATAAGTGCCATTTAATGAATGTTACAGAAAATAGATTAGACTTTCTCGTATCTGACAGATTAACGTTCTTTAGATTCATTACATACATTTTCTTTTATTCCAATATGTCATATGCCTTAATGCACACTGCATTACTTGTTACTATTTTAAACATACATTTTTATTTTTAAAAAAATTTGAGTCATGGTCTCCCTCTGTCACCCCGGCTGGAGTGCAGTTGTGTGACCATAGCTTGCTGCAGCTTCGAACTCCTGGACTCAAGCCATTCTTCTGCCTCACCCTCCCAAGTAGTTGTGACTACAGGTGCACCACCATATGCCCAGCTAATTTTTTTATTTTTTTATTTTATTTTATTTTATTTTATTTTTTTGAGACGGAGTCTCGCTCTGTTGCCCAGGCCAGACTGCGGACTGCAGTGGCGCAATCTCGGCTCACTGCAAGCTCCGCTTCCCGGGTTCACGCCATTCTCCTGCCTCAGCCTCCCGAGTAGCTGGGACTACAGGCGCCCGCCACCGCGCCCGGCTAATTTTTTTTTTGTATTTTTAGTAGAGACGGGGTTTCACCTTGTTAGCCAGGATGGTCTCAATCTCCTGACCTCATGATCCACCCGCCTCGGCCTCCCAAAGTGCTGGGATTACAGGCTTGAGCCACCGCGCCCGGCGCTAATTTTTAAAACATTATTTTTATGAGAGACAGACTTGCTGTGTTGACCAGGCTGGTCTCAAACTCCTGGCCTCAAACAATCCTCCCTCCCAAGCTACTGGGATTACAGGCATGAGCCACCATGTGTGACCTTAAACATGTATTTTTAATTTTCAATCAAAGGATAGAAGCCTGACCACATTGTCTTGGCTTAGGGCTACATCACTAAAAACTACACATACTTCTGAAAGCACTTGCTTGAGTGTCTTCAGAATGATGGAACTGGGAGTTCTTATTTGTATACCACCTCTTCTGAAAAGTGCTTTACTTTCTCTTTGCCCTTTAGCATTATTCAAATAACTGTGCCTCAAAGAAGTAAAACAGTTTCCACAAAGGCAGAATGTAAATAATAAATAAATAACCTCCCACAGCAGTCTTCGTGGTAGCCTGCCAGCTAGCACTTCAAATAGCATGTGTGAATTTCTAGTGATGCAGCCCGAGGGAAGGCAGATCACTAGTCAAAGCTACCAGGCTTTCATAAAAGATCAAAAATCAGACACTTTGATAATAGTAGCAAGCGATCCCATATCCAGTTCCCTCCCCAAACAATACCCATGCAAATGACAGTGTATTAGTTCATTTTCACACTGCTGATAAAGACATACCTGAGACTGGGTAATTTACTTAAAAAAAAAGTTTAATGGACTCACAGTTCCACATGGCTGAGGAGGCCTCACAATCATGGTGGAAGGTGAAAGGCACGTCTTAAATGGCGGCAGGCAACGAGAGAATGAGAACCAAGTGAAAGGGGTTTCCCTTTATAAAACCATCAGATCTCCTGAGACTTACCCCAAGAATAGTATGGGGGAAACCACCCTCATGATTCAGTTATCTCCCATGGTGGGGTGGGGGGTCTCTCCCACAACACATGGGAATTATGGGAGCTACAATTCAAGATGAGATTTGGGTGGGGACACAGCCAAACCATATCAGACAGAGAGACGAAATGGAAGACATAGCCTGCTCCTCTGACCTGGACCCTGTGCTCTGAGAGGACTTCCATCTGAGTCTGCCTTTGTGAGCTCATCATGTCCCCACTCTTTAATGTGTATCCATAAGCTCTGAGGTAGCTGAGTTTTGCCAGAGTTCTGTCACCCCATGGGAAACTGAAAACTTAAATGTATATGCCAGAGAGAGAACAGTATAGTCTCCCTACCCTTTTTACTTAAGATGCAATGGAAAATAAGGAAAAAATATCTTGGTCCCCATTCTAGCGAAGTGTGAACAGAAGCAATGAAGAAAAGCCAGCCTGTAAATGTGTGGCCATTCCGACAGTTCTGGCCTCAGAGAGCCCCCAGCTCCTAGGGAGTGGTAAGAGAATAAAGTAATCAAGTCACTATGTGACTTCATACTGTTGGTATGATTGACTGTGTTACTCCCCATTATTCCCAACAGTATTTCTGACCCAAGCTTGACATCTCAGCATTCAAAATTGTTACTCCTGCCTTTTTAAAGGAGTTACAAGTTCTACAATAAAACCTTCACAAAGGTAGATAATCTACAAAATACATTTAGCACAGTGCCCGGGTCCATTCAACAGATGTCAGGTATGAAATCAGATTAATTGAGGGGACAAAAATTACTTCTGAGGAGAGCTCCTTTAATTACCACAGGCTATTCAATTCTAATTAATGTATCAGCTGTTCTAAATACAAACAATTGCTGCCTGGAAAAATATTTGTTTTCTTCAGTAGGATAAAAATATTTCCAGGGGTTAAGAAAATCTCAGCCAAGAATGTAATTTAGGGAGCACTGGTCAGGAACTAAGAGACTCGGATTCTAGGCTCCAATCTGCTGCTCACAGGGCGAGTGCAGCTGGAGAACGGAGGTTCTCTGCAGACATATCCTATAGCCCATCCCGGGGCTCTGTGCTTCCAGAGAGCTGGAAAGGGAACACATACCCAGCCTCCATTGTCCTAGTTGTGAAATGCACTGTAACTTGCAACGTCTTCTGTATCCTTCTCTATCTCGGAGCTGAATCAACTGACTTTAAGGCCAGCAGAATAACAGCAGCTCACCAACTACCTGCTTCCCAGCAGCACAGACACTCAAAAATGTACCTGTTCACTATATGGTCTAATAAAGTCACTTGTAACTTAACAATTCTAACAGAAGAGACATTCTCATTGTTTTAATCAGTGTAACTCATAATTGGCTTTATTTTAGCCAAAGAAGAACCAGATAACCACCCAGAATATCTAGGGCTTATAATATAAATACTTATTTATATTCAAGCTTCTTTATACTAGCTGAAGCCTAGAATCCTGGAATTGAAGGTATTCAAGAATTATTGAAGTTGTTTGATTTAACACTTAGTGATAACCTCTGTGCCACCAACTCTGTCATTAGAAAGAAAACAAAATGAGTTATCCTGGGTAGAATTGTAAATATTTTTTTTTTACTTTAACCATGAATTTTTTAAGTGGATAGGATATAGAGAAAAATAGAAGAGGACATTAAAAGAGACACTTGAGAAATAAAACCTAAACGTTTTATCATTTATATACTTATTTATGCTGTGTAAAGGTAATTTTTAATGCGGCAAAGCAGGGTAAAGTGTTATTAATACAAAACGCCTTTGCAACAGGGTAAATCAGAGTACCACAGCTTGAGTGGCATTTGCACTTTGAAGTTGTTTTTCTCTCAGCTTTTGTGGGTAGTCTAGGATCACAGAACTGGAGCACCTTCAGTGTCAAAGAACTTATACTAATTTTCATTTCCTTGCTTGGCCCAGCCGTTTGAAAAAATAACTTGAAAATACTCTCCTTATAGTATATTAATTTTTCAAAGGCTATGGTAGTTAACTTTTAAACTGAGTGTTATTCCATACAGATTAAAAAGACTTCAGTTTCTGAAAGGATCTCGAAATATAAATGCAGTCCTTTTTGTAACTATACTCATGCCTTTCATCAAAATTATTTAACACCAGAAATTATTTTCTAAAGAAGAAGCACAACACGTATTTCAACTCCCACGTAATAACACCGCAAATTTGGTAACATCTGCATATTTTCTTTACTAATTGCAGTGCTAGTCTGAAGTTAATTATACGAAACTGATTTTTTTCCTAAGCACAACTTTTATATATCACATTTAGTTTAATTGGTACTTTGAATAATAAATTGTTTTTCAGCTACAGCATATTGTTTGGTATTGCTAATGAAATGATTTTAATGTTCAACCGAGCTGTTATGAGAAATCTTATTTTGTCTTATATTTTTAAATATAATTCTCCATTGTAGCACACTAATTAACCTGATAACTACTTTTCTTTTTTTGAATCTTCAGTATAACATTATGTAAAAACTGTGTGGTAAGTAGCAGGAGATACTGTTTTCATAATGCAGCTACGTGTGAATCCTTCAACTACAGCATATTTTTGTGCTAGTGGTACTTAATAATACTTATGCATTCACCATTCTTTTGTGCCAGGCACAGTACCACAAACTCAGTAGTGCATCAGTTTCAGATTAACACAGTTAATGATGCCAGTATGATCTTTAGATCACTTATAAGCCTGTTTAAGGAAAAACTGGAGACAAAATGAAAATCTAACAGTTTATCTGAGCGAAGATCAATTCATGAATCAGGAAGCACCAAAACCAAAGGGAGGTTGTGGGTTTTGCTGTGGCGGCCTGAGCATTCAACTTTTATAGGCTGGAGATGGAAGCAAAATTTAAAAAACAAACAAAACAAAACAAACTACTTGATTGGCTAGAGCTAGGTGTTTGCCTTATTTGGATATTGTCCAGTGGGAGGTCCCAGGTTACAAAACCAATCAGCTATTTGGCTGTCTATGATTGGCTGAAGCTTCCTTCACAATTAATCAGTTACAAAGAATGCTTCTACCTTTAGTTTCTGTTTGTATGCCTGGAACCCTTATGCAAGCAAATAGAAACTAAAGGCTAATGGCTTGCTTATTTTCCTTTAACAGGCCCTGCAATGTTAGATGGAGGGGCAAGGTAACAGAGTCTCCATCTCTAATGACTTAAACATGAAACTGACATCATTTAGACTTACTCAACAATTATTTACTAAATCTTATCTACATTGTCCCAGTACTGTTGCTACCACCTATGTGGGCAAAGGGAGAAAAAAACTGAAAAACTCAGTTCCTGCCCCGTAGTTCATAACTAGTTGGGATGGGTGTCAACTAACAAGACCCCATGAACAATTTTCTTCTAATTATATGTTGGGTGGTATTCTCTGCATTGTGCTGTATACGTAAAAACTATAAAGATACTAGAGGGAAGAAAATTCAATGTAGGTTATAATCATTTCAGGAGGCTTTGTGATAGAAATAGGACTTCAACTGGACATTGAAACATTGATTACGATTTTTCCACCTGAAATTCTAGCTCCCACTAGAAATGAGAGCAATAGTGTGAGCAAGACCAATAGCTCAGAAGCAAGACCAAGATTTGGAACGGGCCAGGAGTGGTGGCTCACGCCTGTAATCCCAGCACTTTGGTAGGCCAAGGTGAGTGGATTGCTTGAGGCCAGAAGTTTGAGACAAGCCCAGCCAACATGCCAAAACCCCATCTCTACTAAAATTACAAAAATTAACCAGGCATGGTGGCTCATGCCTGTAATCTCTGCTGCTCAGATGGCTGAGGCACAGGAATCAGTTGAACCCTGGAGGCAGAGGTTGCAGTGTGCCACGATCGTGCCACAACACTCCAGCCTGGGTGACAGACCAAGACCCTGTCTCAAAAAAAATAAAAATATAAAAAGATTTGGAGTGTTCAGAGGACAAAGAGACCTTCTAGGTCTGCTCAAAGAGTTTATGCTGGGGAGTACTGAGACGTCGTGTTACATATATATTATGAAGTCATATTGTAGAGGGCTAGGAATGCCGGGATAACAGGATTTGTGAAATAATAGTGAGCCACTGAGCATTTCTGAATGAAGACACGTTGACGCCTCACAGAAGGCTGACCCGAAGGCCAGAGACCACAGTAGAAGTCAAGGTCTAGAAACCACAAGCAAGAATAAATAAATAAAGTCAAGCAACATGGGCAGCTAATGTGAAGGCTGTGCAGTAAGATAGTGTTGAAAGTAAGGCCATAAGGTCTTCCTTTGGGACAGGAATTATTTCCAGGGTTGTAAGTAGGTATGTGTGAATTTTTTTTTTTTTTTTTTTTTTTTTTTTTTGAGGCAGAGTCTCACTCTGTCACCCAGGCTGGAGTGCAGTGGCATGACCTCAGCTCACTGAGGCCTCCACCTCCTGTTTCAAGCAATTCGCCTGCCTCAGCCTCCTGAGTAGCTGGGACCACAGGCAAGTGCCACCACACCAGGCTAATTTTTTAAATTTTTTTAATTTTTAGTAGAGACAGGGTTTCACCAATGTTAGCCAGGCTTGTCTTGAACTACTGACCAGCCTGATCCACCTGCCTCAGCCTCTCAAAGTGCTGGGATTACAGGTGTGAGCCACCGTGCCCGGCCCGGTATGCATGAACCTTCTAATGGAGATGTGACTGGGTTAACCCAAATGCAGTGGCACAGATGTGGACAAGTCCCAATATGATCAAAATGGAGTTTCAGAAAAATGAACCTGTTACTGTTATGAAGAGTGTGTTAACACAGATGAAACTGTTACTGAAATGCCAGGGTTTCGGTCTAGGTCCTACTGATCACTGTACAGAAGGCCAATCCCTGAGACAACAATATTGCCAGGGAAGAAGGCTTTAATCAGGTACTATAGCCAAGGAGCTGGGAGATCAGTCTCAATTCCGTCTTGCTGACCGACTAAAATTAGAGGTTTATATAGCAGGGAAGAAATGTAACCATATGTGGAAAACAGGAATTAGGGAGGGGTAACAAAGAGAAGTTGGTCAACAGGAAGCAGGTGGTTGGTTAGGCAATCATGATGGGTGAGGGATCTGGTGTCTCATTGTCCAGATGCAGTGATCTGGTAAGTTTCAGCTCCTTGATTCTATCTGGAGGACTGATGGTTGGTTTCCTGAAAAAGGAACTCAGATATGACAAATGTAACCTTTTCAGATTTTAAGACTGGGAGGATCAATTTCTATTTTTATTCAAAGAAACCACAAATATCAGTTCTGTGGGACAATTAGACCAGTTTCCAAGTCAGGTTTAGATGAGCCCTTGAAAAATAATTTCAGCAAATAAGGAGTAAACTGATAGCGGCTTAGGCAAAGATTGTTATTGTGGGCATTGAGAGAATTAATACATCTGAGAAATGACTCAAAGAAAGAAATGTAGAAATGAAAGTTGGAGATTTCAAACCTGGGTAAAGAAGGCAACGGTAATTCCATGGACAGAAATACAAGAGTTGGGAAAGGAAATTATACATGAAAATCTCAGAGTTACCCGATTCCCTTTGCTCGATCCAATACAACTTGGCTGGAAACATTCATAGCATGGCCAAGGTCCACCATGCTGAATAAGACAGACCTACACTAGATCTCATGGAGAGTTTGGAGTGACATTAATTTTTTTGTCTTCCGGCTACATCAGGGTTTTAGAGTAGCTCCTGAGACATTTGTTTCTTTAAGGGATTTTAAATAATTAAGGCCCTACCTACCATTTAAATGCTGATTGAAATATACTGAAACTTTGGCAAGGAAAACACCTTGGTTTTTGGATGGATGATCCATGTTTTGAGTGGACATCAATGTTTCTGTTTACAAGAAAGTTCCATCTAGATAATGCATTTGATGAAATGTTTTCTCCAAATTAGAACTTTCTTATTAGACACTATCTTCCAGAAAGGTCATGCCACTAAGATAGATAAAATGGGTTGTATAGATTATCACTCAAAATGAGATAAAATAGCAATATTTAGTTTGGGGAAAAAAGTCAAATGAAATGTTTAATAATAAAAACCATTTATTTAACAATTACTATGTGTCAGAAACTATGTTAAGTGCTTTCTATGCATTATTTTATTTAATTAGCACATAATCACATGAAATACATACTTTTATTATCCTCATTTTCCAAATGAAGAAATTGACCAGAGAGGTTAAGTAAATTGCCTAAGATTATGCAAAGTTATTTAGGGATAGAGCCAGAGTCAGAATCAGAATTATATCTAACACGGTGCTGAAGTCCTCGTTCTTAGCTGCTACACTGTGCTCGTCTCTTCTGGCTTCAGTGATCAAACAAGGTGATTGTGAATTTTCCTAAACCTTTCCACACTCAACCCACAGAAGACATGATTTCTGTCATGTGTGACAAAACAAGGTTTTATTTATAAAATATGCCACTGAATGTTTAGCAACCTGTGTTCTCACATAGCTGGCAATGTTATCTTTACTTATTGTACTGGGCTTAGTGCAGTTAGAACTTAAATTTCTAGAAGCTGCATATAAACATGTTCTAAACTTTTGTTGTTGTTGTTGCCTTGGTAACTTTATTGTGACCTGAGTGTTCCACGAGCATCCTAAACTTAGGTTAGGGATATGGAAAATTAGTTTACAGTGGTTTTCAGAAAAAGCAAGGTATTATCAAAAAATTAGAAAATTCTGAATGCTATTACAACAAAGTGTACCTTTAAATTAAATGCAATAACAACAAAGTGTACCCTTTGAAAAATATTCCATAAACTGAATGAAATTTAAAAATATATGGCATTTGTATTTGTATGTGAATAAGACTTTCTAACCCATCTATTTATAAAAAACTTATGTTGAATAATAAACAAAATGCATGCTAAAGAAGAATTTTATTTCTTCACCTATAAAACTCATGAAAATGGTTTGTTATTTTCACAGCTGAATTTTTATTCCTCTTGTGGGGTGTTTATCTCTGCTATGCAGTGCGGACAGTCCCATCGGCATTCCATGAGCCCCGCTATATGGCTGTTGCAGTTCACAATGAGCTCATCATCTCTGCTATATTCCATACAATTAGGCAAGTGATCTGTAGAGCTAGTAAATAACTATTTTATTTTTCTGATGTGTTGCTGTTTAAATAACAAAATTAGATAAGATGCATAATAGAAAGACTTAGCAAAGATAGCATTTTATAAGTGGACTAATTTCTTTTACAGATTTGGAAAATGAATAGTTTGTTTTTAAAGCTGTTGTTCTTAGTTCCTTCGGCTGTGTTGTTTATTGCCTTCTTCTATTTTGAAGGTTAATTCAATGTTATTGTATTATCTTAAGCCACTTATGGAAATGTAATGGAATATTGTTTGTAATATGTAGCTTCATTATGAAGATATAATGCAATACGTGCATACATTGTAAAGCAGATACAGTTAACTTATCTATATTTTCATTTATGTTTAATGGGCTGGTTTATATTTTCAAAATCTCAATAGACATATAGACAACTTGTATGTATGAATTCTGTGGAATTCAAAACACAAAAACTACTTCAATCTGATGACTAGATTATCATGTGCAATGGGCTTTGGTGCTATCACACATTCTGGTAATGAATTTCTGGGATAAGAATGTATAGCTTGGTCCTCTATTGTGTGATCATCCCAGGTTTCTCTCTAGCAGATGAGAACACAGGAGGAAGACAGTGGCTTATCATGAAGTGAACAAAATGAAATATATATGACTTATCTTCTGAAAATGTATCCCTGATTCATATTTGAAAATGAAATGAAACTCTCAGGGCAGAACTAAAAGAAGGAATTCTATCATTTAAAAAGCAACAAAAAGATGTCATTCAATTGCTTGACAGATATGGAAAGTTAGGACACACTTAAGAAAATTAGAGATGTTGAGTATTTGTCTCTGGCCTCAGTGGAAAGAGTGGATCCCCTTTCTTTAGTTTCAATTCCTTTTTTGGCCTTCAGACTCTCCTGGAGATCAGTGAGAATGGAAGAGCGGGTGGGAGAAGGCAGTTGTGGGTCTGGGGGAATTTTGTAGGATGCCTATCCTCTCTGACTTTAGTCAGCAGTCAGAAGATGTGATCTTGCATCTTTAGAAAGAGACGTTGCCAGACAGCAGTGGGCCTCAGTTACAGCCTACACTTTTAAAACTTTTAAATAAGAAGAGGAGGTATCTATGGTCTGAGAACCCTGGAGACTCCATCAAGAGGCCAGGAATCTAGAGAACTGGGCTCTTTGCTTTGTCTTGCCCTCTCTGAGAGAGGAGAGAAAGACATTAGAAGAGGAAGGAAAGATAAGAATGGAAATATAAGATTATAAATACGCAAAGGAAGAAATGCTTTTTCAGCTACTCAGACTGGAGTTTCAGGACCTAAGAGGGGATGCCCTCAGTCAACAATATCTTGAGCACCATAGAATGTCTCCTCCTGTTGCCAGAGCTCAAACAGCCTTGACATATTCCCCAGACTTTCTTCCAAGAAAAGCTACTTTTTTGCTTATTTGCAGAATATCAAGCATATTCCAAGATATAACAAACATGCTTTTCTACAACCAGTTACAAGTTAAATGTTAACAAATCGACTAACAAATCAACTAAAGTTAACAAATCAACTAAAGAGTTGTAAACCAGTAAGAAGGCTTCTCAGAGTTGAGTTTAAATGTCTTCTATGGTCAAAATGTGCTTATGTAGTGCAGAAGGTTGTGCACTTTAGCCTTATAATAAACTGCTAGATTTTTTTAGAAAAAAATTAATTGTCCAAGTACTTAAATCTGTTTAGAAGTTTAATAAATATCTAAATATCCTTTAATTCCTTAAAGTTTACTCTGTTCAGTTTTCATCATTAAATTTCATTTCTCAATATATGTCAAACTTTAAACTGGCCTAGGTTCTTTCAGGAGTAGGCATGGTAAACTATTCTTAAATGAATCTTTTAAAAGTTTAATAAGGCAATAGATGGTTGTTACAGAAAAATCCTAAAGAAAAAAGTAAATAAACTCCCCAATCATGCTACCCAAAGATAAGCACTGTTAACACCTTAGTATATCACTTTTAGGTGTTTATGTGTGTTTGTATATTTATGATACATTGCACTTTATAGTCTCCTTTTCAGAGTGTCACAATGCAAGTTAGCATGCTGAGAAGTCCTGCTGCAAGGAAACCTACTTAATTTTATTTAACCAGCATTTTGCAAACTTAATTGACCATGGAATCCCCCCAAACCTCACTTGACATTTGATAACAGCATCCACACTTCAGAAAATACTGTTTTTCTACTGATTCAAGGTGACGGGAAGTACATGTTAAATACTGATTGAAAACAGCCTTACTACTTTGCTGTAAATCTTTCCTACAGAGCCCCAAGCAACTCATTGGCCCAACCAGAATAATCACATGAACATGAGCTTGGTTCTTATAGACACACACTCTGATTGAATGCTCCATGTTGAACCTAGTAAATTTGGTGTTGAATAGACATGATGTACTTGCAAGATCAATTTTCTTCCAGACAACTGTGTGGACCTCTATTACTTCTGAAAAGGGAGAACTTCCATTGGTAGCAAGTGTGACACAGAAAGACTAACTAGCTTGGTAGGCTTTGATTTTTTAGCAAGCTTAAATAAACCTGAAGAAGCCCTATGTTTTAAATTCCAAATTTGACCCACTATATCTTTCTGCCTAGATTGGATCAGACTGTGGTATATTGACTTTAAGGAATCACAGCATATATTAGCTACTCTCAGAAATATAATTTATATGGCTATAAAGGATGAAGGAATGGAATTGTAGTTTAATACAGTAAATCTGCATAACACTGATTTTGGGGGAATTGATAGGGAGAAAGCAATAGGCAATAATAAACCAATCAAGTATGTACAATGTCTTATTTACATATGGCCTGAACTTATACATGTGATGGTTCAAATATTTATAAAGTCCAAGAATAAGAAGCAATAACATAATAATTTAAATCAGCTATATCCATCTTGGTAATTTTTTCCTTGAATGAAACAATATAAAATAAGGCTTCCAACAGTGAAAAATATATTCTCTATCAATATAGCATGTGTTCTTTCTTATATGCTTAAAAAAATTATGTCTATGTATGTATATATACATATATAAATTAAAAACTATGACTATACATTATATACAGATTTACCTTTATTCATACCAAATTGTCAAATTGCACAAAAATAAACTAACAGCAAAGAATTAAGTCTAGAAGGATAAATAACACAGAGGCGTTTTTCCCAGCCTGTTATAATCCCTTATCCTTTATTATTTTTAGTGCTAAGCATAAAGCAAATCTTTGGGAAAGCACAAGACTTTTAAGTGTGTTTATTTTTAACCTCAATTTTCAAATATTTTATGCTCCTGGCTTTTAGACCTATGTTTTAAAAGATGAAACACTCTTGAAAATACGAAGCTTTAAAACTACTGCAAACCCAGTTTTTCTCAAAATATTTCTAGTCAGAATTGCAACCTTAAAAACCTGGCAGTAATTTAAAACTGATTGAGAGTGATGTCTGTATATTTCACAGTTGGTGGTTTTTTAAAGTTTCACTATTTTAAATTATGTGCAAGCATTTTTCCTTCTAGATACTGCCATGCTACTTTAAAGTTTATTTGGTTTGCATTTAAGGTGGAATTCTCAATACATGAGGATCCTTTTATGAATGTCTCCTTTAATGTAACTTTCTGCTCCAATACTGGAATGACCCTCAACAGACTGGATTTGTATTATTTTCCCAGAGTGTTATATCCCTTATATGCCTCAGAGACTGTTACTTGTTACTGAGTGTAATGATCCTATTTCAATGCAAAAAAAAAAAAAAAAAAAGCCTGACCCAGGAAAACAGACTGCGTCAA
This sequence comes from Homo sapiens, assembly GCF_000001405.40. Classification (NCBI taxonomy): domain Eukaryota; kingdom Metazoa; phylum Chordata; class Mammalia; order Primates; family Hominidae; genus Homo; species Homo sapiens. The sequence continues at coordinate 25,592,952 of NC_000010.11, forward strand.
AAGTCTGTTTTCACAATCTTTTGTCAAAACTGGTTCAGTTTTGCAGTCATATTCAAGGTATGTGTTTTTCTCACAAAGAAGTTAGAGAAGATGGTTAGCCAGAAAGCCCTATCCCTGTTTAATGAAACGTGAGCTATTGTGATGAGTGCCCTGTATTTTATGTATGTTACAAGCCTATTTGGTTTGCATCTCTAGACACAAGGGAAAATAATTCTCCATTTTGGGTAACTGCTGAGCTTCCATTTTAGCTTGATATCCTTAGGGGAGCAGCATGGAGGTGAAAATGAGAAAGAAATCATCTTGATGACAATTTTAAACATTAATGATCATTTACTTAGTAAATTTGTCATTAATATGGTAGAATGAAGATATAAAAATTAGTTTCTTCCTATTTTAGCCATTAATATATGTTTGTTTTGTGATTATAATATCATGAGCATTTTCTTAGGATGTTAACTTTGCACATTTGATGATGTGAAACAAAATTGTAATTCTCTAATTTCAAGTGGCAAAATGTCATATTTTGCTTTCACGGATAAACAATGGATAAGACCTTTATGAAAGCAACCCCTGGTTTCTGCGTAAGGATGCATCCTTAAAACATGAACTGTGTACATACACCTATTAATTTCTGAAAATATTCCCAAATTACTAGAGTAGACCTTAGTATTGAATTTCTCCTCACCATTTTTCCTGCAGAGGCATACTGGAACACAACTTCATAAATTTCTCCATCAGATAAGATTTTTAAATACTGCATTTTAAATTATTTTAGACAATTTGATAATTTAGAACAATTTATTTTAAAGAGTACATTTTATAAACCATTAGTATGTTTCATTAAATTGTTTTATCCATTAAATTGTTTTATTTCAATGCTTGGATCATTCACAAAGATAAATAATTGTCCACTTTTTCTTAATTATAACTGTTTTTAAACATTGATGCTTTGTAGGCAAATTATGAGTACTAAGAATATTACAACTGATAACTCTACAAATTTGTATTGTAAGTTTGTAACCTACTCCTCTTGAATTTACATATATTTACCACTTCGATTTTTAGAGGCCACTTTACATACAAAATAATAATCTTGGGAATTATTATGCTGCCTTTCTTACTATTGTTAATCTAAAATCATAATAAAGGGTTCATATATTATGCATCAAATTAAGCTTAGACTTTATTCTTTTGAGATGAAAATATATGCCATAGAAATAGTAATACAATTTCCTTTTTCTTATTTTAATACAATGAGGAAAAAAGAGTTCCCAAGTAATCCTAGTGTTCTAAGTAGAATCTTAATCTTGGATTGTTAACTCAATGAATTCTCATTTCAGATTTGTTCTTGCCTCAAGACTTCAGTCTGATTGGATGTTGATGCTGTATTTTGCACATACTCATTTGACTGTGACAGTCACCATTGGGTTGCTTTTGATTCCAAAGGTATTCTTCTAATATTACTTTTTTTTTTGCAAAACTTATTTTTAATGAACATGGAGTTGTTTATCCTATAGGCAAAAGGAGGTATGGAAATTTGCTTAATATTTAAAAGAGTTTTAAAGCTCCCTCCTCAGGAAACTGGCTGTTTTCTCTTTGAATTTTGGAAACTTCTTAAATAATTTTTAAATGCCTTTGTTTGTACAAAAACCCATCATCTGTTTCAGTCTTTTTCCAAATATATTGATGTCTAGTATGTTTTAATTATTATGGGTTCATTCTAGCTGTAACAGCAAGATCATTTTTTAAAAGAACTCTCCTATTCTAAGAATCCTCTTGTTTGGATTCATATTCAGAGAAATCTTATGTTTGGAACATTCAAATAATTTTTTATGTATATAGAAATAAATTATTACATATAGAGGAATCTCCATAATGATAGATACTGACAAAGACTTGTCCAGGCAGCACCATGAAATGAGGAAAAATGAGCCAGGACTCAGAATACAGGGATTCTAGACTCGTGGACCTTCCAGAAACTGGCTGTGTGTTATGACACTAGCCAGGACTTTTGATTTTTTGTGTGTGATATAATAGTAAGGCTTCCTGAAATAAAATAAAATGATATTGGAGTTTTTTTTCTCTGGGGGGAAGGTATTATACAAATTATATCATTGTTATTATTTTCCTCTTTTATACATAAACACAATATTAGAACACTGTGTATCTTTTCAGTGCCACAAAATACAGTGTTAGCACAGCTGAAACCAGAATTATGATTTCTTGTCTTCACTCCAGGCTTTTCCTCAAGTCTCACAGTTAACCAGAACATTGAGATTCAGCCTGATTGAAAAGTCTAAACCATTGTAAACAGAACAAGATACCTATTTTATTCCCTACTTGAATTACATCAACTAGACACAAGTATTTGTATAGATTATCTTAACTATTTTGATACTTTGCATAATATGATTACACTTTTATTAGATAGATGGAGCTATACTGAGATTATTTAATAAATTTTTACTGAGTTCCAAAGAGGATTGAAACTTGTAGAAGGATGTTCATAGCAGTGTTATTCATAATACCCAAAAAGTAGAAACAACCCAAATGTTTACCAACTGACAAATGTATAAACAACATGTGGTATATCCATACGATGGATTATTATTTGTCAGTAAAAATGAATGAAGTTCTGGCACATGTTACAACAATAAGAAGTGCAAAAGCCAGACACAAAATGCCACACATTGCATGATTCCATTTATGTGAAATGTCCAGAATGGGCAAATCTATAGAAACATAAAGTAGATTAGTGTTTGTCACAGGCTGGAGGAAGGATGAATAGAAGTGATTGCTTAATGGATTCAAGGTTTCTTTTTGAGATGAATATTCCAAAACTATTCTGGAATTAAATAGTGATGATGGTTGCACAACCTCATGAATGTACCAAGAACTGACATATACACTTTAAAGTTATAAATTTTATAGTATGTGTGTGAATTCTATCTCAATAAAAAGAGAATGTTAAAATATTATAGAGGGGCATTGCTAGGCATTGTTATATATCCTTAGAATAAGAGAAATGAACAGATAAAATCCTGTATTCTCATGGTACTTATAATCTGGGGAAGGGGAAACAGACAAGATAAATAAATAAGGTAAGTATTTTAAATAGTATTTTAGATAGAGGTAAGTGCCAAGGAAAAATAAAAAAGCAGGAAATGGACAATATATGACAAATGACATTATTTCTTAAACTCATAATTGTCTCCAAGACTTTAAAAACAAGAAAAACAATTTCATTTTTATAAATGACCTCCAGGTGGTGTAACCAGTGGCGTATGATATTTTGGAGGGCAGGAACTCTATGATATTCACGATTTGTGGCCTTTAGTTCATGGCATCTGTGGGTCTCACAAACATATGTGGAAGAGTAAAGTAAAGATTCCGTTTACCAGGGAGGCTGGAGCAGGAGGATGGCTTCAGCTCGGGAGTTTGAGGCTGCTGCGTGCTATGACCATGCCTGTGAATAGCTGCTGCTCTCCTGGCTGAGCAACATAGCAAGACCCTGTCTGTTTGTCTGTCTGTGTCTCTCTCTCTCTATCTATCTATCTATATATATAGATAGATAGATAGATCTAGGTATAGATATAGATACCTATATAGATATAGGTATAGATATAGATATAGATATATGCAATGCGTTACAGTGAGCTAATGTCTACTGCTCATACTGAATTTGTTTCAGTTTTCACATTCAAGCAATAACCCACGAGATGATATTGCTACAGAAGCATATGAGGATGAGCTAGACATGGGCCGATCTGGATCCTACCTGAACAGCAGTATCAATTCAGCCTGGAGTGAGCACAGCTTGGATCCAGAGGACATTCGGGTAATGCCAGTACTCTATCTTTCTTCCTATTTCAGATTAGCCTTATTTATACAGGCAGGCGTGTGTGGGTTGGGGTGCGTGTGTGCATGCATGTACACTCATGTTTGTGCATGTATGTCTCAGAAAGAGGGAATGTGTTTGGGTATGAACTGAAGATGTCAAATGCAGAGTTAATCCAGTTCTAAAATATATGAACCATAGTATAAATTAGAATGCACAGGCCATTTCAACTTTTATAGTAACCTGGTCAACCTCAGTAGTCTTAACTGACTTACTGGTATTCATAGTGTTGAACTGATTAAACGTGTTCCATAATACATGTTTATAACATCTTGCTTAGGGAAAGGTAGGATAGATCTGTGGAGCAGAGAGGAGAGCCTGGATTATTTAAAATAATCTATGACGACATATCAGCATCTGAAGGAAGCAGATGTTTTTAGTAGTCAACGGACTATTACCCTCTAAGCCTAATCTAACATCACATGTAACTTTATCAATGGCTGCATGATTCTTCCAATACTACTCAGGGATATGGTTCACCTATAAACAATATGCTGTGTTTTGTTCTGGTCCAGGCTCAGTCTGGTCCTCACAACTTGAATGTACAAAGTGCTTGCTCCTTGATGCAAGGTTAGAATACATGAGTTCGTGTCTTAAAGTCCACACTTTATGTGAAACAAAACACAAAAGAATCAGAAAATACAAATCAGAAAAGTACAAATCAGAAGGTGCTTGCTCCTTGAAGCAAGGTTAGAATACGTGAGTTCATGTCTTAAGGTCCACACTTTATGTGAAACAAAACACAAAAGAATCAGAAAGTACAAATGGTGAGAAAATCGACAAGTACATATGTCAGAGAAAGCTGTAGAGCAGTTGCCCCAAATTAGAGCCCAAGTTTACTGAATTCCAATACCATGTAGTGATCTTCTATGACTGGAACACTAAATTCTACACTTCTTTGAATTTGCTTTTGTTCTGGCAGGACGAGCTGAAAAAACTCTATGCCCAACTGGAAATATATAAAAGAAAGAAGATGATCACAAACAACCCCCACCTCCAGAAAAAGCGGTGCTCGAAGAAGGGCCTAGGTCGTTCCATCATGAGACGCATTACGGAGATCCCAGAGACAGTCAGCCGGCAGTGCTCTAAAGAGGACAAGGAGGGCGCCGACCATGGCACAGCCAAAGGCACTGCCCTCATCAGGAAGAACCCCCCAGAGTCTTCAGGGAACACAGGGAAATCCAAGGAGGAGACCCTGAAAAACCGAGTCTTCTCACTCAAGAAATCCCACAGCACTTATGACCACGTGAGAGACCAAACGGAAGAGTCCAGTAGCCTACCCACAGAAAGCCAAGAGGAGGAGACAACAGAAAATTCCACACTGGAATCCCTGTCGGGTAAAAAACTAACACAAAAACTAAAAGAAGACAGCGAGGCTGAGTCCACGGAGTCGGTGCCGTTGGTGTGCAAGTCAGCAAGCGCTCACAACCTCAGCTCAGAGAAGAAAACTGGGCACCCACGAACATCGATGTTACAGAAGTCTCTCAGTGTCATAGCAAGCGCCAAGGAGAAGACTCTTGGATTAGCTGGGAAAACCCAAACAGCAGGTGTGGAAGAACGCACTAAATCCCAGAAACCTTTGCCAAAAGATAAAGAGACAAACAGAAATCACTCAAATTCTGATAACACAGAGACTAAAGATCCTGCCCCCCAAAACTCAAATCCTGCGGAGGAGCCAAGAAAGCCTCAGAAATCTGGGATTATGAAACAACAAAGGGTCAACCCCACCACTGCCAATTCTGACCTGAACCCAGGCACCACCCAGATGAAGGACAACTTTGACATTGGGGAGGTGTGTCCTTGGGAGGTTTATGACCTGACCCCTGGTCCTGTGCCTTCAGAATCAAAAGTTCAAAAGCACGTATCTATTGTGGCTTCTGAAATGGAGAAAAACCCCACTTTTTCCTTAAAGGAGAAATCTCACCACAAGCCTAAGGCAGCTGAGGTTTGTCAGCAATCCAATCAGAAGCGCATAGATAAGGCTGAAGTATGCCTTTGGGAGAGCCAAGGCCAGTCCATTTTGGAAGATGAGAAGCTTTTGATTTCCAAGACTCCAGTTCTCCCAGAGAGGGCAAAAGAGGAGAACGGAGGTCAGCCTCGTGCAGCCAATGTGTGTGCTGGGCAGAGCGAAGAACTGCCCCCCAAAGCTGTAGCATCAAAAACAGAGAATGAAAATCTCAACCAAATAGGACACCAGGAAAAAAAGACATCTTCTTCTGAGGAGAATGTGCGTGGCTCCTATAACTCAAGTAATAACTTCCAGCAACCTTTAACATCACGAGCAGAGGTTTGTCCTTGGGAGTTTGAGACCCCAGCTCAACCAAATGCTGGAAGAAGTGTAGCTTTACCTGCCTCTTCTGCTCTAAGTGCAAATAAGATAGCAGGGCCTAGGAAAGAAGAGATCTGGGATAGTTTTAAAGTGTAGCATCTCCAGGAAGAAGAGGAAAAGGAGGGAACCCCGGATTGGATATGAGACAGAAGATATAAGAATCAAATATTCCCAAGGAGGATTTGTCAATCAAGGAAAACATGACAGATGGTGAGGTAAAGTCAAAGGCATGGGTAGAAGAGGACCAGGGGGGCAAGAGCAACAACGTCATAATGGAGAAGTCAGACTTTGGTCAAGAAAGTCCTTCCCTTGGTAACACTAGGAAAATCTTTCCATTTCAGCATGTTTAAGGAAAATAGCCCACAATGTCTGCCCTGATCAATATGTATCCATGGGACTTTGAAGATCCTAAGCCAGGTAAACCAGGAGACACAGAAGACGTACCAGATTTGCAAAGAAAGAAAAGGTATAAGACATATATAACTGAAATTCTAAGTAGCTGACCGAGAAGAACTTACTTTACCTATTTAACCTTGATAGCACTGCTAACTTAATGCATCCCAAAAATATCTTTTATATTAATGATTGCTCTCATTTTCTTATAAATGTATGTTTCAGTATATCGTTGTGTCTCATATTCAAGCATTCCAGATTGTATAATTTTTGCAAATAACTTTGGTATTATGTGACACAACACATTTATGCAATCTGCAGCTATTCAATTGTTATTGCACCTTACAGAATACCTGCTATCTATCAACTTTAGTTGATTCTTGAAGTACAGTAAGCTTTCTCTGGCTTGGGAAGCCATAACTGTTACTATAAAAACTTTTAGTTTTGGCTGTGGTTTATATATTGTGACTTTGAATTTGACTCTATTATTTCACATCATGGTTTGTTATACTGTCTTAATCAGGGTTTTTTATACAAGTTGAGTTACTTGTTTTGCACTTCTTGTTAGGACTCAGAAGCTTTATTAATATTGGAGATCAAGTGGTCCTACTTAGTCATATGTCTCAATAAGTTAAGGACAACTTATCCGTTGTTTATTCAAAGTCAGAGATAGATAACGCCTTCATTCCAATTAATTGTCCCTTTTAACTCTTTCAGTATTTCCTACTTAGCAGCATTTCCAAAGGAAGAAGCTAAGAGTGAGAAAAATATACCGTGCATTATTATTACTATTGGAAAGGGAAGACTCTAGGGATGACATAAGAATTATAGCAGTACTATAAACCCAGGAAGTTTGCCTTTCAAAAAAAAACACAGGTAGCTCCTGATAGCACTTTCAAGGGATTATTTTTTTAAAGAGAAAAATTATGGTAGCATCAAGATCATTGTATGGATATATTTTTATTATGTGTACTGAAAATACAGTATTTTAAAATACCTTAAAGTATTTATTCTCATAAACTCTTATTCATTGCTTCAGCTACAGGTAGAACTTGCTGGGCTCAAATCCCAAAGAGGTTTTATAACCTTATTTATTCAAAACCTATAAGGTGGTATGGAATCTTCATTCTCCCAAGCACTGGAAAATGTCTAAGTCCTGCAAATTGCCATTGTGAGCCACTTGCTCGACATGTAACATGTAAGGTCCATTTGCAAAGCAAAGCAGCCCCCAAAGCATATTTTATAAAGCTTATTGCATTCCACACTGATCTCTTGGCATGGGAATCCTAAGCTGCCGACTAAGCCCTACCGACATGATCATGCAGTGAGATTCCAAAGCTCAGTCTCATTTCATTTAAAGAAGAATCACTCAGAAATAGAACCGAGACTTCCCTTTTTCTCCCTGTAAACACCCAAGTATCAACTGCTTATTTGGCCAGGACACTCCCAGCACAAATAACTATTTTTTATGTCACAAGCAGCAAGGAGGACATGCTAGGGTGATAAAAGATGGAGAAACAGGATCAGAGGGTGGATATAGGGCTGTTCTTAGAGAGTATTTTCAGTGGAAGGTAAAAACAGAATTCTCCATATTCATCATCAAATTTTTCTCAGTGATTTTTTTATTCAGGAGTAAGCAAGCACTTCACTGTTTCACAAAGCTGTGCGCAAATCTTCCTCACCCATTTGCTGACTTTATGCATTACTCAGGTTGGTGGGGTCGGTTTGAGAAGATATAGAAATTCTATTTTTGTGTCTTTACACCATTTATTTCTTTTATCTCTTCCTTTTCAATGAAGGCCTATATGCTTGGTGACCTCCTTTAAGGAATCTTTGTGAACTGGGTTGGAAGTTCCTAGACCCACATATTTGTTTCATTTATGTCTGAAATCTGTTAGCACTTGATTCCTTTCTTGAGAATTATGCAGTCAAGCATCAGTGACTTTCTATTGCACTTCAGGATTGATCCTGCTAGAGATGTGAGTTAAAAAGACTTGCCAAATTATATCTTAGCGACATTCTATAGTTCATAGATTATTCTCCACCAGCATAAATCAGTGAGAGTGCCTAGAGTCTTTCTGAGAGTTTCATTGCCATTATCAACAAGAGAAGTTGAAATTTACAAGTCAGGAGGTTATTTTTCCAGATTGATAACCATAGAAAGTGAATAAACACTTTTAAGGTCGCAAACATTTGCTAGGTTGTCCTTCTCAATGCATGTGCAGGCTGCATCCTGTCCTTGTTTTTAAGCCAGGGTTTATAAATAAGTAGATTTATACCAATCTTAATAGAATTGTATATTTTATGCAAGAATTAAATGCTTTACAACATGAAGTATAACTCAACCCATTGTAAACTTTGGTGGCAATATGGATTTGAAACTCGACAGTTCTCTTGTATTTGCTTCCTAGGTTTCTGCATGCAAGTTATGACAGGTAGGACTGAAAAAACACTGCCTTTTGACTTCTAGCATTTAGCAACCGAGAGTCGTAGAGTCAATAAAGCTGTAAGTGTCTTCACTTAATCTGTGGTTCTCCTAAAACTATTATCTGAAACCTACAGCATCCCACCATGAAATATTTGGTAAATTTATGTTGTGACGTGTTGCAGCATGTAAATAATTATAACTTCTCTGCAATAAAACATATTTATATGAAAGTGATTTGTGGGGATTTGTGTGTTCATCTATAGAAAACTGAATTTATTTTGTCCAACTTTAAAAGAAATTCCATATATTTGTTTGGCTCTGGTATCCTTGTGCACATACATCCTCATATTGCCAGTCTATAGGAATATGTGATTAGCCAAATGTGGCCTCAAACACACAGGTAATCATTTGGAGGCAATCAAAACTATTTGTGGTTTTCATTTAAGAAGTCTCTTCCCAAATGGGAACTAACTCAGCTACCTTTTTTCTTTGCTTGTTTACTCCACACACAGTACCAGGAAATCTGCTAAGGAGTGATGATACAAAGATAAACAACCCCTTCAGGAACACTCAGGCCCATGAGAGTATCCAGTCACTGGTATAACAATATGCAGATGAGCATAACTAAGGTCAGGGAAGTCTCACTAGAGAGTTCAGGGTCACCAGGCCGAAAATCTGCAAAGGCAACAAACAGGTATCAAAGGGAAACTGTTGTAAGGCTGGAGAAGTAACTGAGCACAGACTGCACGCCACGCTTCAGGTTAACTGCAGCTTCATCCTGGAGCACTGGAAGCTATTGGGAAGCTTTTAAAAGTGGCATAATGAAGTCAAAAATTAGATCATTTTGGAAGCAGCCCTGAAATGAACTGAAACGGGAAGGGACTAGAGGCAGCTAAAAACGATTAGTGTGAGAGGCATGATGAGAGAAGATGAGAGCCTAAAGAGGAGATGGAAAGATTCGTGTTTATTTCATCAAAATCACATCTCCAATTGGGTTTACTATTTTATTATAAGCATGTGAAATGGGAAAAATCAGGTTACTTTAGATAACTGTCAAATACAAATTTTTTTCTGAGTTTATTGACATTTTGGCTAATTTCAAAAGCCTCGAAAGCCCTTTCTGAAGACTGGTAGACCTCATATCATCTGTTCACGAGAAAAGCTGATGAACAGGATCCCAGGTTCCTGCTATGGGAAAGCTTGGTACTAAACTGGGCTGGGAAAGATGGCGCTTGGGGCATGTGCAATGTGGACTGAAGTTTCTACCAGCTCAGAAGAGCTCTAGAAAGACAACCAGGCCTGAAAAGAGGGAAGGGGAGAGAGCTGGTCCCCCACCTTATCCCTGCACCCCTCTTTCTTTGGATGAAGCACAGCAACTACCTTTTCCCATCTGCTCATACCATTGCCACTTACAGAATTTTCAGTTATTGCTGGACTTGCCTAGTTGACCTGTGTCTGGCTATATTATTTTTTCATATATATTGTTTCTTTGTTCTAAATTTAGAATCTTTCTGCTAAAAAAATACCTAAGGGAAATCAGAAATAGGCTTTATCACATAAAAACTAATAATGAAAATCTGGTGTCCTAAAACAATGCAAGTTAGTTAAGATTTTCTTATATCAGCATATTCCATCTTTTCCCCCTGAATAGTTGTAAAGACAGCAATCAAGTCTTTCTAATTTGGGTTGTTTTCTCTTTAAACATTTTGATTCTTAGAAAGTACAAGGGCAAAGTTCAAGCATCTTGTGTGTTCTAATTCAGCGTTAACTGGCTAGAAGGCAGATAATGAAATGTATGAATTGGTTTTTAATTTCCCTCTCTTTCCCTGTGATGTGAAAATTGCCAGAAATAAAACTGTCTGATCAAATGAACATGGAAAATAAGGGATAAATATAGGAAGAGGCCTGTGCTGCACAGCAGTCACATTCCTAGAAAGAAAAATAATTTAAATATGCAAATAGAAAGTCCATGCCAGTTCTTGTAGAACATACTCCCATTTCAGTTCCATCAGCAATAGAAAAGAAAAAAATGCCCTCAGTTGTGCACACAAGAGAAAGATTCATGCAGTTTTTTCTCCAGATACACCAAGAGGTTTGATTCTTCCATGCCTTTTGTGTTTGCTTGTTGGTCCAACTCAAATTTCCTCCCCTTCTTCTCCCTGCCAACATGTAATATACACTTTAATGCTAGAGTGATCATATATTTTATTGGCCAAAGAAAACCTTTGAGAGTAAAAGGGCAGTATTAAACTATACACCTGGCTGGGAACTGCAGCTCACGTCTGTAATCCCAACAGTTTGGGAGGCCAAGGTAGGAGGATTGCTTGAGGCCAGGAGTTCAATACCAGACTGAGCAACATAGCAAGACCCATCTCTACCAAAAAAAAAAAAAAAAAAAATTAGCTGGGCATGGTGGCATGTGCCTGTAATCCCAGCTACTCAGAAGGCTGAGGCAGGAGGATCCCTCAAGCCTAGGAAGTTGAGGATGCAGTGAGCCATGATCATGCCTCTGCACTCCAGCCTGGGTGATAGAGCAAGACCTTATCTTAAAAAAATAAATTACACCTGGATAACAGTGTAAACTGGGACTATCCCTGGTCACCCAGGATGTTTGTTTTCCCTAATTCAAGGAGCAGCACAAAGGCCCCTGTTACCTCCGTGAAACATTTCCTAATTCCTCAAGTCAGAATGAATTCCTTCTTCTTAGCTCCCCTTAGGAATTTACTTAAGTCTCTTACTGCACTGAGTTACAATTTAGTTACATGCTCCACTGAGTCATCTACTAAATTAGGAGCTCTATTCACGCATAGATCCCCAATCTCAAGCAGTGTGCTTTGCCCCGAGTTCAATAAATATTTGCCCAACTGGAATTTTTGATTACTAATCACTGCTTAAAATACACCTGAAGAGAAAGAAATTCAGAAGTTGGTGAGAACTTGCTGCAGCATTTCTAAAATGTTGTTTAACTGGACTTCCACGTAAATTCTGGCAGTTCCTGGAAAACCCACAGAGTATGATTGAATCATGTTAATTCTAACTCTCCAGCTTTGTAACGTTAAGTATTGATTTGCCACCATAAGGAAAGAGAAGCCTAAGGTTGCGGCCATGGCCCGGTTTGTTAGAGCTATAAAAGAGATTTCCATATGTCATAAAAAGTAAGAAATATTGCATTAGGCTGTAGGAACTTGAACTTGCTTTTAGTTATTTGAACTCCTTCTGAAAAATAAAGCATGGCTGAGTCTATATAAAACATCCACATAAAAACAGATTCTGATGCTCGGCTTTCAGATGCTTCTGAGAAGTGAGATAGAGTTTGAACAAACTATTTGGACATTTGGTTGACTTGAGAATTTCTTATCCATATGTTTCATGTTATATAGAAGTAGTCATAATATGCTTGCATATAACCCTAAGTGTTTTGTGAACAGAAATATATATGTTACATGTAAATACATACACACATATCACTTGTTGGAAATTGGGAAAATATATAAAAAGCATCTAAATTTGCCACATAGTACAGATATTAAAAGATCATGAAAAATATTTTTTCTTTTTACATCTCAAAGACTAATAGCAATATGCACATATGGTGAATAATTTACAAATTCGTCCACCTGCCTTTCATATTACATGCTGCTTATAATAAGTTGAGGAACTTTGATTTATTATTGTAGTCCTTAGACAAAATTTGATGATGGAACCATGTAAATAAATAGGGATTAAACCAGAGTCAAGAGGCAGCCAATAGGGGGTCCACTTTCTGACACATGAGAAAACTGGATATAAAGTTGTTTAAGAGCACCCAGGCACAAACTCAGTTTCGAGACCACTTGAATGAAAGGGTCCGCAGGTTGACTGCCCTGTAAACATTTGCTGGACCATGGGAAAGCTAGAAAGGCTATCATTCAAATATATAATAGACACTCATCCTCTTTACAGCAGCCTGTAAAGAAGGAGAGGAGTCATCTATTTTCTCAACTCTGATGGTATCCTACCTGTGCGGTCACCTGCCTCCATACACCTCCTCCTCCAGTGGTGAGGGTCACAGAAGGCATGGAAAAGCCAAGGCAAAGCATACCTCTCCTCTTGCTTTGTGTACCCACTTACTTTCATTAAATTTCTATGTCTTTGACTAAGTTTAAAAACATGGGCAAGGCGCAGTGGCTCACACCTGTAATCCCAGCACTTTGGGAGGCAGAGGCAGGCAGATTACCTGAGGTCAGGAGTTTGAGAGCACCTTGGCCAACATGGTGAAACCCCGTCTCTACTAAAAATACAAAAAATTAGCCGGGTGTGGGTGGTGGGCACCTGTAATCCCAGCTACTCCAGGGGCTGAGGCAGGAGAATTGCTTGAACTCAAGAGGTGGAGGTTACAGTGAGCTGAGATCAAACCATTGCACTTCAGCTTGGGCAACAAGAGCAAAACTCCATCTCAAAAAATATATATATATGTGTAATAGAAAGCATGAATTAAAAACACATTGAAACAAAAATCCTAAAACACATTTTAAAAAACCATGTGTAAGTTGGGAGATATTTGATAGATATTTTATAACACGCACAAATAGTGGTAAATACCGCTGATAAAGAACAGTAGGGGTCAGGCACAGTGGCTCACTCCTGTAATGCCAGCACTTTGGGAGGCTGAGGCAGGAGGATTGCTTGAGCTCAGGAGTTCAAGACCAGCCTGGGCAACATGGTGAAACTTTGTCTCTACAAAAAAATTCATAAATTAGCCAGGGGTGGTGATTTGCCCCTGAAGCCCCAGCTACTCAGGAGGCTGAGGTTGGAGGATTACTTGAGCCTGGAGGTTTGAGTCTGCGGTGAGCTACGATTGCACCACTGCACTCCAGCCTGGGTGACAGAGTGAGACCCTGTCTCAAAAAGAAAAGAAAAAAGAAAAATAACAGGATGGAAAAAAAATCAGGAGTACAAGAACTTGTTTTGAAACTTGGTTCCACTACCAGATATGTCTGGTTTGGAAAAGTCTCTTCAATTTTCTGTATTTACATTTCTTCGCCTGAACAAAGGAAGTTTTGAATGAGATGACATCTCAGGACCTTTCTCATCCTATGACTAAGATTGTGTGTGTGTGTGTGTGTGTGTGTGTGTGCATGTACACGCACATGCACACGTTTGTCTGACTGTAAAATTTCATTTTGCATTAAATTGCTTTGCTAGAATGGATATAGCCACACAACTACGCGACTTAACATCTATTCAAACATTTGGCAATTTTAGAATCAGCTAGAGAAAGAAGACACACACATGAAAGGGAGCAGAAGTGTGATAAATAACCTCCAATCCCCCTTGATTATATATATATAAAATACTAAGATATATGAAGTTCTGGGGAAAAACAAAGTCATAGGAAATTTGCTTCAAAAAGCAAAATGAAGCCAGAGTGAAGTCCTGAATGAGAAGAGGCCGGAAAGCGGTGTGCTTTCTGGGTCCCGTTTTCTTGCTCTGTCTCACTATGATTCAGTCTTTGCTGGGAATGGATAGTTCTACTTCTTCACACAGAAGTGGCTCTTAGTGTCCTTCATGTAGCATAAGAAGCTGGGCCAAAACATTTTTGTAAGACTAAGTTTTAAATGAAGTTCTTTACTATCCTAAAGGTTAATAGAATCAAACGTAACTACGTAGTAAAGTTTCTGGATGATTAATCCAGGAAGCGTCAATTTTGTATGACAAATGTCTATCCTTCCAAAGTGACCCCAGGAATACAAACCATATTCTCCCCTAGGGATCCCTTTAATGCCAATTTGGAGAATAGACTAGTATCGCTCATCAGAAATAGCATAAGTAATACAAATAATGCTCTACATTTTGCTTTCTTCACATAATTGTTTGAAACTTTATTACTTGATTTAAACATGAAATTGATGTAGTTTTTCTGAGATTTGGCTCATTTTACATATATTTATTCCATTTCATTTCTTATCTATACATTAAAGGAGAACTCTTTCCCCAAGTCCAAAAATCACACACATACAACATGATCCCCTTGCATTCTGCTTCTACAGCGGTTATTCCCTGCTGTTTCATAAAGCTGTATTTAACTTAAGAAATTATTGTTATTCTTTGATCACAAAGAATAGGTAAAATACTAGGAACAGAGCAAACATGCCTCCCCCAAAAGCCTGCATTATGTAAGCAATGAGTTTAGTTCTCCATAAAGATAAGAAAATACTATTTCAGGCAGCAAATTTAACAAGGAGGTTAAATTTAGAATGAAATTTTTATTATTTTGAAATTCCTTTTTAGTTTCCAATACAAATTCATGAAACTCAAGCTGCTGGACTATTTGGCCTGGGACAAGAACACACTGAGCAGCAGCCATAGCATGGGCCTGAATTTTATTTATTTTTATTTATATATTTATTTTTATTACACTTTAGGTTCTGGGATACATGTGCAGAACGTGCAGGTTTGTTACATAGGTATACATGTGCCATGATGGTTTGCTGCACCCATCAACCCGTTATCTACATTAGGTATTTCTCCTAATGCTATCCCTTCCCTTGCCCCTCACCCCATGACAGGCCCGGGTGTGTGATATTCCCCTCCCCGTAAAACCATAAAACCCTAGAAGAAAACCTAGGCAATACCATTCAGGACATAGGCATGGGCAAAGGCTTTATGACTAAAACACCAAAAGCAATTGCAACAAAAGCCAAAATTGACAAATGGGATCTAATTAAACAAAAGAGTTTCTGCATAGCAAAAGAAACTATCATCAGACTGAACAGGCAACCTACAGAATGTGAGAAAATTTTTGCAATCTATTCATCTGACAAAGGGCTAATATCCAGAATATACAAGGAACTTAAACAAATTTACAAGGAAAAACAACCCCATCAAAAAGTGGATGAAGGATATGAACAGACGCTTTTCAAAAGAAGACATTTATGTGGCCAACACACATGAAAAAAAGATCATCATCACTGGTCATCAGAGAAATGTAAATCAAAACCACCATGAGATACCATTCTCATGCCAGTTAGAATGAAAATCATTAAAAAGTCAGGAAACAGATGCTGGAGAGGATGTGGAGAAAGAGGAACACTTTTACATTGTTAGTGGGAGTGTAAATTAGTTCAACGATTGTAGAAGACAGTGTGGTGATTTCTCAAGGATCTAGATTTTTATTTTTTTAAGTGTTTTAGTTTTTCTTTTTGTGGGTATATAGTAGGTGTATGTATTTATGGTTTACACGAGATATTTTGATACAGGCATGCAATAATAAAAACATCAAAGTATATGGAGTATCCATCACCTCAAGCATTTATTCTTTGTGTTACAAAGAATGCAATCATGCTCTTTTAGTTATTTTAAAATGTACATTTTTTTTCTTTACTATGGTCACCCTTTTGTGCTAGGAAATAGGTCTTAATAATTCTAATTATTTCTTGTACCCATTAACCATCCCCCCACTCCCCTCCCCATCCCCCCTGCCACCCACTACCCTTCCCAGCCTCTGGCATCCATTCATTTACTCTCTATCTTCATGAGTTCAATGGTTTTAACTTTTAGCTCGCACAAATAAGTGGGGACATGCAAAGTTTCTCTTTCTGTGCCTGGCTTATTTCACCTAACATAATGACCTCCAGCTCCATCCATGTTGTTGCAAATGACAGGATTTTATTATTTTTAATGGCTGAATAATACTTCATTGTTGATATGTATCACAATTTCTTTATCCATTCATCGTTGATGGATGTGTAGGTTGTTTCAAAGTTTTGGCTACTGTGAACAGCAATAAACATGGGAGTGCATGTATCTCTTCAACATACAGATTTCCTTTCTTTTATGTATATATTTAGCAGTGTGATTGCTGGATCATATGGTAGTTCTATTTTTAGTTTTTTGAGGCACCTCCAAACTGTTCTCCATAGTGTTTGTACTAATTTACATTTCCACCAATAGTTTACAAGGGTTTCCTTTTCTCTACATTCTCACCAGCATTTGTTATTACCTGTCTTTTGGATATAAGTCATTTTAACTGAAGTGAGATGATATTTCATTGTCGTTTTGACTTGCATTTCTCTGATGATCAATAATGTTGAACACAATTTCATATACCTGTTTGCCTGTGTATGTCTTCTTTTGAGAAATGTATATTCAGATATTTTGTCCATTTTTAATAGTAATATTAGATTTTTTTCCTATAGAGTTGTTTGAGCTTCCTATATGTTCTAGTGATTAATCCCTTGTCAAGTGGGTAGTTTGCAAATATTTTCTTCCATTCTGTGAGTTGTGTCTTCACTTTGTTGATTGTTTTCTTTGTTGTGCAAAAATTTTTTAAATTGATGTGATCTCATTTGTCCATTTTTGCTTTGGATGTCTGTCACTGTGGGGTATTACTCAAGGAATATTTTGCCCACTCCAATATCCTGAATTTCCCCCAGTGTTTTCTTGCAGTAGTGTTATAGTTTTAGGTCTTAGATTTAAGTCTTTAATCAAATTTTATTTGACTTTTATATATGGTGAGAGATAGGGATCTAATTTCATTTTTCCGCATATGGATATCTGGTTTTCCCAGTGCTATTTCTTGAAGACATTAGATTGTCCTTTCCCCAGTGTAATGTTCTTGGCACCTTTGTCAAAAATCAGATCACTGTATATGTATGGATTTATTTCCGGGTTCTCTATTGTATTCCACTGGTCTATACTTCTCTATTTATGCTGGTACCATGCCATTTTGGTTACTATAGCTCTAGAGTATAATTTGAAATCAGGTAATGTGATTCCCTCCAGTTTTGTTCTTTTTTCTTAAGATAACTCTGGCTATTCTGAGTCTTTTGTGGTTGGCACATAGCTTTAGGACTATTTCTTTTATTTATATGAAGATTATCTTGGTATTTTGATAGAGATTGCACTGAATCTGTAGATTGCTTTGGATAGTATGGATATTTTAACAATGTTGATTCTTCTAATCCATGCACAAGGAATATCTTTCCTTTTTTTTTGTTTCCTCTTCAGTTTCTTTCATCAGTGTTTTATAGTTTTCCTTGTAGAGGTCTTTCACTTCTTTGGTTAATTTAATTCCATGTATTTTATTTGTAGCTATTCTAAATGGGACCACTTTCTTCATTTCTTTTTCAGATTATTCACTGTTGGCATATAGAAAAACTACTGATTTTTTTATGTTGATTTTGTATCTTGAAACTTTATGCAATTTGTTTATCAGTTCTAACACTTTTTTGGTAGTCTTTAGGTTTTTCCAAATATATTATCCATAAACAAGAATAATTTATTTATTTCCAATTTAAGTGCCCTTTTTTCCTCTTGTCTGATTGCTCTAGCTAGGACTTCCAGTGTTACGTTGAATAACAGTGATGAAAGTGGGCATCCTTGTCATGTTCCAGATATTAGGGGAAAGGATTTCAGATTTCAGTTTTTCTCCATTTAGTATAATACTAGCTATAGGTCTGTCATATATGGCTTTGATTATCTTGGGGTATATTCCTTCTATATCCAGGATTGTTAAGGTTTTTATCATGAAAGAATTTTATCAAATGCTTTTTCAGCATCAATTGAAATGATCATATATGGTTTTTGTCCCTCATTCCATTGATATGATGTATCACATTAATTGATTTGCATATGTTGAATCATCCTTGCATCCCTGAGATAAATCCCATTTAGTCATGATGAATGATCTTTTTAATATGTTGTCGAATTCTGTTTGCTAGTGTTTAGGTAAGGCTTTTTCTATCAATATTCACCAGTGATATTGGCTTGTAGTTTTTATTTTTTGATGTGTCTTTGGTTTTGGTATCACAGTAATACTGACCTTGTAGAATGAGTTTGGAAGTATTCCTTCATCCTCTATTTCTCAGAATAGTATGAGTAGAATTGGTATGAGTTATTCTTTAGATATTTGGTAGAATTCAGCAGTGCAGCCATTGGGTTCTGGGCTTTTCTTTGCTGGAGGACTTTTTATTATGGCTTTGATCTCATTACTTCTTATTGGTCTATTCAGGTTTTCGATTTCTTCCTAGTTCAATTTTGGCAGGTTGTATGTGTTTAGGAACTCATTCATTTCTTCTGAATGTCCCAATTTATTGGCATATAGTTGTTCATAGTAGCCATTAATGATTCTTTGAATTTCTGCAGTATCAGTAGTAATGTCTCCTTTATCATCTCCAATTTTATTTGGATCTTCTCTCTTTTTCTTAGCTTGGCTAAAAGCATGTCAATTATGTCTATCTTTTCAAAAAACCAACTTTTTGTTTTGATCTTTTGTATTTTTTTATTCATTTTAATTTCGTTTGTCTCTGCTCTGATCTTTATTTCTTTTCTTCTACTAGTTTTGGGTTTGGTTTGCTCTTTTCTATTTATTCAAGGTGCACCATTAGATTAAAGTTTTTCTTCTTTTTGGATGTAGGTGCTATAGCTTAAAAACTTTCCTATTAGTACAACTTTTGCTGTATCCCGTGAGTTTTGGTATGTTGTGTTTCCATTATCATTATTTCAAGAATTTTTCAATTTCCTTCTTAATTTCTCATTTACCCACTGGTCATTCAGGAGCATATTGTTTAATTTCCATGTGCTTGCACAGTCTCCAGAATTCCTGATTGATTTCCAGTTTTTATACCATTGTGGTCAGAGAAGATGCTTGATATTATTTTAGGTTTTTTTATGAATGCTTTAAGACTTGTTATGTGACCTAACATATGGTCTATCCTTGAGATTGATCCATGTGCTGAGGAAAAGAATGTATATTTTGCAGCTGTTGGATAAAATATTTTGTAAATATTCTGTAAATATTAAGTATTCTGTACATGTAGATCCATTTGGTCTATAGTGTACATTAAGTCCAGTGTTCCTTTGTTAATTTTCTGTCTCAATGATCTGTTAAATGCTAAAGATGGGGTGTTGAAGTCTCCACCTATTATTGTATTGCAGTCTCTTTCTTTAACTCTAATATTTGGTTTATATATCTGGTGCTCCAGTGTTGGGTGTATATATATTTACAACTGATATATTCTCTTGCTGAATTGACCCCTTTACTATTATGTAATGACATTTTTGTCTCTTCTTACAGTTTTGGTCTTGAAATCTACTTTTTCTGATATAAGTATGGCTACTCCTGCTTTTTGGTTTTGACTGACATGAAATTTTTTTCATTCCTCCGTTTTTAGTCTATGTGTGCCTTTATAGGTAAAGTGTGTTTCTTGTAGGCAAGAGATCATTGGATCTTGTGTTTTAATCCATTCAGCCACTCCATGTCTTCTGATTAGAGAATTTAGTCCATTTACATTCAGTGTTATTATTGATAAGTAAGGAATTACTCCTGCCATTTTGTTGTATGTTTTCTGGTTGTTTTGTGGTCTTCTCTCTTTCCTTCCTGTCTTCCTTTTAGTGAAAGTGACTTTCTTTGTTGATGTAATTTAGTTTCTTGCTTTTTATTTTTTGTGTATCTGTTGTATTTTTTTGGTTGAGGTTACCATGAGGCTTGTGACTACTATCTTATAACCCATTATTTTAGGCTGATGACAATTTAACACTGCTCGCATAAACAAACTAATAAGCAAAAAGGAAAACTAATAAAAACTCTAGTTTAACTTTGTTTCCCTACCCTTTAACTTCTTGTTTCTGTTTATATCTTATTGTATTGTGTATGTCTTGAAAGTTATTATTTTTGATTGGTTAATCTTTTAGTCTACTTGAGTAGTTTATACACCACAGTTACAATATTTATAATATTCTATGTTTTTGTGTATTGCTAGTGAGTTTTGTATCTTTAAATGATGTCTTATAGCTCATTGACATCCTTTGTGATTGAAGTACATCCTGTAGCATTTCTCGTAGGACAGGTCTGGTGTTGACGAAATCCCTCAGCTTTTGTCTGAAAAAGTCTTAATTTGTCCTTCACGTTTGAAGAATATTTTTATCAGATGTACAATTCTAGGGTAGAAGGTTTTTTTTTTTCCTTCAGCACTTTAAGTATGTTATGTCACTCTCTCCTGTCCTGTAAGGTTTCCATTGAAAAGTCTGCTGCCAGACATGTTGGATCACCATCGTATGTTGTTTCTTTTCCCTTGCTGCTTTTAGGATCTTTTATCCTTGACCTTTGGGAGCTTGATTATTAAATGCCTTGAAGTAGTCTTCTTTGAGTTAAATGTGCTTGGTGTTCTATAACCTCCTTGTACTTGGATATTAATATCTTTAAGTTCGAGAAGTTCTGTGATATTATCCCTTTGAATAAACTTGCTACACCATCTTTTTCTTTACCTCCTCTTTAAGGCCAATAATAACTCTTAGATTTGCCCTTTGGAGGCTATTTTCTAGATCTTGTAGGTGTGCCTCATTGTTTTTTACTCTTTCTTCTTTTGTCTCCTCTGTGTATTTTCAAACAACCTGTCCTCAAGATCAATAATTCTGTCTTCTGCTTGATCAGTTGTGCTATTAAGATCCTCTAATGAATTCCTCAGTATGTCACTTGCATTTTTCAACTGTAGAATTTCTGCCTGATTCTTTTTAATTATTTCAATCCATTTGTTACATTTATTTGTCTGAATTCTTTTTCTGTGTTATTTTGAATTTCTTTGCATATCCACAAAACAGATATTTTGAATTCTGTGTCTGAAAGGTGACATATTTTTGTTTCTCTAGGATTTGTCTCTGGTGCCTTATTTAGTTCATTTGGTGATATTTTCCTGAATGGTCTTGATGCTTGTTGATGTTCTTCAGTGTCTAGGCATTGAAGAGTTGGGAATTTATAGTAGTCTAACCAGTCTGGGCTTGTTTGTACCCATCCCTCTTGGGAAGGCTTTCTAGGTATTTGAAAGGACTTGGGTGTCGTCATCTAAGTCATATCTCCATTAGGGGCCACCCCAAGCCTAGTAATGCTGTGCTTCTTGCAGACTCATAGTGGTACCACCCTCGTAGTCTGGGATAAGATCCAAAAGAATTATCTGGATTACCAGGGTTCAGGAAGTTCTCTTTTGTTATTCCTTTGAATAAACTTTCTGCCCCTATTTCTTTCTCTACCTCCTCTTTAAGGCCAATAAGTCTTAAGATCTGCCCTTATGAGGCTTGTTCTCTTCCCTTACTTTCTCTCAAACAAATGAAGTCTCAGTCTCTCTCTAAGCTTGCCCTCAAATGACAAGACATGGTTCTTCTCACTCTCCCCTTTCCATAGGCAGAGGAGCCTCACCTCATGGTCACCACCACTACAGGCCCACTGGGGAATACTATCAGGCTCCTGCCAATGTTCCCTTAAGGTCTTAGGGCTCTTCAGTCAGCTTCTGGTGAATACTGCTAGGTCTGGGATTCATCTTTCAAGGCAATGGGCTCTCCTCTGTCTTAACACAGGTCCAGAAATGCTGTCCGTGAGCCAAGGTCTGGAATCAGGGACCTCAAGAGCCTGTTTAGCACTCTACCCACTGTGCCCGAAGTGGCACCTAAGGTGCAAGACAAAGTCTTTACTTCTCCCTCTGCTTTTCTCAAGCAGATGGAGTCTCTCATTGTAGTCACCCCAACT
The DNA here is from genome assembly GCF_000001405.40 of Homo sapiens. Taxonomy (NCBI): domain Eukaryota; kingdom Metazoa; phylum Chordata; class Mammalia; order Primates; family Hominidae; genus Homo; species Homo sapiens. Next base: position 25,615,498 of record NC_000010.11, read on the forward strand.
GAGAATTTGCTAGGTCTCATTTGAAGCCTGCACATCTCAGAGTCTCACCCCAAGGCCCATGGTATACTACCTGAGTATTACTGCTTGCTATTCAGGGCTCAAGGACTCTTCAGTTGGCAGATGATGGATCCTGCCAGTACTGTGTCCTTGTCTTAAAGGCAGCGGGCTCCGTTCTGGCCCAGAGTGTGTCCAGAAATATTGTCTGGGAGCTAGAGGCGGGAATGGGGGCCTCATGACTTTGCCCTGTGCCCTATCCTATTGTGGTTGTGATGATAATCAAGATGCAAGACCAAAGTCTTCTTTACTCTTCCCTCTCCTCAGGAGGAAGGAAAGGGTCTTCTTTGGAGGCACAAGATGTGTTGCCTGGGGTTGGGGGAGGGGTGGTATAAGCATGCCCCACCTGGTGTCTCAGTAGTCTGTGTACACCCAAATTCCACTATCTCCAAGCCCAGCTCAGTATTTGGACTTGTGGTCCTTATGGCCTAGGCTGCCTTTCAAGTTTATTTAGAGCTCCAGAGCACATCAGCCTGTGATGGCAAGGCTTGCCAGAACTCAAGTTCTGACCACGGGGATAGGCGACTTCTCTCCGGCTAGGGCTGGTTTGAATGCTCCCTTTATGGGCGGGTGTCAGCTGAGTTCAGCCTGGTTTTGCTTTCTGCTGTGTTAAGGCAGCACTGAGGTCAATACAAAGTGTCACAACTGTTGCACTCCCTCTCCCAAACACAGATTTCTATTCACCACATGGCTACTGTGAGGGGATGGGGGAGGAATGACATCAGCAATTCAATTCAAGACAAATCTGTCGTTCCTACACTCTTCAGTGCTTTTTTCAGTGATGTGAATTTAAAACCAGGTATTGTAAGTGCTCACCAATTTTTGATTCTTATGAAGGTGGTGTTTTGTATCTAGATAGTTGTTGAATTTGATGTTCCTGCCAGAGGAATGATTGGTACGGCCTTCTACTCTACCACCTTTCTCCACCCCTCTTCTGGCACGAATTTTGTTTACTTATTTTGTGGAGATAGAGTATAATTATGTTACCCAGGCTGGAGTACAGTTGTGAGATCTTGGCTCACTGCAACTTCCACCTCCCAGATTCAAGTAATTCTCCTCCCTCAGCCTCTCGAGTAGCTAGGATTACAGGTGCCCACCACCACACCTAGCTAATTTTGTATTTTTAGTGGAGATGGGGTTTCACCATGTTGGCCAGGCTGGTCTTGAACTCCTGACCTCAAGTGATCTGCCTGCCTCAGCCTCCCAAAGTGCTGGGATTATAGGCATGAGCCATCATGCCTGGCCTTCTGTCATGAATTTTAAAGAGACTCTGAGCTATCTGAGGTTGGTCCCAGTGGAGCCTTCCAGTATGCAGTTGTGGAGGGGCAGGGTTTATGTCTAGGTAGCTTTCCCTTTTTCTTAAATGAAATGGGTCTCTAAAGATAGCATAGCAGACAGTGGAAGTATAGCTAATGGCAGGAATGGAAGGAGGGCAGGCCAAATACTAGGCAAAAAGTTAATGTTAACAAAAATATGAATGGACCAAACTTGAGCCCATGTACTGTGCACCATAGTCCAGGAGGCCAGTAAGCATTCAGTCTATCTCAGACAGTGGTGTGATGTTACCAAATATGATGTGAGCTCTGCTGCCTTCTGCCAGAGGAACAGTCCTGCATTCCTAGTTGCAAGCAGCTGAGGCAATTTTGGTAACACAAAGTTCTAATTTCAGCCTTGAATATAGTCTCCATCAACACGGAGAAACCATAAAATGAAAAATTAACAAAGGCCTCTTAATTTTGAATGATTTGAGGTTTTAAATTCTATTTCCTATTTTGCCATCTGACTACATTGGCAAGGACTGGTGGTTATGCTCATTATTATTTTTAACTTCTTGGTAATTTAATCCTGGGTTTTTAGCTGGACACAGAGTGCCCTGGAATAAACTCTAAATTTCACAGGCTCTCTTTCTGATAGGTATGGCCAATGACTAAGTCAATTGATACATTTTGGCCAGTAAATGACTGGTCAATAAGATGTAAGTAGAAATGAGACATGTGACTTCCAAGAGGTATCCAGAAATGTGAGGAAACATGCCTCTTATTCTGCCTTTTTTTGTTCCTCACAACTGGATGTCTAATAGCCATCTTGGAACCTGAGGCAAAATCTGCATATTGAATATGACAGGAAACAAAATAGAAGAATCCTTGATACTTTATTATTGTGCCACCCCTGAACTATCCTGGAGATTTTGAATCCATGAGAGAAAAAATAAACTTTTATTTTTTTAAGCCATTCCCTTTACTTTGTCTCCTGAAATAGAATTTAATCATAACTACTGCATGTACATATATACAGTATTTACTGGGCCTTCAGCCACAAATCCTTTCTTTTGGAACTTGGCTCTCAATACCTTGCCTCAGTGGGTGTCAAGAAAAATATATCTAGAGTTTGGCATATTTACTGGCAAAATATTTAGTAAAACAGTTGCTTGCAATAAACTCCCTGATAAACTTGTGACTTTAGACAAAAACTGTGTAAACATAATGTTGCAATTATGAGTTAGTAAGTCATTGGCTGAATTTGACTAGGTTAAATACTACTATAATTGCCCAATGAGTTTTTCTTGCTCACTGCACAGATAAAGCTAATGCACTGAGACAGCAGGCTTATTGCAGCAGAGACTCTAATTATCACAAGGCAGCTAAGGAGAAGGACAGGGGACAGTTCTCAAATCCACCTCTCTGAGAATTTGGAGGCTAGGGTTTCTAAGGATTGTTTTTCAGACAGAGGGACTAAGAAATGAGAAATGCTGATTGGCTGGGTTGGGGATGAAATCACAAGGGTGTTGAAAACTGTCTTTGTGGGCTAATTTTCTGGGTTGGGGTCACCAGTCCAAATGGCATCAGTTGTTCTACCAGAATGCAAAATCTGAAAAATATCTCAAACGCCAGTCTTAGATTTTACAATAGTGATGTTGGGGAAGTTTCAAGTCTTGTGACCATTGGCTGTATGACTTCTGAGCAGGAAGAAAGTTAGTAGATAATGACTATTTATCATTTAACTATGCATAGGTCTTAGCACAATGCAGGCTTCTCTCATAATTCTAATCTTGTGGCCCTTCATTGGTTTCTACAAAGGTAGTTTCAGTCCCCAAACAAGGAGGGGTAGTTTGAGGAAGGGGCTATTACTATCTTTGCTTAAAGGTTAAACTAGACACTAAATTCTTCCCATAGTTAGCTTGGCCTATGCCCAGGAATGGGCAAGGGCTGTTGGCTTGTGAGGTTAGAGACAAGATGAAGCCAATTATGTTAGATTTCTCTCCCTGTCATAATTTTTGCAAAGGCGGTTTTACTACCAAAAAAGAGATAAGCTCAGAAAAGAATTGGCTGCTTTGTAAGCAGAGTTAAAAGGGATATAGGCTATCCAGAAATTCTAAGAATTGCAGGGCTGGGATGTGTAATGACTTCTCAACTGAAACTGGTGAAAGTTAAAACCTAAAAACTTTTGAGCCAAAAAACCAATTCAGCCTCAGCTTTGGGTAAAGATCTAAGACTAAACTGAGTTGGAGTTGGCCCCAGTAAATCCTTTCAAAATGGTTCATGAAAAAGTAAATAAGGGCATGTCTCTCTCACAGAAGCCTGATAAGATCAATGTACCAGTCAATTACTATAGAGAAAAAAACCTATCTCATTTTGCTGGCGAGATGGCCCAATAGGAACAGCTCTGGTCTGCAGCTCCCAGTGAGATCAACACAGAAGGTGGGCGATTTCTGCATTTCCAACTGAGGTACCCAGTTCATCTCATTGGGACTGGTTTGACAGTGGGTGCAGCCCATGGAGGGTGAGCCGACGCAGGGTGGGACATCGCCTCACCCGGAAAGCACAAGGGGTTGGGGGATTTCCCTTCCCTAGCCAAGAGCAGCTGTGAGGGACTGTGCTGTGAGGAATGGTGCAACTCCGGCCCAGATACTGCAGTTTTCCCATGGTCTTCACAAGCCACAGAGCAGATTCCCTCCAGTGCCTACATCATCAGGGCCCTGGGTTTCAAGCACAAAACTGGGCAACTGTTTGGGCAGACACCAAGCTAGCTACAGGAGTTTTTGTTGTTTGTGTTTTTTTTGTCCCCCACCCCCCATACCCTAGTGGCACCTGGAATGCCAGTGAAACAGAACCATTCACTCCCCTGGAAAGGAGGCTGAAGCCAGGAAGCCAAGTGGTCTGGCTCAGGAGGTCCCACCGCCACAGAGCCCAGCAAGCTAAGATCCACTGGCTTGAAATTTTCGCTGCCAGCACAGCAGTCTGAGGTCAGCCTGGGATGCTGGAGCTTGGTGGGGGGAAGAGGCATCCTCCATTGCTGAGGTTTGAGTAGGCGGTTTTACCTTCACAGTGTGAACAAAGCCTCCAGGAAGTTCAAACTGGGTGGAGCCCACCACAGCTCAGCAAGGCCACTGCGGCCAGACTGCCTCTCTAGGTTCCTCGCCTCTGAGCAGGGCATCTCTGAAAAAAAGGCAGCAGCCCCAGTCAGGGACTTATAGATAAAACCCCCATCTCCGTGGGACAGAGCACCTGGGGAAAGGGGTGGCTGTGGGCACAGCTTCAGCAGACTTAAACATCCCTGCCTGACAGCTTTGAAGAGAGCAGTGGATCTCCCAGCACAGCGTTCAAGCTCTGATATGGGTCAGACTGCTTCCTCAAGTGGGTCCCTGACCCCCCGTGTATCCTGACTGGGAGTCACCTCCCAGTAGGGTCTGACAGACACCTCATACAGGAGAGGTCTGACTGGCATGTGGCAGGTGCCCCTCTGGGACGAAGCTTCCAGAGGAAGGAACAGGCAAGCAATCTTTGCTGTTCTGCAGCCTCCGCTGGTGATACACAGGCAAAGAGGGTCTGGAGTGGATCTCCAGCAGACCTGCAGCAGAGGGGCCTGACTGTTAGAAGGAAAACTAACAAACAGAAAGGAATAGCATCAACATCAACAAAAAGGACGTCCACTCAGAGACCCCATGCAAAGGTCAGCAGCATCAAAGACCAAAGGTAGATAAACCCACAAAGGTGGGGAGAAACCAGCACAAAAAGGCTGATAATTCCAAAAACCAGAATGCCTCTTCTCCAAAGCATCACAACTCCTCACCAGCAAGGGAACAAAACTGGATGGAGAGTAAGTTTGACGAATTGACGAAGTAGGCTTCAGAAGGTGGGTAATAACAAACTCCTCTGAGCTAAAGGAGCATGTTGTAACCCAATGCAAGGAAGCTAAGAACCTTGAAAACAAGGCTAGACAAATTGCTAACTAGAATAATCAGTTTAGAGAAGAACAAAAATGACCTGATGGAGCTGAAAAACACAGAATGAGAACTTCACAAAGCATACACAAGTATCAATAGCCTAATCAATCAAGCAGAAGAAAGGATATCAGAGATTGAAGATGAACTTAGTGAAATAAAGCAAGAAGACAAGATTAGAGAAAAAAGAATGAAAAGAAAGGAACAAAGCCTCCAAGAAATATGGGGCTATGTGAAAAGACTAAATCTACGTTTGATTGGTGTACAAGAAAGTGACGGGGAGAATGGAACCAAGTTGGAAAACACTCTTCAGGATATTGTCCAGGAGAACATCTCCAACCTAGCAAGAAAGGCCAACATTCAAATTCAGGAAATGCAGAGACCGCCACAAAGATACTCCTTGAGAAGAGCAATCCCAAGACACATAATCATCAGATTCACCAAGGTTGAAATGAAGGAAAATATAGTAAGGGCAGCCAGAGAGAAAGGTCGGGTTACCCACAAAGGGAAGCCCATCAGACTAACAGCGGATCTCTTGGCAGAAACCCTAGAAGCCAGAAGAGAGTGGGGCCAATATTCAACATTCTTAAAGAATTTAACCCAGAATTTCATATCCAGCCAAACTAAGCTTCATAAGCGAAGGAGAAATAAAACCCTTTACAGACAAGCAAATGCTGAGAGATTTTGTAACCACCAGGCCTGCCTTACAAGAGCTCCTGAAAGAATCACTAAACATGGAAAAGAAAAACCAGTACCAGCCACTGCAAAAAAAAAAAACAAAAACAAAAACAAAAAAAAAAAACCACATTGTAAAGACCATTGACACTATGAAGAAACTGCATCAACTAATGGGCAAAATAACCTGCTAGCATCATAATGACAGGATCAAATTCACACATAAAAATATTCACCTTAAGTATAAACAGGATAAATGTCCCAATTAAAAGACACAGACTGGCAAATTAGATAAAGAGTCAAGACCCATCAGTGTGCTGTATTCAGGAGACCAATCTCACATGCAAAGACACATAAAGGCTCAAAATAAAGGGATGGAGGAATATTTACCAAGCAAAGGGAAAACAAAAAAAGGCAGGGGTTGCAATCCTAGTCTCTGATAAAACAGACTTTAAACCAATGAAGATCAAAAGAGACAAAGAAGGCCATTACATAATGGTAAAGGGATCAATGCAACAAGAAGAGCTAACTATCCTAAATATATATGCACCCAATACAGGAGCACCCAGATTCATAAAGCAAGTTCTTAGAGACCTACAAGGAGTCTTAGACTCCCACACAATAATAGTGGGAGAGTTTAATACTCCACTGTCAATATTAGATCAATGAGACAGAAAATTAACAATTATATTCAGGACTTGAACTTAGCTCTGGACCAAGCAGACCTAATAGACATCTACAGAACTCTCCACCCCAAATAAATAAACAGAATATACATTCTTCTCAGCACATCGTACTTATTCTAAAACTGACCACATAATTGGAAGTAAAACACTCCCCATCAAATGCAAAAGAATGGATATCATAACAAACAGTCTCTCAGACCACAGAGCAATCAAATTAGAACTCAGGATTAAGAAACTCACTCAAAACCGCTCCACTACGTGGAAACTGAACAACCTGCTCCTGAATGACTAGTGGGTAAATAACAAAATTAAGGCAGAAATAAAGATGTTCTTTGAAACCAATGAGAACAAAGACATGACATACCAGACTCTCTGGGACACATTTAAAGCAGTGTTTAGAGGGAAATTTTTAGCACTAAATGCCCACAAGAGAAAGCAAGAAAGATCTCAAATCGACACCCTAACATCACAATTCTTTAATTAGAGAAGCAAGAGCAAACACATTCAAAGACTAGCAGAAGACAAGAAATAACTAAGATCAGAGCAGAACTGAAGGAGAAAGAGACACAAAAAAACCTTTCAAAGAAAAAAAAAAAAAATCAATCCAGGAGTTGTTTTTTTTTTTTTTGAAAAGATCAACAAAATAGACTCCTAGCCAGACTAATAAAGAAAAGAGAGAAGAATCAAATAGATGCAATAAAAAATGATAAAGGGGATAGCACCACTGATCCCACAGAAATACACACTATCAGAGAATACTATAAACAACTGTATGCAAATAAACTAGAAAATCTAGACAAAATGGATAAATTCCTGGACATATACACCCTCCCAAGACCAAACCAGAAAGAAGTCGAATCCCTGAATAGACCAATAACAAGTTCTGAAATTGAGGCAGTAATAGCCTACCAACCAAAAAAAGTCCAGGACCAGATGGATTCACACCTGAATTCTACCAGAGGTACAAAGAGGAGCTGGTACCATTCTTTCTGAAACTCTTCCAAACAATAGAAAAAGAGGGAATTCTCCCTAACTCATTTTATGAGGCCAGCATCATCCTGATACCAAAACCTGGCAGAGACACAACAAAAAAAGAAAATTTCGGGCCAATATCCCTGACGAACATCGACACAAAAATCCTCAATAAAATACTAGCAAACCAAAGGCAGCAGCACATCAAAAAGCTTATCCACCATGATCAAGTTGGCTTCATCCCTGGGATGCAAGGCTGGTTCAACATATGCAAATCAATAAATGTAACCCATCACATAAACAGAAACCAATGTCAAAAACCATATAATTATCTCAATAGATGCAGAAAAGGCCTTTGACAAAATTCAACAGCACTTCATGCTAAAAACTCTCAATAAACTAGGTATTGATGGAACGTATCTCAAAATAGTAAGAGCTATTTATGACAAACCCACAGCCAATATCATATTGACTGGGCAAAAACTGGAAACATCCCCTTTGAAAACCGGCACAAGACAAGGATGCCCTCTCTCACCACTCCTATTCAACATAGCATTGGGAGTTCTGGCCAGGGCAATCAGGCAAAAGAAGGAAATAAAGGGTATTCAAATAGGAAGAGAGGAAGTTAAATGGTCTCTGTTTGCAGATGACATGACTGTATATTTAGCAAACCCCATTGTCTCAGCCCAAAATCTCCTTAAGCTGATAAGCAACTTCAGCAAAGTCTCAGGATACAAAATCAATGTGCAAAAAATCACAAGCATTCCTATATATCAATAAAAGACAAACAGAGAGCCAAATCATGAGTGAACTCCCATTCACAATTGCTTCTAAGAAAATAAACCTATGAATCCAACTTACAGGGGATGTGAAGGAATTCTTCAAGGAGAACTACAAACCACTGCTCAAGGAAATAAGAGAGGACACGAACAAATGGAAAAACATTCCATGCTTATGGATAGGAAGAATCAATATTGTGAAAATGGCTGTACTGCCCAAAGTAATTTATAGATTCAATGCTCTCCCCATCAAGCTACCAATGACTTTCTTCCTAGAATTGGGAAAAAACTACTCTAAATTTCATATGGAACCAGAAAAGAGCCCACATAACCAAAACAATACTAAGCCAAAAGAACAAAGCTGGAGGCATCACACTATCTGACTTCAAACTATACTACAAGCCCACAGTAACCAAAATAGCATGGTACTGGTACCAAAACAGATAGATGGACCAATGGAACAGAACAGAGGCCTCAGAAATAACACCACACATCTACAACTATCTGATCTTTGACAAACTGACAAAAACAAGAAATGGGGAAAGGATTCCCTATTTAATAAATTGTGTTGGGAAAACTGGCTAGCCATATGCAGAAACTTAAACTGGATCCCTTTCTTACACCTTATACAAAAATTAAAAATGGATTAAAGACTTAAACATAAGACCTAAAATTATAAAAACCCTAGAAGAAAACCTAAGCAATACCATTCAGGACATAGGCATGGGCAAAGACTTGATGACTAAAACACCAAAAGCAATGGCAACACAACCCAAAAATGACAAATGGGATCTAATTAAAGAGCTCCTGCACAACGAAAGAAACTATCATCAGAGTGAACAGGCAACCTATGAAATGGGAGAAAATTTTTGCAATTTATCCATCTAACAAAGAGCTAATATCCAGAATCTACAAAGAACTTAAACTTACAAGAAAACAAACAACCTCATCAAAAAGTGGGTGAAGGATATGAACAGACACTTCTCAAAAGACATTTATGCAGCCAACAAACATGAAAAAAAAGCTCATCATCACTGTTCATTAGATAAATGCAAATCGAAACCACAATGAGATACCATCTCAAGCCAGTTAGAATGGCATTCATTAAAAACTCAGAAAACAACAGATGATGGAGAGGATGTGGAGAAATAGGAATATTTTTTACACTGTTGGTGGGAGTGTAAATTAGTTCAATGATTGTGGAAGACAGTCTGGTGATTCCTCAAGGATCTAGTAGTAGAAATACCATTTGACCCAGCAATCCCATTACTGGGTATATACCCAAAGGATTATAAATCATTCTAATATAAAGACACATACACACATATGTTTACTGTGGCACTGTTCACAATAGCAAAGACTTGGAACCAACCCAAATGCCCATCAATGATAGACTGGATAAAGAAAATGTGGCACATATACACCATGGAATACTATGCAGCCATAAAAAAGACAAGTTTGTGTCCTGTGCAGGGACATGGATAAAGCTGGAAACCATCATTCTCAGCAAACTAACACAAGAACAGAAAACTAAATACCACATGTTCTCACTCAACAGATGCTGGAGAGGATGTGGGGAAATAGGAATGCTTTTATGCTGTTGGTGGGAGTGTAAATTAGTTCAACCATTGTGGAAGACAGTATGGCGATTCCTCAAGGATCTAGAACTAGAAATACCATTTGACCCAGCAATCTCATTCCTGGGTATATACCCAAAGGATTATAAATCATTCTACTATAAAGACACATGCACACATGTTTATTGTGGCACTGTTCACAATAACAAAGACTTGGAACCAACCCAAATGCCCATCAGTGATAGACTGGATAAAGAAAATGTGGCACATATACACCATGGAATGCTATGCAGCCATAAAAAAAGATGAGTTCATGTCCTTTGCAGGGACATGGATAAAGCTGGAAACTATTATTCTCAGCAAACACAAGAACAGAAAACCAAACACTGCATGTTCTCACTCATAAGTGGGAGTTGAACAATGAGAACAGATGGACACAGGGAGGGGAACATCACACACCCGGGCCTATCAGGGGGCTGGGGGGCTAGGGGAAGGATAGCATTAGGAGAAATAACTGATGTAGATGATGGGTTGATGGGTGCAGCAAAGCACCATGGCACGGGTATAACTATGTAACAAACCTGCACATTCTGCACATGTACCCCAAAACTTACAGTATAATAAGAAACTTAAATAATAATAACAAAAAGAAAAGAAAAAAGCTTATCTCAAAAAGAATTGCATGTATGCTTATTGGCACATGGTGATGATAGACATAAAATGAATAAAGAGTTAACTTTTTCTTCAAAAAATTACAGGATAAAAGCAGAATAATTGTATAATTCATCAACCAAACTGGAGCATTTTTAGAGATAAAGGGGCATTATTCATTATACTGAGACAGTAGCCATAAACTAGAGCTTCTGGACAAATTAGAATATATGATTATTCTAACAAAAAGAATAAGTTGCCTTGAGATGTAAAATTGCCTTTTGGCACCTAGCTTTTGATAGGCAGTAGGAAGCCTGCCCCACCTCCGAGGAGTCATATATTCTCCAAGGTCATATTCAGATGTGGCTAAGAAAATTATGGAAATGGAAGTACTGCCCAGACAATGGAGACAAAGACAACAAAACACATTTTACTGGGGAGCTAATTGTGGGAAATGAACTAGTTTCTATTCAAGAGACATCTCCTCCCAGGATAGGAAGGTGCTCTTAATATCTGCCCAATGGGAATGTTTATACTCTTAGTAGGAATGTAAATTAGTACAACCTCTCTGGAAAACAGTATGGAGATTTCTCAAAGAACTAGAAATAAAACTTCCCTTTGATCTAGCAATCCCCTGACTGTGCATCTACCCAAAGGAAATAAATCATTTTATCAAAAAGGCATCTGCACTTATATGTTTGTTGCAGCACTATTCATAATAGCAAAGTCGTAGAATCAACCTAAGTGTCCATCAAGGAATGATTGGAGTAAAAATGTGGTTCATATATGTACACCACAGACTACTACTCAGCCATAAAAAATAAAAGAATGGAATCATGTCTTTATCAGCAACATGGATAGAACTGGAGTTTATTATCCTAAGTGAAATGATTCAGGAACAAAAAGTAAAAAACTCCATGTTCTCACTTATAAGTGAGAGCTAAGCAGTGGGTACACCTGGACATAAAGATGGACTCATAGACACTGGAGACTCTAAAAGGTGGGAAGGTGAGGTGGAGTGGGTGAGGAATGAGATATGACCTATTGGGTACAACGTATACTGTTTGGGTGATGGGGCACCCTGAAAGTCCAGAACACTACTACAATGTAATATATCCATATAATATGCTTATACCCCTAAATCCATTAAAAAAATTTGCTCAGTGAGATTTTATGACTCCCCCAACCTACCTGACATTCCTTCCTCTTCAGGACAGCCATACTTACTGTGGCCATCCTCTTTCCACCCCACCCTGTTTCTTGGGTACATAGGGAGCAGAGGGAACAATAATTTGCCTTTTAGTTAAGAGAACCCCAGATCAAGAAAAGCTTTATCTGGACCTGATAAGATGACTGTCATGAGATGATGGGCTTTGAGCTTAATTCAGTACCTGAGTAAAACTCTTACAACATCTTCTTTGGAGGAGAGGTGAATATATTTTTCTTAGTAAAGGCAGAAAGCAAGAGGCTGGAACGTTGTGGACTGCATTCTTGTTCCTGCTCATATGCAGCTTTCCCTGTGAGAGGGAGATGCAGCCGTTCTTACCCAGGGGCACATGACTTGTGGGCCCTCCTGGGGAGAATATTCCCATCCCCATGGGTTTCAGGCTTGGACACATTCAAGCAGAGCATTCAGAATCTTCATGTGGTCCTGGCTTAGTTGTTCTCTCTCTGCCACAAGAACAGCATATGTTCTAAATTGAGACTTCTCCTTTGGCCTAGATTTCAGAATAAAAAAGGCACATGGAGCACAGCCAAGCAGAGCCCAGCAAAAGCACAGCAGTTCCACAGCCAACATGTAACAGGAGCAAAATATAAGACTTGACTTTGTGCGCCAGTAAGAATATAGAGTTGTTTGTTACCACAGCACAACCCGGGAAAAGCTGACTGATACTGAAAGTCTAGTCAATAGATTGGCCAAACTATAGCCTAAACGCCATCACTTTAGCCCTTACTTTGGGCCTGTTGGTGTGTGAGGGGGAGAAAATTGTTGAGGAAATCAACGGCTTTTGATAGAATTGGAAACCATCCTTTTCATGAAGAATCTTTCTTTCAGGGTCTATATTATAATTTCATTCTACCTGCTGCTTGAGGGTGATAACTGAGCAGTTTATTTTTTCATAGGTATATATATATTTATTTTGAGACAGGGTCTTTCTCTGTCGCCCAGCCTGGAATGCAGTGGTGTGATCACAGCTCACTGCAGCCACAACCTCCTGGACTCAAGAGATCCTCCCACCTCAGCCTCCCAAGTAGCTGGGACTACAGGCACCCTCCACCATGCCTGGCTAATAGTTGTATTTTTTGTAGAGATTAAGTTTTGCCACATTGCTCAGGCTGGTCTCAAATTCCTAGGCTCAAAATGATCCATCTATCTCAGCCTCCTAAAGTGCTGGGATTACAGGCATGAGCCACCACGTCTGGCCCATTTTATTTTGTTATATAGGTAAATTGAGCATCATGGACGTTTGGTGTATGGATTACCTTGCCACCCAGGTAATAAGCAGAGTACTAAATAAGTAGTATTTTGATCCTTACCCCCCTTCTCCCTCCACCCTCAAGTAGCCTTGTGTCTGTTGTTCCCTTCTTTGTGTCCACGTGTTCCCAGTATTTAGCTCCCACTTATAAGTAAGAACATGCAGTATTTGGTTTCCTGTTGCTGTGGTTAGTTCACCGAGGATGATGGCCTCCACCTCCATCTGTGTTGCTGCAAAGGACATGGCCTTGTTTTGTTTTATGGCTGCATAATACGGTCCATCTTAAATTTAAATTTTGCACCTACTCTTGGAATGTACCAGCTGTTTCAGGCTCTATGAGGATCAGTGATACCATAGATCTTTCTGCGTAAACCTCCTAATTATGGGTTGCGGGTACAGAAAACATTCTAATCTTACAAGGGCACTTCAGAAAGAGCAGAATTACAAACTGAAGAAATCTGCCACTCATGATGACGTTTATGTTACTATGAAACCCAGATTGTTGCACTTTGAGGGACAGAATTAAATTTTCTGACTCCCTTTAACCAATGTACCCTCGTGGCCACCCTCTCTTGAAACTGAGAGTACAGAAGATGGTGCACTGGAAAGTAACAGCAAGTAAGTAATTCTGAAGCCTAGGTTTCTGTGCTTCTATATGTTTTATCCCCTAGGTCAAAGATGGTTACTGCATTTTAAAAGTGTTTTTAGGATATTAAATCGAAGTACATTATTCAGTGTCTAGTACCATTTATTCAGTGTCTAGTACCATTTAGCAACTCACACTTTGATTTTCTTAAGTTCTCCTTTAAGCTTCATCTGACAGATGCTTTTATTTCATCTTCTTGATTCTTTTCAGCATTATAATATCTGTATTTTTCACATGTGGGAGCACTAACAGTCTGAGTTCAGAAACAGCCCCAGATCTGGAAATGGATTAGGACTTGACAATGACCAGCAGTCAAAACAGCTGGGAAACACTAAAAACACTGAAAGCACAGAAGGCCCAGTGAAAAAGAAAAGGCCTGAGGTGACCAGATGATGTTGATAAGTCTAGTTCCAGTAGCAACAAACTGAGAAGTATCATTAAAGAAGCAATGAAAGGAAAAAATAAGAGGCAGTGAGGAAGAAAAAACAGTTAATAGGAACAACTGAAACTATGGCTTGCACAAATCATAGCTGAGATTAGAAGAAATAGGGTCAGCAAAGTGCATTCCGCTGACTGCGGCACCAAGTGGCCTCGATACACGGGGTACTCTGGGGTCCTAAAGTATAGAGACAAAAAGGAAATCAGAAACCTCAACAAACTCGTGAAAGTCATGATGCAATGGCACAATAACTGTGCATATAATCAGATACCCAGCACAGTTTGCTGTGCTTTAAGACCCGCCCGTTGTCTCCCTGGTGAAGAAAATGGGACTCTAACCACCAAATTTACATTATGATCACTATAAAAAGTGTCATACTCACTAAAAGAAAATGTATTCACTTCCCTTGAGGAATTTACAATCCAGCAAGCATGAAACAAGTCCAGCAGAGATGTAGTTCATAAAAAGACGGATACAAGGTGCTTTAGTATTTTCCCAAGTCAAATCCCACGGCCAGGGGTTCTGAGGCAGGAAAATAGGGTCTGAAGGCAGGGAACCCAAGGCTAATTCACACTTAAGCTATCACAGGAAATATCCTCTCCATGACTTTGTAACTTTACTTCATCCTCCTCATTTACATAGGGTATACCCCAAGTAACCAATGGGATCCTCTAGAGGGTATTTAAACTCCCCAAAATTTTGGAATGGGGCCTTTCAGCCCCTATGCTCAGCCTGCTCCCACACTGTGGGGAGTGTACTTCCATTTTCAATAAATCCCTTCATTCCTTCCTTGCTTGCTTTGTGCATTTTGTCCAATTCTTTGTTCAAGACGCCAAGAACCTGGACACCCTCCACTGTTAACAGTTCTAAAGGAATAATTAAAGCAGTTGTCTAGAAAATGTCCTTTATAAGATTTAAAAAACCCAGTTCCAATCCCTAATAACTTTACATTTTTCATTTTTCATTTAGAATGTTTGGTTTGTTTAATGGGCTTGAAGGCCAAGTTTTAAGAATTAACAACTTTACAAACTGAAGCAGAGTTACCCTATACTTAGGCCCACAGAAAAAAATCTAGTTTCCAATTCTCTGATATTGTCCTCATCTTCTTTCCAGACTCCTACCCCTCTGGGAGATAGGGAAAACTTTGATATGCCAGTTATTTGTTTTTTTGTTTTGAGGCAGGGTCTCCCTCTGTCACCCAGGCAGGAGTGCCGTGGTGCAATCACAGCTCATTGCAGCCTCAACCTCCTGGGCTCAAGCAATCCTCCTGCCTCAATTTAAAATTTTTTAAATAGAGCCCAGGAATTAGAGACCATTCTGGGAAACATGGTGAGTCCCCAAGCAATCCTCCTGCCTTGGCCAACAAAAGTGTGAGGATTACAGGGGTGAGCCACTGCATTTGGCCTATTTTTGTTTCTTCTAATTTAAGCAGTTTCCTTTCTGTCTATAAACATTCACTCCTTTCACTCTCTTTGGGATCACCTTTGGTATGATGAAATTTATGCAAATAATGTCATATTCTACCCTTTCCTTTCCCTCCTACACTTCTGGCTTGGGGTGTAGGAGGAGTTTTGGGCTCTCATAGTGGTGGAAAGAAACAGAGTCCTTGGGTCTATTTGGTATATCCTGGGGCTTTGGATTCACTGCTCCAAATGATGGGATTGGTTTGCTCACTGGTCTGGTGACGGCTGCTGAGATCCTCTCTTGGGATCTGTGTTGCTGCCATCCCTAGAGCTTGTACTCCCAGGAACTTTCCCCCTGTTTAGAAATTCCTAGCTCTGTAGCCTTTTGGTCCTGACCCCAGAGCTCTGCAGTCCGGGGGTGCTCTTAGCACCTCCACATCTCATAGCCAGGGCATGCAGAGTCATCTGGTTCTCTTGCATACCAAATATAGGCCATAGGGATCAACCATCTGTGGTCTGCTCCCACCTTCATGCCATCACCCCGGGCTTGTTGGAACTGTCTCTATGTAGTTTCTCCCAATGGCTGGCAGCCTCCTCTGCTCCCCGTGCCAGGAGAATTACGCCATGAACCTAAATATGCTTGGTCTCCCTCATGCCTCTCTGAGTTTTCTAAAGCCACTCCTCCACACCAGATGGTCAAGCACAGAAGCTGGAATGGATAGAGGGATGAAAGCCCCTGTATCTGACCTCCTTGTTCTCCATCTCTTTCCCACAATTCTAACAGGCTAGAAAGAGCAGTTTCCCCCTCTTCTACATGAAAAGAATATCTTCTCCACCTCCAAAAAAATAAACTCTTATCCAAGTCTGCAAGGCCTAAAGCCATTTAGAAACTCCTCTTCCTTTGTATAAAGCCATGCATGCAACTTTTATCTTTTATATAAAAGATATAGACTTTTTTTAGATAGAATCTCATTCTATCACCCAGGCTGGCGTGCAGTGGTACAATCTTGGCTCACTGCAATGTCTGCCTCCTGGGTTCAAGCAAGTCTCATGCCTCAGCCTCCCAAGGAGCTGGTATTACAGGCGCACACCACCACACCTGGCAAATTTTTGTATTTTTAGTAGAGACGAGGTTTTGCCATATTGGCCAGGCTGGTCTCAAACTTCTGGCCTCAAGTAATCTGCCCATCTCGGCCTCCCAAAGTGCTGGGATTACAGGTGTGAGCCACTGCTCCCAGCCGCAACTTATTTTTGGTGTTGCATAATCTTATTTGGTATGACAGAAATTCAGCATTAGCTTTTTCTCTTTAGATCCCAGCTGCACAGTCCTTATCCAGACCCCCCATTTTATGCAGATAGCTGTATCAGACTTGCTGGGAGGATGGTAATTTTCAAAGTACAAAAAAGAAATAATATTCATTTGGAAAAAACAAAACTCCATGACCTAAATATTGAAAGTAGGTTACAGAAATAAAAATTATAAAGAACTCAGTGAGTTTTGGGTTTACTATTTAGAGCTAGGAATTAGCAATGCTTGTTTGGGTATCACTGAAAAGGAAATAATTCTTGCATCAAAGTGCTTGAGAATCCTCCGGAGACCCTGTCTGCTCCCTTGATTTCCAACTCTTCCCACTGCTGTGTTGTCCCGGGGCCTCTGCCCTCCTTCCCTTTCTCTGACATAATCCCTGTAACCTTTATCTAGAGGATGACTCTTTCTGACACATTCAAGACTCTGCTAATCTTTCCCTACATATTTTTTTTTTCTGGAGAAGACATTGCCGTCTCCTCACTGCCACTCCATTACCTGGCTTTTCCTCTTCTAAATGTTAGTAATTTCTCCTTGTATCTTGGCATAAGTGAATTATGTCCACAGAAGCGAATTCTTGTATGGCTTGACATATTTCAGTATCTTAGCATGTGCACGCACGCATGCGCACACACACACCTCAATTCCCAAGAATGTTTCATTTTAATTCCTTGTAGTTCAACCATGATTTGTGCATAAAATAATTCTTAAAAGAATTTCTTTTATGAGTTAGGTTGGGTATTTAGCCATTTTGTCCTAGTTCCCCTGATATTGTAGCCATTTTTATTAATAAAGTACAAAAAATGCATCATAAACCTTTGGGCCAAGAGCTTTGTTCGCAGAGATGTCAGTGGTTAGTCAAGGTCAGATTTAACACCCCTAGGGATCCTTTTTCCTCCCCACCTTATTTTTGAGACAGGGTGTCTCTCTGTCACCCAGACTGGAGTGCAGTTGTGCAATCACGGCTCACTGCAGCCTTGACCTCCCCAGCTCAAGGGATTCTCCCTCCTCAGCCTCCCAAGTAGTTGGGACTACAGGCATGCACCAGCACACCCGGTTAATTTTTGTATTAGGTGTAGACATGGGGTTTTGCCATGTTGCCCAGACTGGTCTCAAACTCCTTGGCTCAAGCAATCCACTCCTCTTGGCCTCCCTAAGTGCTGGAGTTACAGGCATAAGCCACTGTGCCTGACCTCCTCCCCACCTTCTTAATAGCTTCTAGAAATCTGCTGAGTACAATGGAGGGCATACAAGCTTGGATATGAGAGTCTAGACCCAAGAGAAAAAAACCACAGAACTATAAAATTGACATGTGGCATCTCACATTACCTCTCCATTAACCTCATAATAAAACTGACAAACATTTATAGTTACTGACTAGTGTGTCAGGCGCTGTACTAAGCACTTTACGTGCATTAAACACACTTAAATTCTCAATAACCCTTGAGATAGGTAAATGTATATCTCCCTTTCCCAGAGGAGGAACCAGAAGCCCAGAGAGGTTAAGTCAATTATCCTCAGCCTTTAGCTAAGTTCCATCTCTGTTCCTCCTCTCACTCTTCTGGAGAGTAGCAATAACATATCCAATCCCAACCTCCAAACCCCCAAACACACAACTGAATGGTATAAAGACAGTGTCCTGACCTCTCTAAGCATCGGTGCTCCCCTCTGAGATTTGCAGAAATCTCAGTCTGCAAATCCCCCGCCCCATCACAGTTTTCTCAGCTCTCTCAGCTTTCATTTATTTATCTGAAAATGTGAATGCTTAAACTCGTGTGTTCCTTACCCCTTCAGAAAGCAGTTGGGTGGAGTAGACAGAGTAATGAGCCCCTTCCCCAAAGATGTCCACGTACGCCTCCTCCAAGTCTGTGAATAAGTTAGATTCCATGGCAAAGGAGAATTAAAGTTTCCAATCAGCTGACTATCATATAGTGAGAGAGTAGCCTAGATTACCCAGGTGGAGCCAGCATAATCCCAAATACACTGAAAAGTGTAAGAGGAAGGCTAAAGAGGAGGTTGGAGTGACTCAAAGTAAGAAGGACTCCACCTGCCGTTGCTGGCTCCAAAGATGACCAGGAGCTGAGGAATGCAGGTTCCTCTAGAAGCTGGAGAAGGCAAGAAAACAATTCCATGCCAGAGCTCCAGACAGGAGTACAGCCCTGCCAACACTTTGGTTCCAGGCTAGTGAGACCAATGTTGGACTCTGACCTAGGGAACTGCAGGGTAATACATTTGTATTGTTTGAAGCCATTCAGTGCACGATAATCTGTTACAGCACGTATAGAAGACAAATACACTGGGTGACATGGGAAACATCCCTTAATCTCTCTGCAATTCTATTTTCTCATTAGAAAATAGAGTTCATATACATATGTAACAAACCTGCACGTTGTGTACATGTACCCTAAAACTTAAAGTATAATAAAAAAAGACAAAAAAAAGATTAAATAGTTGATATTAAAAAAGAAAATAGAGTTCATTCTGACCCTGAGTCCCTGGCCTTAAACTGAATCCTAACCATAACTTTAACTCTATTTAGATTCAAACTCTACAGCTAAGCGAGTAACAAACCAGTTAGTACAAGAAAAAATGCACTCACAGATTTCTTTGCTCATAA